>NC_000017.11:38185980-38810980 GCF_000001405.40 Homo sapiens | reverse complement strand
GAGATTACAGGCGTGAGCCACCATGCCCAGCCAGTAATCTTTTTTTTTTTTTTTTTTTTTGAGACACAGTTTCACTCTGTCACCCAGGCTGAAGTGCAGTGGCACAATCTCGGCCCACTGCAACCTCTGCCTCCTGGTTCAGGTGATTCTTGTACCTCACCTCTCAAGTAGCTGGTATTACAGGTGCCCACCACCACACCCAGCTGATTTTTGTATTTTTAGTAGAGATGGGGTTTTGCCATGTTGGCCAGGCTGGTCTCGAACTCCGGACCTCAAGTGATGATCTGCTCCACTCAGCCTCCCAAAGTGCTGGGATTACAGGCATGAGCCACTGCGCTGGCTGGTCTCAGTAATCTTGTGTGCTTGTGTTCTCGGCATTTTCCAGTTGCAAATGAGTCTGGAAAAAAAGGAGAAGAAGAAAAAGAAGGAGAAGAAAAAGAAGCACAAGAAACATAAGCACAGAAGCTCGAGTAGTGATCGTTCCAGCAGCGAGGATGAGCACAGTGCAGGGAGGTGAGCATGTGGCGACTGGCCTCCCTTCTCGTTGATTCACTTGCTCATTCACTCATTCATTCCACAGACATGAACACCTGCCCTGTGCTGGAAGCTGCCAGGTACTGGGCATTCAGTGATGAACACTTGAACATGGGCCCAGTGCCCACAGAGCTTGCCATCTAATGCTAGAGTTCCTTGGAGATGCTAAATGTGAGTGGGTATCTTGGCCATGCTGCTGGAGAGAGACCCTTAATAATGCTGACTTTAGCCTAGTAGGTCTTAGGTAGGTCAGACATCCTGGGGGTGACTCTGTTTCATCTCAGCTTAGGATTCCTTCAAGACTGAAGTGGGCTTTATATAGGCTTTTTTTAATGGACTGATGGCTGATGTGGGCCCATTTTGCATGTCTTCCTGTGGAAGCAGTCAGCTCCGCCGCTGCTGAGTCACTATTTGTCCCTGGAATAGCAGCATGAAGTGAGAGGAGAAGGTGTTCAGGCGTTGGGGCTTAGAAGCGAGGCCCACAGTTTTTCACAGGAAAATTTGATTGTGCTGATGCATTTTTCGGCATAGACAGTCCAAATAGAGAAACGTACTGCCAGGTAACTGCTGGGAGGCGGAAAGGTCACATTGGAGGCAAGAAGCATAGTTCAGCATAAGATATTTAAATTGGACCTATATATATTTTCTTTTTCAATGAGTGTGTGTATTTTGATCTCTTAGATCACAGAAGAAGATGGCAAATTCCTCCCCTGTTTTGTCCAAAGTCCCTGGATATGGCTTACAGGTAGGGATGTGGGCTTCTTGAAAGGAGTGACTGTGGGACTGTGGGATGTGCCACTTGGACAATGTGGATAGCAGGGAGGTGGGCAGTGAAGCCTGGGCTGCTGGGAAACAGGCCCATTCTTATCGCTGAGCACCTTCTTGTGGCTGATGACCCTCTGAGCAGAGAGACTAAACCACCAATGGGGCATTGAGACATTCTACCCATCCCTCTACAAATAATTTACATGAAATGCACACATTTTAAGTGTATAGGTTTTTTTGTTTTTTTTTTTTTTTGAGACGGAGTCTCGCTTGTCACCCAGGCTGGAGTGCAGTGGCGCGATCTCGGCTCACTGCAACCTCTGCCTTCCGGGTTCAAGCTATTCTCCTGCTTTAGCCTCCCGAGTAGCTGGGATTACAGGCGCCCACCACCACGCCCGACTAATTTTTGTATTTTTAGTAGAGACAGGGTTTCGTCATGTTGGCCAGGATGGTCTTGAACTCCTGACCTCAGGTGATCCCTCCGCCTCGGCCTCCCAAAGTGCTGGGATTACAGGTGTGAGCCACCGTGCCTGGCCTAAGTGTGTAGGTTGATGATTTTTGACAAACATAAATCTGCTGGGTTCTTTTTTTTTTTTTTTGAGTAGCAGTGCATCATTATTTTGCCTAGGCTGGTCTCGAACTCCTGAGCTTAAGCAATCTTCTGAGTAGCTGGAAGTACAAGTTCAAGGCACCTGGCTTGACTTCTGTATTTCTGTATTTTTTTTTTTTTTTTTTGAGGTGGAGTTTTGCTCTTGTTGCCCAGGTTAGAGTGCAATGGCGCGATCTCAGCTCACCACAACCTCGACCTCCTGGGTTCAAGCAATTCTCCTGCCTCAGCCTCCCGAGTAGCTGGGATTACAGGCATGCACCACCATGCCCGGCTAATTTTGTATTTTTAGTAGAGACAGGGTTTCTCCATGTCAACCAGGCTGGAGTGCAATGGTGCAATCTCAGCTCACTGCAACCTCTGCCTCCTGGGTTCAAGCGATTCTCCTGCCTCAGCCTCCTGAGTAGCTGGGATTACAGGCACCTGCCATCACACCTGGCTAATTTTTGTATTTTTAATAGAGACAGGGTTTCTCCATGTTCGTCAGGCTGGTCTCAAACTCCTGGCCTCAAGCTATCCGCCTGTCTCGGCCTCCCAAAGTGCTGGGATTATAGGCGTGAGCCACCATGCCTGGCCTCATATTTCTGTATTTTTAACCTTGGGTCCTGTCCTCCATGCTTCTGCATCTCGCTCTTCCTTAACCTATAGTGAAGAGCTAAGCCAGGTGTATTCTTTTCTTTCTTTTTTTTTTTTGAGAGGGAGTCTCGCTCTGTCGCCCAGGCTGGAGTGCAATGGTGCGATCTCGGCTCACTGCAACCTCTGCCTCCTGCATTCAAGTGATTCTCCTGTCTCAGCCTCTTGAGCAGCTGGGACTACGGGCACCCACCACCACACCCGGCTAATTTTTGTATTTTTAGTAGAGAGGGGTTTGACCATATTGGCCAGGCTGGTCTCGAACTCCCGACCTTGTGATCTGCCCGTCTTGGCCTCCCAAAGTGCTGGGATTACAGGCGTGAGCCACTGCACCCAGCCAAGCCAGGTATATTCTTTTCTTTTCTTTTCTTTTTTTTTTTTTTTTTGAGATGGAGTCTCACTCTGTCGCCTAGGCTGGAATGCAGTGGCGCCATCTCGGCTCACTGCAAGCTCTGCCTCCTGGGTTCATGCCATTCTCCTGCCTCAGCTTCCCAAGTAGCTGGGACTACAGGTGCCCACCATGCCCAGCTAATTATTTTGTATTTTTAGTAGAGACAGTGTTTCACCATGTTAGCTAGGATGGTCTTGATCTCCTGGCCTCGTGATCTGCCTGCCTCAGCCTCCCAAAGTGCTGGGATTACAGGCATGAGCCACAGCACCCAGCCATCTTTTTTTTTTTTTTTTTTGAGACAGGGTCTTTCTCTCTCATCCAAGCTGGAGTGCAGTGGTGTGATCCTGGCTCACTGCTGTCTTGACCTCTTAGGCTCAAGGGATCCTTCTGCCTCAACCTCCTGAGTAGCTGGGACTACAGGCGTGTGCTGCCACACCGAGCTAATTTTTAAATATTTTGTAGAGACAAGGTCTCACTAGTTGCTCTGGGTGGTATCAAACTCTTGATCTCAGGCAGTCCTCCTGCCTCCGTCTCCCAAAGTGTTGGGATTCAAGGTGTGAGCGACTGCACCTGGCTGACCGAAGGAGATTCTTTTAGGGGATTCTGCAGATAACTAAGTTTATACAGTTCTCTGTGATAATTCTATGTGATGATATTGGTGTGCTCAGTGAGCTCCTTATGTAACATTTCCTGTTTCACTGCCTTTTCTTTTTTTTTTTTTTTTTTTTGAGACGGAGTCTCGCTCTGTCATCCAGGCTGGAGTGCAGTGGTGCGATCTCAGCTCACTGCAACCTCCACCTCCTGAGTTCAAGCAATTCTCCTGCCTCAGCCTTCTGAGTAGCTGGGATTACAGGTGCCCACCACCACGCCCAGCTAATTTTTTAATTTTCAGTAGAGACAGGGTTTCACCATGTTGGCCAGGCTGGTCTCGAACTCCTGACCTCAGGTGATCCCCCCCGCCTCGGCCTCCCAAAGTGCTGGGATTACAGGCGTGAGCCACTGAGCCCGGCCGCGTTTTCTCCTGAATAGCTGGATTTTCCATGTGAATAACTTCTCTTTTCCTTAATGATGTAGGTCCGGAACTCTGACCGTAACCAGGGTCTTCAGGGTCCTCTGACAGCAGAGCAAAAGAGAGGGCATGGGATGAAGAACCATTCCAGATCCAGAAGCTCCTCCCACTCACCCCCAAGACATGCCAGCAAGAAGAGCACCAGGGAAGCAGGGTCCCGGGACAGGAGGTCTCGATCCCTGGGCAGAAGGTCACGGTCCCCAAGACCCAGCAAACTGTGAGTGTGGGATTCACTGGGAAATAACCTGTGACTGTGGGGGCCTGGTCCCAGCAGGCATTTGTTTTTGCTTTTGGTGATGTCCGTCCATTGACTTTCCCAAATGTCTTTGCTTTGGTATTTCCTTTACATCATTTTTTTTTTCCACCTCAATGTAAAGCTCAGGCATCCAAAGCCACATATCTGTAGGTGTATTCTGTGCTTTGGGAGCTCTGGGGTGAGTCTAACATCAAACCCTATACCTTTGTTTTTCTCACACTTAGATTATACCTCTAAGACCATTAGCTCATCTTGCATTGTTTGAGGGATTCAGTGTAAGCCCCTGGACCAAAAAGGCTTTTTCCTCTTTGCCTTCTGTGTCTGCTACAGGCACAACTCTAAGGTGAACAGGAGAGAGACAGGCCAAACTAGGAGCCCATCACCTAAAAAAGAGGTCTACCAAAGGCGACATGCTCCCGGATACACCAGGTGAGTCAGGAGCCCAGTTGATTAACCACATTTTGCAGGCCTGAATCTAGAAGGGGCTCAAACCATGGCAAATGGATAATCCATCATTACCTTTTCGACGAACCAACTTTTATTTATCTTGCCAACCTGTAAGGGTCTGCGTCCCCTGCCTCCAGCCATGTGAGGACATTGAAAGGACGAGGTAAGGCTGGGCGTGGTGGCTCACGCCTGTAATCACAGCAGTTTGGGAGGCTGAGGTGGGTGGATCACCTGAGGTCAGGAGGTCGAGACCATCCTAACCAACACGGTGAAACCCCATCTCTACTAAAAATATAAAATTAGTTGGTCATGGTGGCACATGCCTGTAATCCCAGTTATTTGGGAGGCTGAGACAGGAGAACTGCTTGAACCCAGGGGTTGGAGGTTACAGTGAGCTGAGATCTCACCACTGCACAGCAGCCCAGGCGACAGTGCAAGACTTTGTCTCAAAAAAAAAAAAAAGTCTCTTAACAAAAACCAAGCCAGACACAGCAGTCCATGCTTGTAATCTCAGCGCTTTGGGAGGCTAAGGCAGGGAGGATCACTTAAGGTCAAGGGATTAAGGTTGCAGTGAGCTACGATCAAGCCACTGCATTCTTGCTTGGGCGACAGAGCGAGACCCTCTCTTAAATTAAACCCTCTTTAAAAAACCCCTCAATTATTCTCTCTGGGTGTGGTGGCTCATACCTGTAATCCCAGCAGTTTGAGAGTCCAAGGCAGGAGGATCGCTTGAGGCCAGGAGTTCCAGACCAGTCTGAGCAACATAATAAGACACTATCTCTACAAAAAATTATTTTAAAAACATTTAAAAAAACAAAAGCTAGTAGTTCTTTGCCCTGCCTGATCCCACTTTTAGTCATGCTACCCAAAGGCAACTACTTTCAGCTTTTTCAGTAGTTTCTTTTCATAGCTACATATTCCTAAAAATACAAATATGTTGCTGCCTCTTCATCCATTAATTTTAGATATTAGATATTTTCTTTTTTCTTTCTTTGTTTTTTTTGGAGACAGCATCTTGTTGTATCTCCCAGGCTGGAGTGCAGTGCCACAATCTTGGCTCACTACAACCTCTGCCTCCGGGGTTCAAGTGATTCTCCTGTCCCAGCCTCCCGAGTAGCTGGGACTACAGGCACATGTTGTCACGCCCAGCTAATTTTTTTTTTTTTTTTCTGAGATGGAGTTTCATTCTTGTTGCCCAGGCTGGAGTGCAATGGCCCAATCTCGGCTCACCACAACTTCCGCCTCCTGGGCCCAAGTGATTCTCCTGCCTCAGCCTCCTAGGTAGCTGGGATTACAGGCATGTGCCACCACACCCAGCTAATTTTTGTATTTTTAGTAGAGACAGGCTTTCTCCATGTTGGTCAGGCTGGTCTCGAACTCCCAACCTCAGGTGATCTGCCTGCCTCGGCCTCCCAGAGTGCTGGGATTACAGGCGTGAGCCACCACGCCCGGGCTTCCTTTTTTTTTTTTTTTTTTTTTGTCTCGCTCTGTCGCCCAGGCTGCAGCGCAGTGGCACGATCTCGGCTCACTGCAACCTCTGCCTCCCGGGTTCCAGCGATTCTCCTGCCTCAGCCTCCCGAGTAGCTGGGACTACAGGCGCATGCCACCATGCCCAGCTAATTTTTGTATATTTTAGTAGAGATGGGGTTTCACCATATTGGTCAGGCTGGTCTTGAACTCCTGAGGTCAGGTGATCTGCCCGCCTCAGCCTCCCAAAGTGTTCGGATTACAGGCATGAGCCACAGCACCTGGCCCTAATTTTTGTATTTTTAATATAGATGGGGTTTCAATGTGTTGTCCAGGCTGGTCTGGAACTCCTGAGCTCAGGCAATCCACCTGCCTTGGCCTCCCAAAGTGTTAGGATTACAGGTGTGAGCCACCGTGCCCGGCCAGATCTTAGATATTTTCTTACTGTTATAGTAAATAATCTGTTAGTGTAAATGAGCTCTCATACACTCCTAGTCCCATGTTTCTTCTATCCCTATCTTTCCAATATGGTTACATCAGAATTTTTGGTTCAGTGAGTATGTGGATTCATACTTGTATGATATATAAATATTGTTTACTGATACTTTTCATTCCTAAGCCAAGCAGAATATGGAGGTTACATTTCCTTTCTTGTATGATTTGTATATTTTTTCCTAGTGTCAGTATTTGCTTCCTGCAATCTAAACCATGTCTTTGAGTTCTAGGAAATTTTCTTGTATTATTTCTTTGATAACTTCTTTCTTCTCCCTACAAGGTCTCACTCTGTTGCCTAGGTTGGAGTGCAGTGGGGCGATCATGGCTTACTGCAGCCTCACACTCCCAGGTTCAACTGATCCTCCTACCTCAGCCTTCCAAATAGTTGGGGCTACACGGGTGCCACCATGCCCAACTAATTAAAAAAAAATTTTTTTTTTGCAGAGATGGGAGGTCTCACTTTGTTGCCTAGGCTGGTCTTGAACTCTTGGACTCAAGCAATCCTCCTGCCTAAGCCTCCCAAAGTGCTGGGATTACGGGCTAGAGCCACTGTGCCTGGCAATCGTTTTTGTTTTTTTTTTTTAAGCCTCCTACTCTCATTTGAATGCTCTAATATCTTTCATTTATTATCTGAAGCAGATTTTTAATAGTAAATTGTTTTTCGTTTGGAGGTTTTTATTTTTTTTTGAGACAGAGACTCACTCTGTCACCCAGGCTGGAGTGCAGTGGTGCGATCTTGGCTCACTGCAACCTCCGCCTCCTCGGTTCAAGCGATTCTCCTGCCTCAGCCTCCCAAGTAGCTGGGATTACAGGCACACACCACCACACCCAGCTTATTTTTGTAATTTTAGTAGAGACAGGGTTTCCCCATGTTGGCCAGGCTGGTCTCGAACTCCTGACGTCAGGTGATCTGCCCGCCTTGGCCTCCCAAAGTGCTGGGATTACAGGCGTGAGCCACCATGCCTGGCCCTATTTATTATTTTCTGAGGCTAAGTTATTCCTTCAGCTTCTGGCTTCTAGCTTAGTCCTAAAGTAGTGTACTCATGGGCTGTGTCATGAATTTCTAGTCTCCAATGGGTAGTTAGATGGTAGATGTTAACAGTTACATGGATAACCTAGTCTTCTGTTCTTCTGTCAATTGTTGAGCAAACCATTGGGATATAATTGCTACAAGTTTAGGTTCCTGATGAGTTCCCAATTTATTTCATATTTCATATTTCAGAATAATCACTCTAGAGATTACTGAGTGAGATTATGGAATACTTTACTAAAAGCCTTTGAAATTTGGATGAAACCTCCTGACCAGGACGTTAGAAGGGAACTCAGGCTGGCCTTGCACTTGGAGAGAGCAGTGAACTGGAGAGCTTGGGGTCCCACCTGGCTTCTGTGCTTCTTGTGCTGCTTCTGGTTTTTTTGCTGGAAGAGACCTGATCGTATGGTTTCTGTGCTCAACAGAAAACTCTCTGCAGAGGAATTAGAGCGAAAACGGCAAGAGATGATGGAAAACGCCAAATGGAGGGAGGAGGAGAGACTGAACATCCTCAAGAGGCATGCTAAGGATGAGGAACGGGAGCAGAGGCTAGAGAAGCTGGACTCCCGGGATGGGAAGTTCATCCAGTGAGTGCATCTTCTTCCTGCCAGGGTCTTTCATGGGGAAGGTCTTAAGAGGCAGGCTGGCAGCTGGTTCCCGTTCCAGTGTTTCTGTGTTTGCACATGGAGCCCAGCCTTCAGACCACCTTGGCTACTACTCTTCCTTTCTGACCACACAGTGGGATGTTTTTCATTTGAGGGGAGGAGAAGTGAATTTGGTATTTTCTAAATCATTGAAATTCCTTGACCTTCCTTTTTAATAAGAATTCATGGCCCAGGAAGCCTTTTTCCAATGAGGCTTTGACTTATTTTCCAAAACAGATACATTTTCCCTTATGGACACTGGTTTAAAAACATTTGGTTCCAGGTGGAGTCACTCGAAAGTTATCTATGGGAGCTTAAAAGAGGTTGTGTTTTTACAGCTGCTCTATGGCTAACAACCCATTTCTTCTGAAGCTGCCAGAATAGTTGACTGATTGAAAATGTTTTTGACTTGCATTTGCCTGTCTTCTCTTCCTAGCCGCATGAAGCTGGAGAGTGCATCTACTTCCTCCCTGGAGGATCGGGTGAAGCGGAATATCTACTCTTTACAGAGAACTTCGGTAGCTCTGGAGAAGAACTTTATGAAAAGATGAAAACTGTCCCCTCTCTTATTGGTTTTCCTGCATTTTCCAGGGAAGCTGCTGACCCCTTAATTCTCTTTATAAGAGTTCAAATGACTTCTTTCACAGATGTCAAACCACCAGTGTTCAAAGTGACCCTGCTTCATTGAGTCCTGAAACAGCTCACTTCCTTTGAGAGCTAGTGTGACTTGCTTTGTGGGACACTCAGTAACTTTGGGTTTTGACTCTTTAACGGGTGGGCACTGGACCATCTCGGTGGGAGTGCTTGTGCCACTCTGGAAGGCTGTTCCCTGGGGTTGTGATGTTTATCATGCCACTTCCTTCTTACCTGTGCCAACAGACCTATTTCACTGCCTCAGCGTACACCAGACCCTTCAGAAACCTCTCTGGTGTCACCCAGATAGATTGTGCTTACTGAGACAAATGAACGTTTACTTGATTTAGAAGATAATGTGACAGAATGATGTCAGGTTAGGTCAAAGCCAAGGGAGTGACAGAATCTGGAAAATCAAACAATACAAAAAGCCCTAAATGAACTGTTAACTATTTGATCTTTGGATGTAAAATTGTAATGCGTATATGTACAAATGTACAATTTTTACATGCTTTTAAAAAAGGTTAGCTTTGTGAAAATACCTTGTTTGGTCAATGACTTTACTGGGTAATAGAACCACATTGAACCTTGATGGCAAGTAATACAATAAGGCAGGCCAGCTCGTTTTTCTCTCTGAATCTGGCTGGTTTAGGAGGAGCCTGGGTTTATCGACGAGATCTGGAGTATCTATTCTTTTCCACTGCTTGCAGTCTCCAATGTAGGCAGTGTAAAGGTATAGTAAAATGATTTTAGGAGTCAGAACCAAATTGCCAATATGCTCCATGGCTCCTAAAGGAAAATAAAATGGAAGTTTTTATTTTGCGGCTTCACTTCTTACCGTGTAGTAACCTTACTACAATTACAGATTTTCAGGAGTTGTTTGCTAGTCTCTTTCAGTCAGGTACTAAAAAAAAAACAAAAAACAGGCTGGGCGCGGTGGCTCACACCTGTAATCTCAGCACTTTGGGAGGCTGAGGTGGGCGGATCACGAGGTCAGGAGATCGAGACCATCCTGGCGAACACGGTGAAACCCCGTCTCTACTAAAAAAATACAAAAAATTAGCCGGGCGTGGTGGCGGGCGCCTGTAGTCCCAGCTACTCGGGAGGCTGAGGCAGGAGAATGGCGTGAACCCAGGAGGCGGAGCTTGCAGTGAGCCGAGATTGTGCCACCGCACTCCAGCCTGGGTGACAGAGCGAGATTCCGTCTCAAAAAACAACAGCAACAAAACAAAACCCTCGAGGGGCCACTCTCCTGTCTTTACTCCTTTTCCCTTCTCTATTCTTTCACCAGAAGCCCTCATTTGACCAGTGAACTCCTAGGCCCTCTTGACCCGCACATTAGCTGGGCGATTTCCTTGTTCTGCTAATTCCTAATTCTGCTTAAAATGTATTTGGATTTCTGTTTTTGAACACTTATGATGCCAGGCACTGTAATGCTTGAAACCCGATCTTTCCCTAGAGAATGTAACATACGTTTTTATTCATTTAATCACTTCATTATGCCGGGGTTAATTATGTTTATTTTATAATTGGTAATAAAGGCCACATTTATTTTTGTAACTGTTTAAAGAGCGACCACCTGTGGAGTACCGTGTTTACGAATTTCCATGCAGAAAGAACAACGTTGACCTGTAATTTGTGTCGAATATATGGAGATCCCTCATCTGAGAATTATGTAACAAAGCGTGGGGCAGTTTACTCAAAGATTTTACGAAATGAGCCAGAGTAAGACGATTAGTGGGATAGGTGTCTGAAGGTGCTGGCGGCCTCTGAGCTCTGACCCTTTGCGGGGAGAACAGGCAGCAGGTGGGTGGGCGCGGGGCCCATTCATAAAAACCAGTGTTCCTGGCCTGCTTCTCTCATTGGCCCTGGGGGCAAGGGGCGTGCCCCGCGGGTGGAGCGCGCCCGGGGCCCAGCAGAGTGGGCAGATCCACGCTTAGGTGGAGCGAGGGGGCGTTCCTTGGCTTTCTAGGCTGGACTTTCTCTTCCCCTTGCTGCGTCCCTCCTCTCCCCCGGGGTGGGCATGGTACGTCCCGCCCTCCTCGCATTCCCGTCCCTCCTTCCCTTCCGGAGCGGTGGCATCGCCGCCATCTTGGCATTCGGGTTGCGGGAAAGAGCCAAACCCTGGCGTTGGGGGGCCCGGGCGGGGAGCCCCTCCCGCGGTCCACAGCGACGCCTGCCCAGCCCTCCTCCCCTTCCGGCTCCGGCACGGGGCCCCGAGGCGTTCGGAGGCCAGGCGGGTTTCTGTCAGGCCCGGGGAGGAGGGGCGGGCGGGGCGGCCGCTGCCTCCCCGGGACGGGCCGTACCACGCGGACGGGGAGGACGGGGCCAGGGGACTGCAGGGCGGCTGCACCGCCCGGGGGCGGGGTGCGGAGCGGGCCGGCGGGCTCCCCGGGGCGGGGCGGGAGGGCGGGGCGTGGGGCGGACGGAACCACCGGGGCGGGGTGGGAGGTAACGGGACGGGCGCGACCATGGCGCGGTGAGGGAGCGGGGGTGGGGATCGGTCCGGGGGAGGCCTGAGGCCGCTGGCTTGTGCGCTGTCTCCGCCGCCCCCCTCTTTCGCCGCCGCCGCCGCCGCCCCGGGCATGTCGTCCAACTGCACCAGCACCACGGCGGTGGCGGTGGCGCCGCTCAGCGCCAGCAAGACCAAGACCAAGAAGAAGCATTTCGTGTGCCAGAAAGTGAAGCTATTCCGGGCCAGCGAGCCGATCCTCAGCGTCCTGATGTGGGGGGTGAACCACACGGTAACCAGCTCCTGCGCGCCCCTCTGAGCGCGGCCCCGCGCGCTCCCACGCCCCCTGCAGCCCTGGGCCCTTGCCCCGCAGGCCCTGCCGGTGACGCCTGCCACCCCTCGCCAAGCCACTTGCACGCCCACCCCACCCTTGCACGCCTTTCGGCCCCGTGTGCACTCCCCGCACGCCACGCGAGGCCTGGTGTCTCTGTGGTCTGCCGTCGCCACCTCCCCTTCCCTCCAGCCCTTCTGGCTTCCTGCGTGTGGCGTGCTCGCTTGGGGCAGCCCATGGAGCGCAAAGGCAAGGCCTCAGTGCAGTGGAGTCGCTTTCATCCCTGCTTCTCCTCCTCCCCCCTCATCCTGTTTGTGAGGGTGTATATTCCCCCTTGTTCCTTACAGCCGGCTGCCAGCTCTGTCAAGTAGCAGTGGTCTGCCCAAATAGTCCTCTCTTTCTGATCGTTTGGTTGTTGTGGCTGCTCAAATTCTTCCATCCTCCAGGCCTCCTTACCTTTGAATGTAGAACTCCACCCTGGGTTTCCTTTTTTTTCCCTCTTGAACAAGATGTATCAACTGGAGAAGCACAGGCTTCCTTGAACCAGACACTTCACCTGGGTCTCTCTGGGTTAGGGAGAAGAAAGAATGGCTATTAACCATTTGAGAGAAGAGGATGCCTGGTTATAAGGAGGGACTATTCATAGTAGAAATAATATGTCTTCCCATAGTTTTTGAAGGTGATCATTTTAAAGATGTTGACTTATCTGTTGTGTGGCTGCAATGTTGTGATGATGCATAGTGATTATGGTCCTAGATAGGAGAGATAGGTCCCCTGGGTCCTTAGGGTGCTTTGAGATTGTTCAACAGCCCCTGCCAGGAAGTTGGATCCTGACAGTTTAAGCTGGAAGACTGTTTATGTGGTGTTTGTTCAGGGTCTTTATTCTCCCTCTTCCAACCACTTGCTCTTTGCCTTCTGACCATTTCTTTATGAATCCCCACACTAGGAATGAGCAGAGGAAGTAAAAGGACCCGAAACACCAACTTCACTAACTAGAATTTTGGAATAAGGAGGATCAAGCTTGGGTTTCCTGTGGATTTCAGTTCTTTAGGTTCACTTGTGAGTGCTTGAAATTGCTCACAAGACCAAGCGATGACAAAGAGGGCCAGCAAGACTTTGCATTGCTTTGGCAGAGGAGCTGAAGGTGCCTTTGGGTGGAGATCGATGAACCGTAATCTGAGCTAGGGTTTTAGATCTTGACCTGTCATTTAGGAAAGTGCATGTGTAAATTGAGGTCTCTGTGGTTTCTTGGTCTTGGGCAGGTTACTGTTTTCACTGTCATCACTGGTGTTAGTGAGGGTCCTGCCAGGATAGCGAGTACCAGTGGTATAATGCCCAGACCTCTAGGAGCTGCTTCGGGCCAACAATCCAGCCCAGTTTGTTACTCGGTCTTCCTGCTGTCCCAGGGGTCATCTGACAACATTTCTAGGGAAACTGGGTGATCAGAATATGAACCCCATGTCCCTTTCTGGAAGTCAATCCTTGATTTTGTTCTGCATCCTGCTTCTCACTCTACCAGGCCTCTCTCTGCTGGTTCTGTTTCTCACAGAAAGCAACCTGTCTGTAGAGAACTGGTAGAGGCCTGAGAGTCAGGAGTATTACAGCTAGCTGCAATGAACCTTGGGTCCCTTATTTTACACATGAAGAAAAGGAGGCCTCAGGTGGAGGATTAGCTTGCCTGTGGTTACAGCAAGAGATGTCGCTTATTGTCTAGCACCATGGGACTGTATCGGCCAAGGGTGGTGCCTGAGTGGCTGGTCTTGTTTTCTTTGCCTCCTGTTTCTTTTCCTCTCCCTCAGCCAAGTCTCAGGATAGATGCGAAGTATAGTCCGGTTAGAGAAGGTGAATATATGCTCTGGGTTATACGCCTATGCATGTCAGGTCCTGGGAGTGTGTGTGATGCATGGTGTTCCGATAGGCAGGCATGAGTCTGTCCATATGTGGTTATGAAGTTTCTCAATAGCTGATGGTTAGGTATCACGAGTCAGGAGTCCTGTGAGTCCTACTCTGTTGGACAAAGTGGTCATCTTTTTTCTTTGCTAACTTTAAGTTGAAAGTTTGTTTGAGGGGCTAGTTGGAAAGGCATTGACTTTAAGCAAGATCCGTGCCTCTGGACATAATGAACAGGCATCTCATGGGAACTTCCCACCACTGCCCTGGACAGGCTAAGCTTCAGAGGCCAGTTAGTCGTAAGTTTTATTGCTTCATCCTGGTCTGCAGTAAGGTCTGATACTTCAGTGTCCCCATTTGGGAACTGAGACATCTGCCTAGAAGAAGAGTGTAATCTTGCACTCGTCTAAGGGATCAGGACCACATTGCCCTCGGTGGACTGCTGCACTTTTTTGGAGATTTCCTCCCTTCAAAAAAAGCCTACTTTGTAACATTTTGTCATCTGAGATTTCAGATACCACCTTTTCTTTAGTTTCTCACCTGTTTAGGCATTTAGGCATGCTGGTCTGTGGCTAATGGTGTTTCAGATAGGAAGGATGGATATGTCTTTATCTACAGCAGAAGTTAGTTACCCTTTCATGAGGTGATTAGTTTACTTCTAGGTGGAAAAAGAGAGGACTTTGAACTTGGTGTTGTCACAGGAGCTGCTCTCATGGACAAGAGCCCATGGATTTTGTGGAGGAAGAATGTGTAGGAAACAAGGAGAAAAATCAGAAGACTTTGCACCTGTCAGGGAAGAACTAGTGAAGAGCAAAAACCAGTGTTTTAGTGGATGAAATACAGTTCCGAGGGTTTGGAATTAGGGAAGAGATGGCCTCAGAGAGGAGCATGGAGACCATGGGAGGTAGACCTGACTTGATACTTGTTGGCCATTTTAAGAACCAGGTATGTGTGAAGCCTTACCACAGGGATCAGAGGAGCAGGAGCAGTTGATGGTGACTCTGTATTTAACCATTTGAGAAACTGCCAAACTGTTCTCTAAAGTGGCTGTACCATTTTACATGTCTACCAGCAGTGTATAAGAGTTCCAGTATCTGCATCCTTGTCAACACTTGTTATTGTCTTTTTAAAGTTATTAAAGCCATTCTGTTGGGTGTGAATTCGTATCTCATTGTGATTTTGTTTGTTTGTTTGTTTTTGTGATGGAGTCTCACTCCGTCACCCAGGCTGGAGTGCAGTGGTGCAATCTCGGCTCACCGCAACCTCCACCTCCCGGGTTCAAGCAATTCTCCTGCTTCAGCCTCCTCAGTAGCTGGGATTACAGATGCCTGCCACCACACGTGGCTAATTTTTTTATTTTAGTAGAGACAAGGTTTCACCATGTCGGCCAGGCTTGTCTCAAACTCCTGACCTCAGGTGATCCACCTGCCTCGGCCTCCCAAAGTGCTGGGATTACAGGCATGAGCCATCGCACCCGGCCTCATTGTGACTTTGATTGGCATTTCTGTGATAACTAATGATGTTGAGCATTTTTTCATGTACTTACTGGCCATTTGTACATATTCTTTTCTTTTTTTTTTTTTCTTGAGACAGAGTCTTGCTCTGTCGCCCAGGCTGGAGTTTAGTGCCACAATCTCAGTTCACTGTAACCTCCGCCTCCTTGGTTCAAGCGATTCTCCTGCCTCAGCCTCCCAAGTACCTCGGATTACAGGTGCCTGCCACCACACCCAGCTAACTTTTGTATTCTTAGTAGATATGGAGTTTTACCATGTTGTCCAGGCTGATCTCAAACTCCTAACCTCAGGTGATCCACCTGCCTTGGCTTCCCAGAGTGCTGGGATTACAGGTGTGAGCCACTGTGCCTGGCCTGTACATTTTCTTTTTGTTGTTGTTGTAGAGACAGGGTCTCGCTTTGTTGCCGAGGCTGGTCCTGAACTCCTGGCCTCAAGTGGTCCTCCCGCCTTGGCCTCCCAAAGGACTGGGATTGCAGGCATGAGCCACATCCCCAGCCTTCATTGGTATCTTTTCTTTGGAGAATGTCTATTAAATTTTTTGCCCATTTACAAAGATCTTTTTGCCCATTATTAAATTGGGTTATCTTCTTATTATTGAGTTACAAGAATTCTTTTTATATTCTAGATACAGGTCCCTTATCAGATATATGATTTGCAAATATTTTATCCTATTCATTGAGTTGTCTTTTTCATTTTTCTTTTTTTTTTTTTTTTTTTTTTTTTGAGATGGAGTTTTGCTCTGTCGCCCTGGCTGGAGTGCAACGGTGTGATCTTGGCTCACTGCAACCTCTGCCTCCCGGGTTCAAGCGATTCTCCTGCCTCAGCCTCCTGAGTAACTGGGATTACAGGTGCCCGCCACCACACCAGGCTAATTTTTGTATTTTTAGTAGAGACAGGGTTTTGCCATGTTGGCCAGACTGGTCTCGAACTCCTGGCCTCAAGCAATCCCCCCGCCTCGGCCTCCCAAAGTGGTGGGATTACAGGCGTGAGCCACTGCACCTGGCCTGCCTTTTTCATTTTTCTTATGGTATCTTTTGAAGTTCAAGTTTTTAACTTTAATAAAGTCCAGTTTATCTTTTTTGTTGTTGTTGTGTGTGCTTTTGGTGTTATATCTAAGAAGACATTGCCTAACCCAAGGTCATGAAGATTTACTCCTTTGTTTTCTTCTAAAAGTTTTATAGTTCTAGCTCTTTTTTTTTTTTTTTTTTTTTTTAATGAATTGGGGTTTCTCTGTATTGCCCAGGATGTTCTCAAACTTCTGGCCTGAAGCAATCCTCCCAACTAGAGTTTTAGCTCTTTCTTTCTTCTTCTTCTTTTTTTTTTTTTAATTGTATTGTGGTCAGAACATTTAACATAAGATGTACTCTCATGACAAAATTTTAAGTGTACGATTATGTTATTGATGACCATGGGAACAGTGTCATAGTGCAGCTCTGTAGAGCGTATTCATCTCGCTTGAATGAAACTTTATGCCTACCAATTAACTCCCCATTTCCCCCGCCCCCAGCCCCTGGCAACCACCATTCTACTCTTTGTTTCTATGAATTGGACTGTTTTGAAACCTTATATAAGGAGAATCATGCAATATATGTTTTTCTGCGACTAGCTGATCTCAGCGTAAGGTGCTCAAGGTTCATCCATGTTGCACATAGCAGAATTTCCTTCTTTTATTAAGGCTGAATAGTATTCTGTTGTATATGTATACCACATTTTCTTTATCATCTGTTGATGGATTTGTTTTCACACCTTAGCTCTTGTGAATAGTGCTGGAGTATGTATAGTTTTAGTTCTTACATTTAAGTCTGTAATCCATTTTGAATTCACTTTTGGGTATGGTGTGAGGGACAGATTTATTCTTTAGTCTGCTCAATTTCTCTCCTACATTCCACCCCAGTTCTGTTCTGTCCATACATTTTCTTTCTTTCTTGTTTTTTTTTTTGTTTGTTTTTTTGAGGCAGGGTCTCGCGCTCTTGCACAGGCTGAAGTGCAGTGGCACAATCACGGCTCAATGAAGCCCCTACCTCCCCATGCTCAGGTGATTCTCCTGCCTTAGCCACCCGAGTAGCTGGGACTACAGGCACATGCCACCACACCCGACTAACACTTGTATTTTTTGAAGAGTCGGGGTTTTGCCATGTTGCCCAGGCTGGTCTCGAAATCCTGGGCTCAAGCGATTTGCCCACCTCGGTCTTCCAAAGTGCTAGGATTACAGGCGTGAGCCACTGACCTCCTTTACCTGTCTTTTTATCTTGCCCTACTGCTTTAAAAATCTTCAGAGGGGCCTGGCATGGTGGCTCACGCCTGTAATCCCAGCAGTTAGGGAGGCCAAGGTGGGCGGATCACCTGAGGTCAGGAGTTCAAGACCAGCCTGGCCAACATGGTGAAACCCCGTCTCTACTAAAAATACAAAAATTAGTCGGGCATGGTGGCGCATGCCTGTAATCCCAGCTACTCGGGAGGCTGAGGCAGGAGAATCACTTGAACCTGGGAGACGGCGGTTGCATTGAGCCAAGATGGCGGCATTGCACTCCAGCCTGGGTGACGAGCAAAACTCCGTCTCAAAAAAAAAAAAAAAAGAAAAAATCTTCAGAGATGGCTGGGAGCAGTGGCTTACGCCTGTGATCCCAGCACTTTGGGAGGCCGAGGCAGGCGGATCACTTGAGGTCAGGAGTTTGACACCAGCCTGGCCAACATGGCGAAACCCTGTCTCTACTAAAAATACAAAAATTTGCCGGGTGTGGTGGCATGCGCCTGTAATCCCATCTACCCAAGAGGCTGAGGCAGGAGAATGGCTTGAATCCGGGAGGCGGAGGTTGCAGTGAGCAGAGATCGCGCCATTGCACTCCAGCCTGGGCGACAGAGTGAGACTCCGTTTCAAAAAAAAAAAAATCTTTAGAGAACATTCCTACTCAGGCCTTTGAATGAAGTTTCTTTTAGCAGGCCTTCCCACCTCACAGGGAGCAGTGGGACTCAAACAGCAGGAGAAGGAGAAAGCAAGATATGGAAAGGAGGAGTAAACACCGGTAGATTTATTGGCTCCTGTGGCCCTCTCTTCCTCTCTGGAGTTGCAGTTCTTGCTTTGGACCTCCTCGGTCCTGTGAGTGTATTTCTAGCATGTCATGTTTTCTGATGGTGGCAGGTAACAAGTGATTGCTGGTGGTGGCCAGCCCACTGCTGAACCGACAGCAGAGGACTGGAACATGTCAGGAAACCTGCATGCCTAGTCCAGGCATCCTAGGTAACAATTCCTATGAAGGTCGCACAGGGAAGTGGAGGCTTCTGGACACACAAGTTCACCAGACTAGAACTAGCTGCTGAATTTTCATCTCCATGTTGCATATTGCAGAATTTTCTTCTTTTTTTTAAAGGCTGAATAGTATTCTGTTGTATATGTACAACAGAATCATACCTCTCACTTTGAGAGACTGAGGTGGATGGATTGCTTGAGCCCAGGGCTTTGAAACCAGCCTGGGCAACATGGCGAAAACTTGTCTCTACTAGAAATAAAATTAGCTGGGCATGATGGCACACCTGTAGTCCCATCTACTAGGGAGGCTGAGATGGGAGAATCACCTGAGCTCAGGAAGTTGAGGCTGCAGTGAGCTGAGATCATACCACTGCACTCTAGCCTGGCCTATGGAAGTGAGACCCTGTCTCAATCAATCAATCAAGGAATTTTCATCTCCAGTAGATCAGCATAGAGTGAACTCATTGCTTTTTTTTTTTTGAGACGGAGTCTGGTTCTGTCACCCAGGCTGGAGCACA
Source organism: Homo sapiens (assembly GCF_000001405.40). Lineage (NCBI taxonomy): Eukaryota > Metazoa > Chordata > Mammalia > Primates > Hominidae > Homo > Homo sapiens. The sequence continues at coordinate 38,792,057 of NC_000017.11, read as the reverse complement.
GTGGCATGAACTCGGCTCACTGCAAGCTCCGCCTTGTGGGTTCACGCCATTCTCCTGCCTCAGCCTCCCGAGTAGCTGGGACTACAGGTGCCCGCCATCATGCTCCGTTAATTTTTTTTTGTATTTTTTTTTAGTAGAGACGGGGTTTCACTGTGTTAGCCAGGATGGTCTTGATCTCCTGACCTCATGATCCGCCCGCCTCGGCCTCCCAAAGTGCTGGAATTACAGGCGTGAGCCACTACGCCCAGCTCTGCAGATGTCTTTTTGGTTTTGTATCCCCAGCTCCTAGCATATAGTAAGGCCCTTAATACACTGAGTAGAAGTAAATTGAATAGAAATTTGGCAGTCTGGCTGGGCGCGGTGGCTCACGCCTGTAATCCTAGCACTTTGGGAGGCCGAGGCAGGTGGATCTCCTAAGGTCGGGAGTTCGAGACCAGCCTGGCCAACATGGAGAAACCCCATCTCTACTAAAAATACAAAATTAGCCGGGCATGGTGGTGCATGCCTATAATCCGAGCTACTCAGGAGGCTGAGGCAGGAGAATTGCTTGAACCCGGGAGGCGGAAGTTGCGGTGAGCACGCCATTGCACTCCAGCCTGGGAAACCAGAGCAAAGCTCTATCTCAAAAAAAAAAAAAAAAAAAAAAAAAAATTGGCAGTCTGAGCCAGATTAGGAAAGGCCTTGAATGCCAGGCTAAGCAGTTAAAACTTTACCCTGAGGTTGAGAGGAGCAGCCATGGAAGATTTCTAAGCAGGAGTGTAGCATGATCTTGTAGATTCTCCTAATGTCAAGTGCTCTTGGTGCAATACCAGGAGAGGCATTAGGTGCCTTGTTTCTGGCCTGATGTATGAGGACTGGGAGCCTGACCCTCTGGCCATGCTAGCCTCATCCTTCTCTGAGCCTCTGCTGTTCTTGATGTCTGTATCCCTGGATTCTCACTTAATTGCATACTGCTTTGACTTTGAGGGTGTCAGGGTTTTTTTTCATCTCCCTGATGAGATTATAAGCCTCCTGTTTCTTTTGCATGTACAACACTTTCTCCCCTTGTGTTCTCCTCCTCCCACACACCTACCTAACAGAATGAAGCACGTAGCAGATATTTCAATAGGAACAGTTCAATTGAAATGGAATAGAACTCTCTGGGATATAAAATTTCACACAACTAAAAAAATAATAATAATAGGGCTAATCCCTACAGTGAATCATCTACATGTGGCCTAGTAGAAATGAGGGGTAAGTCTCCCCTAGTTGAGATATGGATTGTTCACCAATGTTAGCTGAGTTAAAAATTTCCTAGGCTGGGCCAGGTGCAGTAGCTCACATCTGTAATCCCAGCATTTTGGGAGGCTGAGGCAGGCAGATCACGAGGTCAGGAATTCGAGACCAGCCTGACCAACATGGTGAAACCCCATCTTTACTAAAAATACAAAAATTAGCAGGGCATGGTGACATGCGCCTGTAATCCCAGCTACTCAGGAGACTGAGGCAGGAGAATCGCTTGAACCCAGGAGGCAGAGGTTGCAGTGAGCGGAGATTCTGCCACTGCACTCCAGCCTGGGCAACAGAGCAAGACTCGATCTTCTGACCTCGTGATCCGTCCCCTTAGGCCTCCCAAAGTGTTGGGATTATAGGCGTGAGCCACTGCGCCCAGCCGAGCCCTGAACTCTTTGTCTCTGTTTTCCCTTTAAGTCTCGGAGCCAGGCTTGATATGCCAGGAAAAAGGAAATGGGACAGCCACCACGAATTGTTTCTGTTGGCAGAAAAACAAAGAAGTGGAATGGTTTCCTCTGTAGGCACAGATTTGACAGTCACATTCTCTTGTGAGCACCCCCTGGAATAGGAACTGGCATGACTCTTCTGGGGTTTTTTTTGGCTATTGGGAGGGTTTAGCCAATGAAGGGTATCACAGAGCTTGATGCTGGGAATTTAAAAATCAACTTTATTGAGGAATAATTTATGTATATTAAGTGTGCGTATTTTAAGTATACAATTTGATGAATTTCAGCAAATGTATTTGCTCATGTAACCATCACCCCAAGCAACATATAAAACATTTCTGTCACCGTAGAATCACACTTCTCATGTCCCTTTACACTCAGCACCCCCCGCCCCCTGGCCAGGCAACTCATCTCATTTCTCTCATTATAGATGCCTGCTGTAGAATTTCATATAAATGGAATTATACAGGATACACTCTTGTGTCTATGCCAGTTTTTGCCAGCAGTTTACCTAGTGTCTGCTCCACTGCCAACTTATAAACTACCCTGCCCCCAGCATCCCTCTCAAAGCACGTGCATTCCTATGGCTTCCTTCATTTCTCCATGAGTAAATTGGGTTTTTTCCCAACTCTAGGAAGATATGGTTCCCCAGCCCAGTTACTGCATTAACTTGAACTTCCTCCATTCTCTGACATTTCTAAATAAAAAAGGTTTGTAACATAAAAGGAGCAGCAAATTAAATGCCATTTCCCCCATTTATGCTCCTGGAGGAGTTCTAATGACTCTAGGTTATCCCCTCACTGCCACCTGGGGCCTCATTGAGATAACAGGATTTGCAAGGAAAGTGGGAGACACAAGGCTGTGCCCCCTCCCCCCAGTCCATTAAGTCAGGACTAAGGTTTCCTCTGTAAATCCTGAATGCATTAGTGGCAACTGGGTTGAGGGTCAAATGTCAAATACTCTGCTGTGATGGGAGAGGACATCTGTGGTTAATTAGACCACTAACTGGCTAAACTCGAGGTGGGGAAGGGCAGGATCTGCCCTCATCTCTGCACCAATGGAAAGCTAGCTCTCTGTCTAGGATCCAGCTCCCTGAAGGGATGAAAGTCAGAAGGTTTGTTTGCAGTAGAGGCAAGGCATCCTGCCCCATCTCCCTTAGTTTAGTGTATGGCAGGACTTGACATCAGGAACTGGCCCTGCTTTATTTTATTTTCTTTTTTGAGACAAGATCTCACTCTTGCCCAGGCTAGAGTGCAGTGCAGTGGTGCAGTCAGCTCACTGTAACCTCAAACTCCTGGCCTCAAGCAATCCTCCCACCTCAGCCTCCTGAGTAGCTAGGATGATAGGTGTACACGACTATGCCTGGCTAATGTGTTTAATTTTTTTTTTTTTTTGAGACAGAGTCTCACTCTTGTTGCCCAGGCAGTGGCGCGATCTCGGCCCACTATACCTTATGCCTCCTGGGTTCAAACGATTCTCCTGCCTCAGCCTCCCGAGTAGCTGGAATTACAGGTGGCTTCCACCACACCCAGCTAATTTTTTTGTATTTTTAGTAGAGATAGGGTTTCACCATATTGGCCAGGCTGGTCTTGAACTCCTTACCTCAGGTGATCTGCCTGCCTCAGCTTCACATTTAATTATTTTTTTTAGAGATAGGGTCTTGCTGTGTTGCCCAGGGTGGTATAGAACTCCTGGCCTCAAGTGATCCTCCTGCCTTGGCCTTCCAAAGTACTGGGATTACAGGCATGAGCCACTGTGCCAGGCCTGGCCCTGCTTTTATCAGGAGGGTCCAAGTGGGGCAGTGGCCAGACATTTACTACTGCTCACTTTAATCTATTACAGCCGGGCGCAGTGGCTCATGCCTGTAATCCCAGCACTTTGGGAGGCCGAGGTGGGTGGATCACGAGCTCAGGAGATCGAGACTATCCAGGCTAACATGGTGAAACCCTGTCTCTACTAAAAATACAAAAAATTAGCCAGGTGTGGTGTCGGGCACCTGTAGTCCCAGCTACTCTGGAGGCTGAGGCAGGAGAATGGTGTGAACCCAGGAGGCGGAGCTTGCAGTGAGCTGAGATCGCACCACTGTACTCCAGTCTGGGCGACACAGTGAGACTCTGTCTATAAATAAATAAATAAATAAATAAATAAATAAATAAATAAATTTAATCTATTACCTTGGGGATATGAGTTACAAGTCCACACAAACCCATCCAGCTTTTTTTCTTCCTTGAGCTAATTTCTTGAGTGACCCACAATTTGTATGAAGATATTCAAAGGCCTTAATTAATACCCACTTAGGTTGGGAGACATTTATCTATTGATCATTTATTATTGCATATGACAAATATTTATTGAGTATCTGCCATATATGCTAGTAATGGTGCCAAGCACTGTGGTGCCCCAAAGATTAGTAGGATGCTCTTTGCTTAGAAATATAATTAAAGCCGAGCGTGGTGGCTCACGCCTGTAATCCCAACACTTTGGGAGGCCAGGGCAGGTGGATCACCTGAGGTCAAGAGTTCAAGACCAGCCTGACCAACATGATGAAACCCTGTCTCTACTAAAAATACAAAAAAAAATTAGCTGGACATGGTGGTGCATGCCTGTAATCCCAGCTACTTGGGAGGCTGAGGCAGGAGAATCACTTGAGGCCAGGAGGTGGAGATTGCAGTGAGCTGAGATCGTGCCATTGCACTCCAGCCTGGGCAACAACAGCAAAACTCCGTCTCAAAGAAAAAGAAAAAGAAAGATAAATAATATAGTATTGCCTAGCTTAACTCTAGCAGGTGAGGTTTATAGGCATTAACTACAATATGAGAGACTGTGAGATGGCCAGAAGACAGATACAAAGAAAACTTCAGGAATTCCAAGATGGGAAAGGGTATTGATGGTCTAGAGAATCTTGGAAAACTTCATGGAGGAGGTGCCTTTTGAGCTGGCCCTTATCAGGTGGAGAGTTTCAATAGGTAAAATAGGACAAGGTTGGGAACTTACTTGAAGAGAAGAACAGAAATAAAGGCAGGGAGGGGCCAGGTGTGGTGGCTGACACCTGTAATCCCAATAATTTGGGAGGCCAAGTCTGGAGGATTGCTTGAGCTCAGGACAGTGAGAACTTGTCTCTACACAATACAAAAAAATTAGCTGGGCGTGGTGATGTGCACCTGTAGTCCCAGCTACTTGGGGGGCTGGTGTGGGCAGATTGCTTGAGTCCAGGAGGTGAAGGCTGCAATGAGCCATTGTCATGCCACTGCACTTCAGCCTGGGTGACAGAATGAGACCCTGTCTCAAAAAAACAAAAAAAGACAGAGAGGGAAACTTGGACATGCTTTTAGCAAGATTGTGGCATCCACATTGTAGCTTAGTGTCTCTGAGGCAGGTGGCCTCCTGGCTGAGAGCCTTACGTTCTCCTTGCTTTTCAGATCAATGAGCTGAGCAATGTTCCTGTTCCTGTCATGCTAATGCCAGATGACTTCAAAGCCTACAGCAAGATCAAGGTGGACAATCATCTCTTCAATAAGTAAGTTGTCTACTGAGTGGACTCAGGTTTTGTGGGCAGTCCTTTCCCTCAAGTCAGAGGCTTCTGAAGCCTCATGCATGGTGGGAGCCAAGGCAGCACCTGGCAGGGTGTGACAGCAGCACCTGGATCTCAGAGCGGACAAACTGGCTAGGAAAATGCATTCGTTATGTGCCTCTCATCCTAGTATTGTCGTCTCACTCTATTATCAGCCTACCTCCGGTGGCCCTTGGGGCATGTGGCTGGGCCCAGGGTGATTCATCTAGAGCCAGCTCAGGTGGCAGTGAGCTGCTCTGGAGCTGAGGTATTCAGTGTGAGGCTGTAGCAGTGGCCCCATCTTGGTCTTAGTCTGAGGCAGGAGGTTGCCAGGCATGTTCTTGGTCTGGGATGCCGCCAGGCTCTTTTCTGTCTGGCTGGTGTATGAGCAACAGGCAGAGCATGGGGCTCGAGGGCACTATCCAGAGTAGCACTTCCCATTTTTGTCTGCTGTCGCTTCTTGGATTAGCACCAGTGTCTGAAGGTTGTCTCAGATATTGTTGGAAACACTAGCGGCCGCCACACCTGGCACAATTTTGGGCCTGCTTTAAGCCCTTTGGGGCCTGGATTTTCCATCCCTCTGTGGACCACCCCAGGACTATTTGCTGCTTACACTTTCTCCTTTCTGCATGTGAATCCTGGTTCTATTCTTCATTGTCTCACAGTCCCCACCACCTCACTAGCTGGGTTCTGTCACCCCACCATTCCCAGACTGTTAGTCCAGAGGAGAAGATTGACTTGAGAACATCCCTTAGTGACCTCCCTCTGCCATAGTAAGTAATACCATCTTGTTCTAGAAGCCGTCTGTCTCCATAGCTGCCACCTGTTAAGTGGCCACCTAAGGAGGGAGAGGCAGCCCTCAACTCAGAGACCAGAAAGAAGGTTGTTCTGACCCAGAAGAAAGAAGGTTGTTCTGACTCAGAGGTCCGGGTTCTCGAAGTGGGCATTGCACCACTACCCCCTTCAGGGTCCATGGCCTCTGGTGAGGTGCTACCTCCTTGATATCTTGGCCTAAAGCAGAGAACCCAATCTCTTATTTTCTTCTATCTTTATTCCTTTTGTCCTTCCAACAACTGTGTATGTGTTTTTGTTGTTGTTATTGGTGTTGTTTTGAGACAGTTTCACTCTTGTTGCCCAGGCTGTAGTGCAGTGGCACGATCTTGGCTCACTGCAACCTCTGCCTCCCGGGTTCAAGTGATTCTGCTGCCTCAGGCTCCTGAGTAGCTGGGATTACAGGCACCCACCACCACGCCCGGCTAATTTTTTTGTATTTTTAGTAGAGATGGGGTTTCACCATGTTGGCCAGGCTGGTCTCGAACTCCTGACCTCAGTCAGGGTGATCCACCTGCCTCGGCCTCCCAAAGTACTGGGATTACAGGCAGGAGCCACCTTGCCCAGCCCTGTATGTGCTATTTATTAGATTCTAGCACTGTTTACTAGAAGACGGGGTAGATAAGGCAGATAGGCCACTTCCTTTCCAAGAAGACATTCCTTTTGATTTCCTTAAAGCCTGTCATCCTGGAGTAGTCACTGGGACATATTTCTGAAAGGGGGTCCCTAAACAGGATAGCTGTTGTAAAGATGGAGGATTGGTAAGAGTCATCATTTCAAGGTGATTCTCTTTCCTCCTGGGAGTCTGTATTGATGAGGGAGTGGGAGGGTGGAGATTGGTGCCAGCAGCCAGCAGACAGGGCTCTGTGGTCCCACTCAGTTGACTGAAGACCTCTTTAACTCAGGCACTCTTTTCCTACGTCCCAGTGGAAGCCCAGGGCAGGGCTTCCTGTAAGTGACCATCTTCAGGATGCTTCCACAGGAATATGGCCAGAGGAGAGGGGCCCTCTGATGAGAGAGGTTTTTCCTTGTAGCATTCAGGCTGATTTCACCTCACAGCAGATGTTCACATGCAGGTTCCCACTGTAGTAAGCACAGTGCTTGTGAGGTGGAGCCTGCACTCAGGCTTATGGCCCAGCGGGTGAGAGTTTTTTTCTTTAATGTATGTTTTATTGAAGGGCAGCACACACATAGAAAATCGCACAAATACCAGTTATACTGCTGGATTACTTTTACAAAGTGAATACAAGATGTAAAGTTTTTAAACTTTTACATGCTCAGAATCACCTGGAGTGTTTGTTTTTCGACTCAACTCCAGAATTCCTAAGAGCCTAGAAACCTACATGTTAAGTATGGCAGATGTTCAGATCCAGGCAATCTGTGGACCACACTTTGAAGAGTTCTGAAGTCAGAATATAGATGAGGCTGGGTGTGGTGGCTCATGCCCGTAATCCCAGCACTTTGGGAGGCTGAGGTGGGAGGATCGCTTGAAGCCAGGAGTTCAAGACCAGTCTGGGCAACATAGCAAGACTCTGTCTCTATTACAAAAAATAATAATAATAATAGAATTAAGATGAGCAAGGGGCAGTTCACAAAGACATATCTCTGCTTTTCCCTAGGGAGAACCTGCCCAGCCGCTTTAAGTTTAAGGAGTATTGCCCCATGGTGTTCCGAAACCTTCGGGAGAGGTTTGGAATTGATGATCAGGATTACCAGGTATGGAGGCTCCTGGCAACATCAGTGGATTAGGGAATGGAATGGGGTCAGGAAGCCACAGGACAGGTAGAGAATCAAAACGTGTTGGCTGTTTTTGTGCTGTGTCTCCCTGTCATGCCTTGCTCCAGCCCAGGCGGTCTCTCCCCCAGCACTGGGGGCCCCTTGCAGGGCGAGGGCCTTAGAAATGCTTCTGAGGATGCTGCACACACTCAGGTTCCTCTCCCTCAGAGGGAGGGCAGCAGGAGGGAGAGGGGTCTGCGGAAGCACCTTTATTTTAGTCTGACATTCCCAGTCTAGGCTGAAGAACCCTTCTCATTCGTAGTTTGACTTCAAAGAGAACTGGGTGGGGCATGGTGGCTTATGCCTGTAATCCCAGCACTTTGGGAGGCCAAGGCAGGTAGGTCACCTGAGGTCAGGAGTTTGAGACCAGCCTGGCCAACATGGTGAAACCCTGTCTCTACTAAAAAATACAAAATTAGATGGGCATGGTGATGTGCGCCTATAGTCCCACCTACTCTGGAGGCTGAGGCAGGAGAATCGCTTGAACCTGGGAGGCGGAGGTTGCAGCGAGCTGAGATCACGCCATTGCACTCCAGCCTGGGCGACAAGAGTGAAACTCAGTCTCAAAAAAAAAAAAGAGAGAGAGAATTGTTGTTAGCGAGAGATGAGGCCTCTTAAAGCAGATGAAATAGATTAGAAAAGGAAGACTTCAAGGGTAGTGTAACCTCTTGCCAGGTATGAGTGTCACCTCCTAAACTTGTGCCCTATCCTGGTGGTGGGAGTGGGGAGTTGGTCTGCCAGGGCAACTGCCCCCTTCAGGGCGTGACAGTGTTGTAGAGGCCATTGGCCTGTTGGGAGGAATCAATCCCAGTGTCAGGGACATTAGAATCTGACTCAGTCCATGGTTTCTGTCACTTCTCCTCTTAGCACATCTCCTTGGATCTTCTTCCTTGGCAGACAGCCTTGTGGTGAAGGTGGGCGAATTTTCCACTTCACCTTTACAGCTGTAAGAAATATAGCTGACTTTTTTTTTTTTTTTTTTTTTTTGAGATGGAGTTTCACTCCTGTCATCCAGGCTGGAGTGCAATGGCGCGATCTCGGCTCACTGCAACCTCTGCCTCCCAGGTTCAAGTGATTCTCCTGCCTCAGCCTCCCGAGTAGCTGGGATTACAGGCGCCCACCACCACACCCGGCTAATTTTTTGCATTTCTTTTTTTTTAGTAGAGACGGGGTTTCACCATGTTGACCAGGATGGTTTCGATCTCCTGACCTTGTGATCTGCCTGCCTCGGCCTCCCAAAGTGCTGGGATTACAGGCGTGAGCCACCGCACCTGGCCTGAAATATAGCTGACTTTCATTCATCTGTGGAGAAAACTTTTCCCCATAGCACAGTGAAACCTAGTGTATAGCACAGTGAAACCTAGAATGGATGCCCAAATCTTTTCTAACACTGTAGTTCCTCCCACCCCACCCCTTTGATAGAGTAGTTCACAGCAGCAGAAGGGGCCTTGGGTTAGAGTCTCCTCCCCTCTCTCCTCCTCTCTGGAGGGCTTGCATGCAAAGAAAAGTATCTCGAAGAAGAGGGTGAGGGTTTGTGAGAGGAGGAGGAGATGCCTTGGGCTTGAATGCCCAGGAGTGCCTACACCTAAGAGGTACTGGGAGGTTCCTCCAGCCTGCTGTTAGGATTGAACCCTGAACTCAATCATGACTTGACTGGGGCTGGAGGTTTTCTGGAAACTTCTTGCCACTATTGCAACCCCAAGTTGCTCAGACAGATTCCCTCCATTGTTCCTTGGTGAGGGGTTGCAAGTGAGGGGTTCCTTTCCCTCCCCTGGGCTGTCTAACCACATCCTCTCAGTGTCTGCATTTTGCCCCTAGTAGCCTTGTGGGCGCATGCCCGTGCTCAAGACTGAAATGAGGGCAGGGAGGATGGTGCTCAGGGAGGGGACCCTATATTCTTGGACTACCAGCCACTTAGAGAGTCAGGGGATGCTGCCTCTACCTCCCAACTAGGCTTGCAGCCTGTAAGTCTTATGGTAGAGAGGCCAGGCTGGGAGGAAGAGGCGCTCAGTCACAGAGTCTACTCAACCTTTCTGTAACGGGAACAGCCTGTTTTTTGGGGTGCTACTTTAGCACCTTTGCTGAGGAACTCCCAGAGCTGCTTACCACCTCTGACTTTAGTTTTCCCCATGAAGGTGGTCCTCACTTCTCCACCAGGGTTTTCTGAGGAGGTATTAGGGGAAAGTAAAGAGTAGGATCCTGATCAGCCGGGCATGGTGGTGCATGCCTATAGTCCCAGCTGCTCAGGAGGCCGAGGCGAGAGGATCCCTTGAGCCCAGGAGTTCAAGGCTGCAGTGAGCTATGATCGCACCACTATACTCCAGTTTGGGTGACAGCAAAACACCATCTTTAAAAAAAAAAAAAAAGGCTGGGCACAGTAGCTCACACCTGTAATCCTAGCACTTTGGGAGGCTGAGGCAGGAGGATTGCTTGATCTCAGGAGTTCTAGACCAGCCTGGGAAACATGGCGAAACTACATCTCTACAAAAGCTACAAAAATAAGCCGGGCATGTTGGTGCACACCTGTAGTCCCAGCTACTTGGTAGGCTGAGGCGGGAGGATCACTTGAGCCCAGGAGGTAGAGGCTGCAGTGAGCTGAGATCTCACCACTGTACTCCAGCTTGGGTGACAGAGTGAGACCCTGTCTCTACAAAAATAATAACAGGATCCTCATTAAGAGATGGGGAAACATCTTGGAGAGGAGACATTTCTGTGACATGATCCCCATGTATGTTTTCTTGGGAACAGGGACACTTGGGATCTCCCCTCACCGTTGCTTCCCAGAGGTCCCTTGGCATCTGCTTGGTGAACATATCCCTTTGGTTGACTCACGCCTTCCCACACCCTCCCTCTTAAGGCTTCTACTGCTCTCTGATCCTAATGGGAGTAGGACCTTGAGGAGGAGCAGGGATACAGCCAGGAAAGCTCCCCAAAACTGCCTCCCAGCCTTGCATAGACAAGCAGGAGGTTGAGGCAAGGGGAAAGGTGTCAGGCTCAGAGATGAGGATCAGCTTCCTGCTTTGGGGAAGGTTTTTCAGCATTAGGGTAGATCCAGGGACAAGAGACGAATGGGCATTGCTTCTTTGTGCTAGACCCCTTGAAGACAGTATTTTCTAAGCTTCATCTTTGCTACCCCCAAGAGACTGGGAGAATCAGCTCAGTCTGCATCTTTGTGTTCCTGATGAGGAAATGCAGGGGTAGAGAAGTTAAATGGCTCACCCAAGGTCATAGTGCGTGTGAGAGTCCAGATTAGACTCAGCCCCCTCCATCAGAGGCAGAATTTTAGTTGGTAGGATAGCTATCTGGGATCAGGATGGAAACTTTCACAGTCAGTCCTCTTCCCATCCTAGACTGGGATGAAGAGCAGGTGGTAAGGAACAATTCTTGTCACTTTGGAGGAAGACTTAGGGAGGGATGTGAACACCCTGTGAGAAAAGGGGAGGGTAAACTCCCATCTGGGAGTCCCTCTATCTCAGTGTTGTTGGCTTTCAAGCAGTCCAGCCCCTGAGGGAAGACTCAGCGAAAGTCAGAATTCTGTTCCCCTGCCAAGCCCAGCCTTCTTTTGTCTCGATTATCAGAATTCAGTGACGCGCAGCGCCCCCATCAACAGTGACAGCCAGGGTCGGTGTGGCACGCGTTTCCTCACCACCTACGACCGGCGCTTTGTCATCAAGACTGTGTCCAGCGAGGACGTGGCGGAGATGCACAACATCTTAAAGAAATACCACCAGGTATGGTGAGTCCCAAGCCTGGGCTGCAGAGGATGGGTTGGAAGAGGGAGAAGAGAGCCCTGGGGGAGCTTCTTAGGGAGGGGTTGGTCCTCTCTGGTAATGGCAGCTGCTTCTGATCACCAAGCAGTGGGACTCTCCTGCAACCGTATTTCTGTGAGCTGAAATGCCTACTTTAAAAAAGAAAAAAGGAGCCATGAAGGCTCATCGCTGACTGACTCCCAGTTGGAAAGTGTTCACGCACTGGCATCCGCCCCGTTTCTTCTGAAAGAGGCCCCCTCAGCTCGGCAGGCTTGTTTCTTTTCCCGTCCCATCTCTCCACTCATCTGGAACCTGTCCATGAGGAAGGCAGGGAGCCCCGTGGCACCATCTGTGTGTCTGTCCTCAGCCTACTTGGGTCTTCATTTCTGGGGCACCTGAGAAGGGCCGAAGGGAGCTTCTGGTCTTTCAGGAGTTATGGCAGAAACCCTGGGGCATGGCATGGATAAGAGCTTTGGATATGGAGCTGTTCTCTTCTCCCAGATGGCTGGATCCCTGGCCTGCCTCTGCATCCTGTCTCTTCCCTGCGGCATTCCCATATCAGGCTGGCAGAAGAGATGCAAGGTGTGGATCAGGGATTTTCCTGTGGTAGAATCCTACTTTAAACAAAATCTTAGGTGAGATACTAATAATATGAACCCACAGGGGCTCTGAGCCACCTGCTCAGCTTGCCTCTCCCTCTGCCATGCCAACAGGAGGCTGGAGGTGGCTGTTGCCCATTTTAAGCCTGAGAAACCCCTATTACTTCATAGAACCCAGCTGGAGAACTACTGGTCTAGAGGTTAGAATCCCAGGGAGCCAGGGAGCATTTTAGTCTGGGGTGAGCCCCATCCATCCCTGGCACTGCCTGTTCCTTAGTCCTCTCTCTTCTTCCTTTCCATTCTAGTTTATAGTGGAGTGTCATGGCAACACGCTTTTGCCACAGTTCCTGGGCATGTACCGCCTGACCGTGGATGGTGTGGAAACCTACATGGTGGTTACCAGGAACGTGTTCAGCCATCGGCTCACTGTGCATCGCAAGTATGACCTCAAGGTAAAGGGCTCTGTGTTTGCCGGAGCTGTGCCTCCCCTCTATCTGAGCCCCGAAGGGGCCACTACTCCAACTTCCATGTAATTGGGAAGCTGGAGCCTATGTGTTGGCATGGACAGGGAACTCTGGAGTGGATATGCCTGATTCTTGTGGACCAAAGGCAGTTTGAAGTCCAGGTGACAGTAACAGGAGATTATTTAAGCCCTAAATGTGCCATATTTATGCAGCAGTTGATGTTCCTGTCTGTGGAATGTGCACAGTGAGGGAGGCCGTGCTGACGCATGCACTTTAGCATCCATCAGGCCCCCATGGACTGCCAGCACAAGTGCATCTCTAGACTCTGAGAAGGACACACTTGTGGCTGTGAACTAGGGTGCTCCGTGTTCTTGAACCTGGCTTCTGACTTCTGTCACCTTATGCCGCCATCCCTTCCCTCTGTGCTGCAACTGGGCTGGTTTCCTCTGTGTTCCTGCAGTGCCTGTGCTCCTCTTCCCAGGATTTCACATCTGCTGTCTGGAATAGTCTCCTTCTCTCTCTCCACCCACTCCTTCCCCCACCTAATTGCTTCCTCCTTACCCTTCTGAGCTCAGCCCAAATACTACTTCCAGGAAGTAGGTAGGCCCTGGCCACTGTCCCTCCCCAGGCCGGGCCCGTGTGGTATGTGCTTTCAGAGTGTCCTGCTCCTCCCTGTACCACTGAGCACCGTGGTAGTGAATGAACTAATGACTTGTGGAACCACTGCTGAATATCTGTCTCCCCTGTTAGAAGGAAAGTAGCTCAAGGGCAGGGACTGAGCTTCTCCAGTGCAGTCCTGTTTGCTGAGCACCTAAAAAGTGTCTTGCACATAGAGCTCTATAAGTGGGCTTGACACAGTAAATGAACAAGGTGCTGCCTCCTGGCCCCTCTAGGACTCTAACAAGCCTACTTGAGTTCACCTGCTGGCTCTCCCATGTTTGCTCATGCAGTCGACTTTGCCTCAGCTTGACTTCCCCTGATGGCTCTTATCCTTTCAGGGTTCTACGGTTGCCAGAGAAGCGAGCGACAAGGAGAAGGTATGCTGGTGCTGAGCAGGAATGGAAGGGTCGCTTGGAGTCAGAAACAACTCCTGTCGGCCATCCTGTCCCTCGCCCACCCCAGCCCCTAGCCCAGCTCCCAGACATGCCGTCTGTCAACATGAAATGCCGTGTGTCATGAATCACCTGTCTGTCCTTGTGCTAGGCCTAGACCTTGGTCTCTGGTCTTTTACCTCTGCCCTCACTACGTTCTTCATAGTCCTGCTGGGATGGCAGACATTTCTATCTCATAGTCCAGCCTGAGTCAGTCAGTGGCTGCCTGAGCCCTGAGCTGGTCCAGGCTCAACAGGAAAGAATCCTTTAGTCATTCCTCATCTTTCATGTGTTTGCCCTCCCTGCCCACCCAAAGCCTGGGACTAGAGGCTCCTGCACTGCTGATTTAGCAGGTTGAGGGTCGGTACACTGACAACCCCTCCTTCCCCTTTCTGTATAGTTGCTCCCGGCAGAACAGTTGGGTGTCCCTGGGGTGAATTAATCAGGCTTACCCAGCCTAACTGCTGTTGCTCTCCTAGGCCAAGGACTTGCCAACATTCAAAGACAATGACTTCCTCAATGAAGGGCAGAAGCTGCATGTGGGAGAGGAGAGTAAAAAGAACTTCCTGGAGAAACTGAAGCGGGACGTTGAGGTACTTACTAACCTTCATTTTCACCTGCAAGGCTCCTTCTGTACCTAGAGTAGGCGCCTCTTAAACCTTAAGAAGAATGGAATTCAGTACTTTCCAGGAGTATGGACAAAAGGGTGGTGATTTGAGCAGCGTGGGCACTTATGGGCACCTAAAGCAAGTGCAAATGATCATTCCACCTGACGGAGCATAGTTGGCGCCAGTAGGACCTTTGTAATTTAGTTTAGAATGCTTTTCCCTTTTCACTAATTCATTCCAACACCTTTTTCAAACTCCCTTCTGCTGTTGTCCCTACAATGGAGAGGGCATCTGGCCATCAGAGCTGTAGGAACCCAGCTATTAAGGTCCTGTAACCCCAACATTTTGGGAGGCTGAGGTGGGAGGATCGCTTGAGCTCAGCAGTTCAATACCAGCCTAGGCAACATAGCAAGACCTCATCTCTACTAAAAATTAAAAAATTTAGCCAGGCGTAGGGGCACACACCTGTAGTCCCAGCTACTTGGGAGGCTGAGGCGAAAGGATTGTTTGAGCCCGGGAGATGAGGCTGCAGTGAGCTGTGGTCTCACCACTACACTCCAGCCTGGGCAACAGAGCAAGACATTGTCTCAAAACAAAAACCGAAAAAGTTGGCTAAGCATGGTGGCTTACTCTTGTAATCCCAGCACCTTGGAAGGGTGAGGCAGGAGGATCACTGGAGCCTGGCAGATCAAGGCAACATGAGCTGTGATCATGCCACTGTGCTCCAGCCTGGGTGACAGAGCAAGACCCTGTCTCAAAAAACAAAAATCCACTAATCAGGTTCTTCTCTGGCTCTGGCTCTGATTCTCCACTTACCTAGCAAACTTCTGTTTGTAATCTGGGGAGGACAGGTGCTAAATAGTGAAAATGTTATCTGGACCACTTGATAACTCAGCGTCTCCTTCTCTTTTAATAAATTGAGAGGCTGCTCGTTAAAACCAAATCCTACAAACAAACTTGGGAAAAAAAATTTTTTTTAATTGTGGTAAAATACATATAATAATAGGTGTTTTTTTTGTTTGTTTGTTTGTTTTGTTTTTTTTTAGGAGATTCTCGTTCTGTCCCCAGGCTGGAGTGCAGTGCAGTGGCACGATCTCGGCTCACTGCAACCTCCGCCTCCTGGGTTCAAGTGATTCTCCTACCTCAGCCTCCCAAGTAGCTGGGACTATAGGCACGCACCTTAACCATTTTGATATATAGTTGAGTGGCATTAAGTATATTCACATTGTTATGCAACCAGCACTACCATTCATCTCTGAACTTTTATCTTTCCCAGCTGAAACTCTATACCCATTAAATACTAATTCCCAATTCCCCCTCCCTAACCCCTGGCAATCAGTGTTCAATTTTCTGCCCCTATGAAGTTGACTACTCTAGGAACTTCACATAAGAGGAAGCAAACAGCCAAGCGAGGTGGCTCATGCCTGTAATCCCAGCACTTTGGGAGGCTGAGGTGGGCGGATCTTCTGAGGTCAGGAGTTTGAGACCAGCCTGACCAACATGGAGAAACCCAGTCTCTACTGAAAATACAAAATTAGCCGGGCATGGTGGTGCACGCCTGTAATCCCAGCTACTTGGGAGGCTGAGGCAAGAGAATCGCTTGAACCCAGGAGGCGGAGGTTGCGGTGACCCTCCAGCTTGGGCAACATGTTATGAATGAAACTCCATCTCAAAAAATAAAAAAAAAAAAAGGAAGCAAACAGCAGTTGTCCTTTTGTGACTCTGTTATTTTGCTTAGCATAATGTCTTCAGGGTTCATCCATACTGTATCATGTGTCAGAATTTTTTTCTTTTTATTATTTATTTATTTGTTTTGAGACAGAGTCTCGCTCTGTTGCCAGGCTGGAGTGCAGTGGTGCGATCTCGGCTCACTGCAACCTCCGCCTCCCGGGTTCAAGCGATTCTCCTGCTTCAGCCTCCCAAGTAGCTGGGACTACAGGCGCGTGCTGCCACGCCCAGCTAATTTTTGTATTTTTTTAGTGGAGACGGGGTTTCACCATGTTGACCAGGATGGTTTCGATCTCCTGACCTCGTGATCTGCCTGCCTCGGCCTCCCAGAGTGCTGGGATTACAGGCGTGAGCCACCACACCTGGCCAGAATTTCT
This sequence comes from Homo sapiens, assembly GCF_000001405.40. Lineage (NCBI taxonomy): Eukaryota > Metazoa > Chordata > Mammalia > Primates > Hominidae > Homo > Homo sapiens. The sequence goes on along the minus strand of NC_000017.11, from coordinate 38,775,566 downwards.
TTCTTTTTAAAGCTGAATAAGGCTGAGCATGGTGGCTAACACCTGTAATCCCAGCAGCTCAGGAGGCTGAGGCAGAAGGACTGCTTGAGGCCAGAAGTTGGAGACCTGGGCAATTTACTGAGATCCTGTCTCTACAAAAAATTAAAAACTAGCTGGGTGTGGTGACATGTGCCTGTAGTCCTAGCTATTCAGGAGGCTGGGTGGGAGGATCCCTTGTGCCTAGGAGTTCACGGTTGTGGTGAGCTATGATCATGCCACTGTGCATCAGCCTGAACTAGAGGGTAAGACCCCATCTCTTTAAAAAACAAAACAAAAGCTAGGCGCGGTGGCTCACGCTTGTAATCCCAGCACTTTGGGAGGCCAAGGCAGGCGGATCACGAGGTCAGGAGATCGAGACCATCCTGGCTAACACGGTGAAACCCCGTCTCTACTAAAAATGCAAAAACAAAATTAGCCAGGTGTGGTGGTGGGCGCCTGTAGTCCCAGCTACTCGGGAGGCTGAGGCAGGAGAATGGCATGAACCCGGGAGACGGAGCTTGCAGGGAGCCGAGATCGTGCCACTGCACTCCAGCCTGGGCGACAGAACGAGACCTCATCTCAAAAACACACACACACACACACACACAAAAACTGATTAATATTCCATTGTATGGATGTATTACATTTTGTTTATTCATCAGTTAATGGACACTTGTTATATCAGTTGGGGTTCTCCAGAGAAACAAAACCTATAGGATGTTTTGTAAATCTCTTTATACCAAGATATTTATTTTTTATTTTATTTATTTATTTTTTTTGAGACAGAGTCTTGCTCTGTCACCCAGGCTGGAGTACAGTGGCGCGATCTTGGCTCACTGCAAGCTCCGCCTCCCGGGTTCACGCCATTCTCCTGCCTCAGCCTCCCGAGTAGCTGGGACTACAGGCGCCCACCACCATGCCCAGCTAGTTTTTTTTGTATTTTTAGTAGAGATGGGGTTTCACCATGTTAGCCAGGATGGTCTTGATCTCCTGACCTCATGATCTGCCTGCCTCGGCCTCCCAAAGTGCTGGGATTACAGGTGTGAGCCACCACGCCCGGCCCTAAGAGATTTATTTTAAGGAATTGTTTCATGGGATTATGGATACCAACGAGATCTGCAGTCAGCAAGCCGGAGGCCCAGGAGAGCTGGTGGTGTGGTTTTATTCTACAGGCCATCAGGCCACCAGGCAGAAGGAGTTCCCTCTTCCTCACCGGAGGGTCACCCTTTTTCTTCTCTTCAGGCCTTCTGCTGATTGGATGATGCCCATCCACACTGGGGAGGGCCATCTGCTTTACTCAGTCCACCAGTTCAATGCTCATTTCACCCAGAAACCCTCACAGACACACCCAGAATAATGCTTGACCAAGTGTCTGGGCACTCAGGCCCAGTCCAGCTGGCATATACAATTAGCCATCACACTTAGGTTGCTTCCACCTTGTAGCTGTTGGGAATAATGCTACTGTGAACATGGGTGTCATAAACTTCGTTTTGCTAGGAAGCGTTTCCTTAGTCACCCCCAACTATGTTCTTTCCTTATTCTGCCTTTCATCATCTGACATTATTTGTCCTGAGTCTTTGTCCTTCTCCCTTTTCTACCCTCTCCCCCTACTGTGGTTCTGAGAAGAATTTAATGCAGTTTACTCAGTGCATTTGTTTTCAATGCATGTTGCTTTATAAATGTTCTCAGGTGGGTGGAGGGCATGGTGCATGGACCTTCTTTTTCCTGGGACCCTAGCCCCTTCTCCCTGGGCCTTGAGAAGGCTTTGTCTGGAAGTGCTCAGAGTGGCATCCCTCCCTCCCTTCCTCTTCCAAGGAGATCCTGCTGGGCTCCCATCTTTAGGGCTCCTTGTCCTTAGTTGTGTTCTGGGCTCGTGCATAGAGCTGCTCTGCTTCCATGATGATTCTCCTCCTAGTTCTCTGTTAGGACCTAACATGGTGGTCAGTCTAACAGTCTCCTAGTGACCACTGTATGATGGTGACTGCACTCTTGCCTCATTATTAGCTAAACTGGAATGCTAGCTGGCCATTTCCATCCTGTATCATTCCATACTTTGTCTTGAAATCCTAGATAAAAGACTTGAACCACCACCCTGCTCACAGCACCCATTATACAGATGAGAAAACTAAGGCTTGGCAAGGGGAGTCACATGATGCTAGGGGAGGACTTTCCCCCAGCACCACACAGCCTCTTTTGACCTTCAGGGAATGGGTTGAGAATATTGGTTGGTTCTGGCTGCCATTCTTGTATGGTTTTGTGTTCCCTTTTCCTTTTTTTTCTATTTTTACCTGGGCTGAAAAGTCGATGACATAGTTTTTTCAGACTTTGTCTCTGAGGCCAGTTAGAAGTATATTTTACCTTGCAACCCAATGGATACACACAACTGAAACACTGTCTACCCTTATTTTCTGTCATGTATTCTGATATTTTCTATTCTATTTTATTATACAGTAGTCCCCCCTTATCAGCAGGGGACATGTTCCAAGATCCCCAGTGGACGCCTGAAGCCACAGATAGTACTGAACCCTGTATATACTATGCGTGAATTTTTTTTCCTTCTTCACAATTTCACGGATAGAAGATTTGTTCTTACAGGAGATCTTAGCAACCTCAGCATGCAATTTATTTTCTTTGTAAGTCAAGAGCTTTCACCTTTTCACTTAAAGCTGGCCAGGTGCAGTGGCTCACACCTGTAATCCCAGCACTTTTGGGAGGCTGAGGCAGGTGGATCACTTGAGGTCAGGAGCTCGAGACCAGCCTGGCCAACATGATGAAACTGTCTCTACTAAAAATACAAAAATTAGCTGAGTGTGGTGGTGCATGCCTGAAGTCCCAGCTACTTGGGAGGCTGAGACAGGAGAATCACTTGAACCTGGGAGGTGGAGGTTGCAGTGAGCCGAGATTGCACCAGTGCACTCTAGCCTGGTGACAGAGCAAGACTCTGTCTCAAAAAAAGAAAGCACTTTATGGCTTCTCTTTGGCATATCTGAATTGCCAACATCACTACTCTTGCTCTGTGGAGTCATAATGAAGTCAAATATGGGTTACTTGAATACAAGCACTGTGATACAACTATAGTGAACTGATAACCAAGACAGCTACGGACAGCTACTGAAAGACTAATGGGACGTTAGTGCATACAGTGTGGATATACTGCACAAAGGGATAATCTGCATCCTGGGCAGCACTGAATGGGACATAGCAAGATTTTATCATGCTACTCGGAATGGTACACTATTTAAAAACTTATGAATTATTTCTGGAATTTTCCATTTAATATTTTTGGACTGTAGTTGACCACAGGTAACTGAAACCATTGTGGATAAGGGTGGACTACTGCATTTAATTTAAAGAAATCCTAGTTCCAGCCCACTACATTGGGTTTAGGACTCATAATGGGTTGAAATTTTGATCTGAAATATATTGTTGTGTCATATCCATCGCTCCATCCTCTTCCATAGTATATCATTTCATTATTTCTTTCCTCAAACTTGGCCATGGCCTCTTTTTTTAAAACAAGAGACAGGGTCTCACTCTGTTCCCCAGGCTTGAGTGCAATAGTGCCGTCATAGCTTACTGCAGCCTCAAATTCCTGGGCTCACGCGATCCTCCCACTTGAGCCTCCCAAGTAGGTAGGACTACAGGTGTGCACTGCCACGCCCAGCCAATTTTTAAATTTTTTTGTAGAGATGGGGTCTCATCACGTTGCTGAGGCTGGTCTCAAACTCCTGGCCTCAAGTGATCCTCCTTAATTGGCCTCCCAAAGTTCTGGGATTACAGGCATGAGCCACCGTGCCCAGCCACCATGGCCTCTCTTGATCCCAAACCGTCATGGGCTGTTCCCTCTTCCTGCAGTGCTCGTTCTATCTTTAACCTGCAGTACTTGCCTCACTGACTCCTCTTCATCCTTGGCCTCAACTCCTTTCTTCAGGGAGGGTCTTGCTCACCCCTCACTGTAAACTCCCACAGCTCCTTGCTTTTTTTTTTTTTTTTTTTTTTTTTGAGACCATCTCCCTCTGTTACCCAGCTAGAGTGCAGTGGTGTGATCACAGCTCACTGCAGCCTCGACCTCCTGCCTTTCCCCTGCTGAATGACTGTCTTCCCCATTAGAGAGAGCTCGCGAGGGCGGGTGCTCTGATGCCTTACTCTCTGTTGAATTTCAAAACTGTTTGTAGAATTGAGTTGAAAGGAATGCCTTTCCCCCCTTTCTGGATGTCACTGGGATGTCCTGTGTAACCTCTTCTTCCTTCCATCTTTCCATCCTTGCCCTTCCTAGTTCTTGGCACAGCTGAAGATCATGGACTACAGCCTGCTGGTGGGCATCCACGACGTGGACCGGGCAGAGCAGGAGGAGATGGAGGTGGAGGAGCGGGCAGAGGACGAGGAGTGTGAGAATGATGGGGTGGGTGGCAACCTACTCTGCTCCTATGGCACACCTCCGGACAGCCCTGGCAACCTCCTCAGCTTTCCTCGGTTCTTTGGTCCTGGGGAATTCGACCCCTCTGTTGACGTCTATGCCATGAAAAGCCATGAAAGTAAGTCAGAGCCTGCGCCTGCTCTGCACAGCCCTGCCCTCATCCTACCCCCTCAGCTCATTGTTTAGATCCTTCTAGGGGCATCTGGACCTCCACCTCATTCATTGCTGCCTTTGACCTCTTTCTGCCTCCAGATTCCCATCCAGGGTCACCACCTGAACCTGGGGCTCCTCCTCTGCCAGGCTTTCCTATACTTCCCTGCTTGTCCTGGCTGACTGAAGAGTGGTTCTGCTCTGGTTCATGAGATGAACCAAACTTTATTCATACTGTCCTGTCAGCCCCACAGAGTGACTGTGAAGATCCAATAAGATAAGAGCTATGACAGCTGGAAAGGACTCCACTGGTCCTTTTCTCAGCCCCAACATGATAAGGATGGAGCTGAGCCTTGTGTCTGGGGGTTGTAGCAGTGCCCAGCTGCTGTCTGCCCTTCTCCTGCCCCCTCTTCCTTCTTCCCTGCTCTCCTTGTCCCTCCAGGTTCCCCCAAGAAGGAGGTGTATTTCATGGCCATCATTGATATCCTCACGCCATACGATACAAAGAAGAAAGCTGCACATGCTGCCAAAACGGTGAAACACGGGGTGAGTCCTCTCCATCTTCATCCAGGGCCCAGCTGGGTCGGTGCATCTGTGCTTACCCTCAGACCCCAGGGAGGGCAGTCTCAGGCCTCCTGCTCCAAGGAACACACTCCTGTCTCCTTCTTCCCAGGAGAGCAGACTGGAAGAGCAGCCTGCCTGCCTTGCCATGTTCCCTGCCTTCACCCACCTGCTCCCTGCCAGGCTGGGCCCAATTTGTTTATCCCCCAGTTCTCCAGCCCTCGGGGCCAAGCCTGCCAGTGTCTTTCCCCAGGGCCTGCTGGGCCTGTTGTGCATCTTGTTGAAGGGCGAGTAATAGCTTTGTTTCCATGCCCATACTGCTCCCCACAGGCCTGTTTCCCTGTGGGCCTGAAGCCCTGTTCTCCATGTAGTGGCCCCCACAGAGATCCAGAGCCGCGTTGCCACCTCCCCACTGCCTTTCTTCTACTTCGGTGCAGGCCTGGGGTTATAAATCACAGGAGTGGGGCCAGGACAGTTCAGGACTTGTATGCCACTTCCTGAGGTGGTCTGCTCAGTCTTGGTGGGGTTGGGGGTGGTATTCAGCTCTGATACTGAGTAAGAGGCTTCTGAATACCCTGGCTCCCCCCATGTGCAGCCTCCTGATTGGGGCACAGGAACTCAACCTGAATCAGCCTCTTGTGTATTACAGGCAGGGGCCGAGATCTCGACTGTGAACCCTGAGCAGTACTCCAAACGCTTCAACGAGTTTATGTCCAACATCCTGACGTAGTTCTCTTCTACCTTCAGCCAGAGCCAGAGAGCTGGATATGGGGTCGGGGATCGGGAGTTAGGGAGAAGGGTGTATTTGGGCTAGATGGGAGGGTGGGAGCAGAGTCGGGTTTGGGAGGGCTTTAGCAATGAGACTGCAGCCTGTGACACCGAAAGAGACTTTAGCTGAAGAGGAGGGGGATGTGCTGTGTGTGCACCTGCTCACAGGATGTAACCCCACCTTCTGCTTACCCTTGATTTTTTCTCCCCATTTGACACCCAGGTTAAAAAGGGGTTCCCTTTTTGGTACCTTGTAACCTTTTAAGATACCTTGGGGCTAGAGATGACTTCGTGGGTTTATTTGGGTTTTGTTTCTGAAATTTCATTGCTCCAGGTTTGCTATTTATAATCATATTTCATCAGCCTACCCACCCTCCCCATCTTTGCTGAGCTCTCAGTTCCCTTCAATTAAAGAGATACCCGGTAGACCCAGCACAAGGGTCCTTCCAGAACCAAGTGCTATGGATGCCAGATTGGAGAGGTCAGACACCTCGCCCTGCTGCATTTGCTCTTGTCTGGATTAACTTTGTAATTTATGGAGTATTGTGCACAACTTCCTCCACCTTTCCCTTGGATTCAAGTGAAAACTGTTGCATTATTCCTCCATCCTGTCTGGAATACACCAGGTCAACACCAGAGATCTCAGATCAGAATCAGAGATCTCAGAGGGGAATAAGTTCATCCTCATGGGATGGTGAGGGGCAGGAAAGCGGCTGGGCTCTTGGACACCTGGTTCTCAGAGAACCCTGTGATGATCACCCAAGCCCCAGGCTGTCTTAGCCCCTGGAGTTCAGAAGTCCTCTCTGTAAAGCCTGCCTCCCACTAGGTCAAGAGGAACTAGAGTACCTTTGGATTTATCAGGACCCTCATGTTTAAATGGTTATTTCCCTTTGGGAAAACTTCAGAAACTGATGTATCAAATGAGGCCCTGTGCCCTCGATCTATTTCCTTCTTCCTTCTGACCTCCTCCCAGGCACTCTTACTTCTAGCCGAACTCTTAGCTCTGGGCAGATCTCCAAGCGCCTGGAGTGCTTTTTAGCAGAGACACCTCGTTAAGCTCCGGGATGACCTTGTAGGAGATCTGTCTCCCTGTGCCTGGAGAGTTACAGCCAGCAAGGTGCCCCCATCTTAGAGTGTGGTGTCCAAACGTGAGGTGGCTTCCTAGTTACATGAGGATGTGATCCAGGAAATCCAGTTTGGAGGCTTGATGTGGGTTTTGACCTGGCCTCAGCCTTGGGGCTGTTTTTCCTTGTTGCCCCGCTCTAGACTTTTAGCAGATCTGCAGCCCACAGGCTTTTTTGGAAGGAGTGGCTTCCTGCAGGTGTTCCACCTGCCTTCGGAGCCTGCCACCCAGGCCCTCAGAACTGAGCCACAGGCTGCTCTGGCCAGGAGAGAAACAGCTCTGTTGTTCTGCATTGGGGGAGGTACATTCCTGCATCTTCTCACCCCCTCAACCAGGAACTGGGGATTTGGGATGAGATATGGTCAGACTTGTAGATAACCCCAAAGATGTGAAGATCGCTTGTGAAACCATTTTGAATGAATAGATTGGTTTCCTGTGGCTCCCTCCAAACCTGGCCAAGCCCAGCTTCCGAAGCAGGAACCAGCACTGTCTCTGTGCCTGACTCACAGCATATAGGTCAGGAAAGAATGGAGACGGCATTCTTGGACTTCACTGGGGCTGCTGGATTGGATGGGAAACCTTCTGGAAGAGGCAGATGGGGGTCAAACCACTGCCTTGGCCCCAGGAAGGGGCCATAGGTAGGTCTGAACAACTGCCGCAAGACCACTACATGACTTAGGGAACTTGAAACCAACTGGCTCATGGAGAAAACAAATTTGACTTGGGAAAGGGATTATGTAGGAATAATGTTTGGACTTGATTTCCCCACGTCATAATGAAGAATGGAAGTTTGGATCTGCTCCTCGTCAGGCGCAGCATCTCTGAAGCTTGGAAAGCTGTCTTCCAGCAGCCTCCGTGGCCTCGGGTTCCTACCGGCTTCTCTGCATTTGGTCTGCTGATCATGTTGCCATAATGTGTATGGAAAGTGTAACACATTCTTACTGGTTAAAGACGACTACCAGGTATCTAACTTGTTTAACATTGAGTTTGTGTGTGTGTGTGTATGTTTGTGTGTTTTGTATATTGTTTACATTTTGAGAGGTAGCATTCTGTTTCAAATGCTTTTTGTTTTTCTGACAGTATTGTTGACTGGGTCATAACATTTTGAGCTGTGGTTTGGTGGATTTTCAATTTTTTTTTTTAAAGGTCATTCGCTGTGCTATCTTCAAAACCTTGAGTTTGGCCCCCAATTTTTGGCATTCAAATGTTTAAAAGCTATTTATCTTGGTTTATACAAGTTTCCTTTCTCTTCTTTTTGTCATGGTATTCTATTTGGTCTGCAGTTTGAATGTAGAGAAAGTGGACTGATCCCCCAAGCGTTGTCTGCCCCCACTCTTTCCTCCTTGGGTCCCGCCATTCTTTTACTGGGCAGTCGAGGGCATTGGAGGGGAAGTGACTGCCCTCAGCCTCACTCCCTGGGGCCATGAAGAAAAGCTAAACAGTCTCATGGCATCTCAGAATAATGTTGGGTCTCCCAAGAAGAAAGGTGTAAGAATAACGACATGGCTGATTAGGCGAGGCCAGGATAGGGCTAAGGCCAGGATTCCTGGCTGGCATCCAGTCACCCCTTCTCCCATCCTTCCCCCTCTTCTTCCACAAGTCCGCAGCCGAGACACTGTAGTCTCCCAGCCACAGTGATGAGTGCCCTGGAGACTCCACTGACCTCTAGATGAAGGCCCCTGGCCCTGGTTCCTGTTAATTAACCTCTGGGTCTTTGAGTCCCCCAGCACAAACTTCTTTCCTGTACCCTGCGGCTTGGGGTCACAGGGCATGCCGGGAAGCCACAGCTGAGGGGCGCAGACTGAAGCAGTGCTCCACCTCTCCTTCTTTAGCTCAGGGGTTGCTGGTCTGTGGCAGGCGCCACGAGTGGCCCCTGTGGCTGTTCTCAGTGGCAGTCTCTTAAGTTCCCACCACAGGCAGCTCTTTATCCCCTCTCCCTACTTGACTCTTTCTCTTGCCTGTGCTTTTGGCCTCAAACAGGCCTGCTGGTAGCGCTCAGGGCGTGAGGCTACACTCCTGCCCTGCCTTTCCTGTCTTCATGGTCTGCCAGGGCATACCTTGGGGAGGTGGACCAAAGACCCAGGACTTTTTGCAGTAGCCAGTCCTACCCCCCAGTTGTCTTTTTACCAATTCAGGGTGGGAGAGAAAACTGCAGCACCCCAGCATGTGAGTTACTCAGGTGTTGGGGGCTAGAAGGGACAGTGCGTTTAAACAACACTCAGAGCTCTGGCCTTAAACCTGTGGCCCCCCAAGTCTAGGAGCCTCATCTCTTCCTGGCAGTCATGCGGGCAGGAGGTCCTGAAAGGGAAAACCCATTCAGACAACTGTTCCCCAATCTACCAGCCATCTGCAGGGGTCAGTGACCGTGGCCCTCTCCCTCCTCTAGAATGTGCCACTTATGAAGAGTGCCCCATGGGGAAAAGGAGACTCAGCTGTCCCTTGGCAGCTTGTGCCAGTATCCCAGGGCAGAAGTTTCCACAGGAGCCTCTTGCCCTTGCGCAGAGCCACTGTGAGAGGCGGTGGGAGCCAACACCCTTGGGGGAGGGGGCAGTACTGCTCGGCACATCCCAGCATCAGGTCAGATCATTGAAATTAAAAAATGTGAATTAAGTTCATATCCACCTTTTGGGGAAGCAGGACAAACCACCACCCCACCAAGTGTGTGACTTCTCCATATCCCACTGCAGTTTCCATTTTTTAAATGGGAATTTTCAATCCCCTGTGCTTGTCTAACGTCTGCTTTAAAAAGTTTGAGACCCTGTTACTGTTTGAAAATGCATGCATGTTACGATGAATCTCCAACCTGAGGAAAAAAATAAAACTCAAAAAGCTTTGTGTACATCTGTTATGTGTGAGTCCTTGGGAAATGAACCTTTTTTTTTTCTTCCCAGAATTAAAAAGTTTTGGTCCTAGCTTTAGAGGCAGCTTCGGCTAAATCAATGTATGGCTTGAGTTTGGAGAAAGAATATGGTCAATGACATCCCGCTTTCAGATGCAATTAATAAACAGTGGTTAAAAGCACAGCACCACTGGCTGGGTTTGGTGGCTCACGCCCAGTACTTGGGGAGGCCAAGGCAGGAGGATCACTTGAGCCCAGAAGTTCAGTACCGGTCTGGGTAACATAGTGAGACCCCGTCTCTACAAAACAAGAATTAGCTGGATGTGATGGCACATGTCTGTAGTCCCAGCTACTCAGGAGGCTGAGGCAGGAGGATCACTTGAGCTTGGGAGGTTGAGGCTGCAGTTAGCCATGATTGCACCACAGCACTCCAGCCCTAGCAACAATGAGACTCTTAAGGAAAAAACAAACAAAACACCACAGCACCAGAGCCAATCTGCCTGTTAGCTGTTACTACCATGCACATGGAAGAATGGACAACCCCCCCCCCGCCCCCCCGCCTCCAGCTGTGTAGAACGAACTCTGGCTAGGAGCCACTCACCTGACATAACTTTGAACATGTCACCTCTGTGCACCTCATCTACTGCATCTGGGCATTTAGCTTAAAACCCAGTAGTTCTCAAAGTGTGGTCTTGGACCAGCAGTGTCATTAGCACCTGGGAGTCAGAAATGTAAATTCTCAGGTTCCAACCCAGATCTACTGAATCAAACTTTTAATGAGCCCTCCAGGTGATTGTGATGGGGGCTAACGTTTGGGAACCACTCTGCTATGCAAACTTTCTACTTGCTTATTAGGCCATCTATGTACTGCAGATTGCAAGCTGGAATCACTTGGGGAATTCTGGAAAAGACAGGTACCCAGGCCCCTAAAAGGCCAATTGGAATCTCAAGGGGTGGGATCAAGGTATGTGTTTTAGGAATTCCACAGGTGACTAATGAGCTGGCCAGGTTAAGAAACACTAATCTAGACTACTTATGGGTACTTGACCAAATTTCTACCTGAAGCAATAAAAGATGTAAGGGTTTTCCCGTAGAGTTTGAGTGAAAAGGATTCTAAGCTCTGGCATCAATGGAACATGAGTTTATGTCCTGGCTTTATCACTTATTAAAGTAGACTTGGGTAAGTTATTTAACTGTCCTTCTTCTCCAAACAAGGATAATCTCAACTACCTTGAGTCATTATGATGAATAAATTCTAGATCGTGTAAAGCACTTGTGTGGGGCCTAGCACACAGGGAGCATGCAGCAAGTGACATGTGGATTGTCCCCACTGGCACGCACTGATGGAGTAGAGCACGAGCCAGAAAGCAAGCCGAGGGCCAGGCCACACACACTTGAGTGGCTGGCTGTAGCTGCCCAGCTAGGGCAGAGATCTGCAGGAAAGCATCAAAGACAAAAGCAGGAGTGAAAGACAGGCTATTTTATTTCAAAAAAAGAAAAAAAAGTGGGCTCTGGGAACAGGGTTAGTCCATTCGGGCCTTCAGTGTCCTGGTGGTGATTTTGTCCTTCTCGCTGCAGAGGGAGAAAATCACAAGAAAACATCTCTACCCATCTGGACCGTGACTGTGACTAGCTCTCCTGGCCCTCAGCACCAAGCCCTCAAGCCCTGCGGCAAGGGAGCAGAACAAATAGCTGCCCGCTGCCTCTAGGTGTAACTATCCTGCTCTAGTTCATTCCTGCTAGCTCATCTCCTCCGCCTGTGGTGAGGAAGGAGGGATAGGAACAGAGACCTGGGCCGACTTTCCACAGGTGGAACCACCTCAGGGAGGCTTTCCCAGAAAATGATTCAGGGCCAGACTTCACAGCTCTCAAAAGAAGGGAAGGAGCTTGGCCGGGCGCGGTGGCTCATGCTTGCAATCCCAGCACTTTGGGAGGCCTGAGGCAGGCGGATCACGAGGTCAGGAGTTCAAGACCAGCCTGACCAACATGGTGAAACCCCGTCTCTACTAAAAATACAAAAATTAGCTGGGCATGGTGGCACGTGCCTGTAATCCCAGCTACTCAGGAGGCTGAGGCAGGAGAATCACTTGAACCCAGGAGGCAGAGGTTTGCAGTGAGCTGAGATAGTGCCATTGCACTCCAGCCTGGGCGACAGAATGAGACTCCATCTCAAAAAAAAAAAAAAAAAAAAAAGGGGGAAGAAGCTCCTCCAAGCCTAGAGAACAAGCCACTTAGGAAGGAGAAGGTGTGGTGTGTTTCACCCCAAAGAACATAAAAAAAAACCGTCGGTGGTAAATTCTGTTTTTTGGGTTTTTTGTTTTTGTTTTTGTTTTTTTTGAGACAGAGTCTCACTGTGTTGCCCAGGCTGGAGTGCAATGGCGTGATCTTGACTAACTGCAACCTCTGCCTCCCAGGTTCAAGCAATTCTCCTTCCTCAGCCTCCCTAGTAGCTGGGATTACAGGCACGTGACACCACGTCTGGCTAATTTTATGTATCTTTAGTAGAAACGGGGTTTCGCCATGTTAGGCTGGTCTCAGACTCCTGACCTCAAGTGATCTGCCCACCTCAGCCTCCCAAAGTGCTGGGATTACAGGCGTGAGCCAACGCGCCTGGCCAAATACTATTTCACGGTAATTAAGCAGGCTATCCCCCAAAAGGGTCCAAATGCTTATCCTGCAATGTAGGAAAGTGGTTGGAAGGATACCTCCTACTCTATCCAATCAGGTTCCTGGTGATGGCCCCAAACAAGTAAAAGGACAAGGAGGATGGCACTTAGGGAGTTGGCTGAGGCTTGGAAATTGGTCTCTAGAGCTCAGAACATCACACAGATCTGGGCTGGAGAGAGGATGCGAGCCACCTAGAATTTCAATCCATCTGCAGTAGCTTTGTTGTGGCTCACCCCAACACGGATCCCTGAGACTTCGGAGACATTGTTAAGGAAGAAATGTCTCTTGTGAGCACGGGGTCACAGAACCTCACCTGACAAGAGGCCAGAGGAAGCTGGGTAGGCTGCCAGTTACCAGCCATAGGGAGGCATGGACTTTTGCTCACCCAGGACTGCCAAAAGCACCTTTCTTATCTCACACCTGACCAGGGGGCTGGGAAAATGGGGTGTATGCTCGTGGAGAAGGGAGAGAGGCAGGGTGTCTGCAGAGCTTCTAGACTTCTCCCAGCCCATACTCACATGATGTGGACAATGACTCCCATGCCTGACACTGCATCCCGGTCCACAGCATTCAGCATGGCTTGGGAGATGGTTTCAAACAGGTGATCCGGATCCTGCCAACAGAGTGGAACCCCTTCAAACCACAGCCTCTGGCTCTGATTTGGTCTGGTCCCTTAACTCTCTTTTTTCTAGGCTCAAGATTCCCAGCTCTGGCCCCAAGACATGCCTGAAGTAAGGGATGATTCCCAGGATGTGGGAAGCCCCTCTCAGCTCCTTCCTTGGAAGGAAGCAGAATTATGTAAAGGAAAGTGAAAGAGACTTCAAGCCCTGAATTTCTTTTACTAATCAGCAGTGTGACATTGGGCAAATAGTATGTCTCTCTTCACTGAGCCTCAGTTTCTCTGTAAAATAGGGAGAAGAATCCCTATTTAGCTCCAGTGTGCTTTAGCAGCTGTCTGATGGGCTCTGATCCTGGATATCTTAACAGGTACCTCAAAACCCAACCTGTCCAACCACAAACCCACTTCCCCCAAACCTGTTCCTTCTACATTCTGTCTTGGCTAGCCTAGCTGGAGAACCCAGCCATCCTCTGTCTCTACATCCTTCGCTTCTGTTTTAAGTGACTAAGTCCCCTTGACAGCTGCCTTCCTGCCTCCCCACTGCCACTGTCTTTGCTCAGGACCTCAGCGCCTCCTGCAGGCGGTAACAGCCTGTCACGTCCACCTAAAGGCACCTGATTCCCTAGGTTCCTATGGCAGAGGACAGAGTTCAAACTCCTTGGCATGGCATTCAAGGCCCTTTGAGGTCTCATCTCAGTCTCCAGCATCATTTCTCCCCATGTTTAACCCACACTCCAGCCAGGCTCAGCTCTCCAGTCACTGAGCATACCTGCCCCTTCCTGTACCTTTGCCCCCAGACCCTTTCTTTCCTCCTCTTCCCAACAAACTGCAGTTCAACAGGTATTTGGATGTGTCTTGCTTCACTGGACTGCAGTGGGCCCTTGAAAGCAGACTGTACCTGCTTTCCCCAGTGGCCGGAAGAGCTGGCACTTAATAACGACAGCCGACCCTCGCCGTCAAGCACTATCTCATCTCTTCTCACTTGTTTTTGTGCTCGCTTCGGCAGCACATATACTCATTTGTTTTCCTCAGCACCACTTTTTTTTTTTTTTTTTTGAGACGGAGTTTAGCTCTTGTTGCCCAGGCTGGAGTGCAATGGCACGATCTTTGTTCACCGCAACCTCCGCCTCCCAGGCTCAAGCGATTCTCCTCAGCCTCCCGAGTAGCTGGGATTACAGGCATGCACCACCATGCCCGGCTAATTTAACTTTTTTTTTAGTAGAGACGGGGTTTCTCCATGTTGGTCAGGCTGGTCCTGAGCTCCAAACCTCAGGTGATCTGCTTGCCTCAGCCTCCCAAAGTGCTGGGATTACAGGCGTGAGCCACCGCGCCCGGCTTCCTCAGCACCACTTCTAAGGCAGACTTTTTTATCCTCATTTTACAGTCAAGGTAGTGGAGGCAGAGAGGGAAACTGGCTTCTCCAAGAACAATAACTAAGGTGGTGGGTGGATCCAGGTTGCCAACCCAGACAACCTGTTGAGCTGCCTCTAACCCTACACTGAGTTAAATGTTTGCTCAGTGAATGGATGCGAGAACCCTGTAAACCCAATGTAAGGAATTCTTACTGCTGTGGCAAATATCTAACTGTGGTCTCCTAACAGAAGATGCTCTCCTCTGGAGCCAGCCAGCCAGCCTGGCAGATGGAATTTCTGGATACCCTTCCAAGGAGCAGCAGCTGTGGCTTTCTCTCCCACCTGCACCATTCTCCCCATTACCTGCCACATAAACACACTTTTTTCCTAATGACCAAGGGTGGGTAACTCAGAGCCCAGCCCCTCTCCATGCCACCAACGTACCATGTTGGGCTCCCAGAGGGACTCACACATTCCGTACATTTGTTCGGCGCAGGTGCCACTGACCACAAAGTCATCAGTCACCATGGGGCAGCCGATGAGGTCTAGAGAGCAAATGAAGGGCTTAAAGGTCTTCGGGTCCAACCCGGCAATGACTGGCTCAGTGTAGTAAGGGCCAAACCTGTGGGGGCCAGCATCAGAGAGAGAAACCAGAACTCAAGAACGCTCGCTTTCATGTTTAAGCCTATTCAGACAAGGCCCCGGCCTAGACCCAGACCCAAAGGGAAATGGAGGACCTGTTTAGGAAGATCACCTTTCCCTGAGGCCAGCTCCCTCTCCCTTCTCCTGCCAGCTAGAAATATTCTAAGACTTTTCCACTTTCTTTTCTTCAACACTTACCTTTCTATCCTTCTCACCTCTGACCCTCTTGTGCTCCTTCTTTCTTTCAGAATTGTTTTCTTCTAATCCTCCCTCTCCTCACCCAAGGTCCTACCATCACTCAGTCCTCTATGTGTATGTTTATACCTCTACTCCTTTAGAGAAAAGATTGGAGGCAGTTTATATGAAAAACACTGAAAAATAAAACTAAACCATTAAAACATAATACAAGATAACTCAGACTGAACACAAAGTTTTGTTTTGAGCCCCCTAGCAGGCAAGGCAAAGAGGGATACTCAGTGGCTGGGTTACTCTCATTGTCAAAAGGAAATGGCAGCTCATCAGAAACTTGTTCTAGACACTGATCTTTAAGAAAAATCAGTCTTGGGCCAGGCGCGGTGGCTCACACCTGTAATCTCAGCACTTTGGGAGGCCGAGGTGGGTGGATCACCAGGTCAGGAGATCGAGACCTTCCTGGCTAACACGGTGAAACCCCCTCTCTACTAAATATACAAAAAAAAATTAGCTGGGCATGGTGGCGGGTGACTATAGTCCCAGCTACTCAGGAGGCTGAGGCAGGAGAATGGCATGAACCCGGGAGGCGGAGCTTGCAGTGAGCCGAGATCGCGCCACTGCACTCCAGCCTGAGCGACAGAGCGAGACTCCA
Organism: Homo sapiens; assembly: GCF_000001405.40. Lineage (NCBI taxonomy): Eukaryota > Metazoa > Chordata > Mammalia > Primates > Hominidae > Homo > Homo sapiens. Next base: position 38,759,566 of record NC_000017.11, on the reverse strand, counting down.
TCTCAGAAAAAAAGAAAAGAAAAGAAAAAAAAAAAAGAAAAATCAGTCTTAGGGATCTTTATGTACAGATGATGGTCCCTGACTTATGATGGTTCAACTTAAAATTTTTCAACTTTATGATGGTGCAAAAGCAACAGGCATTCAGTGGAAACTATGCTTTGAAATTTGATCTTTTCCCAGGCTAGCAATTTGTGGTACCAAACCCACTCCTGATGCTGGGCAGTGACAATGAGCCGCAGCTCCCAGTCAGCCACACAATCACCAGAGGAAACAACAGATACTTTACACTGTTCTGCTGTGAGCAATTTTTGGATATAGTGTTTTGTGTATTTGCATCCTATGTCTACAAAATACCCATTTCAACTTACAATATTTTAAACTTATAACAGTTTATAAGGTAAGGAATATCTATAAAATACCAAATAACAAATGGCCAATATCCTCAGTAGAAAGAGTCAGTAAAAGAGACGTTATCCATATGTCTTATTGGATCACAGTCATTTCTTTCTTTCTTTCTTTTTTTGAGACAGTCTTGCTCTGTCGCCCAGGCTGGAGTGCAGTGGTGCGATCTTGGCTCACTGCAAGCTCTGCCTCCTGGGTTCGAGCCATTCTCCTGCCTCAGCCTCCTGAGTAGCTGGGACTACAGGTGCCCGCCACCATGCCCAGCTAATGTTTTGTATTTTTAGTACAGACGGGGTTTCACCGTGTTAGCCAGGATGGTCTCAATCTCCTGACCTTGTGATCCACCCACCTCGGCCTCCCAAAGTGCTGGGATTACAGGCGTGAGCCAATGCTCCAGGCCTGGATCACAGTCATTTCTAAGGGCATGATCTTCAGTTATAGCTCTAAATAGAAACACACACACATACACACGCACAGTTCAAGATTACAGGCATGAGCCACCATGAAAATAACTTTTTTAGGCCAGGCATGATGGCTGACGTTTGTAATCTCAGCACTTAGGGAGGAGGCCAAGGCTGGAGGACTGCTTGAGCCTAGGCATTCAAGACCAACCTGGGCAACAAAGTGAGACCCCTGTCTCTACAAAAAAATTTAAAAATTAGCCAGGCATGGTGGCATGCACCTATGGTCCCAGCTACTTGGGAGGCTGAGGCAGGAGGATTGCTTGCACCCAGGAGGCAAAGGTTGCAGTGAGCCATGATCGCACCACTGCACTCCAGCCTGGGCGAAAGAGTGAAACTCTCAAAAAAATAATAATAATAAAATAAAAAATAAAAATAATAAAATAAATGTCTTACTCTTATTGAAAAGAAAAAAAATACATTAGGTGACCTGAAAAATTCTGGATTCTTAGCTACTATTGACGGGAGCTTCCTCTATGAGCCCATCTGAAATCAGTGATTTTTCTGGCAGGACAGGCTGAGGCATTGAACTGCAAACCTGAGCAATGTCCAGACCCTTTTTAAAATCTGGACCCCAGAGATACCATCTACGCACCTCTGTCTGAAACACTGCAGTAAAAGTTACTTCAGATGGTAACTCGGCATCAGCATAATAGGAAGTTCAAACACAGGCCCTGAGCTGTGTTATAGTATTTGGTTTTAAGGTTCTTATCCAGATAATCCCAGATATTATTAACTTTTTTTTTCGTTGGCTGGGCGCAGTGGTTCATGCTTGTAATCCCAGCACTTTGGGAGGCTGAGGTGGGCGGATCATGAGGTCATGAGTTTGAGACCAGCCTGGCCAACATGATGAAACCTTGTCTCTACTAAAAATTAAAAAATTAGCCAGGTGCAGTGGCAGGCGCCTATAATCCCAGCTACTCAGGAGGCTGAGGCAAGTTGCTCACAGCAACCTCCACCACCCAGGTTCAAGCGATTCTCCTGCCTCAGCTTCCCAAGTAGCTGGGATTACCGGTGTGTGCCACCACGCCCAGCTAATTTTTGCATTTTTATTAGAGATGGGGTTTCACCATGTTGACCAGGATGGTCTTGATCTCCTGACCTCGTGATCCGCCCACCTTGGCCTCCCAAAGTGCTGGGATTACAGGCATGAGCCACCACGCCCGACCTATTTTTTATTTCTTTTGAGACTAAGTCTCACTCTGTCACCAAGGCTGGAGTACAGTGGCATGATCTTGGCTCACTACAACCTCTGCCTCCCAAGTTCAACAATTCTCATGCTTCAGCTTCCCGAGTGGCTGGGATTACAGGCGTGCACCACCACACCCAGCTAATTTTTGTATTTTTAGTAGAGATGAGGTTTCACCATGTTGACCAGGCTGGTCTCGAACTCCTGACCTCAAGTGATCCACCTTCCTTGGCCTCCCAAAGTACTGGGATTACAGGCATGAGCCACCACGCCCAGCAAGCCATTTAATATACATCCAAATATGAGTTAATTGTTACAACTTTATAAGACTTTTTGCAGGGCGCAGTGGCTCATGCCTGTAATCCCAGCACTTTGAGAAGCGGAGGCAGTAGATCAGTTGAGGTCAGGAGTTCAAGACCAGCCCGACCAGCGTGGTGAAACCTTGTCTCTACTAAAAAAAAAAAAAAAAAAAAAAAAAAATTAGCCAGGTGTGATGGCACACACCTGTAATCCCAGCTACTCAGGAGGCTGAGGCAGGAAAATCACTTGGACCCGGGAGGTGGAGATTGCAGTGAGCCGTGATTGCACACCAGGGCGACAGAGCAAGACACCATCTCAAAAAAAAAAAAAGAAAAAGTTTTTGAAAGCTAAAGGGTATTTTTACAAATTACAAAAATTACTTCAAAATAAAAAGTTAAAAGAAAAGAAAAAAAAAGAGATCAGGCCAGGCATGGTGGCTCATGCCTATAATAGGACTTTGGGAGGCCAAGGTAGGTGGATCACCTGAGGTCAGGAGTTCGAGACCAGCCTGACCCACATGTTGAAACTCTGTCTCTACTGAAAATACAAAAATTAGCCGGGTGTGGTGATATGGACCTGTGGTCCCAGCTACATGGCAGGCTGAGGCAGAAGAATCGATTGAACCTGGGAGGTGGAGGTTGCAGTGAGCCGAGATCACGCCACTGCACTCCAGCCTGGGTGACAGAGCAAGACTCCGTCTCAAAAAAAAAAGAAAAAGAGAGCTCAACTTATATTCTGGCCACCCAGGTTTGCCCAGAGGTAGAAAGCACCCACAGGGTTTCCTTTCAATTCCATCCTAGATTTCTGCACTAAATTCTACAGTTAGGCCCCTTGTTTCTCACCATAAAGCCCTCAAGGAGAACTGACGAAAATGAACACCCCATTCCTAGGCTCCCTGCTATTCCCAAGAAGCCAGTGCTGACAGAATAGCTCTAGGGCAAGAGTGGCTCCTGCTGGGAGACCCCAGAACACTCTGGTGGGACTAACTCTTTTGCCTAGATGCAAATTTATCTGCTATGTGCATTCCTTGCCTTCTTCCAACATAAGTATTTTCTTTCCTATCTGGTTGCCAGACAGGCCCAAAGAAAACACACCCATAAAATAAGGATATTATCCTGCAAATAAGAGATGGAAAAACAAGGAGAGTCCTCTTCCTCAGTACCTACTCCATACTACATTCAAAGATGTCTGCATTCCCTCAGTGCTAGCTACACTTGCACTCACCGTTTCTCATACAAGAGGTTGGCCACCATGCTCATGAGGGTATAAGGTTTGATCTGCCGACCTTCCTTCAACTCATACAGGTTCAGCCGGAACTTGAGGCGCTGGGCACTGAGGTAGGAGAAAAGTGAGTTAGTAAGTCATTATTGAATATTCCTGAGTGTCTACCCTGTTGAGGTCAGGGAAACATAAGGAGACATCTCATCTCAGTCCCTGCCCAGGGAAAACTGTAGTCTTACATGTGTTAGGAAGTAGCAACTGGTGCTTGCTTTGGCAGCACACACACACACACACACACACACACACACACATATATATATATATATATATATATTTTTTTTTTTTTTAGACGGAGTCTCACTCGTCGCCCAGGCTGGAGTGCAGTGGCGCAGTCAGTCTCGGCTCACTGCAAGCTCCGCCACCCGGGTTCACGCTATTCTCCTGCCTCAGCCTCTCAAGTAGCTGGGACTACAGGCGCCCGCCACCACTCCCGGCTAACTTTTTGTATTTTTAGTAGAGATGGGGTTTCACGGTGTTAGCCAGGATGGTCTCGATCTCCTGACTTCGTGATCTGCCCACCTTGGCCTCCCAAAGTGCTGGGATTACAGGCGTGAGCCACTACGCCTGGCCAGCAGCACATATATTAAAACTGGAATAATACAGGGAAGATTAGCAGAAGGATGACATGCAAATTTGTGAAGCGTTCCATATTAAAAATGTTTAGGCTGGGCGCAGTGGGTCACACCTGTAATCCCAGCACTTTGGGAGACTGAGGCGGAAGGATTGCTTGAGCTCAGGAGTTCAGCTGTGGGCAACATAGCGAAACCTTGCCTCTTACAATAACTACAAAAATTAGCTGGGCATGGTGGCACACACCTGTAGTCCCAGCTACTTGGGAGGGTGAGGTGGGAGGATCACTTGAGCCTTGGAGGCGGAGGTTGCAGTGAGTTAAGTTTATGTCACCAGCCTGGGTGACAAAAAAAAAAAAAAGGGGGCAGCACCAACTGCTGTGCTATGTGCTAACAGACTTGAAAGATGCCTTAGAAAAAGGCCATTTGGCAGCTCTGGTGAAAAAAGGAAAAAAGGTCACAGCTTGCCAGTTCCATCTCAGAGCCCCAGGATAGGCCCCTGCATAGAGCAGACCAATGCCACACCTGCTGGAGGAAAAGCAATGAGTCTCAGGACACCAGAGCAAAGAGACTTAGAAATGACTTGAGCTTCATCTTCCAGGTAAGGAAACTGAGGCCTAGTGAAATGAGCAGTCATTGCCCAGAAGGAAGCAAACGCAGTGAGAAAAGCCCTCTGAAGAAAAGGAAATGGTGTGAGAACAGCAGTGACTGCAGAAGGGAAGGCTCACGGGAGACTTCACTGACAGGAACCCCAGGATGTCATTCTCTGACTCTACCAGACAGGAAAAAAGGGCAGGCTGGGTGAGATCTCAGTAAGTGTTATGTTCTTGAGACTCAGGGAGTTTTAAGAGAAATGAGAACATTTTCTTTTATTCTTTCTTTTTTTATTTTGTTTGAGACAGAGTCTCGCTCTGTTGCCCAGGCTAGAGTGCAGTGGCACAATTTCAGCTCACTGCAACGTCCGTCTGTCAGGTTCAAGCAATTCTCCAGCCTCAGCCTCCCGAGTAGCTGGGATTACAGGTGCCCACCACCCAGCCTGGCTAATTTTTGTATTTTTAGTAGAGACAGCGTTTCACCATGTTGGCCAGGCTGGTCTGGAACTCCTGATCTCAAGATATCCGCCCACCTCAGCCTCCCAAAGTGTTGGGATTACAGGTGTGAGCCACCGCGCCCAGCCGAAATGAGAACATTTTCTGACAGGCATCCACCCACGCTTGTGAGCTAGTCTCTCCACCTTCTAGGAAACAAATCCAGGACCTGCTGCTCCTCAGGCACCAGTACCCTGCAGGACCTGCCCCCTGTGACCACGTATTCCCTCCTGAAAACCTATCACCGTTCTTTTCCTCTCTTATTCTTCTCTGGCTTCTCTTCGCCCCTCACTGCTAAATGTAACGTTCAGCTCTCAAACTGCCGCTCATTATTTCCCTCCCTACAGACTTTGTCTCTCCAGAATCTGCTCCCATAGATTTGGCACATTGCCAATGCTTCCCCAACCCTGAGATGTAATAACAAAACCCCAACTGCTTGCAAGATGTTTCTATTGGGCTTGTCTTGTCTGCTCAAAATTGTTGTCAAAATCAAAGTCAGGCCAGGTGTGGTGGCTCATGCCTGTAATCCCAGCACTTTGGGAGGCTGAGGCAGGTGGATCACTTGAGGTCAGGAGTTCGAAACTAGCCTGGCCAACATGGTGAAACCCTGTCTCTACTAAAAATACAAAAATTAGCCAGGCATGGTGGTGCGCGCCTGTAGTCCCAGCTACTTAGGAGGCTGAGGCACGAGAATCGCTTGAGCCTGGGAGGTGGAGGTTGCAGTGAGCTGAGATCATGCCACTGAGCTCCAGCCTGGGTGACAGAGCAAGTCCCTGTCTAAAAAAAAAAAAAAGAAAGGGAAGGACATGTTTTTTGGAGGCGGCAAAGTCTCAAACTCACTGGTGGTGTGTGGTAGATGACTGACACCTTGGCCGGTCAAGACGCCGGGGTTGGATGGTCCAAGAAGAGGCCTGGGTGTGGGCGGGGACCCTTGAAACTTACACTGTCTGGACGTCAGTGGCGAGCCCGGCCAGACCGATGTACAGCCGGTCACCCATGGGAAAGATCTTCTGGAAGTCCGTGGTCACCATCTGGGCCTGGATCCCGAAGCGCCTGTCTGCAGCGATGGCCACACAGTTCTTCCCCTTCATGGCCATGACGGCCCCTCCGTTATAGGACATAATAGACTAGGACAGACAGAGCGGAGGGGTCAGCGCGGGGGGTCAAACGCTGCCACAGCCCCCGGCCCAGCTCCTGATGCGGAGGCTCCTGTACGCCCGTTCTCCATTCCGGAGGCGTCTGAACCCCTGGTTCTCCAGCTGGGATGAGCACTGTGTGGCGGCAATGAGCCGCACTCACCCTCTTGGTCCTCACCGGGGCCCGCTCCCCTCGAACTGAAACCGCTTCCTTCCATCGACCCTAGGCCCTTTTCGTCCCCAAGCCTCTCCTGACCCCCTCCGCTTCTCAATCCTTCCCCATGCCCCTTTGCTTTAACTCCCCATCTCACCATGATTGCGGTGTACTAGGATCCCTCGATCGCCAGAGCAATTCCAGTAAACCGGGTCTAGCCTTCACTGCGCAACCGCTCTCACTGCTGTCTCTTCATTGGCTGATAGGCGGACTCTTCCTGGACATCTGGGCTTTCTATTGGTCACACGTCCCTGTCGGTCACCAGTACAGGTAGTTTGGTTGCAAAGTCAAAACGGAGGCGGGAAAAGCGGAAGTGAAAAGTCACTGTGGCTGCGGAAGAGACTTGCGACACGGTGCATAGTGGGATCTCGGCGGACCTGGACTCGGGACCTCAGGGACTGGGGGCGGAGCCTGCGCGCACGTGGGCTGGTGAAACTGGGTTTAGGAAGCTGCGGCCCCAGCTGAAGGGGCACCGTGACGCTTATCAACGTGATGTATGAGTTCGTCGTATTAGTCGTGCTAGCTTATTTATTCACTCCAGAAATCCTGCGTTTACTGTGTACCAGGCACTTGCCTAGGCTCGGAATATTCACTGGCCCACAACAGTGCCTAGTATATAGGAGGCGCCCATTAAATGGAAATTTAATGATGCAGGTGGGAAGGGGAAGGCGTCGCGTGTAGGCGTCGCGGGTATTTTGCGGCTGCAGGGGTTCAGCTGTGAAAGGGAGTTTGGAAGCCGAAGCTTGTTCTGATTTGGGGGACTTCCTGCGGCCCGACTTCACGTATCCTCAATCTCAGGTCACCCTAAAAAGGGACGTTCCGCGCCTCTCCACGTTTGAGGTAGAACCTGAGGATAGCCAGAGTCGACCTCTCGCCGTTCCAATGGAGGAAGGGCGTGCACGTCCCGCGTCCTCTCCTCCCAAGCTCTTTCGCCTCCCTCCCCCATCAGGATCCTTCCCTTTCTCCCCCGGGTTCCACTTATTTCGCCCGATGGCGGCATCTCTTACGGCGTCTGCGCCGTCCAGGCTCGCTCCCATTGACTCGGCTCACTACTACGCCGGTAGTCGACTCGGTCTCTGTGGCGCAATCGGTTAGCGCGTTCGGCTGTTAACCGAAAGGTTGGTGGTTCGAGCCCACCCAGGGACGCTATGACCTTTTTTTTTTTTTTTTTTGTCTTTTGGGTTTTTTTTTTCTCCCCGGAAGATAAAAACCTAAGCCTTTTACTCAAAAGCCAAATTTTGCATTGAAATGGCAGCAGCAATACTTTTTCTAGGAGAATCACTGTTCTTGAAAATTCTTTGCTGCTCAGTCAATAATGGGATAATTTCTCCAGCACTTCCCTCCACACCCCCCCAACCCGCCTCCAAGCTAGATCGCAGGAAACCTAAAGACACAGGTTTTTGTCTCACTGTGCATGCAACACGTTTCAGGATGCATTTTTTCATAGGATTAAGAATGAATTTACAGTGGAGGTTCGACAGTTTTCTATTGTCTGCCTCAATCGATATTACAGTCTCCAAATACTACATTTGGAAGGGAAGAGAATGAGAGAGACACAGAGAGAGAAACAAGTATGAAGAGAAACAAAGGTGAGAAAGGGAGAACATTGTTGTGATACAGGGAAAGAAGGGACGTGACAGAACTAGGCAGGGTGGGTAGGGGAAGACCTCAAGACAATGGAGAGTGGGAAAATAGACGCATTTAATATTAGAAGCATCAGAAAAAAAGGAAAACAACACATTTTTTCCCCCTAGAACTACACAGGGAGGTGGGGGAGGAAGATGGGGAAATAGAAGGAGAAACTGACTAAGGACCTTGTTTGGGGGAGATAAAAGGTATAAAGGACACAGAGGTAAAGACGTTCCGGAAAGCTCTAGAGGAGCCGCCCTCTCCTGTCTCGTCACCATTTTTAAAGGGATCTGATCCTCGCAATAGCTCTTGGTATATGCTGGAGGTAATTGCCTAGATTTCCCGCGTTCCTGTCCTCTGCGAGTCTCTGGCTTGTGACAGCCACTGTGACTCTTCTGATGCACTTGTCAGCTAGAGGACCGCGTGAGATGCAAACACAAAATCAAGGGGCGCCTAATGTCTGACGAGGCGCATTCCTGGGCGCAGTGGGAGCCTCGACCTTTGTGGAGGAGAATGTGCAAAGCACTCTTGAGCAGTTCTCATAGACACTTGGTCTCTGCAGATTCGGCTCAAAGGAGGCCTCTTCTGGAAGCCCACCCCAGTACTCACCCACCCTTAGCGGGAGCTCACACCAGAAGCGATGGGCGCTAAAGGGACAGGCTGTGTGTCCTTCAGGGTTTGCACCCACCGGCCTGTGAGCGCCCTGCGCAAAAGCCAGGCTCCTGTGCCTTGAGTTCCCAGTTCCTAGCGCAGTATTTGACACTGGCACATGACAGGTGCTTTCTATGTCGGCTAGTAGTAGAACAAAAGACTAGGAAACTCTTTCGATGTGGGAAGAGTTGGGTCAGAAGGTTCTCCTGAGAAACCAGAAAGGCCAGGAATGTGGAGACTAGTCATCCAGGACGCAAAAGATGAAAATGGAGTTTTAGTGGGTAATAGGGTCTTAGCACACTCCTCTCTAGCGGTTCTCTCCTGTCTGGCGCTTAACAACCGAAGAATAAGTGGATGGACCCCGGTGGCCCCTCGGGCAGCCCTCCAGGATTCATGGGCCGCAGAGGAACGTCAACCCCCTTCCCACTGGCTGATAATGCCCCGAGGGGCAGCCCCCCAGGTGCCCATGTGGTTGGTGGGTGGGATCCAGATCTCCGCAGAGCCCCTGTTACAGGTTTCTCTTGTTCGGGGTCTTGTAGCCAGAGAGGGGCGGCTGACTGGGAGTCCTTCCCGCGTTCCCCTCCCTGCAGAGCGAGTGGATGCGCGTCTTCCCCGGCAGAGTGCAGGATGCCGGCGACACATTTGCCTGGGAACAGTGGGAGGGTCCCCTTTCCTCCGGGGCCGGTGAACTACTCGCCTCTCCGCCTGCAGGCTCCGGAGCAGGTGACCGGATCTTCCCTTGGCCCTTCTCCCGCCGGTTCTCGGACCACTCCCTCTGGAAGGAAGTCTCTCCGCCCTTCCTCTTCCTCCCCGCCCCCGTCCCGCTGGTGTGGCTGCAGGCTCGAGCTGGGGTCACTCGGCGGCCAGTGTGCGCAGGTCTCCTGGTCGCCGGCCAGAGGGCGAAAGCATTCACCCGAGGCCCCCAGCTTCGCGGCTGCCTTGGCTGCGAGCAACGAGGGAAGAGGAGGCAGGCGCTCCAAAACTGGGCGAAGATTCCTATCCTAATTTCTAACTCGAGCCTCCCACCGTCAGTGCGCTTAATGGCGCTGCTGGCCGGATGGATAATCGAGCTCTCTGGAGGGACAGACGCGGCCGCCATCCCTAATAAATCGTGAATAACGAATGAGGGAATCGACCATCCTCATGAGGCCCACGGGCGTCCAGTAACGCAGTATCGATTCGCTTCCCCGGCGTCGGCCTCACCGCTACTCCCGGCGTTTCCAAGCCTCCCTCCTCGTTCTCTCCCTCCTGCCGGAGCCACTGCGGACCGGAGCCCCAGCGCCAGGTGGAGCCGGGGCGCCAGTGGGAGTCGGGCCCAGCCGTCTTGGCGCTCGCCCGACTCTCCCGCCCGCGCGCCCAGGGAGGCGCACAGGCAGCGCGCAGCGCAGGGCGCGAGCGAAAAATGCGGGAATCAGCGCCAGGCAGGAGAAAAGGCGCGGGCCCACCTTACAGCCCGGCGCCTCGTTTCCTAGTCCAGTGTGGCCGCTCGCCTTCGGCCGGATTATTGTGTCCCAGACCCGGAGCCTGAGTTCCCATCCTCAGCGGGCCTCCGTTCTTCTCTGCCCGAGCACGCCGGGGGCGCAGCCTCCGCCAGAGCTACCCGATCCCCCCGCGGCGAGGCCCCCCACCCGGCCTCACCCCGCACCTCCACTCCCCTCTCGCGATTGCTCCCTGCCAGGCGCCCAGGCTGGATCCTGGTGCGCCGCTTTTCGGGGCCAGCGCCCCTGCCGCCGAGGGGGCAAGGGGAGTGGGGAGGACACGCTCGCCCTCCCAGATGCAGTTATTAATTTTAAGGGAGTGTCACTTGGAGTGAATGAAAATCGCTCGGACGCCTGGCTGAAGGCGTCGCGTCCCCCGCCGGAGCCCCGCGCCCTTTGGTCTAGGCCGGGGCGTGGAGGACCACGAGCCACCTTTCAGCCCAGTCCCCATTTCACCATTTTCCAGGCGCCCCAGTTAGGGATGGGCATCACAGTGTCAGTGGGGGGAACCCATATTTTGAAGGGAGGGGGGCTAACTGCGGAAGGTAACATAAGAGAATCCATCCTCCGGGGTCGGGGCGGCCGCATGGGAAGGGAGGGGTCTCGTCCTGGCTAGGGACCCGGCAGCCGGTGGCGGGGAGCGGCCGCGCCAGCCTCCCCCTCCTCTTCCCGTCTCTGCCAGCATCCTGAAGGAATGAGGTCACGTGGGTGAGTGGTGGGCGGGACCTACTCTTGTCTGGAGGAAAAAAGCCATTTTGTCTCCCCCCCACACTCCGGTCCCTCCCCTCCCCCCTCGGTCCCCTCCCCTCCCCTCTCCCTCCCACCCCAAGCCGCTTTCACAAACTCCTTTCTTACCGTAGGTTTCTCCCCTCCCGCCGCCCGGGCGAGCGACACGGCTGCGGCCCCCCTCCCCTCCCTTCCCTCCCTCCCTCCCATCCCCCCCTCCCCGAGACCCACCGGACCCCGAACCCAGGTAAGCGGAGCGGACTCCCCCTGCCTTTCCCTCTCCTGGCCTGTAACCCTCTGGGGATTGGGATGGGGGCCGGCCGTTCTTCGCAAGCCCCGATGGGAGGGGGAGGCTCTGAGCCGATCCTGCCTTCGCACCCCCCGCGCCCCGTCAGTCCCTAGCCCAGCTTGCCCCGTCCGCCTTTCTTTCTCCCTTTTTTCTGTCCCTTTTTCCCTTTCCTCTCTTCCAAGATGGCCGAAACGGGCTCCCCGTCTTAACGATTTGGCGTCTCCCTCGACCACCACCTCTTTGTGCAGCAGCCCCCGGGCAGACCCTGTTCCGAGGTAGCGAGGGGGAAGGTCCGGGGCAGCCGGGAGGGCTTGCGGGATGCGCGCTGGGTTGGGTCGCCGCTCCCCACGAGCCAAAGCCGCCTCTCGCTCTGCCCGGTCTACCCCCTTTTCCATCTGGGCGGGGGTCGCTCTCCCGTGGGCACAGGGGCGCCGTGGACGCGCGGGGACTTGGGGCCGGCAGAAGGGGATGTGCTTTGGGGCGGCCGCGAGGCCGGGGGAGGGCGCCCTTCCCCGCCGGGGTCCGGGTCCTCTCGGGCACCTCCCCCCGCCGGTCCCCGCTCCCCGTCCCGGCGCCGGCGCCCCGCCCCCTCCCCGAACCACCTCAGCAGAGCCTCCCTCCGGAACACCCCTCCCGGGGCCCCGCAGAAAGTTTGGCTCTAGGGAAGGTGGGAGCGGCCACCCGGTAACTGGGGTCCCTGATCCTTGGACATGGGCTCCTGGGGAAGCCCGGGCGCTGGGGGTAGAATGGGGATGGAGGGAAATTTATCGCAATATTTCCCATCGCCAGCGGAAGCAGGGGGATCTGCTAAACTGGCCCCCCTTCCCCTGGGACGCCCAGCCACCCCACCCTGCGCACGCCCTCCTACTGCTAGCTCTGAGGGCGTGGGACCCCCGGGCAAGCAGACACCCCCTGCCTGTCTCCACGGTGGGCCCGGGCTGCCCCTCGCCCTCCCCCACTGCCCCTGTCTGCCCATAATCGCTCCGGTTGGCTTGAGGTGGGAGGAGGCGGCATGGAGGCGGGTGGATTTGCCAGTGAATATTGTGGAAGTGTTACCCAGCGCTTCCCGAGATCTTTGTCCCTCAGTGTCCCCCATGCTGCCTCAGTCTCCCCAGAGGTCTGTCTCGAGGGGAGGGCTGTCTCCTGGTTGTCCCCTCCCCGCTCTGTTCTGATGCCTCCTCCTCTGGGACCTCTGGCAGTTTCTGTTCCTGAAACTCTTTAATTTCTCTCCTCCCTCCCCCCTTCACTCTGGTCCAAGGTGTTATTACTGGGAGCATAAAGCCAGCTCTGTTGCAGCTTTTTGGTGGGAAGGTTTTCCCACGGGCTCCCCTGGTTGGGGGTTGGGGGATTGAGGCTTTAGAACTGACTTTGGAATGAAGCAGGAAACCAACCCCAGGATCCAGACCATGTGTAGCTAGGTAGGGTTCAAGTTGAAGTCTTGGGGGTTGGGCAGGAAGGGGGACTCTGCTGCCCCTGGCCTTGCCTGAGAGATCTTGGTTGATGGAGCTGTTGTCATGGGAATGGAGAGAGCCCGAACAGGAAGAGGGTACAGCTTTGTGCAGGTCACATGCCCACTGCAGCCCTCCAGCCTCTGGTCCCCAGAGCGGACTTTGGAAGCTGAACTGCTTTTGTTGCTGGAAGACTTATGTTATAATTTACCCTGGGTGGACCAGGGTCGTACAAAAGGTTAGTGTGTGTTTGCAGGGTCTGTTTCCAGGCAGGGATGTCAGGCTGTGTGCTTCTAGGTGGGGGGTGGATGTGGATGGCTTCTGCATGTAGCGAGGGTGGGCCTGGCTCTGGTCTGGCTGTGATTGTGTGTGTGTGTGGCGCAGGGTGGGGGAGGGTTGTGGCGTGTCTATCTGGCCTTGTGTGTAGTGAGTGTGAGAGGTGGAGGGGGGTGTGTCTTGCTGTATGTGTGTGTATCTGGCAATGTGTATATTTTGGGGTTTTGCCTTTGTTTGATCTTAGGGAGTTGAGAGGTGGGAGAGGGAGGAAGGGAGGGTTGAGTAAGCCCAGCTTCAGGAGGCCCTTTTCAATGCATGGTGGGGACAGGGGAGCAGATCTTTGTGCCATTGTCAAGGATTGGGGAAAGTTGGGAGGTTCACAGTGTCCCTAGGCAGACCCTCACGGCCCCAAACACAAATACAAGGGGCTTGCGCAGTTGGACCCACGAAGCTGGGAGAGGAACAGAGTCATAAAACCCCTGGTCTGAGTCTTGATGCTGTACTCTGGCTGGCTGTGCTTCCCTGCAGCCTCTGTTTCCCTATGTGTAGGAAGTGGGGTAAGGCAATTAACATGTGCCTCCTCTTCCTGCCTCAAGGCAGGAGTCCATGCTGATGGTCATGTTTGGGCCAGACTGACTCCCTCCCAGACGGCGGCCCACTGAGTGGTTTTCCCGCCACTCCAGGGAGCTGCTCTTTTCCCCTCCCACCTGCTGGGATGAAGCCGGGCATTACTGCTTTAGATGAGTGAGGAGCCTGGCCAGGTGCCAGGATGTTAAAAGCACTGGGGTGGGAGTCAGGCACTTTCTTGTCACAGGACTGCCACTGCTTTGCTTTGTGACCTTAGACAAGTCACATCTGAGTGTGCTCATCTGTAAAATGAAAGGATTGAACAGGTGCTTCTTTTTCTTTTTCTCTTTTTTTGAGATGGAGTTTCTTTCACTCTGTGGCCCAGCTTGGAGTGCAGTGGCACGATCTCCACTCACTGCAACCTCTGCCTCCCAGGTTCAAGCAATTCTCTGGCTCAGCCTCCTGAGTAGCTGGGATTACAGGCGCCTGCCACCATGCTCCGCTAATTTTTGTATTTTTGTTTGTTTGTTTGAGACAGAGTCTCGCTCTGTTGCCCAGGCTGGAGTGCAGTGGCGCAATCTCGGCTCACTGCAACCTCTGCCTCCTGGATTCAAGCGATTCTCCTGCCTCAGCCTCCCGAGTAGCTGGGACTAGAGGCGCGTGCCACCACACCCAACTAATGTTTTGTATTTTTAGTAGAGACGGGGTTTCACCATGTTAGCCAGGATGGTCTCGATCTCCTGACCTCATGATCCGCCCGTCTTGGCCTCCCGAAGTGCTGGGATTACGGACGTGAGCCACCATGTATTTTTAGTAGAGATGGGGTTTCACCATCTTTGCCAGCCTGGTTTTGAACTCCTGACCTCATGATCCATCCGCCTTGGCCTCCCAAAGTGTTGGGATTACAGGTGTGAGCCACCACGCCCAGCTGAACAAGGTGCTTTCTAAAAGCCCTTTCACCTCTGCAGTTCTAGACATCTGGATGTGACCTTGAGTGACTTTTCCCAAGACCTGGAGACATTCTAGTGAGGGAGTGGGGCTGATTTCATTTGGAGGCAGGGAGAGCAGAGAGAGCTATGGCATCAGAGAAGCACAGGGGCCTTGGGGCTGGGAGACCCACTGTTTCCACAGGGGACCATGAAGAAGTGAGAGAGGCCTAAATTGCAGGGTGGCTTCCAGAAAGACACTGGTTAAAATGGAGAGATGGGTCTGGGTGTGGTGGCTCATGCCTGTAATCCCAGCAGTTTGGGAGGCCGAGGCGGGCAGATCACTTGAGGCCAGGAGTTGGAAACCAGCCTGGCCAACATGGTGAAACCCTGTCTCTACTAAAAATACAAAAATTAGCCAGGTGTGGTGGCACACGCCTGTATTCCCAGCTACTTGGGAGGTTGAGGCAGGAGAATCGCTTCAATCCAGGAGGCGGAGGTTGCAGTGAGCCGATATCTTGCCACTGCACTCCAGCCTAGGAGACAGAGTGAGACTCCGTCTCAAAAAGAAAAAAAAAAGAGAGAGAGAGAAAGAGATGGTGGTGTTTTCTTAGCAGGGGTCTTTAAGGATTGGGAAAGACAAGTGCCAGGCTTGAATGGCAAAGAGGGGTCGGGGTTGGATGCTGGGTGCTGAGCAAGCTCCCTTCCTGCCACATTAGCAATAGCCAGACCCAGGGCCTCAGGGCCCAGAATGTGGGCTGCCTAAGGGTCACACACACCCTTGCAAAGACAATGGCAGAAGACACTGAAGGGCTTGGCTTCTGCTTGGGGAAAAGTGGTGTTAGAGGTGGAGGCAGTGCTCAAGTCCAGGGAGGGGTGGACACACAGTTGGGACTGACCTGTTAAAGCACCTGAGCTCTGCAGAGGCCACTTCCAATGGTGCTTGGCCTCCCCTTTCTGTTTCTTGGGATCTGTGTCTCCCACTCTTTCTCCCTCGAGTTCTTCCCATCTCCCAGCCTCTTCCTCAAAGTAATGACAGCTGGATTTCCAGTCACCCATCACCCCTTTTTCCCTCACCTTCTCACAGCACACCAGCCAGTGCAGCGGGGGAGGAACTGGGTATCAGGAATTCGCGGCCTGGGGCCTCCTGGGGTGGGGAGATGGGGAGAGGGTGCTCTAGGGAGTCAGAGCTCCTGTTTACATTGCTCTTGGCACCTGCTGGCAGGGCCCTGCAGGTAACCATGGCAATCAGGTGAGGAGCCAATCAGTGCTTCTCCCCACCCCCAGCCCCAGAGGTAACAGTCAGAACCTGTGGGGATGGAATGAGGGGAGCAGGGAGTGTGGCAAGGGGCTTATTTTCTTAAACTGGAGAAGGAGCAGCGTTTCATTCAGTCAGCACCACCTTGGGCCTCGTGTCTAGAAAGGGTCCAGAGGAACAGGCTGGGGCTGAATTCTCAGAAATGCTCGGGGAAGTGACTGGGTGAGGGGTACAGCCATTCGCAGTGTGGGGCTCTCGGCTGTGGGGTTCTTCTTAAAAGCAAGTGTCAGCCGGGTGTGGTGGCTCACACCTGTAATCCCAACACTTTGGGAGGTGGAGGCGGGCAGATCACTTGAGGCCAGGAGTTCAAGGCTGGCTGACATGGTGAAACCCCATCTCTGTTTAAAAAAAAAAAAAAAAAATTAGCCAGTGTGGTGGCATGCACCTGTGATTCCAGCTACTCAGAAGGCTGAGGCACAAGAATCACTTGAACCCGGTAGGCGGAGGCTGCAGTGAGCCGAGATCGCACCACTGTACTTCAGCCTGGGCAACAGAGCAAGACTATCTCAAAAAAAAAAAAAAAAGAGCAAGTGTCTGCTTTGAAAACACAGCGAGTGTGTGAATGAGGTGGCTCGGGCACGATGTGAAGTGTGCGGAGCCTACATGTGTATGTGTGTGTACGCGTGCATGTGTATATGAGGGTGAACGGGAGATAGATGAGGGCATGCGATTTACCCCAGCAACAGAGACCCCAGGCATTATCAGAGCTCAGCATCAGCATGTTTGTTGGTGGCTCTGCACACACACATAGATGCATCTGGACACACATATGACTGACAGGCAGTCACAGGAAGTACCTTTGGAGGCCCAGATGGCACGTACACAGGATGGATATTACACACGCTCAGAGAGACAGCCACTTGGATTGTTCTCTCCTCTGGATGGTTGTAATAATATTTGGGCATCTTGCCAGGGACAGGGTTACTATGGAAACGACCAAACAGTGGAGTATCCAGCAGCTTTCTGCGTAATTGCAAAGGGGGGACCCATGCAGGGAGGGCTGGCCGAGGCCACCCTGCGTGGGGTGGGAACCCCTCTCCCTTCTCAGATCCCCGGGGCCGCCACCTCTCCGCCATGTCTCTGGGCTTGCTGTAGGACTGGCTTGTGCCCCTCTGTCTGCCCTGTAACCTGGTGTCTCTCCCACATGTGGCCTTTGTGTCTCTGCATCTCTTTCGGTCTCTGGCCAGGTTCCCTGAGCCTCTGTTGGCTGTCTGGGTCCTGGCCAGACTCATCCTGGGGTCTCTATAGAAACTGCTGATCCCGGCTGTGAATTTCTTGTCCTAGAAAACTCAGTGTGGTGGCTTTAGAAATCTTTCTGGAAAGGAGAGAAGGGTGTGAGTATGTTGTAAAGGAGCTGTTGGGGCTTGGCCACCCTCCCAAGCCCCACCCCTGGGCTTTTACTCTGGGAAAGAGGAGGGAGGGCTGCTGTCCCTTCCAGGTGCAGGTTTGGTTTGATTTCTTTACCAAGAAGGAAGCACGGTGGCCAATCCAGAGCCGGACTTTTCACCTCTCTGGACCCTGCCCGGGCCTGGCTGGTGTCGAGCAGGCGGTCTGGGGACAGAGCACTTTCTGCCCAGCTTTGGCAGGCATCTGTGAGAGCCTGTGGTTTGTCACTGGACAGCCTGTGAACAGGTGGCAGAGGCGTCACCAGGGCAGGAGACAGTGGGAGAGTAACAGTGACCATGTGGGGGGGATTCCTGCATTGTGTATGAAAGGGGGGTTCCTGGACCCTGTGTGCTTGTGGACAG
The DNA here is from genome assembly GCF_000001405.40 of Homo sapiens. Classification (NCBI taxonomy): domain Eukaryota; kingdom Metazoa; phylum Chordata; class Mammalia; order Primates; family Hominidae; genus Homo; species Homo sapiens. The sequence goes on along the minus strand of NC_000017.11, from coordinate 38,741,870 downwards.
GGAGCACTCATGCAGGCGGCTGTCCATCAGGGACACTGGCAGGGATTCCTGTGGCAGGGGTATAGCCTTTTTGCCTAAACTCTTTGAGTCCAGGGCTAGGGCTGGAGCTGCACGTTCCCAACTTCAGGCATGTAAGGACCCTCTCTGTTCCCTGCCTGAGTCTCAGGCCTGGAAGCCAAATGATTAGCGTATGGTGGATTTTCTGGGAGCAGCCTATATTTGGCAGACTTTAGAGGAGGGAGGTGCTCCAAAGCTTAGGCTGGATGCAGAGCCAGAAGCACAAGTGATGGCTGCGGCCTTCTAACTTAGGGTAGCCTGTGTCCATGGTGTTTCCAGGGAAGACTTCCTGGAGGAGGAGTGAATGGATGGAGTAGATAGGAGGCTGGGACGTAGTGGAAGGATCAAGTCTGAGGCCCTGCACCTGGGTGGAGGGGTTGAGGGAGTAAGGATAACTTATTTTTCCCTTCTTCTATTCCTTGAAGTTTCAGGCCAGTGGCTGCTTTATCTAAGTTTCCTCCTAGTTCCTAGGATGCTTTAAATGTGGACCATGTGAGTGAATACGGATTGGGATTGGAGAGTTTTGTTTTTGTTTTTCTTTTTTAGACAGAGTCTCGCTCTGTCGCCCAGGCTTGAGTGCAGTGGCATAATCACGGCTCACTGTAGCCTCGACCACCCAGACTCAAGGGATCACGTGAGGCAGGAGGATCCTCCTGCCACAGCCTCCCAAAATGCTGGGATTACAGACATGAGCCACTGTGCCCGACTTGGGATTGGAAAGAGTTTTAAAAACCCTCTTCTTTTCCATTTTCCTGCCTCCTCACATTCTCTGGGGAGTTGGGCAGTACATCCTGTGGCCTAACTTCAGTCTTTCCTCCTGCTTCTCAGAGGAAGCCTAACCTTGTTGCTCAAGGCTGTGTGACTCTCCAGAGCCTGGGCACCCAATGAACTCTCAGAGGTGGCCAGAAAGAACCAGCCACATGTACACCCCCAGCCCACCCTGAAGGCAGAGAAGGGTCTTGGGCTCAGGGAGAGATGTGCTGGTGGGGGGAGGTGTGGAGTGAAGCGTAAGAGGGGCTGCCGAGGCTCTGGGTTTCTTTTTTCTTTTCTTTTTTGAGACAGACTCTCACTCTGTCGCCCAGGCTGGAGTGCAGTGGCATGATCTCGGCTCACTGCAAGCTCCGCCTCCCGGGTTCACGACATTCTCCTGCCTCAGCCTCCCAAGCAGCTGGGACTACAGGTGCCCACCACCATGCCTGGCTGATTTTCCGTATTTTTAGTAGAGATGGGGTTTCACCATGTTAGTCAAGATGGTCTCAATCTCCTGACCTCGTGATCCGCCCGCCTTGGCCTCCCAAAGTGCTGGGATTACAGGCGTGAACCACCGCGCCCGGCCAACTCTGGGTTTCTGATTCCACTTCCGTTTCCCAGGGCAACGCTCCCCAGTCCCCCCACCCCCGACCCCGGAATCATGCATCGGACTACACGGATCAAAATCACAGAGCTGAACCCCCACCTCATGTGTGCCCTCTGCGGGGGGTACTTCATCGACGCCACCACTATCGTGGAGTGCCTGCATTCCTGTGAGTTGGGGGGAGGGGAGCTGCTCAGGGTGGGCAGCCTCTGTGCCCAGATTGGGGCGGGCACGGCCTGAGGAAGGTAGCACGCAAACCCTTGCCCTAAAGAGCCAACGCGCCCACGTGTCTGCTGGGAATCCTTAGGTCACAGAGGGCCTACCTCGCAGGGGCGACTGGGCGCGGGGCATCAGCCCAGAAGTTCATTTCAAGGACTCACATCTGAAATCTCAGTTCTTTCTTGAAATGGCTGAAATTTTATGCCCTGAAGACGCGGACACCCCTTGTTTGCACTGTGGGCTTGGCAGCAGGGGGGTGGGACTCAGAGGCATCTTGAACACGCTGGCTTTTGTCCCCCACTCCATCGGGGAGCTTGGGACTCAGGGCTGACCTTCTGCATTGTACATGACACTGGCCTGTCTCACACAAGATCCAGCTTCCCTCAACAGTGCACAAGGACAGGTACCACACGTGCAGAACACACATCGCCACATTGGGCCTCGGAGCAGGGACAGGGTGGAGGAGGAGGGATATCTGAGTCTGAGCAGAGGGCGGGGAGGCTGGTCCTGGAGTTGGAAGTTGGCTCTGACTCTCCTCTCTCTCTCCACACCCCCAAGTCTGCAAAACCTGCATCGTGCGCTACCTGGAGACCAACAAATACTGCCCCATGTGTGACGTGCAGGTCCATAAAACCCGGCCGCTGCTGAGCATCAGGTGGGCTTGGCACGGCACCTCCTGTCCCCGCGATCCTCTGGGTCAGCCTCCCCCATCCCTCCCACGCTCCGTGCTTCCTTCAGCCAAGGCGGCAGGTGTAGGAGAAGCATGGGGTGTGGACCTGGGCTACTCCCCGACCTTGGGGTTACATTTGGCTCATCACAGGGTGAGGCATACTAGAGGGGCAAAGACCAGACCCACAGGGATCCTAATGCCTGGGCACCGGTCTCAGGAAGGGGGTGGGAAGAGGGGTACCCTGGCTGGGAGAGCAGGGCGAGGTCGGAGCGCTCTGGAGAAGGCATTGCTGATAAGCCCTGTCCATTTTTCCCCAGGTCTGACAAAACACTTCAAGACATTGTCTACAAATTGGTCCCTGGGCTTTTTAAAGGTATCTGCACTCCATTCCTCCTCCACTGACCCCATTTCCCAACCCATGGCCCTGTCCTCATCCTGCTGCCTTCTTCCAGATGAGATGAAACGGCGGCGGGATTTCTATGCAGCGTACCCCCTGACGGAGGGTGAGTGTGCTCGCGTCTGTTTGTGTGTGCACAGTCTTGCCTGGGACCATGTAGGTGTGTAGCGCTACCCCTCACCCTCTGACCTCCTCCGCGCACACCTCTCCAGAAGGTGGCTGGGCTCACCTGGCTGAGTTCATGATCTCTGGGTCCTTGGCGGGCTCCCTTCCTACATCCTCCGCCAACCCGAGAGCTCTTTCCTTCTGCAGTCCCCAACGGCTCCAATGAGGACCGCGGCGAGGTCTTGGAGCAGGAGAAGGGGGCTCTGAGTGATGATGAGATTGTCAGCCTCTCCATCGAATTCTACGAAGGTGCCAGGCAAGTCTGGCCCAGGCTGGCCCCTTCTGGGTTCCTAGTCTGGGTAACCCCTTCTCCCACCCAGGACCCTCTCTGGATGTGTCCATTGAGGGATCATCCTCCTGGGTCTCCTGGTTCTTCCTGGGTCTTCCTAGCTTCATTCTTTCTCCGTCCCCAGGGACCGGGACGAGAAGAAGGGCCCCCTGGAGAATGGGGATGGGGACAAAGAGAAAGTGAGTGCTGGGGCCTGCCCAGGACTGGAATGTGGGCTGGGAGGGAGTGGCCTGGGGTGGATCCCCTACCATGGGTGCCTGTGCCCCAGCAGACAGGGGTGCGCTTCCTGCGATGCCCAGCAGCCATGACCGTCATGCATCTTGCCAAGTTTCTCCGCAACAAGATGGATGTGCCCAGCAAGTACAAGGTGGGTCCCTGGGCCTTTCAAAAAATGAGTGTCTGTGTATGGGTGTGTCAGACAGTCTGTGCAGCCCAGCCATTGGTCAGAGCTGGCTAGGTGTCACCCAGGGCTTGCGCGGTTAACTGAGCCCATGCGTTAACAGAAGGGTGGTTGAAACCAAGATTGGGGGCAGTCTAGGGGTGTTGAAGTCAGTGTGCAGTGGTGCATGGGACCAAGACGGTGTGTATGTGTGCATGTTGCACACTCGGAACTGTGGCAGAGGTGAGTGCAAAAAACGCAGGGCCTCCTCAGGCTGGTTGGCTGTGGGAAGGCTAGTCTGAAATTCCAACGGAGCTCCAGGACATAGCTTTTCAAGCTTGAATGTATATGTGTCCCCTGGAGATCTTGTTAAAATGCAGATTCTGATTTATTTAGTAGATTCCATATTTCCTTTTTTTTTTTTTTTTTTGAGATGGAGTCTTGCTCTGTCACCAGGCTAGAGTGCAGTGGAGCGATCTCGGCTCACTGCAACCTCCGCCTACCGGATTCAAGCGATTCTCCTGCCTCAGCCTCCCGAGTAGCTGGGATTACAGGCGCCTGCCACCACACCTGGCTAATTTTTGTAGTTTTAGTAGAGACAGGGTTTCACCATGTTGGCCAGGCTGGTCTTAAACTCCTGACCTCGTGATCCACCCCACCTTGGCCTCCCAAAGTGCTGGGATTACAGGCATGAGCCACGGCACCCGGCCAGATTCCATATTTCTAACAAGCTCCTAGGTACTGAAGGTCCATGGATCACACTCTAGGACAGTGGATCCTAAACTGTTGCCTGTTAAATCTCATGAGTTAACTCACATCTTACCAGTTAAGTCAGAATTTCTGGGGGTAAGATGCAGGCATTGATTTTTTGTTTTTGCTTTTTTTGTTTCCCCTTTGTCACGCAGGCTGGAGTGCAGTGGCATCATCTTGGCTCACTGCAATCTCCACCTCCTGGTTTAAAGTGATTCTTGTGCCTCAGCCTCCCAAGTAGCTGGGACTACAGGTACATGCCACCACACGTGGCTAATTTTTGTACTTTCAGTATAGACAGGGTTTCACCATGTTGGCCAGGCTGGTCTCCAACTCCTGGCCTCAAGTGACCCACCCGCTTCAGCCTCCCAAAGCTCTGGGATTACAGGTGTGAGCCACCGCACCTAGCCAGGCATTGGTGGGTTTTTGGTTTTTTGTTTGTTTGTTTGTTTTTTGAGACAGAGTCTTGCTCTTGTTGCCCAGGCTGGAGTGCAATGGCAGGATCTTGGCTCACCGCAACCTCTGCTGACCCCCCGGGCTCAAGCGATTCTCCCACCTTAGCCTCCCGAGTAGCTGGGATACAGGCATGTGGCACCACACCCGGCTAATTCTGTTTTTTTAGTAGAGACGGGGTTTCTCCATGTTGGTTTGGCTGGTCTTGAATTCTCGGCCTCCCAAAGCTCTGGGATTATAGGCTTGAGCCACCGCACTTGGCCTAGGCATTGGTGTTTGTTTTTTGTTTTGTTTTGTTTTTTTTGAGACGGAGTCTCGCTCTGTCGCCCAGGCTGGAGTTCAGGGGCACTATCTCCGCTCACTGCAAGCTCCGCCTCCCGGGTTCACGCCATTCTCCTGCCTCAGCCTCCCGAGTAGCTGGGACTACAGACACCCGCCACCACGCCCAGCTAATTTTTTGTATTTTTAGTAGAGACGGGGTTTCACCACGTTAGCCAGGATGGTCTCGATCTCCTGACCTTGTGATCCGCCCGCCTTGGCCTCCCAAAGTGCTGGGATTACAGGCATGAGCCACCGCACCCGGCCACATTGGTGTTTTTTAAAGCTCCCTGGGTGATTCCATTTTGCAGCTGGGGGTGAGAGCCAGAGTTCCAGGAGATCCCCCTGAGCCTTTTCAGCTCCTCTGGGCGACCTGCCAGAGATAGGAGACCCAGACAGCTGTGTGCATGGTGGGACCAGAGGCTGCTAACAATAGGGGAAACTTCTCTGGAACCCTTCCTGCCTGGTGGTCAGGAGTTATGTTGGAACAACTCTGACAGGGAAGTCAAATCCACAGTGAAATCCCAGAGAAATAAGGGACCATCTGTAAATCCACCCTTCCCATTGCCCCGCCTCCCAGTCCCCCACATTCCCAGCCTGGAGCCCCGAGCTGGCCAGGGTCATGGTGTCCTCCGCTTCCCTCCCCCAGGTGGAGGTTCTGTACGAGGACGAGCCACTGAAGGAATACTACACCCTCATGGACATCGCCTACATCTACCCCTGGCGGCGGGTGAGCCAGCGAGTGGGGCGGGCAGGGAGCAGACTCCCACAGGGTCTGGCATAGGTCTGTGGCCACATGGGCCACCCTTCTGTAATCAGAGACAGTCTGTCCCTTATCCCATGAGCTGCATGTCCAGGGTGGCTTGCTACAGCAGGTCAGCCTCTGGGCCATCTCTTGCGGATGACTTTCCGCTCAGGAGACAAGGCTCCCTGGGCAGACGGTGTCCCCAGATTTGGGGGCAGAAATAGGTGCTGGCAGCTGCCGTGTGTTTGCCTCCCTCTCTCCCGTCTCCTCTCTGACGGAGTCTCTGCTCTTAGACCTTTTCCCTCTCTGGGTCTTCATGCACCCTGTATCCTTGTCTCTCTCCTCTCCAAGGCCCCATCCCATCCCTTTTTTCGAGTTTGGACACTGTGGGGTGGAGATGGTGGCCCTTTAGTTGGACTCTGTCTCCTGATACCTTCCCCTTCCCTGTGTCTCTCCTCCCCACTCTCCCCGCAGAACGGGCCTCTCCCCCTCAAGTACCGTGTCCAGCCAGCCTGCAAGCGGCTCACCCTAGCCACGGTGCCCACCCCCTCCGAGGGCACCAACACCAGCGGGGCGTCCGAGTGTGAGTCAGTCAGCGACAAGGCTCCCAGCCCTGCCACCCTGCCAGCCACCTCCTCCTCCCTGCCCAGCCCAGCCACCCCATCCCATGGCTCTCCCAGTTCCCATGGGCCTCCAGCCACCCACCCTACCTCCCCCACTCCCCCTTCGACAGCCAGTGGGGCCACCACAGCTGCCAACGGGGGTAGCTTGAACTGCCTGCAGACACCATCCTCCACCAGCAGGGGGCGCAAGATGACTGTCAACGGCGCTCCCGTGCCCCCCTTAACTTGAGGCCAGGGACCCTCTCCCTTCTTCCAGCCAAGCCTCTCCACTCCTTCCACTTTTTCTGGGCCCTTTTTTCCACCTCTTCTACTTTCCCCAGCTCTTCCCACCTTGGGGGTGGGGGGCGGGTTTTATAAATAAATATATATATATATGTACATAGGAAAAACCAAATATACATACTTATTTTCTATGGACCAACCAGATTAATTTAAATGCCACAGGAAACAAACTTTATGTGTGTGTGTATGTGTGGAAAATGGTGTTCATTTTTTTTGGGGGGGGTCTTGTGTAATTTGCTGTTTTTGGGGGTGCCTGGAGATGAACTGGATGGGCCACTGGAGTCTCAATAAAGCTCTGCACCATCCTCGCTGTTTCCCAAGGCAGGTGGTGTGTTGGGGGCCCCTTCAGACCCAAAGCTTTAGGCATGATTCCAACTGGCTGCATATAGGAGTCAGTTAGAATCGTTTCTTTCTCTCCCCGTTTCTCTCCCCATCTTGGCTGCTGTCCTGCCTCTGACCAGTGGCCGCCCCCCACGTTGTTGAATGTCCAGAAATTGCTAAGAACAGTGCCTTTTACAAATGCAGTTTATCCCTGGTTCTGAGGAGCAAGTGCAGGGTGGAGGTGGCACCTGCATCACCTCCTCCTCTTGCAGTGGAAACTTTGTGCAAAGAATAGATAGTTCTGCCTCTTTTTTTTTTTTTCCTGTGTGTGTGGCCTTTGCATCATTTATCTTGTGGAAAAGAAGATTCAGGCCCTGAGAGGTCTCAGCTCTTGGAGGAGGGCTAAGGCTTTAGCATTGTGAAGCGCTGCACCCCCACCAACCTTACCCTCACCGGGGAACCCTCACTAGCAGGACTGGTGGTGGAGTCTCACCTGGGGCCTAGAGTGGAAGTGGGGGTGGGTTAACCTCACACAAGCACAGATCCCAGACTTTGCCAGAGGCAAACAGCCTTCCAATTGCCCCTCCACCCCCAGCTGAGGCCCGGTCACCTGGTCAGGACAGAGCAACTGCATCTAAAAGCACAAGAAGACAGAAACCTGTAAGCTCTGACCCCACCCCCACCCCTTGAGAGGTCAGCGGACCACCTCCTTAGGGACAGACCCTGGCAGGTCGCTGCCCACCGAGATTTCCTCAAGTGTGCATAGATCTGAGAGGAGTCGGGAGTCGAGACTCGAGATTCCATCATAGCGTAGGTGTGTGGGGTTGGGAGCCCCCTGATGGGCTTGTCTGTGTTTGCACCTTGTCCTGTGTCTGAGGTCCTGTGACTGTACCCTCCTTTGCCCTGGGACATCTGTATCTCTTGGCTTTGTAATAAATGCTGCATACTTTCTGGAGCCTGTAGTTCTTTGGGGTGGAGGGAAGAAGGGAAGGGTGCCTCTCATCTCTGGGTTTAGCCTGGCTTGGGGACCCCATACAGAATGAATCTGAACTGCCCTCTCCTGTGGCTGGTCAGGTGCCCCCAGCCCACAGAGAGGTTAAAATCTGGAGCAGGAGGCAGCACGTGGGCCTCATAGCAGTGACTGCAGGACTACCAGTCTGGTTGGGCAGGCTTGTTTTTGCCATCTTCCCCATCAGCAAACATTGAACCAGGGCCCACTCCCGCCTGCCCCAGACTGGAGACTTTTAGGTTATAAGGAATAATTCTTCCTTCATGAGCCAGCAGTGGGTACCAGAGTCTCTTGGGCTCAGCACCTGTTTCCTTTCCCACAGAAGGGGGTGCCTGTCAGAGGCCTGGAGCCAAGGCCACCTGTGGCTGGACAGCAGCAGCCCCCTCAGAGTGGGGAGCCCACTTCTGCCTTCTGCACGCGCTCACTCCTGTGGGTGCCATCGCAGTACGGGGGCCTCTGAGTGGCCTTGCAGGTACAGAGTGCCACCATGCGGGTCTCTTGGGCCTTGAACTTGAGTGGAGATAGGCCAGTGCGTTGGAAGAAGTGGGAGCCGTCACAGAAGGGCTGGTGGGGGAAAGACAGGAGTCAAAGACCTGACCCCACCTGCTGGGGCAGGGCAGGGCAGGCTGCAGGAGCTCAGGGGGAGTGGAGCACAGTGGTTAGGGTACAGGCTCCAGAGCAAGACTGCCAAGGCTCACTGAGTGACCTCTCTTATCTGTAATGTGGGGGTGATAAGAGTAGAGTTGTATGAGGAAATAAAATATGATCGTGATGCACTTTGCCTATAGTAAGTGTCTGGTAAGTATTTACAGAGTCTTTATAGCATTAGTCTCTGGGACACCCAGAGGGCCAGGACACTAATAGAGTGTGAGTGTGTGTGTGTGTGTGTGTGTGTGTGTGTCTCTGAGTCTCCACTGGATCATGAAATTCATTTACTTCCCATGTTCCTGGGTTAAAACTTCTTTGGGCTGGAGAGTACACTGTGGTAGCAATTTTGTTTGGCTCCAGGGAATAACTGGGCACGTGACAGGGAGTGAAGGTTACAAGGAGGAGGGGATGCCCCATAGCAAACTGGCTGGCTGGCACAGAAGTGTACTCCCCATCCCAGAAGCCGCTCAAGCAGAGACTGGGTAATGGAAACAGGCCCAGAAAGGTGACATGCCTTGCTAGCTGAAGGCAGAGCTGGTGCCAAGGCCTTTTTTTTTGACAGGGTCTCACTCTGTTGCCCAGGCTGGAGTGCAGTGATGCAAACACGGCTCACTGTAGCCTCAACCTCCTGGGGTCAAGCGGTCCTCCTTCCTCAGCCTCCAGTATGGCTGGGAACACAGGCCTGCCTCCATGCTAGTCTTTGGTGGGGGTAGAGGCATTTGTAGAAGCGGGGTCTCAACTTTGTTGCCCAGACTGTTCTTGAACTCCTGGACTCAAAAGAGCCTCCTGCCTTGGCCTCGCAAAGTGCTGGGATTACAGGTGAGCCACCTCGCCTGGCTGAACCAAGGCCTCTTGACATTGGAGTTAGGGTGGGATGGAAAGGAGATGAGAGAAGCGTGCAAATAGAAACCAGCAACTTGTCTTAGAGGGCTTGAGGTGCATGGACCTAAGTGGGACTCAAGGACCCTGGGCTGCTGACACCATGCCACATAGCTTGAAGGAATACCAGTCAGAGCTCTGCTCAGGAAGGAAAGGGGCCAGGGAGGCAAACAATATGGGCAGGTTCCTGCTGGGACGAAAGGCTCCTGGGCAGAAGGGGAAGCAAGTGGGGCAGGCAGTGAAGCTGAGAAGACAGCAAACTGTGGCAAGCGGCCAGGAAGTCCCATAAACTGAGAAGGAAGAGTTTTCTGGAAGAAGAGTAGAGAGGGGCACAGGGGAAGGCTGGGAGGCTTTGGAGGCAGGAGAGCCTGAGCAGAATCTCTTCCCAATGTGTCTATGGCCATACCACCCTGAATGCGCCCAATCTCATCTGATCTCGGAAGCTAAGCAGGGTCAGGCCTGGTTAGTACTTGGATGGAAGACCGCCAGGAAATACCAGGTGCTGTAGGCTTTTGGGGTTCAAGGCCTGGGAATCTGTGGCCCAGGCGCTTCCTGGAAGGAGACAGGGAAGGGCCAGGTGAGCTTCGCCATGCAGTGCACCTCTGAGAAACAAACAGCTCCAGAAGAGCCCACTGGAAGCCTGGCCACACCAGGCTGGCTGCGTGACTGAGTTTCTGTCTCTCTGGCTTCATTGCAAGGGGTAGATGCAGTGAGCTTAAGGTTGCTGGTGGCACTGGCCTTTTGTTCCCAAGCCCCCTTGGTGTCCCTCAGGTATGTGTGGGAAGAATAAGATCATCCTGGGTGGGAACTCACTGGAGACACCAGGCTGTTCCTAGCCAGAGGTATCAGTAGGAAGGCAGACAGGGGTCTCACCTGCTTCTTGCTGCGGCCACACACACACCACCTGTAGGTTTTCCCTGCCACCAGCTCCACCTTGATGGGGGTCTTCAGGGCCACCACGGACCTGGCTGGGGTTCTAGGGAACCACTGGGCCTGTGGCCAGGGAAGATGAGGGGCTCAGGGTTAGCTCAAGCCCTGGAAGCACCGTCCGGCCTGCGACCCTTCCTAGTTTCCCACTGGCCTGTGTGTGTGGCAGGTTTCCTCTACAAGAGGCTGATCTGATGCCACCCAACAAGACCGTTCCCCAGGACACCATAGGACCGTGAGCTTTGGACAGGGAGATTTCAAAGCCATGCAGGCACTCAGGTTTCAGGGTCCAGCTGCCTTCCCTCAAACGCTGGCTCCCACCTGCGTGCTAGGGAAGGCGGGCTGGGATCCTTCCAGCCTACGGCAGGGCCACCCACACTGGGGCTTGGTTCATTAGGTGCTGCTGTCCTCAGTACAGAAGACTGGCGCCCTGCCCAGTGCCCTCTGGTCCGCCCCACCTCCCTGAGAGCCACGGGCTAACTCCAGGGAATAGGCCTGTACTCTTCCTAGCTCCATTTCCTGTTTCTGCCTTTGAGATCTCCGTGCCTGGGGGTCTTGTGCGAGGAGGAGGGGAGGATGGGGGGACTCACCAGCCAGGAGGAGATGTCCCGCCGCGGGTTCAGGTCCTGCAAGGTACGCAAGCATGGCAGGCATCACAAGACGGTGGTTTGGAAACGGAAAAATAAAATCAGTGGAAAGGGAAGGACACGGGAGGCCATCTAGGAAGGAGGAGGTGACAGGGCTGAAGGGGCGAGGGAGGAATGAGAGGGTAAGAAAAAGGTCGCAAGAGAAGGTGCTGGCTGCGGAGGTCCTGGCAGGGACTGGCGCTCGGGAAAAGCCTGTGAGCTGAGGCAAGCCAGACACCGGCGGGACGGGCCGGGAGCTCCGGGATGCTCGGCCGGGCCGGGGCTGGAGTGGGGGCTGGCAGGGGCCCGGCTGGGGTTCGGGACGGGGGCTGGTGCAGGGCGGGGGTGCTCACCCGGGCACCACGCGCCGCCGGCCGCAGGATCGCCCCCGCGCCGCGCATGGTCGCCTCCCGCGCCGCGCCCGCCCGCTGGCTCCGCCCCCGCCGGGTCACCTCCCCGCCCCCTCGGTCCCCGGCCCGCCAGGCCCCGGAAGACGCCGCGGCGTTCTGCGAGGGCGGAGGCCAGGGGCGGGCGGGGTACGGAAGCCCGACCACGGCGCCCGCCCAGCGGCCTCCTCAGCACGCCGGGCGTGAGCGGTCGGTCCCGGCGCCCCCTGCCGGGCGGGCCTGGCGGTGGAACGCCCCGCGCGCAGCCTCGGCGCCTGGGGCACCCCCGAGGGCGCAGGACCCTCCCAGGAGTCGCTGTTGCTGGCCGAGCCTAGGCCGCGCTTCTGGGAGCAAGCGCGCGGGCGTCGCGTCACCTCGGGACGGGTCAGGGTCCCGACGGCCGGGGCCCACGGACTGATGCACCCTGCGTGGTGGGCCCGGGTGTGCTGAGCGTCTGTGCGCTCTCTGCCGCTGAGTGCGGACAGAAGGGCCGCAGCCCACGCCCTCCTACACCCCCGCAGTTGGCACCCACCTCCTGTCCCCTTCCATAAAGCGAGACTACGCAGGGGCTCTTCGGATTTTTTTTTTTTTTTTTGCAAAACATTCTTTTATTAAAAGAACAAGTGCTGTTTACGAACTGCCCTTCGTACAAATAACATCCGTTATACAAAGATACAAGATCCGGGTTATGCACAATTCCAGGCTTGGAGGTGGCAGGGGGGCATCGCCTTTGGGCTGAGGATATCAAGGTTTTAGAAAGAATGAAAAAGGAGCCCCTGGGTTTGCAATCTGTGGCTTCCCCTCCCTGCTCCCTAGGAAGGGTCTGCTACATGGAAACAGGTTGGGATAGAAAGGGGGCGGGACGGGAGCAGGGGTGAGGTCTCCAGTCCCACCACCCAAGTCCCAAGTTGAGCTGGAGAAAGTGAACAAAGGGGAATGAAGGCACCCCTCAGTTCCCAACTTTTCAGTAGGTCAAGACAAAGTGGTCGGGAGCTAGACACACTCTCAATCCTGATGGACATGGTGGGAGAGAGCCAAGGCTACTTGCCCACCTTCCTTGGAATTCCCAGTTGAAGTTACCTCAATCCCTCTAGGCACCTCTCCCCAGGAAAATAAGTTGAGATAAAGGAGAACTGGGTGCAAGCTGCCTACCCCTAACTGGCCCATTGCACACCAAGGAAGATCCTAGAAGCTGGCAGGGGGAGCCTGTGCCTTTGAAAACCTGTCTTCATTTCCAATTTGGGAGAGAGAAGCGTGGAGGTTACCCTTTCTCGGAGCTGGCCCCTGGCTTGGGCTCCTCTCATTTCTCTAGACCCTTCCTAAGAGTCTGGGGTGAGCACCTCCCTAGAACTCAGTATGGGGGAAACAGGCAGGGGTCCCCTCATCAGCCTCAAGGTCAGGACACCTTGAGGCAGCAGCAGACCCAGGAGCCTGAGGGGGAAAATACCCCACAAATAGGAAAAACAAACCAAGACAATCCTTAAAGTGTCATTGTCCATGGAGAGGATCCACCAGCTCTGAGCTAAGACAGTCAGTGCCACATAGACACCCTCCCACCCCGGGCACAGCCCTGCACTCACACCGTGTGTCACACACACACAGGGACAGCCAGCCAGCCAGCCATGTGGAGACCATGTTGTGGGGCAGGGGAACCAAGGGCCAGGAGGCCACAGTCCTGAGGGCTTGTCCTGGCCCTGTCACTGAGCCCCTTCTAGGCTTGGAGCTGTCATCTGTGATGGGAGGAGCTGGCTGAAATGACCCCTAAAGACAGGTCCCTTTGGCGCTGGCATGCACCAGTTGTGACCCCACAGCAGGCACTGCCTCTATATGCACCCCCACTCACACCTCCTCACTGAGGGTGGGAACACCCAACTCCACATGCTCACCCACTCACACCTCCTCACTGAGGGTGGGAACACACGAAGCTCTGCTCTCATGCGTTTCCAAACTCTGCTTCCGCTCTGCAAACCACATCCTTCCCCTCCCCCAGACAAAGAGATCTACAAATCTGGGTCCCTTCCCACCCTCCACCATTCACTCTCAAAAAAGGGACTGAGGTTAGGAGACGGTGAGATCGTTACAGCCATCCCCCTGCGTTGGTATTCTGCTCCTCCTGAAGCTTTCGAGACCTTTCCCATTGAAGCTCCCTGAGAAGGAAATGCCACTACCTCTCTCATGAGAGATGTGGGGGGGAAGAGGAGAAGAGGGCTGCACCCGTTCATACCCAGCCTGGGCCCCGTCTTCAAATCTAACCTAACCGCCACAGTAGTCCAGTCTGGGGAATGCAAGCGGCTTGGGAAAGTTGGAGAACAGCCACTTGGAGATGAGAACCCCAGCCTTTGGTTTGGGCTGAGGGAGGGAAGAAGTGTTCTGGGTGGGGTGTCTTGGTTTCAATGCACAGAATCACTTGGACCTCTCACTCTTCAACATGGCAACCTCGGGGTAGACTTACTTCTCTTCCCATCCAGACAAAAGTTAAGTTTCGCTCTAAGTGGGCCAGCCTTGGGCAAGGGCGTGGGTGTGAATGAGCAACTCTTCTAAGAATCTCTGAAGGTTACTTTTCTTTTTTTTTCTCTTTTGAGACAGAGTCTCACTCTCTCACACAGGCTGGAGTGCAGTGGCACAATCTTGGCTCACTGCAGCCTCAGCCTCCTGGGTTCAAGCAATTCTCGTGCCTCAGCCTCCCAAGTAGCTGGGATTACAGGCACGTGCCACCATGCCCGGCTAATTTTTGATAGAGACGGGGTTTCACCATGTTGGCCAGGCTGGTCTTGAACTCCTGACCTTAAGTGATCCGCCCGCCTCAGCCTCCCAAAGTGTTGGGATTACAGGCGTGAGCCACCGCGCCTGGCCTGAAGGTTACTTTTCTTTTCAGTGGTTTGGGGCAGGGAGTTACACAGCTTAATAGATTAAGAAGAATAAAATGCTGAATGCTATCATTTCTTTCTAACATATTTAGCATTAATAAAAAGTGAGTATTTCTGAGGTCATCACAACTGCCTCCCCCTCCCCCAAGCCCTTGCAAGTGCCTAAGAAATTGCCTTTGAAGGATTCCCACCCCCCTCCATTATCAGCTCCCTAACATCTTACAAAGTCTTATCAACAGGAATATTAATATTATTTTCAGTATCAGAAAAAAAAAACAGTTGAGCAGCACAGGCAAAAATATATCTGCACTACGTTTCTGTCGTTGCCAAAAATATACACATCTTCTTTTCTTTATTAAAAAAAAAAAAAAAACCCAACAACAAAAACCCAAACAGAAACACACACAGAAAAATCCACACATGCAAAGAGACTGACAAGGCCGGAGCCTGGGGAAGCTGGAAACCCCTACCCTGGGCTCCAACCCCAGTGCAACTGAAACAGGGACACAGGCTTCGCCTTGCCTCTCGCCTCTCTCCTGACTGTCCACTCAGCCTCTGTGCCAAAGGCCTGGGCAGGCGGGGACTCTTTGAAGGTGAGAATTGCCCACTCTACCCTGGGGAAATAGCTGGTGGGTGAGGGGACAGTTGTTAGTCAGCTTAGTGGCTCCCCTGGTTGGTGGGGGTGGGGTGCAGGAGGCAAGCTGGCTAATTCTGGGAGGGAGGCTTTTGCTAAAAGCAGTGGCATTTCCCCCCACCTTACGCCCTCCCCCAAGCCCTGGGGCTCCCCTTGTGCCAGAGAAGGAGGAAGCTATCAGTGGGGTAGGGGGCCCTAAGGGGGCCCTGAGACCATGTGGGGTCAGGGGAGGGAAGGCAGGATACTACCCTGATTCAAAGCCCTGTGCCCCCAGCGACTCTCCAATATTGGAGTACTGCTCTGGTGTTTGTTAACCATTCATGCCCCCAGAGAGGGACCAAAGTTGGTGAGGTGGGGAGGGTGCAAATAAGAGCTGGGAGGTCCCCTCTCTGGCGCTGCTTCATCTGACCACTGCGCCTATCCCTGCCCTTGGCTGCCCTGGGTCCAGGAGGAGAGAGACAGGCAGACAGACACACACACACACACACACACACACACACATGCACGCACACACACACTCACACACTGAGACGGGCAGCTCCATCTCCCCACCCTCGGCACTCCTAAGTCCAATAGTGCAAACAAAGGGCGGGGCACCAAGGAAGGCCAGAGCCTCCCCGCACCTGCCCTCTCCTCCCCATCACGGGGCCCCAAGAGGTTGAGGAGGCTGGGGCTGAGTGTGATGCTCTCCTGCCCCTTCTCCAGCCCCCAACATCTGTGGGCTTTTACAAGCTCAGCTTGTGCCCCTGCGCTGGGGGGAGGGATGGCGAGAAAAAGTCCAAGGGGTCCCTTCTGCCATCTGCCCGAGCTGGGAAGAAACTGCAGGTAAAGTGGGTCCAGCCCTTCTTCCATAAAAGATTTCCCCGCAGGGACAGGCCCAGGGCCTCTCCCTCCACTTCTCCCCATTCAAGTGCTGATCCATTTCATGTGACAGGTCCAACCAACCCCCTACTTCTGCCATGGCCCACTCTGCTCTCTGGGGGGACCTCCAAAACATTTGCTGGGGATGGACCTCCTAGGCGGGCTTGCAGACTGTCCTTCCTCTGAGCCTCACAAAGCGGACAGTGCGGAAAGGGAAGGGGGCCAGATGGAGGGGGCTCCCCTCTCAGTCTCAGTCCTCGACACCAGGAGCTCTCCACACTCCCTGGACCTCAGCACAGGCTCTGGGTCAAGGCTCTCCAGGGTCTGGGCGCAGGCGCCTGCTCCAGGCTAGGACCCCTCAGGCCAGGATCTGTTCCCTCCACTTGGGGGGGTCAGGAGGGGTAAGGGTGGATTTAGCCTTTTTCCTGGTTGGCTGAGGCTCCTTTGTCAGCGGTCTGGAAAGAGAGGGAGGGAGGCCGGGGGTGTGGAAAGTGTCAGGTCCTAACCCCCAGATAAGAACAGCTTCCTAGGCCAAGAAAGCTGCTGTGGGGTACTGAAACGGGGCCAATGGAAGCCTCTGGCCTGGGCTCTGAGGGGTGTGCACCAGGGCCGATGCGCAGGGGTGTGAAACCACCCTGCAGAAGAGCACCGGGCTGCGTGGGCATGTGCAAGCTAAGGCCGTGTGCCCTCAGGAGAGGGAGAGGGCCTTTCTGACATTGGCCTACCCAGAGGGTCATCTTTTTCTAATTGGTCGGATGAGAAACAAAATGGCTTTTTCTAATTGGTCCTCCCGGAGGAAGGCTGTTTTCTAATTGGTCCTTTTCCTCTGAGCCCATGCTCAGATCGGATCTTTCTTGGCCGTGCAGGAGGGCACCCATGTGCAAGCAGAGGCCCTGGGGTCTGAGGCAGGGTACTTTGCTGACCTAGGGGTTGCTTCCTTCCCCCTGCTGAGGTACCTGATGATAAGCCTTCTGACAATCCATCTCTACCCATCCCTCAGAGGGGAGGCAGGAAGGCCCCGGGCCCCTTACTCACCCCTCCTTTGGGGCCACCGCCACTGCCCTCTGCTCCCGACAGGCTGAGGAAGGGGTTGGTCTGGGCAGTGAGGACTGGAGGTCCGCCTGCTGCTGCTACTGCTGCAGCTGCAGCTGCTGCGGCCATGAGACTTGTGTTGTTGCCAAGCGAGGGAGCCACTAGGGCTCCAGCGGGCAGCAGGGGTGGAGCAGACGCTGTGGGCAGCAGGCCAGGGGTACCCGCAGACAGCAGCGGGGTGGAGCTTCCTGCCAGCAGGCTGGCCATGGGCAGCTGGGAGCCCCCAGCCATCTGCAGGCGCTGCAGCTCCCGTTTCTGCTGGATCTGCTGGATCATCTGGTAGACAACAGTCTGGTGTTCCTGCAAGGGGGCCAGACCGCTTGTTGGCCAACAGTCCCGGGGGTCTCTTCCCTGCTGCCTGCCTGCCCTGCCTGGCCAGGCCCCACCCCATCACACTGGAATCAGGAGGCAAGAGGCCTGTGAGACAGTCAAGGTACTGTCTCGCATTTCCCACTTAGCCTGGGTCTCCCCATCTAGACAAGAAAATGGTTGCACGCCATTGGTATTTGCCAGCTGCAGCACTGCCGGCCAACAGCAGGGTATTTAATATCTCTGGCCCTGCCCACAGAATCACCCCTCAGCTCCTAAGACAACCACAGACGCCCCCAAGTTGAAAAACACTAAACTAGGTCAATAGTTTTCTTTTCTTTTCTTTTCTTTTTGTGAGACGGAGTCTTGCTCTGTCACCCAGGCTGGAGTACAGTGGTGCGATATTGGCTGACTGCAACCTCCACCTCCTGGGTTCAAGCGATTCTCCTGCCTCAGCCTCCCAGGTAGCTGGATTACAGGGGCCTGCCACCACATCCGGCTAATTTTTGTATTTTTAGTAGAGACGGGGTTTCGCCAAAACTACTGACTAGGTCAATAGTTTTCAATTCGCCGGACACGGTGGCTCACGCCTATAATCCCAGCACTTTGGGAGGCTGAGGCCGGTGGATCACTTGAGGTCAGGAGTTTGAGACCAGCCTGGCCAACATGGTGAAACCCCATCTCTACTAAAGATACAAAAATTAGCTGGGCATGGTGGCATGCACCTGTAATCCCAGCTACTTGGGAGGCTGAGGCAAGAGAATCCCTTGAACCCGGGAGGCGGAGGTTGCAGTGAGCCGATATCATGCCATTGCACTCCAGCCTGGGCAACAAGAGTGAAACTCTGTCTCAAAAAAAAAAAAAAAAAGTTTTCAATTCCCTTTCTCTTTTGTTTTGTTTGCTTCTATCATTTAAGATTCATTTATTTTGCTTTGAATAGGCAAAGCATTCTTAATGTCCCAGAAACCAAAATAATATATCAAAGTTTACCTTAAGAACTTACTCCTCTTGCTCCCATCTGGTCCCTACAGGCAGCCAGCTGAATTGGTTTCCTGTCTAATATTTCTTTATATGAAAATGTTGATTTTTCTTATTTTTTCAACTCCCTGTTTTGTTTTTGAGACAGGGTCTCATTCTGTCACCCAGGCTGGAGTGTATTGGCGCCATCTCAGCTCACTGCAGCCTCCACCTCCCCAGTTCAAGCGATTCTCCTGCCTCAGGCTCCCAAGTAGCTGGGACTACAGGCGTGCACCACCACGCCCAGCTAATTTTTTGTAGAGACTCAGTTTCACCAAGTTGCCCAGGCTGATCTCAAACTCCTGAGCTCAAGCGATCTGCCTGCCTCAGTCTTCCGTGCTTGGATTACAGACATGAGCCACCACACCCGGCTGCTTCCCTCATTTTTAAAAAGTAAAACTCCTTTTCTCCAAAGGTAGTTTCAGCCGACCCAACAGGAGACAGACCCAAAGAAGCTGCTGTGGTTGAGGGTGGTGTCACCTGCACAGCCACTCAGACCCTGGAGTTTCCCCTGAATGCCTTTGGGGCTGGGACTGAAATGCTGAATAACTGAGGACTTGCTGCCCTCCAGAGTCTTTCACCAGGATGCGACCTGGGGCTATTACAGCAGCCCTTTCTCAATGCCCAGGGGATCCTGGGCATGATCTTATCCCCCTTACCTGCCATGGATGCTCCACAGGGCCCAGCCCCAGTCCCACAGGCCCAGCCTAGAGCTTCCCCTCACTCTGCCTGCTCCTGCCCTCTCCTGGCTGGCCCTGATCCTCTGAGATGTGCCCTTCCAGGCAGACCAAGGGGCACCTGAGGCAGGGAAGGGAGGGGCATTACCGGGGTCAGCTGCGGGGAGGCCAGGAGCTGCTGGAGTTGCTGGAGCTGCTGCTCTTGCTGCTGAAGGAGATGTCTCTGCTGCTCTGTAAGGCTGAGGTGGGGGTGGGGGGTGGGGGGGGGACAACACACAGACCATGGGGGAGGGCCAGGGAAACACTCCTGCTCCTAATCCCAAGCCCCTAGACTCCCTCAGACCCAGGGGAAGCAAGGCAGGGATGTGCGATCTTAGAGCACCGTGCTCATAGGGTGCAGCAAGAGGGATACAGGTCTGATTTAGAAGAACTGTCCCAGAAGGAAATCCTAGAGTGCAGGACAGGAAGTCAACAATTCTTTTGTCCCTGGGGAGCTACCGTCCAGAGGACACACATGTCTAACAGTCTGTGGAGTCCTTAGAGGCCAAGAGGTGACTAGGATTATATACCCTGTGAGACCAGAGGCCATTTTTCCTTTTAGGGATTGTGGGTGTTTTGGGGAAAATCCCTCCCTTCCCAGAGCCAGCCCCCCACCCTGTTCCCCTTCCCAGGGCTGAGCTCTCCCTCACCTGTTGAGACAGCCTGGCAGCTGCAGCGTGGGGGCCCCGCCAGCCTGGCTCAAGCTTGCGGGGTTGGGGGCAGCGGCCCCATTCAACCCCCCAAGGAGCCCATTGAGGGGCAGGCCCCCACTGCCTGCCAGCCCCCCCAACAGCCCCTCAGCCATGGGCATGGCCCCCAGCCCCGCTGCCCCGGGTGCCCGGCCCAACCCGTTCTGCGGCTGGGGCGGGAGTGGGGCAGGGGCCCCAGGCAGGGCCAGGGGCAGAGTGGCAGGGCTCTGCTGGAGGAGGGGCAGCGGTGGGGGCGTGCTGTGGAAGGACAGCGACGAGCTGCTGCGGCTCGGGCAGCCTGAGTGTGGGTCCTGGGGAGGGAGGGGGAAGGGAGGGGTCAGAGGGCCAGCATGACTTTTCTGGCCCCTGGCCCAGCACCCACCAGCATTCTCACAGAGCACAGCAACCCCCACTTCACCCCCAGGCACCCTGGAAGAAGCAAGGTCCGGGGATGAGGGCTAAGAATCCAAATTGTCTTCACGAATCATGTTTCCTGACCCCTTCCTGGGAGTCCAGCGCCCCTCATCATCCTCATTTAATAATGGACAATGATGATGGTGGTGACCATCTGGTGAACCAGATCCTGGGCTGAGGGCTTGACCTGTGCTATCTTGCTATTCTCATTTTATGGGTGAAGCCATTGATTCTTGCACAGGTTAAGTAACTCTGCAGGCAAAAGCACTACAGCTAAAGTGAAAGGCTCAGGTTCAAATCCTATGTCCACAATCCAATGGCTTGGGTGACCTTGGGTTCAACCTGTCTTAGTTTACTCACTCGTAAGCTGGGGGGTAACAGTAGTACCTATTCCATAGGCTTACTATGAAGACTAAATGAATGCTTTAAAAAATTTTTGCATAGGGCATGACAAAGGGCAAGTGTGCAATTAATGCTGGTTATTATTATGATTATTACTGCCCAAGTCACACAGTTAATAAATGGCAGAGAGAGAACAAGAACCCAGTTTGTTGGATTCCAGTAATAACCACAACACAATAGCAACTGCTATTCGAACCGCCACCAGTTACACAGGAATTATTTTGTGTGAGGCGCTATAATAAACCCTTCACAAATACTTCTCAAAGAGGCCTTCCCTAACCACTTTCTATCCACAGAAGCAGCCCTCCCCCGTTCTCTCTCTCACAGCCCTCAATTTCTCTCCACACTAACATATCTCCCAGTTTGTGATTACTCCTTCTTTGCTTGGGGTAGCCTATCTTAAGAAGCAGCGCTGTGCCGGTTTTGCTCACTGATTGCTTAGCCAATGGCTGGCACTAAGTGGGCACCTCATAAATATTACTTGATTAAGGGAGGACTGAATGGATCAATCAATTGCTCAGTCAGTCACTTCATTGCCCAGCCTCCAATAGCTGCGGGGAAGAGATGGGACCAGGAGAGCCTTGAGTCTCCCCCTCCTTCCTGCCCCACTCCTCGTAGCGCCCACCTCAGAAGAAGTGGACAGCGAGTTGTCCAGGCCGAGGCTGCTCTTTCCCGGAGGGCTCTTGCTGGTGCTCAAGGAGTCGCTGCTGCCGGCTGTGGGAGGGATGTCACAGGCTGCAGTCAGGGCCAGTCCGGACTTCAGGGCACGGGCCTCTCTCCCGGGCTGGGCAGGATCCCCTCACCTTGGGGAGGCAGGCCATAGGGCCCAGGGACAGGGCCGTTGGCGGCAGGCAGGGCAGCAGGCAGGGCAGGGAAGGGCACAGAGAGCTGCACGTTGAGAATCTGCAGCCGCTCCTTTTTGGCCGTCAGGCTCAGGATCTGCTCTTGCAGCCGCTGGTTCTCCTTCTGCAGCGCGTGCAGCGCCTTCAGCATCTCCACGACTGCGGAGAGAGCGAGGAACCTGAGGGAGGGGCGAGGGGGCGGAGGCGGGGCCAGGGGACCGGGGGCGGGGCCTGGAGGGGAGCCAGTGCTCAGCCCTTGAAAAGGCGGCGCCATCCTAAGGAGGGACACAGGTGAGCTCTGAGAAGAGAGGCGGGACTTGGGGAGCCACAGGTGTGAAGACCTGGGGCGGAGCCTGAGGCTGGGGTCGAGGCCACACGGGTCAGGAGAGAAGGGCGGAAGTTGCGGTTTGGTAAGGTCGGGGCCCGGAGGCCACGAAGGCCAAAGGTGGGGCGCTGAGGGACCAGGGCCGGTCGTGTGGCCTGGCAGGGATGGGAGGTGAGGCCCGGGGTGGCCGAGAGTCAAGGCTGGGGCGGGGCCTAAGGGCGGAACCTTAAAGAAGCTTGGGGACCTCGGGGAGAAAGGTGACTGTTAGGGCCCTAGGGCAGGCGTCCCGACCGGCGCCACCCCTCCTCACTGTTGACGCCGGCCTCCCCGTCGCCCTGCTTCTCCAGAAGCTGCTCCATGTTAGTCGTCCCTGGGGCCGCCGGGTCTAACTGGCCGCCCCCACAGGGTGCAGAGGCTGTCTGGTCGAAGAGTGCGGGGAGGCTGCTGATGGGGGACCTGCGGCCAGAGGGAACCTGGGTTCAGTCGACCCGACCACTCCAGGCTCCTCTGGCCCTTCTCCCGTATCCCCCAGGGGTTCCAGCCCACGCCGGTCTCTCCGTCCCTCCTCCCTCGGGTGTCCCTCCTGCCCCCAGCCCCTCCTCCAGGCTGCCCCTTCCCTCACATGGAAGACAGACTCTCCTGAGGGGAGGTCCCCCGACACCGGAAGCTGCAGTCCTCCAGGTCTGGCTCTTGGAAGAAGGGAAGGCTGGGATCAGCGTGGAGGAGTGGTAGCTGCCTCAGGGTCCCCGCCCCCAGATGGATATGGGATTGGGACCTCACCGCAGATCCCTTTCCCCAGGAATCCCCAACCCCACACTGGCAGTTCAAGGCCAGCGCTGAGGGCCCTGGCTTGGAAACCCTGCCCCTGGGAGGCAAACCCCGGGCATCTGCTCTCTTCCTCCTCTGGGCTGAAGGCTCCACTGTCTGGCTTCTTTCAGATCCACCGCCCAATTCCTTTCCTGGGATCTTCAGAGTTATAGAAATTTGAGGTCAAGACAGACCTGGATTGAACTTAAACCTGACATCAACTTTTGTGACCTTGGGCTCCTAACCAGCCTCTCCGAAGTGACTGTTATTAAGATTAAAAGAAGGTAATAAATGTGAAGTGTTTACCTGAAGGGTTTAGCTAGCATGTAGCAAGCCCTTAATGACTGCAGCTATTATCATAATTAGCTCTGTATGACTTTTTACATTCATCAGATCCCTTATCAGGAGGCAAAACTAAAACTCTTCCTTGGGCCACAGAATCCTGATCTGAGTTTTAACAAATATATCACCCTACTCTGTCGTTCTTAAACGTGGAATCATATTTGTCCCCTTTAAGGCTTACCTGAGTCGGCAGCCTGGCTGTAGGCCCCGCCTCCCAGCCTGACAGGTGGTCTCCCTGCACCAATTAGCTTTCTGGGGCTGGGCTGACTCTCCAGGGAGAGGGCGGGGCGCTTGTGACCCGCCCCCTTAACTCGTAAATACCCGGAGAGGTTGAGACCTCCGTAAGCGCTGATCCCAAGACACACTACGAAGCCAAGGGGAAGCACGCTACACCGGTGAAAGCACTGGGCTTGGAGTCAGGAGAACAGAATCTGAGCTTTAGGTCTGCCATTTCCTGCCTTGAGCAAGTCTTCCATCTCTGCCTTTTTCTTCTGTGAGATGGAGCAGTAACTTCCCTGCCCTGCCTTCTCGCTGGGTTCTAACTTGAAAGTGTACCCTGGTTTGCTGTGTGTGGATTTTTTTTTTTTTTAAGAGACAGGTTCTCCCTGTGTTGCCCAGGCTAGTCTCCTGAGTAGCTGGGATTACAGGCGGGAGCCACTACGCTGGGATTTTGTTTGTTTTGAGACGGAGTTTTGCTCTTATCGCCCAGGCTGGAGTGCAATGGAGCGATCTCGGCTCACTGCAACCTCCGCCTCCCACGTTCAAGCAATTCTCCTGCCTCAGCCTCCTGAGTAGCTGGGATTACAGGCGCCCACCACCACGCCCAGCTACTTTTTGTATTTTTAGTAGAGACGGGGTTTCACCATGTTGGCCAGGCTGGTCTCAAACTCCTGATCTCAGGTGATCCACCCGCCTCGGCCTCCCAAAGTGCTGGGATTACAGGCGTGAGCCACCACACCCGGCCTGTTTGTTTTTGCAGGGAGGGCAATGGCCAGAGGGAGGGGGCAGCCAGAAAGCTCTCCCATTCTTTCTGGGGTCACATGCAGGTGATGGGTGTCCGACCTTTGGGAAGAAAGGGGAGAGGGGATCAGATATTCACATACCTGTGTGGCTGCTCTCAGCTTGGGAGAGGAGGGGATTAACGGCACCCATGGGGGTTCCAAAGATGTGGGTAGAAGGGAGGCTAAAGGTAGAGCCAGCCAGAGAAAACACCTAAGGGAGGGAGGTAGAATCCCCTGGCGGTTATTCTTGGATCTAGAGCACAACTGTGTGTACCGGGGTGCAGGGGGCCGGGTGTGCTGGGGAGCAGAGGGGTCCAGAGCCCGGAGGGTGGTCTGATGGCAACTCAGCCCAGTTGCTCCAATTCCCATGGAAGGCTGGGGTCCTCTGTCAGTCTGTCCCCAACCTGCCCAGGGAAGGAGGAGCCCAGGAGTCAGGTCTCACCTGAGTGGTGGAGATAGAAGCAGAAGAGGAGGGGAGGGTGCTGGTGAACGGGGAGCGGCTGAGGCGGGGCAGGGCCGAGGTCCCTGGGGGCCCCAGGAGGCTGGAGGAGAGAGGGGTGCTGCAGACAGCCCGCAGCATCCCGCCACTGTGGGAGATGGGGTCCTTATTACTGGTGTAGATGCCTGCAGGCACAAGGACAGAGGGAAGCACGTGGTTACTCTCCACCCCAGACTCCTGCTCAGCCAGGTGGCTGACAGCCCCTCCCCAGCTCGAGTGCTCCCCGGGATCTGGCTACATGCCCCAGTCTAACCCTCTTGCTGCAAAGATGTCACTTCCTGCCTGGGTGACATCTGCTTGCTGCGCCTGCTTGTTAAACTGCCCTGCCGAGGGCTACAGAATTCCTAGCTTTTCTAATCTCCCTCCCAAAACTTGGTAAAACCTTCTGACAATCTGTCCCCAATCCTTTCTACTCCACGCATGCAGAGGGGGATGTCCTGAAGGTGACTGTCTCCTCCGTGCTCTATCTTTTGGAGTGGTATCCATCCCATTTCCTTCTAAGTGCATGTGTAAGCTCTGTTCCTCACTAGACTGGCTGGGCCCTGAAATGCCCTCTGTCCCCAGGGGTCACTAACCTGCCCCTAGTAAGGGGGACTCCAGGCTCAAGCTGGGCAAGCTCCCAGAAGGCCCAAAGGTTCGGGAGGACAGACCTCCCAGGCCGGAGCTGACCAGGGAACCTCCAGAGAAGGGTGAGGCAGCAGTGGCGGTAAAGCCAGCCAGCTGGGCACTGGGCAAGGATGGGGCAGCTGGGCCCCCAGTGCCCTCCTTGTTCCGGCTGCCCTTGGGACGGCCTGGCCCATGGCGGCTCCTCTTGCTGGCTTTGTGCTTCTTCTCCTTCAGGCCTGTCTCAGGGGTCTCATCAGCAGGCACAGGGGTGGCACTCAGTGCGGGCATCCGTTTGTGGGTGCCTGCCGAGGCCCCAGACCCCGTGACGTGGGGAGACTTATAGTCCCCAGGGGAGGGCGCCCGGGCCCGGCCTGAGCTGGAGGTGGTGGTGGAGAAGCGCATGATGGGCCCAAAGCCAGAGAAGACCACCTTCTGCTCAAAAAGGTCAGCCTTGGGGGGCTCGGGAGCTGAGGGAGAAGGAGGGGCTGAAGGGGCGGGGGCTGTGGGCTTGGAGTACTTGTCCTCCTCTGGCTGCTCCAGCTTGGGGAATGCAGAGAAGTCAGGGGAGCTCTGCAGGGACGAGACTGTGCACAGAGGGGAAACAGTTACAGCTGGACCCCAGATCCCCGCACTCCCTCCCACTCCCGCGTGTACTGGCGGGAGAGAGCTCTGGTCCACGAATGGGGATGCCTGGTTTCCTGTCTCAGCTCTGCCACTGTCTGTGTCCTGGGATGAGTACCCCCGACCCCTCCAGCTTTCCCACCTGTAATAAAATGGGGGAGAGTAACTCGCACCCTACTGGCCTCACCAGATGACTGTAGCGATTATAGGAGAAAATGTTAATGGGGGTTCTTGAAAAATTGTACCTTGCAGCACAAATGTAGGGGATAAGGAATACTGTTATGAGGTTGGTGGGGTGGCCCCTGAAGGGGAGAGGAGAGTTCTGGTTCAAGAAGGAAGGGTTTGGGGGCAGGTTTGGAGAGGAGGGGATTCCCCATCTTTATCCTGAACCAATGGAGAAGTAAATGAGATGCAAAACCAATATGCAAAGTCCCTTGCCAGAAAAGCTCAGGACAAAAGGCTTTCCCTGCTCCCAGCTTCCTCCCGGATGCCCACACTCACCTGCAGGCTGGAAGGGCCCCCCAGAGGAGGAGGAAGAGGAGGAGGAAGAAGAGGAGGCGGAGGTAAAACTGCTCACACCTTTCCCACTGCTCAGTTTCTTCCCTTTATGACTCAGGCTATGGCTGGAAGACTTTTTCCCCTTTGACTCCCTGCTGCTCTCAGAGGTCTCCTGCGTGCTGGCCTCGTGGTGGGAGGAAGAGGAAGCCGAGGAGGAGACCTGAAGGAGAGGAGAGAGGAAGGTTCAACACCAGGTGCCTGGGCCTGTGCTGATCCTGATGTGGGAGTGAAGCAGGAGGGCACAGGACCTAGCTCAACTGGGAGAGCCCACAGCTAGTTTCATGAAGGACTTCCGGGCAGGGAGTGGCCAGGAGCTCCTAGACCAGGGATATGGGGAGGCAGCTGTGGCACTCCTGGGTGTAAGGCAGAGGGGAATTCACTGAACCCAAGAAGGTGTCTGTCTTTCACCTTAGGCAGGGAAGATGGAAGCCAAGAGGGAGATGAAAACAGTCCCAGAGTCTGAAGAGATTTACTCATTGGTCCATTCATTCACTGAATACTTAGGGCGTCTAAGAAGGCGGGACCTATGCTGGAAGTGGCGAGGCAGAGAAGAGGACCCACAGGAGAATGGGCTTCTCTGGTGCCATCCTGGAGCCCTCCAGCTACTACCCCAAACTTCGGCCCCCTGGCTTTCCACCCATTCTCTGACCACCCCATGCTCTTCCTAGACAACCTGATTGCACACACTAAGCGTTTGCCAGGACAGCCTATCCTTACTCTTCCTGGGAAATCTCTCATCCTTTAAAATCCAGCTTGGAAGTCCCTCTTCCCTGAAGCCTCCCTAAATACCTCAGGTGGAACAAGACATTCTGTCCCCTTATTTCCAGAGAACTGTGCACACATGACCACATGTCAACAGCTGCCACTCTGCACTGAAATGTTCTGTCCTATCTGAGGCACCAGAAACCAAAGAGAGCGGCAGGGTGGTGGTTGAAGGAGCGTGGGCTCTAAGTCGGGCAGAGCAAGGTATGAGCCTGATGGGTTCTGCCCTTCACCGCCATGTTTTTGTTTTTTCTTAATTTATTTTTGAGATGGAGTTTCACTCTTGTTGCACAGGCTGGAGTGCAATGGTGCGATCTCGGCTCACTGCAACCTTCAATCACCTCCCAGGTTCAAGTGATTCTCCTGCCTCAGCCTCCCAAGTAGCTGGGATTACAGGCACCAGCCACCACACCCGGCTAATTTTGTGTATTTTTAATAGAGGCAGGGTTTCACCATGTTGGCCAGGCTGATCTCGAACCCCTGACCTCAGGTGATCCACCTGCCTCGGACTCCCAAAGTGCTGGGACTACAGGCGTGAGCCACCACGCCTGGCCTCACTGCCATGTTATACTGTGCAAAGTCTCAACGTCGATAAGTGTCAGTGTCTTTACAGGGAGCACTATGCATATGTGGTGAGTTGGAAGCAGCATGATGCCAGATACATGGTATAGGGTCAATAAATGATGAGACGTCCAGTGGCAGCAGCTGCAGAGACAGTGCTGTGGGCAGGTGAAGAGCACAAGCCTTCAAGCCAGACTGCATTGGAATCTCAGGTCTACCACTTTACTAGCTGTGTGCTTTTAGGCAAATTACTTAACCTCCCTGTGCCCCATCATCTTCATATATTAAATGGGGTTTATAAATTTCCAACCTAATTGGATTATTTTGAGTATTAAATGGACTAATCTCCATATGCCCCTCCATCTCCTGGTTCTAGAACACAGCCTGGCATGCCGTGAGTTCGTTCGTGCTTCAGGCTGCTGCCAGGGAAGGCCCTTTTCCTCCTAGTAGCGACCAGGTATTCAGTTAATCGTGCTGAACAGATAAATGCTGAATGCAGGCTGGACCAGAAACGAGAGCCACCCTGCACTGCCCCTCCCGGGCGGAGTCCTGGTCTCTGTCTTCCTCTTTGTTCTTTTCAACAGCTGGAGTTCTGAAGGGAGCCAGATGTGGTTCTGAGAGCAAGGGAAGAGAGGGGCTGGGGGGAAGGGTAGCCGAAGTGCTGGGGCGAGTGGAGGAGGATGGGCAGAGTTCTCTGGCATGTCCAAGGGACATCCAGTTACTGGAAAAACTCCCAGACCCCTGGCCATTTCTTGCCACCTGCCTGCAGGCCCCTGGAAAGGTCAGAGGGCATGAATGACAAGGTCTCCAGGTGAGCCCTGGGAAGCAGGGGAGAGGTTTACTGGGGCAGTTGCCACAGCAACATCACCCTGGAAACCTGATACCTGAACCTCCTGCTAAGGTGCCCAGAACTCTGCCAACCGTCTGAGATGGGGTGGAGGTGAATGGGCAATAATGGTGACAGGAGGGAGCAGTTTCTCCATCTCCCCCCACCCTACCAGGTTCTCCTCCCATGGGGAGGGCAGGTTGTAGGGAGCAGGGAGGGCTGTTCCAGCTTGGATTAGCAATTCCCTGGCCTAGGGTAGGGCCTGCCTATCGCTCAGCCAGATGTTGCCCATTTCTGGAGACAGGCCTGACATACCATGCCCTGCTGGGAATGGTGGGATGAGTGGGAGTTTCGGGATACTGTCCAGGGGCCTGCCCCCCATGCCACCTTGGTCAGAACTTTCAGCCCCTCCAACCTGCACAGAGTGGGATTTGGGTTGGGTGACAAGCTTTGGGTGTCCTCCTGATGGGGCGTAGGGGATGTCCTCTACCGATCTCTGGGGACAGGGGCCCTAGAACTTGGAGAGCAGGCCTGAGTGCCGTCCCCCACTCTCTGCAGACAAGAGCCCAGGGCTGAGGCCCTCTGGACAGAGGCAGATGGGAGTATCTGGCAGACAGCACCCCAAACTCCCAATCCCATGGTTGGTCGGTGATTGGTGGCCCCTTCTAGGCTGGAAGAAGGAGTAGAGGGTATGGGGTAGGAGGGGAGTGGCATTAACTTGAAGCTGTGGGGAGGGTGCCCAGGTCCCTGACTCACCAACCTCTCGCCCCCGCCTCCCTCCCTCTGCCACCCCAGACCCACACACCATCCCTCCTGAAGGTGGGCAGCAGTACCTTGTCAGCAGTGGGGACCACGGGCGGGGTGAGGATGCTGGGGGGCGACTCAGGCCGCTTCTTGTGCTTCTGCTTAAGGCGTTCTTTGTCCTTTCGACTCTGGAGAGGGAGAGGTGACTAGATATTGTGCTGGGGGGCTGTCTGGGCGAGGACAAACATGACATGTGGGTATGGGGAGCTGACACCCCCTTAGGGATGGGGTTTTGTGGGCACCATCTCTCCCTGAGGAGGGCTGGATAATGGGCTGGGCAGGAGCGATTCAGGCAAGTTCCTATGAGAGCCAACAGCCCTTCCCCCGGCCCCGCCTGCTAAAAATAGCCTGTCCCATTATCACGCCAGTGCTATAGAGCACCACGCGCGTGAACATAACACCTGCAAGGGTGTCCACCTGGGACACAGCTGCACAGAGGGACAGGAGCTGGGCACGCTGTGCTATGTGGCGCGAGGGAATGCAGGCATGAGCACTTACTAGGCGGCACATGGCTGGACTGCGGAGACGTGTGCAACGTGCAGAGCCATGTGTCTGGGGCCTGGGGGACACTGTGATGTCATGGGGAGGACCCAGAGGAACCACTAACACAGCCACAGGGAAGCCAAGCTCCCGCCTCACCCCCCCACCGTTTCATTTCAGCCCCCTCCTGCCCTCAGTGGCCTCAGAGGAAGGAAGAAGGCAGGGCCAAGACCTTAAGGGCACCTCATGATGGCTTTTTGAGCCATGTTTGTGAGTCTCCAAGTCCCCGTGTGGGAGTGATGGCAGGTGGGGGAGGACTTCTACCTTCTTCTGGCCCCTCTCGTGGTGGGTGGGGTGCTTCTCCTGCTGCGTGGATGGTGAGGCTGACCGGCTTCTCCTCCCAGAGATGAAACCACTGCCACCTCCCCCCATGCTGCCACCTCCTCCTCCAGCGCCTCCTCCGCCTCCCCCGCTGCTGTGCCGGGATGTCTTCTGCGGGAGAGATTTGAGAGAAATTGCAAACCCTCTTCTCACGGGCTTAGGGAACGCTTCCAGAAGGTTAGAGGATCCTGATCCTGGGGGTCAGCCCCATGTGCCCCGTCTGTCACTAAGAGGACCTCATGTCCTCTATGATGCTCTGCTCAGCAGAAGGGTGTTCCCCAGCCTGAAAATCCTAGAGTGTTCCAGCTGGCTCGCCCAATGTGCAGAGTCAACCACTGAGGCCCAGAAGAGGCAAGGATGCGTCTGGGCCCCAGCAAGGCCCAGGTGGAGGTGAGACTGGGGCCCGGGTCTTTCATTCTCTCCATGGTGCCCTCTTGGCTGACTGAGCCACGGCCCGTTTCTACCTCCTTCCCTGGAGCAGAGGGCGTGCAGGGGACCCTCGTGGGGAGCCAGTGCTCCCCTGCACTCCATATCCAATCCTCCCTCCAGACACTTGGCTCAGCTATCACCCTCTTCTCCTTTATCCTGGCCCCTCCCCTCCACCAAACACAGTGGTTGCTCCTGTCCCAAAGGATATGCTGCCCTTAACTTGAAGAAAGGGGGGAAGTTAAACATCAACACAACCCAAACAACCCACATGCTGCGTCTCCTCCCAGCCAGGGCCTGCCTCCCCCATCCCCTTCACTACAGACCCAGCCTGATGGCTCCACCCTCCCCGGGGTTATAGCTGCTCCCTCTAAGGTCACCAGCTACCTCCCAACTGCCAAACCCAAGGGCTAATTTCAGGCCTTATCTGACCAGTGGGCAGCTCCCCAGTGTTGGACACAGCTCCTACCTGCAGAGCCCCATACCCTGCAAGGCCCCCTCTTTCGTGGCCCGCCTGATCCATCCTTGTGGACAACCTGGGATTACGGCCCCAGCCTTATAAGCCTGGAGCTGCCACTACACCCTGCCCAGGAGTCTGACATCCACCAAATCTAAATGTCTCCACATGGTGTCTCCTGCAAACCAAGCCAAGCTCGCTACCTTGTCCTAAGCTATCATCAAACCCTGAAACCACGGTGACCACGTAACTTATGATCCAAACCTGGACACTTTCAAAAATGAAACAGGGGAACTAATAATAATTACACCAGGGCAACAGGTATAAACTGGGACTGTCTGGGGCAAATCAGGACATGTGTTCCCCCTACAGAAGCCAGCTGTACCCCTTGTTCATGGCACCCCCCAGGTATTCAAGCTCCATTTACCCAGTGTCTAGAGCCTAGATCCTAAATGTCACCCCCAACTCCTACTTCTCAGCCACTCCCACGATTAGGCAAGTCTCCCTAGAAATGGTTCTAGCATCCAGCCTCACCCCTCCATCCCCCTTCTTGCAGCTGTCTCCCGGCCACCAGCCTCAGCCCTTCTGATCTAGCCTCACAGCGGCTGCCAGGGTAATCTTCCTAAAAAACAAATCTGATCATGTTACTCTCCCGCTTACAGGCCTGACAAGCCTGTGGCTCGGGGGTAGATCCAAGCTGCAGCCAACTGCTCCAGAATACCTCACAGCTTCTGGGACACACGTCTCTCCACAAACACAGACACAGAGTAGCACCCTTTCCAGCCTCCCCCTGGACCCCTGAAGCCTGGGGCAGAGGCAAGCCCAGCTCGGGCTCTGCTTTCTCACTTCATCTCCTGCCTCTTCCCCACCAAACACCCCATTCTCCCGCTGCTCACCCATGCCCTTCCTCCTCTCAGGACTTTGTCCACGCTAGTCCCTCTGCCTGGGACTCGTTTCTCTGTTTGGCAGGCTCCTGAGGAGTTTTCAAATTAGGCTGCCCGTTCTAAATCCCATCTACCAGCTGCAAGATAAGTTATATGACCTCAGTGAGCCTTAGTTTACTCATCTGTAAAATGGGGAAAATATAGCACACCTAGTTCTTAGGGTTGGTGGGGGGACCACACAAAATAACACATGGCAGGAACTTTGTCCTAAGGCGGAGGCGTAGTAAATGCTGCCTCCCACACAAATGTTGGCTCTTACTTTGATTTCCACCTCCACTCAGCTTAAATGCTACCTCTTCCTTGAAGCCTCCTAGACTCT
This sequence comes from Homo sapiens, assembly GCF_000001405.40. Lineage (NCBI taxonomy): Eukaryota > Metazoa > Chordata > Mammalia > Primates > Hominidae > Homo > Homo sapiens. Next base: position 38,709,811 of record NC_000017.11, on the reverse strand, counting down.
GACAGGCAGGGTCTGAGCTTTGTCTTTTGGGACAGACTGCTTGGTCTAGCTCTGATCCACACACCTGAAGCTGTACTTTATTCCTCATCGAATGAAGAGCTCCTCTTGGGCAGGGACTGGGTTTTTTCCCTCTCTGTCCTCCTAGCACCAGGCACTGGCCTGGCCCAGAGCCCATGCCCTCTAACCATCTTACCACAGCTGACTGACCCGCTCATGCGCTGGTCGCCAGGACTCACCATCTTGCTGAAGTGGTATTTGCAGTAGCCGCAGTACTTGACGTTGTCCACCTCCAGCACTTCTTCCTCACACAGCAAGCCTGCCATTTGGGCACTAACCAGAGAAGGCAGCCTGAGACGGCTGAGGCCACAGATCACATGAGCCACCTTCCTCTCACCCTCCTGGCCCCCTGCTGAGGCGAAGCCAAGACCATCCAAAGCATTGCCACCACCATCAAAGGGACAGCAGCTAGGATGAGCCTGATCAGTGGCCATCCAGGACAAACCCGGGGGGCAGGGGGGTGGGACAGGGGTCTCACCAGGTGACGTGGAAAGCTTGTCGACATCCATGGCGGTTACAGGTCATGCAGGCTCCCGAGGCCGCCTTGCTCTCCCGGCCCTGCTCCTCGCAGATGTAACAGGTCTGCAGGACACAGCGCAATCGTCCCCTCCTCCAGGGAGCCCCTGTTCTACTGATGGTCCTTAGGCCACCCCCTCCATTCCATTTGCTCTCTACAGTCTTAGATCAGTGCTATCCCACAGAACTGTCTGCAGTGATGAAAACGCTCTATGGTCTGCGCCGTCCAAGACAAATGCCACCAGTCACATGGGCTATAAGCACTTGAACTATGGCTAGCGTGACTGAGGAACTAGATTCTAAACTGTATTTAATTGTTGTTTATTTTTATTTATTTATTTGAGACGGAGTCTCCCTCTGTCGCCCAGGTTGGAGTGCAGTGGCACGATCTCGGCTCACTGCAACCTCCTCCGCCTCCTGGGTTCCAGGGATTCTCCTGCCTCAACCTCCCGAGTAGCTGGGACTGCAGGTGCCCACCACCATGCCCAGCTAATTTTTGTATTTTTCTAGAGATGGGGTCTCATCATGTTGACCAGGCCGGTCTCAAACTCCTGACCTTAGGTGATCCACCCCCCTCAGCCTCCCAAAGTCTGGGATTACAGGTGTGAGCCACCACACCCAGCCTGCTTTTAATTTTGATTAATTTATGTAGCCACGTGTGGCCGATGGCTACTATGCTGGGTAGCACAGTCCTTGGATGGTTAGCTCTGAAAGGCCAAGGCCTTTGTCTGTCTTGCTCACTAGGGAGCTTATGCCCACCTCTGTGCCTCTGCCCAGGCTTTCTTCTGCCTGGAACCTGGGGGCCCTTACCCTCCTGGAAGCTGGCTCCTTCTCACGCCCCAGGTCTCAGCCTAAATGTCTCCTTCCTTTACCATCTGGTCTAAAGTAAGCCCCCACCAGGTCTTTATTTTAGTGTCTTATTTTCTTCACAGCATTTATCACAAATTGCATTTACTTTGCCTTTTTACTGATATTTATAGTCTTCGCATGCAAGAACTTGCGTTCCATTGAGCGGGCAGCACACCTGTCTTGATCAGCACCGAACAGCGTGTGCCAGCTACCTTGCACCAGGTCTGGCACATAGTAGGCACTTAATAAAATGTGTCCAGCGAATGAATGAATGAAGTAACTGCGAAGGTCTACCCTCTGGCAGAACTACTGCAGGGGAGCCTACTATTTCACCTGAGTGCCAGAGCATGAGTGTGTCTGTCAACAGAAGGGTGGTTCACTGGTAGGTACCTACCCACCTCCCAAGTTCCCTTTCAGTGCTCGTTGGACAGAATCAAATTACACCGGATGAAGAGAGCGTTGGAGGAACCCATAGATGGGAGGGAACTGGTAGGGGACACGGCGGGGGGCCGCTGACCTTGTTGAAGCGATCATGAGGCACGTACTGCAGCACGATGGGCTCCATGGTGAGCACGTTGGCAAATTGCACCTCGGGGATGTAGAGGGCACACACCACGTGTGCCCAGCCTGGGGCAGTGTGGGGGTAGCCTCAGCTGCAGATGGCAAGCCGGAGACTCCACCCCTTATGACCCCACGCTGCAGACTGTTCCCTCCTCCACAGCCTTCCCATCAGATTCCAGCGCCAGCCAGGGAAAGGAAACCCGGCCTCCACCCCAACTCAGTCCATTCCTGCCTTCCCAGACCCTGCTCAGGGGGCCCTGCTGACCTCAGCAGATGAGCCCGCCTCACCTCCATTATCAGTCCTCTTCAATGCCCCGTCTTTGTGTGGGCACAGCTCACACCTCTGCCAATGCAAGAGTGCACAGGGGTTGGGGGATCTGCTGAGCTGGACCCTCCCTGAACACGTTCAAGGGGTCCCAGGCTGAAATGCTAAGCTCTAGGGTGGATGGATGGGGCTACAGTGGAAACAGGATTGGCCATGAGTTGGTAACTGTTGAAAATGAGGAAGGGGACATGAGATTCATTATAGTTTTCCCTTTACTTTCATATGAGTAGGAAACTTCCCATAATAAAAAAGTTCAAACAGACAAAAACCAAAGCCCCATGCCTGAGGTGGGGCAGAGGGAGGGATGAGCGTGAGGCAGAGATGAGGTTGGAGGTAGGTGTGCAGGAAACAGGAAGTCTGTGTGACAGAGCTAAATCCCACCCTAGCCTCGGCCTCAGAGTCCCCTAGCTCAACCTGAGACGCTCAGGTGTGTGGGAGGGGCAGGGGAGTGGAGAGGGGCAGTCTGGAACTCACCACCCTGGCTGCTCGCTCCTGAGATTCACATTTCCGGCAGAACCAGGGTCCCGTTGGCACCTGAACGATGCCATAGCAAGCTGAGGGTGGGGAGGACAGTCGCTGAGCAAAGCTGTCAGCCAGTGGCTTTTTCCCAGGGTAACTGGGGGAAGGCGGTGACTCCAAAGGACTAGAGCCAGTTCCAGCAGTGGGGGCTGCTCCCCAGTCTACGGGTCACTCACTCTACAGCAGGACTGCCCAACCGCCCAACACCAGCCTTCAACCACACAATTAAGCACTTCAAACAGGGCGGGAAGTCTGAGTCTTTGACCTTAAACTTCTAGAAGATCCTCCCCCCACGCCCTTTCTGGACTTGTTTCCCAGCTTCTTCCTCGGACCAGCCATCAGCATCAGAAATAGAGAAAACCAGAGGGGACAACAGTCACGACCGTCAAACACGTTTTGTTGTTGTGGGCGGGGGGATTTCTTAAAGGGCCAGTGAGGGACGAGGCGGAGAAGTAGGGGGTCTAGGGACCTCATCTTCTACCTCTAAGTATTCCAGAATCAGGTTAAAAGTCAAGGCTGAGGGCAGGTGCGGTGCTGGGAACCGAGAGGAGCGTGGCGGGAAGAGCCCCGGGCCACAGCATTCAGGGATGTCCCAGGAAGGGGGGGCCCGGCTGCCTGTGCCAGGCAGGCGGGAGATGCCAGCCTGCGCCCTCGGCAAGATTCCTCAAGGAGTTAACTCCCGAACCATGTGCTGCTGGGGGAAACTCCAAGCCTCCCTCTTCTCGATTCCGGCCCCCTGCACAACCTCTCTCCTATCCTTAGCTCTTCCCCGGCGGATTTTAGGAGTCCCTTCTCCCCTGGGACCCTTCTCTTCCCTTTCCAAGTCCGCTCCTCCCATTATCCGGAAGCGAGGGGGGATGACGCCCCCCCCTTGACCTCTTCCTCCAGGAGCCGGGACCAAAATAACCGGGCGGGAGGGGACACCTCGCAGGTAAACATTCCCCAGGCAGCCCCGACACCCGCGGTGTGGGGCGTGGGGAGTTCACTCATTGCTCCCTAGACTCTCCCCAAACTCCCTCAACTTAGGGTGGGGGGCGCGGAACTGGAACAATAGGCAAGAAAACAATGCCTGACCCGGTCTTCCAGGACCGGGCGGGGGGAGCTCCCCCTACGCCTCCCTTCCCTTCAGGTGGGGTGGGGGAGGGGCGCGCGAGCCCCAGGAGGTCTCCGGAGGGCGCGGCCGGGGGCGCCCCGCGCACGCCGCCCCCGGGGTCCCGCCGCCCCCCGCGGGCCACCCCCGTACCTTGGTGGACGGCCACGCTGCACGCGTGCCCATCGCAGTAGACCAGCGGGTTCTCGGCCCAGCCCCTCTCGTCCGAACATACGCAGCAGCCTCCTACCATCTCCTTCATACTCCCATGAGCTCCCTCCGGGGCTGGGGCGGGGGGCCGGCCGGCGGGGGTCGGGGGTCAGGGGGGAGGGAGGGAGCGGGGGGCCGCGCGCCTCCTCGCCCCCTCCTCCTCTCCCTCCGCCGCCGCCGCTTCTTTTCTTTGCCTCCTCCTTCCTCCTCCTCCGCGTCCTCCTCCTCCTCCTCCTCGCTCGCTCTGTCTGGCCGCCCCCCCCGCCGTGCTCTCGCCCTCATGCCCCGACGGGCCCCCCCCACAACAATGAGACTCGCACGCCGGGCTCGCCCCCTCCGCGCCGCTCGCCCGGCTCCTAGGGCCGCCCCGCCGCCGCGTAGCCCGAGCCCGGCGGGGGAGGCGCCGAGTGGCACATCGCGGGCGCCCGCCCGCCCCGCGCCGCCCCGCGCCACCCGCTCACGCGCCGCCCCCCCGGCCCCCCTGCCCGGCCGCGGCAGCCATGGCCGCGCGCCTCCGCTCGCTCGCTCCCGGCCCGCCCGCCGCCAGCCGCCGGGTAAAGTCTTAGGTTCAGGGAACAAAGCCTGGCTTGGTAGGGAGCTTTTCGCTCTTTCGCTCCGTGCTGCTTTGCCTGCTTTCTTTTTCGTTTCACGGCTCTGGGTCGTCGCTCCCGAGCCCTCCCTCTGCCCGCACTCCCGTCTCGGGCCCCGGGTCCCCGAGTCTCCAGCCCCCTCCGCCAAGTCTTCGTCTCTGGGTGGATTCTTCAGCCCCAGGGAAACTTTGGAGTGGAGACCGGGGGAAGGGGCGCTAGGAGGAATGGGAGCGACGCGGGCCGTTCGCCCCCGCCCCACCCCGTGTCTGGGGGTCTTTTTGGATGGCCGCCCTCGGGCCCTTTCCTCCGAGGCCACTCTGGAGGGTAGACGCTCTCACACGCAGACATTTATTCATTCAACAGATATTTATTAAACGCTCGTTGCCAGTCGCTGGGATCGAGTAGAGAGCAAAACATATTCCTGCCCTCGGGGAGCTTCCTGTCGGGTTCACAGACACACACGCACGCACAGGGACTCAGAGCCCCAGAGACACACACCGAGGCACCCACAGACACGAGCTAACTCCCAGCTTCAGTCACACCACTGACCCTCCCAGAGACACGAACCTCCGCTCCAGCCCCGCGGGTGCGCTTAGAGACCCACGAGAGTTAGAGACCCGCAACCACGAGGTGCTCACGAACACCAGTTACACTTGACCTCTAGGCACGCACACAGACACACAAGGTAACTCACACGCAGCACTCCAGAGGACTAAAGTCCCTGCAATTGGGTCTGGGGGAGAAGTGAGGGGCGTCGGCCCAAAGTCTTCTTCCCAACCTGTGTGGGCAAGGGGGGGTGAGATCTGACCCCCAAAAACTTCCTAAAGGGGGACGACTCGTGGGGACTAAAGGTCACCCGCCCCCCACAGCGGGAGTTCGGGTGGCGTAGGGGAGAAGGCAGCCCTGGGGGCTTCAACGACACTTCAAAGACCTCGCGGCCGGGAACGCTTCCTGCGGGGGAGGGGCAAACAGAGAGGAGAAGGGAAGACGGGCCGGGGGACTGGGGGTGGAGGAGGCCGCCTCCCCTTCGGCGCACTGCCCCCTGGCAGACTCTTCCGCCGGGTCCGCCTCCTTTTCACCAGCACCTGTTCAACCGGAACATCAAGGGCCTGGGGCCCGCCGCGGCCCCCCGTCGGCTCTTTAGTACCTTTCATCCGGAAGGGAGATGAATCCCCGCCCAGGAGGGGGGAGTAGGGCGGGGGAGAACTTGTCCTTGACCTGGTCTTTGGCGTCAGGGATTTACTCCCTTAATCCCGGAGAGGCGGGAGTTTGGGGAGGTCCAGGAAGCTGAGTTCTGGGCTGCAGCCCCACACCTCTCCTCGCTCCGGTGGACACAGGGAATCTCGGAGGGCTGCCGGGACGAAGAGGCTACATCTACACAGGGCGGTGTAGGGGAAGCCCGTCTCTTCGACCTCCGTGCCTGGGAGTAGGGGCCGAGAGCCAGATTATTGCGATGACCGGAATCCCGGCGAGGACGGCCGCGCTCCGGTTCCTTGGTCAAATTTGTGAATTTCGCTAACACGAAAAGTTAAACAAGACACAGAGGAGAAACTGCACTTAAGGGTTTCTAACGAATTACCTTTACTAGCAAGAATAAAACTGCAAGAAAATTAAACGTAAAAATGTCAGTCCTAAATCATGCACGAGTTTCAGAATATTTGAATATTTCCTTTTGGGGCCCACCGCTGCCAAGGTGGCCGCAGTTTCGGGTTTCGCCGGACAGGGCTCACTAAAACGTGCCTACGCCCCAGGGATGGACGACTTGGAGACAGGGGCCGGGAAGCCTTTGTCTCAGGTCACCCTGCGCCAGGTTTGTCGCCTAAGTTTATGGGATGGACGGGAGACAACATTTGTAAGTTTAGAGTTTTGGGAACGTTGTTTCGTTTAATCCTCCCCACACCGTTTTAGGGTGGCTGTTCATATTTCCCATTTTGTGGATGGAGCAACTGAGGTTTCGACGGGAAAAAGTGACTCGCTCAAAGTCACTCAGGCTGAAATCGGCAGAGTCGGGACTTGAACCCAGTCTGTGCCTCGCTACGACAGGGGTTCCGCTACCACGCGTTGGTCGAGTGCGGGTGCGGAACTGGGATGTCCGAGCCTCCTCTACCAGCCCATCCGCAAATGTTCCCTGCGAGGTCTGGAGAAACCCGGTGCCCCGCGGGCTGGGCTGGATTCGTGGCGGGTACCTAGGGTCGAGCTGTCAAGTTCAATCTCAAGCTTCCAACATTTATTTTCCTGAGCGCCCACTATGTGTCGATCCGCAAAAAACGAGCAAGAGCAGGAACCAGCCAACAAGTGGTTCAAGTTCATCGCGCTCTCCCCGGGGTAACTGAACACTGCTTTAGGGTGTCACGCAGACCCTGGCGGTGCGACTTTCGGCGAGTGACTTCACCTCTCCGAAATCCGGCTTGTCCCTCTGTAAATGGGGCATCAGTACCCCCGGGCAGGGGCTGTAGTGAACATCGAACGAAAATCCTTTTGTAAAGCGTGAAGGCACACAGTAGGTGCTCAATCCCTGCTCGTGCCCTCTCCGCCGCCCTATGCGTGCCAGGGCCGCGCGCTCCCGCTCCTGCTTCCCGCTTCCCGCACCTTCTCCCGTCTCGCGCGTCCCGCGGCGAAGGGACTGGGGCAGAGACGACCAAACAGAAAATTATTTCCGCCCGCTCGCCCCGCCCCGCCCGTCCCCGGAGCCAGAAGGGGATTGTGGGGCCGCCGCGGCCGCCGCCGGAGCCGAGCGGGGCGGAAGCGCGCGTCGCGCTGCTGCTCGGGCCCGACCGCGCCGGCCCGCACCTCCCGGCCCGGAGCTGCGGGCTGCGGTCAGGGCGATCCCGGGGCCCTAGGCGGCTGCCGCCGGGCAAGTTTCCGCGAAGCCTGGCTCGCCGGTTCCGGGAACCAAGCGGGGGAGGCTGGAGGGTGTTGAGGTTTCGTTTCTGCCAGCCGACCGGGCGCTTGGTTTCGCAGGTGCCAGGGGTCGGGGGTGCGACCTCTCCCTCTGGGCCATTAGACAGACCCAGGCTCGGGGAAGAGGCTGCGCCGACGCCCGAGGGTTTGCGTTTCCTTCGCGTCTCGTTTGCACACCATTTTCTCCCCCAAAAGCAAAGCTTCTGACCTTCTGGGGGTTCGAAGAGGTTAAGTCATTTTCCCCCAGGTAATCTAGTCAGCGAAAGGCTTCAGCTGGGAGGGCCTCCCGCCTGGGCGGGGACCCGCTGGAGTCAGGCAAACCTAAGTTCGAGTCCCAGCCCTGCCACTTTCTTGCTTTGACCATGGATTAGTAGTGACTTATCTGGGACCCTCCGTTTCCCCATCGCAGACTGTAGTACTAACCTTAGGGCTGATGTGAGCAGTGACGATGTCAAGTGCCTGGCACAAAGAAGGGTGATTTCCCCATTAAAGGGTATGACTCGGAGGTGATCTATCTAGTAGGCCTGGGTGGCTTAGGAGGGTGGGTGTACAGTTTGTTTCCTAAGTCAGACACCCTGTGCAAGATGGAGGGAGGCTCTGTTTCAGGAGGAACTGGTGGGAGTGAGGGGATTTCCCTGACATTAGGAAGTCAGCAGTCATGATTATTGTGAATAGTGACTCTGCATATGTGGGAGTTTGGGCTTCTCAGGTCTTTCTACAGGAGGAACACAGTACTCAATATCAAATCTTGCCCTCTGCGGTTAGCTAGCTGCCTCAGTTTGCCAATCTCTAATATGGTGATAGTTGGATCCCCCTGCCTCCAGTCTACAGGATTTTGGTAACTCCACCTGGCCAAGGTCCCAGCAAATGCTGTAAGAGCTGTGAGTGAGCCCAGGTAGTTCCCTGACCATGTTAGGGCATCAGGGACCTCCTTTGGGGAGACAGAATGGGTAGGAAGGGAAGAAGTTCATGGGATGAGATAGCATCTGCCCAAACTTTTTCCAGAGCTACGTGGACTCTAGCCCCAGCCCTGCCCCTAACCAGCAGTGTGACCTTGGGCAAAGCAGTTACCGTCTCTGGTATTTGGTCAGGTGACCAGATCTTGAAAGTCCCCTTGGTGGTAACATTCTGTAAGTTGATGACTCCGCTCCTGGGGAAATTTCCAGGGTAAGCAATGACAGTTGACTAGCACATTTGCCCTGCTGTGTTCCACTTTACCAGTTCCTCTTACAGCCTAATCTTTTTTTTTTTTTTTTTTTTTTTTTTTTGAGACAGAGTCTTGCTGTGTCACCCAGGCTGGAGTGCAGTGATGTGATCTCGGCCCACTGCAACCTCCGCCTTCTGGGTTCACGCCATTCTCCTGCCTCAGCCTCCCGAGTAGCTGCGACCACAGGCGCGTGCCACCACGCACGGCTAATTTTTTTTATTTTTAGTAGAGGCGGGGTTTCACCGGTTAGCCAGGATGGTCTTGATCTCCTGACCTCGTGATCCCCCTGCTTGAGGCTCCCAAAGTGCTGGGATTACAGGTGTGAGCCACTGCGCCTGGCCTTACAGCCTAATCTTCATCCCTCCTCTTATACTTACCATCAGGACAGAAGTTGAAAAAGTTTAATTATTCGGTCTTTCAGCAGACACTCACTGAATCATCATGGGCTGGCCATAGGAGATACACAGATAGCACCTGGGGATGACAGACATAGGAAAGTATTAACAGATACATGGAGATACATGGTAGGTACACAGATAGCTAGTAGGGGTGACAGACATAGGGAATTATTAACTTCAGGATGAAAAGGGCTATGACAGTGCTATGAATGATGCTGATACTGCAGGGAGGAAGTAACTGAGTTTATGGGATCAGGGAGGGCCTGAACTAGGACCAAGTGGGTGAGGGAGAGTTTGCAGGCAGTTAAGGGGCAGAAGAGCATTCCAGGCAGGGGGAACAGCATGTTCAAAGGCGCAGAGGCGGCCGGGCATGGTGGCTCACGCCTGTAATCCCAGCACTTTGGGAGGCTGAGGCGGGTGGATCACGAGGTCAGGAGTTCAAGACCAGCCTGGCCAAGATGGTGAAACCCCCGTCTCTACTAAAAATACAAAAATTAGCTGGGCATGGTGGCAGGTGCCTGTAATCCCAGCTACTTGGGAGGCTGAGGCAGAGAATTGCTTGAAACCGGGAGGTAAAGATTATAGTGACCCAAGATCGCGCCACTGCACTCCCTGGATGACAAGAGTGAAACTCCGTCTCAAGAAAAAAAAATACAAAAATTAGCAGGGCGTGGTGGCGCATGCCTGTAATTCCAGCTACTCGAGAATCTCCTGAGGCAGGAGAATTGCTTGAACCCAGGAGGCGGAGGTTGCAGTGAGCTGAGATCACACCACTGCACTCTAGCCTGGGTGACAGAGCGAGACTCCATCTCAAAAAAAAAAAAAGGTGGGATGTTAAGAAGGATGTTCAGATGAACCCCATCCACCAAATCCATCCCCTAGGCTGTACCTCTGGGAGTCCTCCCCTGTCTTGCCTGGTGCAGCCTAGGGTATTTGGTGGACGGGGCTATCTGTACACTGAACAGTAGAACCCAGGAGCGGGGCAGGGTGATGGAGCTGGTAACAAACTGCTTTGGATGTGCTGACGTTGGGTGCCTATGGCAGTAGGCAGTTGACTATTTGTGTCTGGATTAGCAGAGAGGGTGAGAGGGAGAGCCGGATGTCCTGAGCAGCAGGAGAGTTTATGTTATAGAAGTCAAGGACATTTAAGGAGGAAGCAGTGCTAGGGTCACATGCCATTGAGAGGTCGAGGGAAGGAAGGGTTCTACAAGGAGGAGGTCCCTGGTGACCTCAGCCTGGAAGGTTCCAGGCACTGGTGGTGGTGGACGCTGACTGCAGTGGGCCAAACATGAATTGGGAGGGGAGAAGGGAGGAAATCATGGATTGGGAGGAAAGGGAGGAAATAGTGGAGAATAGCACTGGGGGATGGGAGGATCAGGAGGCAAGGAACTTGGAGGCAAGGATGGACACCTGTGATGATGATGATGATGATAATAGCAACGATAACAGCAACAGCTCCTATTCGATGAGAGTTTATTATGTGCCAAGCAATGTGCTAAGCATGTAACATACTCCCTGCAACAAGATTGAGATAGGTTCTATTCTTGTTCCCATTTTCCAGAGCTACTCTAGTCCCAGCCCTGCCCCAGCCAGCAGTGTGACCTTGGGCAAAGCGGTTACCCTCTCTGGTATTTGGTCAGGTGACCAGATCTTGAAAGTCCCCTTGGTGTTAACATTCTGTAGGTTGATGACTGTGCTCCTGTGGAAATTTCTAGGGCGAGGAAAGAGCAGTAGGTGCAAAAGTAGGATTTGCACCTCACTTTTTTTTTTTTTTTTTGAGACAGTGTTTCACTCTTGTTGCCCAGGCTGGAGCGCAATGGTGTGATCTCAGCTCACTGCAACCTCCACTTCCCGGTTCAAGCGATTCTCCTGCCTCAACCTCCTGAGTAGCTGGGATTACAGGCATGCGCCACCACGCCTGGCTAATTTTGAATTTTTAGTAGAGACGGGGTTTCTCCATGTTGGTCAGACTGGTCTCAAACTCCCGACCTCAGGTGATCCGCCCGCCTCGGCCTCCCAAAGTGCTGGGATTACAGGCTTGAGCCACCGCGCCCGCCCTGGCTAATTTTTTTGTATTTTTTTTTTTTTTTTTAGTAGAGATGGGGTTTCACTATGTTGGCCATGCTGGTCTTGAACTCCTAACCTCGTGATCTGCCCACCTTGGCCTCCCAAAGTGCTGGGATTACAGGCATAAACCATCGCGCCTGGCCTGGGCTGATCTTGACTCAGGTCAGGCAATCTTCCTGCCTCAGCCTCCCAAAGTGCTAGGATTACAGGTGTAAGCTGCCATGCCCCGCTAGCACCCCCCCTTTTAACTAGGTGTCCATGGGGTTGGTCTAAATTATCAATCAGGGAGGTGTTCTGGGGCTAATTCAGAACTCATGTTTCCCTGCTCCCCAAGACTCTCCCTGTCTGTGTGACACTACTGTTAATCCACTGTCATCTATGTAATCAGTTACCATTTGTTGACCCCCCGACTATGTGCCGGATAATGGGCCAGGCACTGATACTGCAGGAAGGATAAAAGCAGTTCTGGTCCTGCAGGTGCTTGGGGTTGAAGGGAAGGCCGCTGGACAGGCAGTACAATATGCCTTATATTTGGGGATGGACCACCTGCAGAGGGAGTCTACCATGTTTAGAGGGTACAAGTGTTTGGTGGGGGAGGAAGGGAAGATGAGAGAAGACAGGAGGAAGGGGATCAGGACACCTCACACATGGCCCAGGCTTGATCCCAGGAGGATGAAGTCCCATGGAAGATGCTGAGCAGCTGCACATGTGGTGACTTTTGCTGTGGCCACAGCAGAGTGGGCAGTTAGAGGGGTTAGAATGAAAGATGGAGCCGCTTTTGAAATTACTGCAAGTGCTAGAAGGGAAGCTCTGTAGGGCACTGATTTTTATGTGTTGTGTTTGAGCATCGGGATCAGTGTCTGGCACAGAGTAGGTGCTCAGCTAATACTTATTGAATGAATGAATGCTTGAACCTCTCTGGGAATGTCTGTAGGGGTGGAGAAGGGGGAGTTTTAGAGGGTGAAATCAAGAGAAGGGGATAATTGACAATTGCTGGTCATGGAGTAAGAGGGTAACTCCCAGGTTTCTGCCTGAAGCTGGAATCCTGAGGAAGGGAGGAAGAGCAGGGCTGGCAAAGGGCTGATGAGTTCAGTTTGGGGCTTTCTGAGCCTGAGGTCCAGTGGACTGTGACAGAAGGGGGTTGAGTATACATATCATATTAAAAATTGTAAACAGCTTCTGAAGCATATGTCATATATCCTGTGTCTACCTCTTCTGCCACATCCTTGATACTCTGAAAAAAATATTCAGAGGTATCTTTGAGCATTGTCAGCAATAGATGGTAACTGAAGCCCTGGAGCAGGTGAGATCATGACGGGAGACTGTGCAGGTGCAGAGTGGAAAGCAGAAGACCAGGTCCAGGGGCCCAGGGAATGCCGGCACTGAAGAGGTGTCAGAGGGAGAGGAGCTGGGCTGGGAGCATGAGAAGGAGTATCCAGACATGGAGGGAGAGCCTGAAACTCTCCCTCCATCGCTGGATACAAGCAAGTGGGGTCCTAGGAACCTGAGAGAAGACAGAAAGGAGAGAAGGAGTGTCTCTGCAGGGCAGGTGTCTCAGAGATGGGTGACTGATCCAGCATGCTGAAGGGGAATATAGCCCATCCTTCCTAGGGGCTGGGCTGTAAGGACAGCAGGGGAGATGGATGCAAGGTCAGAGGAAGGGTGGCATGAGTTTTTTTTAGGGGGAACAGTCTAGGCGTGATAGCTTGCATGGACAAGAGGAGGCGCTCTGCCGTGCCAGAGAGAAGGGAGGAAGCAAAGCATGTGGACAGATGGGAGTGTGTGTATGTGTGAGATGAGCGTGTGTGTGTGTGTGTGTGTGTGTGTGTGTGTGTGTGTAGGATTTTTCTGCTTGATAGACTGTTATTTTATCTTTAAAAACAATTTTTTAGGCGGGGTGCGGTGGCTCACACATGTAATCCCAGCACTTTGGGAGGCCAAGGCAGGTGGATCACGAGGTCAGGAGTTCGAGACCAGCCTGGCCAAGATGGTGAAACCCCGTCTCTACTAAAAATACAAAAATTAGTCGGGTGTGGTGGCACATGTCTGTAGTCCCAGCTACTTGGGAGGCTGAGGCAGGAGAATCGCTTGAACCCGGGAGGTGGAGCTTGCAGTGAGCTGAGATGGTGCCATTGCATTCCAGCCTGGGTGACAAGAGCAAGACTCTGTCTCAAAAAAAAAAAAAAAAAAAAAAAAAAAAAACATGCTTAGCCAGGACACGTTTCAGGTCCCTGGTGTAGGGGAAGTGCTCTGTAGCCTCAAAGCACAAATGTGGGGCGCATTACACAGGCTGCCCAGTGGGAACTGTGTGCCCTGGTGGAGGAGGGGAATCAAAGAACAGAAAGGGAGTGGGAAGGAAGAACTGTGGTCACAGAGGGGCCACACAGCCCCAACTTTCTTAGTGGCCCCACCTGCCTCTGCTGTCAGGCTGGTTCCTTGGTGGCCCTGTAGATTCTGGGCCTGTGAGTGAACCAGCCCCTCTTCCACCTGGAATGCCTCCCAGCTGTCCCTTATCTCACTTCTTCCAAGGGAGCCTCTCAGACCTCCCAGCCCTGCTCTAGTCTCACTTCTTCCAAGGGGGCCTCTCAGACCCACCCTCTTTTTTTTAGACGGAGTTTTGCTCTGTCGCCCAGGCTGGAGTGCGGTGACGAGATCTCAGCTCACTGCAACCTCTGCCTCCCAGGTTTAAGCGATTCTCCTGCCTCAGCCTCCTAAGTAGCTGGGACTACAGGCGCCTGCCACCATACCTGGCTAATTTTTGTATTTGTAGTCGAGACGGGGTTTCACCATATTGGCCAGGCTGGTCTTCTGACCTTGTGATCTGCCTGCCTCAGCCTCCCAAAGCGCTAAGATTACAGGCATGAGCCATCCACCACGCCCGGCCCTAAAAAAATTTTTTAAGGCCCGGCATGGTGCTTCATGCCTGTAATCTCAGCTCTTTTGGAGGCCGAGGCAGGTGGATCACTTGAGGCCAAGAGTTCGCGACCAGCCTGGCCAACATGGTGAAACCTTGTCTGTACTAAAAATACAAAAATTAGCTGGGTATGGTGGTGCACCTCTGTAATCCCAGCTACTCGGGAGGCAGAGGCACGAGAATTGCTTGAACTTGGGAGGCGGAAGTTGTAGTGAGCTGAGATCGCGCCACTGCACTCCAGCCTAGGCAACAGAACAAGACTCAATCTAAAAAAAAAAATTTTTGTTTTTTCTTTTTTTTAGGCCAGGTACTTTGAGAGCACAGGGCAGGAGGAATTACTTGAGCCCAGGAGTTTGAGATCAGCCTGGGCAACATAATGAGACCCTGTCTCTACAAAAAATTTAAAAATTAGCTGGGCATGGTGGTGGGTACTTGTAGTCCCAGCTACTTGGGAGGCTGAGGTGGAAGGATCTCTTGAACCTGGGAGGTCAAGTCTGCAGTGAGTCATGATCCTAGTGCTGCACTCCAGCCTGGGTGACCGGGTGAGACCCTGTCTCAAAAAAATATTTAGTTCTCTATTTTAAAAATCAACTTTATTAGGCTGGGCTCGGTGGCTCATGCCTGTAATCCCAGCACTTTGGGAGGCTGAGGTGGGTGGATCACCTGAGGTCAGGAGTTCAGGACCAGCCTGACCAATATGATGAAACCCCACGTCTACTAAAAATACAAAAATTAGCTGGGTGTGGTGGCGTGCACCTGTAATCCCAGCTACTCGGGAGGCTGAGGCAGGAGAATCATTCGAACCCGGGAGGCAGAGGTTTCAATGAGCTGAGATCATGCCATTGCACTCCAGCCTGGGCAATAAGAGTGAAACTCTGTCTCAAAAAAGAATTAAAATTAAATAAAATAAACTTTATTATGGTATAATTTACATATAATAAAATGCACACGTTTTCAATGTACAGGTGATGTCGTTTGACCAGTGTAGACAGCTGTGTAACCACCACCCCTTAGAGATATAGAACATTTCCATCTCTTTGGAAAGTTTCTTCCTATCCCATTGCAATCAGTCCCTTGGCCCCAGACAGCACTGATCTGATTTCTATCACTGTAGGTCACAGTAGGTGGGTGTCACTGCTTCTAGAACCTCCTAAGAGTGTATTATGTGTACTCTTTTGTGCTCAGCTTCCCCCGCTCAGCACCGTGTTTCTCTTTGAGACAGAAAGCAAAGCCCTTGCTGAGATGGGGGCTCTGGTGGAGGGCAGGAGAAGGAGCCACATCACCGGGCTGTGGGATAGAGGGGCCAAAGGGCATTGGAATCAGCAAGTGAACAGTGTCCTCTGATTGTGGCTTGCAACAAAAGCAGAGGAAGCAGTGGTGTGAATTTAGAATCAGGTATGGGGCCGTGCTCAGAGAACTGAGAACTCCAGGGTGCAGCAGGCTTTGGTAAACCTGGACTTAGAGGGGGACAGAGGCCTTCAGGACGCTGGCAGGAGTTGGGATTCAAAATCTTGGAGTTGCGCCTGACTCCTCCCACTCTCCAGCAGCTTCCTGGCCATCTCTGCTGCGCAAATGTCTCTGGATCCTTTCCCCCTGCTCCCTGACGCTGGTCCAGGCCCTCAGTGCCTTGAGCCTGACCCTGTGCTTTTGCAGCCAAGCCTTGGCTGGGATCCATCTCTCCTCCCTCATGTGGAGACTCTATCCTGATCTGCACTCTCTCCCTCTCCTGGCTCTTCCCGGCAGCCTCCACATGGGCTCAGGCCACCACCCTCTGTGTCTCCCAGATCCCTCTGCTCTGCTTCGTAAGTCAGGAGACCAAGCGCGGCCTCCACATGCGCAGCACACTTAGCTGTGTGGTTCCTCCTCACCCTGCTGGAATTGCTCTGCCGCAGGTCACCAGGAACCACCTGTCCTGGGCATTTGCCGGAAGTTGTGGCTGTCCAGTGTCCCCTTTCCTAGGTCAGGGGAGTGCTCCATTGGGTGATCTGCCCTGGAACCCTGGATCTACCCTTGCTTCCCCCTTCCCACCCCACACCCACCGCTTCATCCACAGCCTCTTCCTTCTCAACTGATGGCAATTTCATCTTTCTTGTTGTTCAGGCTGAAAACCTTAGAATCATTCCTGACTCCTCTCCCACATCCATTCTGTCAGCAAATCCTGTTGGCTCTACCTTCAAAATATGTGCAGAATATGATGACTTGCCACCATCTCCCCCATCATTTTCTCCCCTGGATTACTGTGGTCACCTCCTAACTGGTCTCCCTGCCTCCATCCTTGGCCCTGCCATTTATTCCCTGCACAGTGGCCAGAGTGATCCTATTAAGCTGTAAGATAATCAGGTCACCTCTGGGCTCAGAGTCCCCCAGATGTTCTCATGGCATTCAAAGGGAAGCCTGAGGTCCGGGCACGGTGGCTCATGCCTGTAATCCCAGCACTTTGGGAGGCCAAGGCGGGCAGATCACTTGAGGTCAGGAGTTTGAGACCAGCCTGGGCAACACAATGAAACCCTGTCTCTACTAAAAATACAAAAATTAGCCGGGCATGGTAGCACACACCTGTAATCCCAGCTACTTGGGAGGCTGAGGTAAGAGGATCCCTTGAACCTTGGAGGCGGAGGTTGCAGTGACCCAAGATCACACCACTGCACTCTAACCTGGGTGACAGAGCGAGACTCCGTCAAAAAAACAAACAAAAAAACCAAAGAGAAGCCCAAGTCCTTCCAGGGGCCTACAAGGTCCTACGCAACCTACTGTCCCAATCCCTCCAGCTTCTTCTCCATTCCACCCCAACCCCCATCCTCTGGTCACCAGCTTCCTTGCTGTTTCCTGGCATGCTCCTCCCTTCCCGATTAGGCTTTTCTGGACCATCCTATTTATTTATTAATTTTTAGTGAATTAATTTTTTTGAGACAGGGTCTTACTCTGTCACCCACACTTGAGTGCAGTGGCACAATCTCGGCTCACTGCAGCCTTGACCTCCCTGGGCTCAGGTGATCCTCCCAGCTCAGCCCTTTGAGTAGTTGGGACTACAGGCATGTGCCACTATGCCAGGCTAATTTTTGCATTTTTTGTGGAGACAGGGTTTCGCCATATTGCCCAGTTGGTCTTGAACTCCTGGGCTCAAACGATCCACCCACCTCAGCCTCCCAAAGTGCTGGGATTACAGGTGTGAGCCACCAAGTCCTGCAGGACCACCCTATTTAAAACTGCACCCTGGGCCAGGCACGGTGGCTCATCCCTGTAATCCCAGCACTTTGGGAGGCCGAGGTGGGTGGATCACCTGAAGTCAGGAGTTTGAGACCAGCCTGGCCAATATGGTGAAACCCCATCTCTACTAAAAATACGAGGAGATTAGCTGGCGCCTGTAATCCCAACTACTTGGGAGGCTGGGGCAGGAGAATCTCTTGAACTTGGGAGGCAGAGGTTTCAGTGAGTCAAGATCATGTCATTGCACTCCAGCCTGGGCAGCAAGAGTGAAACTCTGTCTCAAAACAAACAAACAAACAAAAAAACTGCACCCTGTTCTCCTGCTGCCCCCATACTCCCCGTCTTCCTTATACTTTCCTTTTGTCCTTCAGCTTTTACATTATTTCCACATTTATGTCTGTGGGTTGTTGTCATTCTTTCCCCTCGGGTGTGAGTGCCATGAAGACAGGGATGTTTGTGGATTTTGCTGCTGTATTCCAGGGCCTAGAACGGTGCCTGGCGCATTCTAGGTTCTCAGTAAATATTTACAGAAAGAACTGAAGGAAGGAATTCTGAGCCTCTGTCTTCAAGCCCTAGGCAGCCAAGATGTGGACATATGGCCCAAGCTGTGCCAGTCTGATGCCCTCCTGGTCTATTCTGAGGAGCAAGTAGCCAGAGGCTAGCAGGGGTCACTCAGTGGCTACACTGGTAGCACCCAGCGGGTGCTGTTTCCTGTGCTTTTTCCGGGCTGAGAGACAATTGTATTATACTTTCTGCTTCTTGGCCCACAGGGCTCTGACACCAAGTGAGTCCTCTCGTTTCTCTGTTTTTGCTGAGAAGCTGGAGTCTCCTAAGGCTTCAGAATCACTAAGGTCAGTAGCTCCTCAAACACTGTCCTGCTTACCCTGTCCATGGCATTTGGTCCCCATGACCATCCCCCTCCTCTGAAAACTCCCTTTCCCTTGCCCTCAAGTCTCACTCTCTTCCTTCCCAGCCACCTTTGCGAGGGCCCTTTTGCCCTGCCCCTCCCACAGGGGCCCACTTCTGGATCCGCTTGGCTTCCCCTGGAAGAGCTTATCCATGTCTGTGGCTTTAACCTTGACCTGTGTGCCTGTGACCTGGTCCTCACCTCTCCAGTCCCAGGCCTCCTTTTCCAGGTCTCCTCTGGCCACTCCCTCCGCATCTAAACTAAGCTCCGCATCTCCCCACCCCAGACCCACCCTTCCTCTTCCAGGTCCTGCCTCAGCTACTAGCCTCCACTTTCTCTGGAGACAAAGACATGGGGGCCTTCTCAACTCTGTCTTCTTCACTCCTTCTCTGAATCAGCCACTCAGTCCCACAGAATCAACCTGGTCAATGCGTCCTAACCCAGAAGCATTCCCATTTCCCCTGAGCACAGCCCTGTTCAGCCTGAAGCATCTTGGTTGTAGTCCTCCACACTGCCTCCCAGGGGATCTATCCCCCATCTTCCTGGTCACTGCCTCCTTCACACACCTCTTGGAAACCAATCTCTGGGCCAAACTCCTGCTAGGCATTGAATGTGCAGGTCTCAGCACCCCCCACACCCTGTCCGAGGGGGAGCCCACACCTTCAAGCCCCAGAGACAGACTTGAGCCCAGTGAGCAGACACTTCAACCACCCCACCAACTTCAGTCTCCAGCCCACTTCAGTCAAAAGAGACAGAGGCACAGCTCTCAGTTCACACTTACCCTGGAACACTCACAGAAGGCAGGCCTCATCAGAATGAATGGAAGAGTGTCCTTGCTTTGAATAAAATGCCAATGAGGGATAACTTAAGCTAATTATCGAGTCATGCCGGAAGCCAAATTATAGACATTGTCATGTTATAAACACCATTTCCCTAGAGAGCGGCTTGGAGACATCTGGGAAGCCTGGAGCCTGAGCTCATTACCTTCCCCCCAAGTTGCTCTGTCTCCTCATGTCCCACCCGAGATGTGAGGGAAGTCTCTGCTTCTGCCAGGGCTTCTGGTTCCCTCCCCAACACAGCCAGTTGTTTGCAGATGCTGCTGATTCTCCTTTGAAAACCCGTCCGTTCCTGTGGCCACTGCCTTCCTTTAGGTCTTAACCATCTCTTGCTGCTTTCTGGGGCGAGTGACTGAATGAGGCAGAGCCTCTGTTTTCCTCATCTGTAAAATATGACTTTTCTTCTGTTCATTAATTTTTTTTAGAGACAGTCTCACTCTGTCGCCCAGGCTGGAGTGCAGTGGCACGATCTCAGCTCACTGCAAGCCTCTGCCTCCCAGGTTTAAGAGATTCTCCTGCCTCAGCCTCCCGAGTAGCTGGGACTACAGGTGCATGCCACCACACCCAGCTAATTTTTGGATTTTTGGTAGAGATGGGGTTTCACCATGTTGGCCAGGGTGGTCTCAAACTCCTGACCTCAAGTGATCCACTGGCCTTGGCCTCCCAAAGTGCTGGGATTACAGGCATGAGCCACCTCGCCCAGCCAAAAAATGCAATTTCTTGATAGAAGGATTGGCTGTTGCCAAGGGGAGCAACTGATCAATATTATATCACTAACAGTGAAACTCAGGCATCAGGGACACCCCAAGGGAACGCAATATGTTGGAGGAAGCTTCACCCACAAAGTGTTTTTGTCAGCATAGTCAACCTGAAGCTAATCAAGCCTGGAGATCTAATTTCCAGTTTACAGAAAATACGGGATAAACAACACCATGAGGAAGCAATCAGAGAAATCTAGAAGGTGGGACATGATGTCTGTAATTTACTTAAAATACTTTAGCAGTTCACCAAGTCAATGGCAAAGGGGGAAAAAGTTATTCTAGATTTAAATGAGACTTAAGGGACATAGCGAAATGCAGTGCGCAGACCGTATTTAGATTTTGGTTGGAGCTAGGCACAGTGGCTCATGCCTGTAATCCCAGCACTTTTGGAGGCCCAGGGAGGAGGATTGCTTGAACCCAGGAGTTCAAGACCAGCCTAGGCAACATAGCAAGAGCCTATCTCTACCAAAATAAATAAATAAATAAATAAATAAGATATACCTAATGTAAATGACGAGTTAATGGGTGCAGCACACCGACATGGCACATGTATACATATGTAACAAACCTGCACGTTGTGCACATGTACCCTAGAACTTAAAGTATAATAAAATAAATAGATAAATAAATAAATAAATTAGCTGGATATGGTGGCACGCGTCTGTGGTCCCAGCTACTCAGGAGGCTGAGGCCTGGAGGTTGAGGTTGCTGTGAGCTGTGATTGTGCCAGAAGCCTAGGCGACAAAGCAAGACCCAGTCCCAAAAAATAAATAAGTAAATAAAGATCTTGGTTGGAACAAATCAAATACAAAAAAAGCATTTTGGAGGACAAGTTGGTAAATTTGAATATGGGCTACATATTGGATGATATTAAGGAATGGGTAATTTTCTGAGGTATGATCATTTTATATATAAACATATATATACATATGTGTGTGTGTGTGTGTGTGGGTATATATATATATATATGTATTTTTTTTTTGACTGAGTCTCGCTGTGTTGCCCAGGCTGGAGTGCAGTGGAGAGATCTTGGCTCACTGTAGCCTCTGCCTCCCGGGTTCAAGCAATTCTCCTGCCTCAGCCTTCTGAGTAGCTGGGATTTCAGGCGCACCACTATGCCTGGTTAGTTTTTGTATTTTTAGTAGAGACAGGGTTTCACCATGTTGGCCAGGCTATTCTTGAACTCCTGGCCTTAGGTGACCCGCCCACCTTGGCCTTCCAAAGTGCTCGGATTAAAGTGTGGCCACTGCACGCAGCCTATGATCATGATATTGTAGTAAGAAAACTTCCTGAAGTATTTAGGGGTAAACTTCCATGAAAACTTTAAATCACTTTTAGCAAATGTTGGCTGTGAGCAGTGGCTCATGCCTGTAATCTCAGTGCTTTGGGAGGCTGAGGAGGGAGGATTGCTTGAGTCCCAGAGTTTGAGATTGCAGTGAGCTATGATCATGCCACTGTACTCTAGCCTAGGTGACAGATGGAGACCCTGTCTCTTAAAAAAAAATAAAAAAGTATTTGGTGGCCAGGTGTGGTGGCTCACACCTGTAATCCCAGCACTTTGGGAGGCCAAGGTAGGTGGATCACGAGGTCAGGAGATCCAGACCATCCTGGCTAACACAGTGAAACCTCGTCTCTACTGAAAATACAAAAAAAAATTAGCCAGGCATGGTGGCGGGTGCCTGTAGTCCCAGCTACTCAGGAAGCTGAGGCAGGAGAATGGCATGAACCCGGAAGGCACAGCTTGCAGTGAGCTGAGATTGCACCACTGCACTCCAGCCTGGGCGACAGAGCAAGGCTCCGTCTCAAAAAAAAAAAAAAAGTGTATTGGGTTGCCAACTCTGTGCCAATTACTAAGCTACTGCAAAATTCAATGTGGTCCCTGTCCCCATGAAACAGAGTGGCGGAGGAGAGGGAGGAGAGGTGGATAATCAGATACACTAATAGATGAATAGTGATTAGCAGATGGAAATCTTTTTTTTTTTTTTTTTTTTGAGATGGAGTCTTGCTCTGTTGCCCGGGTTGGAGTACAATGGCGCCCTCTCAGCTTACTGCAACCTCTGTCTCTTGGATTCAAGCGATTCTCCTGCCTCAGCCGCCCAAGTAGCTGAGACTACAGGCACGTGCCACCACACCCGGCTAATTTTTGTATTTTTAGTAGAGAGCAGGTTTCACTGTGTTGGCCAGGCTGGTCTTGAACTCCTGACTTCAGGTGATCTGCCCGTCTTGGCCTCCCAAAGTGCTGGGGTTACAGGCGTGAGCCACCACGCCTGGCCAGTGGAAATCTTTGAAGGAAATATACACAGCTCTTGAAGTGGGGATAGTGTGGAAACTGACCTGGGCATCATCTGGAAGGGCGAAGAGAGGTTTTCTTAGAGGAAGGGATGACTCAGTGGAGCTCTGAGTAGGAGCAGGCGTTGGCCAGGAGAAGCAATGTGGGGGGAAAGTTTACAGTCTGAAGGAACAGCAAGTGCTTAGGGAAAGAGAGGAAGGAGCTTATTGCTTTAGGCCTAAAGAAGACATGAGTGGCTGAAGGAAGAGGCAAGGGAACTGTCCCCTTCCCTAAGAAGACCTGTGTGTGGCATTGCTAGAGTTAAGTAACACTACCTGTGAGCCAAATTAAGAGTTTAGTCTTTTAGGCTGGGCTTGGTGGCTCACGCCTGTAATCCCAGCAGTTTGGGAGGCCAAGGTGGGCAGATTACTTGAGGTCAGGAGTTTGAGACCAGCGTGGCCAACATGGTGAAACCTCTTCTCTACTAAAAAGACAAAAATTAGCTGGGTGTGGTGGCGCACAACTGTAATCCCAGCTACTCAGGAGGCTGAGGCAGGAGAATCACTTGAACCTGGGAAATGGAGGTTGCAGTGAGCCGAGATCGTGCCACTGCACTCCAGCCTGGGCAGCAGAGTGTGACTCCATCTCAAAAAGAAAATTAAAAAAAGTCTGGTCTTTCTCCTGAAAGCAGTAGGAAACCATTAACAGATTTTTGTTTTTTTGTAGAGATGGATCTCGAACTCCTGGGCTCAAGCGATCCTTTCACCTTGGCCTCTCAAGTAGCTGGGACCACATTTGCTCACCAGCTGGCCCAAGACCAGACTGGGCAACATGGTGAGACCCCGACTCTACAAAAACTTTTTTTTTTTGAGACAGAGTTTCGCCCTTGTTGCCCAGGCTGGAGTGCAATGGCACGATCTTGGCTCCTGGCAACTCCGCCTCCCAGGTTCAAGAGATTCTCCTGCCTCAGCCTCCTGAGTAGCTGGGATTACAGGGACCTGCCACCACACCTGGCTAATTTTGTATTTTTAGTAGAGATGGGGTTTCTCCATGTTGGTCAGGCTGGTCTCGAACTCCCAACTTCAGGTGATCCGCCCGCCTCAGCCTCCCAGAGTGTTGGGATTACAGGTGTGAGCCACCGGGCCTGGCCCCCCAAAAAATTTTAAAAATTAGCTGGGTGTGGTGGCACATACCTGTAGTCCCAGCTACTTGGGAGGCTGAGGTGGGAGGATCAGTTGAGCCCAGGAAGTTGAGGCTACAGTGAGCTGTGACTGTGCCACTGCACTCCAGCCTGGGTGACAGAGTGAGACCCTGTCTCAAAAAGAAAAGAAAAAAGGTTTTGAATACGGGCGTAACAGTCAGATTTGTGGCTTTGGAAAGATGACTGTGGGGTATGATGAGTCTTGCTGAGGCATTGACTTGGAGGGCTGGAGGTGTCGGGATGAGGACTGGGTTTCTGGCTGTGGAAGTGAATAGATGGGGGAGCCACACCTCAGGATAGGTTTCCTGGGAAGAGGGGGTGGAGTGGGTGCTGATGGTTTGGGATGGCTGAGTTTGAGGGGCTTTTGAAATGTCCGAGGTGGACTGAGTGGGCAGTGTGGTGTCTGGGCCAGACCTGAGAGGAAAGGGCCAGGCTGAACCCCGGGGCTCCAATGCTGACTGCAAAGTGAGCAGGGAAGAGTGTCTGGAGAGAGAAGAGAGTTCTGGACAAAGCCTTGAGGAGCCCCGACATTTTGGGCTGAAAAGGGGAGAGTGAGCCTGCACTGAAAAGCAAGAGGAAGCAGCCCCAGAGGCAGGACAGCAAGGGAGCTTGGTGTCCAGAAAGAAGGGGACTGGAAATGTCTCGGAGGAGGAAGTGGCCAGCCAAGCGGGCTGCCCGGAGAGGTCAGGGAGGCTGACAAGTGCCTGCCAGTTTCGATGAGATGGAGGCCACCGAGACTTCAGCAAGAGCTATTCCGGTGGCGGGCGAGGGTGGAAGCAGATGGAAGCGGGTTGGGGAGCAAGTGGGAAGTGAGAAAAGGAAGGCTACGTGCGTAGACAGCTCTCGGGGGAGCTTGGCTGTGAAGGGAAGAAAGGGATAGGGCTGTAGCCTCTGGGGTCAAGGAAGATTTAGCTTTTTAATGGGAGAGACCTCCTGATGGCGAGAGTGATTGGCTGTGCAAGGGAGATGAGATGACTCTAGGAAGGTGGATGAGAAAGGCCAAGGCCAGGGCACCCTGCTACTTAACAGAGGGGTGGTACGCTGATGGCTGGAAGTTGGCAGCACATGGGGCAGGCACTTGCTTGCCTTGGTTCCTTGCTCATATTCCTCTGCAGGTGGAATTCTTCTCTCTTCTCTCCTGCCTCCTTTGTTTTTTTTTCTTTTTCTTTTTGTTGAGATGGAGTCTCTCATTCTGTCGCCCAGGCTGGACTGCAGTGGTGCAATCTCGGCTCACGGCAACTCCCACCTCCCAGGTTCAAAGTGATTCTCCTGCCTCAGCCTCCTGCATAGCTGGGACTACAGGCATGCACCACCACACATGGCTAATTTTTGTATTTTTAGTAAAGATGGTGTTTCACCATGTTGACAGGCTGGTCTCAGGTGATCTGAGGTGACCTCAGGTGATCCATCTGCCTTGGCCTCCCAAAGTGCTGGGATTACAGGCATGAGCCACCATGCCCAGCCCTGCCTCCTTTGTATACTCCTGTTCAGCCTGTAGACATAGGAGGAAGATTACGTTCTCTGAAAAGACCTCCTTCCTCTTCCTCTAGGGTCATCCTCCTCTAAGATTCCAGGACCATGATCATCCCTCTATTGCTACTTCTTAGATCAGCTTGTAATGTCCATCTCCCCCACCAGACTGCGTCTCCAGCATCTCTGAGTCCCCAGGGCCTGGCCTGGGGCTTGCTACATGGTGGGTGCTCAGTAACTGTGAGGTAAATAAATGAATGAATTAACCATGGTCATATGGAGGAAGTACTGCAGGAGGAGGCAAGTCTGGAATAGTTCCTAAGTGAATGCGGAGAGGGATGGGACAAGGAAAGAAAGGAGGAAAGGGAAAAGGCAGCCTAAGCTACTGCCAAAGGCACTTACATTGATCATGAACTTCTATGCACCAAGCATTAATACGTGAGTTTCTCATTTTTTATTTTTTATTTTTTTCCCGAGACGGAGTCTTGCTCTGTCACCCATGCTGGAGTGCAATGGCGTGATCACGGCTCACTGTAACCTCCGCCTCCTGGGTTCAAGCAATTCTCCTGCCTCAGCCTCCCGAGTAGCTGGGATTACAGGTGCCCGCCACCGAGCCCGGCTAATTTTTGTATTTTTAGTAGAGATGGGTTTCACCATGTTGGCCAGGCTGGTCTTGAACTCCTGACCTCAAATGATCTGCTCACCTTGGCTTCCCAAAGTGCTGAGATTACAGGAGTGATCCACGGCGCCCGGCCATGTTTTTTCTTACCTATGGATAATAATTATTTTTTTTTTTTGAGACAGGGTCTTGCTCTGTCACCCAGGCTAGAGTGCAGTGGTGTGACCAAAGCTCACTGCATCCTCAAACTTTTGGGATTAAGGGATCTTCCTGTCCCAGCCTCCCAAGTAGCTGGGGGCACAGGCATGCACCACCATGCCCAGCTAATTTTTACACTTTTTGCAGAGATGGGGTCTTGCTATGTTGCTGCTCAGGCTGGTCTTGAACTCTTGTTGGACTCAAGTGATCCTCTTTCCTTTGTCTCTCAAAGTGCTGGGATTACAGGCATGAGCCACCTCGCCTAGGCTAGGTTTCTTCTTTAATCCTCACAATATCTTCAGAAGGAATATTATTTGCCTGTGCATTAGCTGGCTTCCCGAATCTACTAGAATACAAACTCCTTGAGGTGGGGGTTGTCTGTCTTGCTGCTGTGTCCCCAGTGCTAGAATAGCACCTGGCACATAGAGTTGCCAGATAAAACACTGTCAAATCTGAATTATAGATAAACAATAAGTAAGTTTTTTAGTATAAATAAATATGTTCTGTATATTTTGTGCTAATTTTTTTTTTTTTTTTTTTTTTGAGACGGAGTTTTGCTCTATTTCCCAGGCTGGAGTGCAGTGGCACTATCTCAGCTCTCTGCAACTTCCGCCTCGAGGGTTTAAGTGATTCTCTTGTCTCAGCCTCCCTTACAAGAGCCTCCTCTTTTGTAAGCTGGGATTACAGGCACTCGCCACCACACCCGGCTAATTTTTGTATTTTTAGTAGAGATGGGGTTTCATCATGTAGGCCAGGCTGGACTCAAACTCCTGGCCTCAAGTGATCACCCGCCTTCGCCTTCCAAAGTGCTGAGATTACAGGTGTGAGCCAGTGCACCCAGCTCTGTGCTAAATTTGACAATACTATACATAGCAGGTCCTTAATAAATATTGTTCCATAAATATTGTTTGATTAAATCTCACGGTGGGAATGCAGCCAGTAAATTCCAGACTATGGGAAGTCTAGAAGACAATCGTAGTATCTCCAATGACTAAATTGCAAAGAGGAAAAAAAAAAAGAGAGACAGAGAGAGATAAAGGGGGAATTTATAGATAAAAAGAGAGACATATTAACCACTTGAAATCCTTCTTTGGCTCCTAATTCAAATAAACTAAAAATTGTAAAGAAAAAATATTATAAGATAATTAGAAATTTGAACACTGACTGGCTATTTGATGAAGTTAAAGTGTGATTGTTAATTCTTTTTTTTTTTTTTTTTGACATGGAGTCCCACTCTGTCACCCAGGCTGGAGTGCAGTGGTGTGACCTCAGCTCATTGCAACCTGTGCCTCCCAGGTTCAAGCAATTCTTCCGTCTCAGTCTCCTGAGTTTCTGGGACTACAGGTGCATGCCACCATGCCCGGCTGATTATTTTTTGTATTTTTAATAGAGACAGGGTTTCACCATATTGATCAGGCTAGTCTCGAACTCCTGACCTTGGGTGATCCACCCGCCTTGGCCTCCCAAAGTGCTGGGATTACAGGCATAAGCCACTGTGCCCGGCCAATTGTTAATTTTTTTTAGGTTTGATAATAATGTTGGGGTTATGTTTACTTTTAAAGGGTCCTTATAGAAATATGTATTGAAATATTTAGGAATGAAATTATGTGATGTCTTGGATTTGCCTAAAAATAACATGGGGTTTGTTCTAGGTTGGGCACAGTGGCTCGCACCTGTAATCCCAACAGTTTGGGAGGCCAAGGCAGGAGGATTGTTTGAGCCCAGGAGTTTGAGACCAGCCTGGGCAACATAGTGAAACCCTATATCTACAAAAAAATACAAAAATTAGCCGTGCGTGATGGCACACGTTTGTAGTCTCAGCTACTCAGGTGGCTAAGGTATGAAAATCACTTGAACCCCAGAGGTTGCAGTGAGCCGAGGTCGCATCACTGCACTCCAGTCTGGGCAACAGAGCAAGACCTGTCTCTAAAAAACAAACAAAGCAAAACAAAATAATATGGGGTTTGGGGTTTGTTCTATATCTTATATTTTTCTTTCTTTCTTTTTTTTTTTTTAGATGGAGTCTTGTTCTGTCACCCAGGCTGGAGTGCAGTGGCACAATCTCAGCTCATTACAATCTCTGCCTACTGGGTTCAAGTTATTCTCCCACCTCAGCCTCCCAAGTAGCTGGAATTACAGGCACGAGCCACCACATCCAGCTAATTTTTTTGTATTTTTAGTAGACATGGGGTTTCACCGTGTTGGCCAGGCTGGTCTTGAACTCCTGACCTCAAGTGATCCACCTGCTTCGGCCTCCCAAAGTGCTGGGATTGATTACAGGCATGAGCCACCGTGCCTGGCCATTGTTCTATAATATATCTTTTTTTTTTTTTTTAATTGAGACGGAGTCTCGCTCTGTTGCCCAGGCTGGAGTGCAGTGGCGCAATCGCGGCTCACTGCAAGCTCCGCCTCTCGGGTTCACGCCATTCTCCTGCCTCAGCCTCTCCGAGCAGCTGGGACTACAGGTGCCCACCACCACACCCGGCTAATTTTTTGTATTTTTAGTAGAGACGGGATTTCACCGTGGCCTCGATCTCCTGACCTCATGATCCACCCGCCTCGGCCTCCCAAAGTGCTGGGATTACAAGCGTGAGCCACCGCGCCCGGCTATAATACATCTTAATTGTGGTGGTAACATGGGCATATTCCTTTGGCAAAACCATTTGAACTGTACACTTAAAATGTGCATTTTATTACATAAATCATACCTAAATAAAATTGTGTTGTTATTGTTGTTTTTTGAGACAGGGTCTCGCTCTGTCACCTGGGCTGGAGTGCAGTGGTGATTGCAGGTCCCTGCAGCCTGAACCTCCCAGGCTGAAGGGATCCTTCCACCTCAGTCACCTGAGTAGCTGGGACTAGCTAATTTACATGTTGTTGTTTTTGTTTGTTTTGGTAGAGATGGGGTTTCGCCATGGTGCCCAGGCTAGTCTCAAACTCCTGGCTCTAACAATCTGCCAGCCTCGGCCTCCCAAAATGCTGGCATTACAGGTGTGAGCCATCATACTGGCCAATTTGATTTTTTTTTTTTTTAAGTGAGGAAGTGGGTGGGTAAGAATGAAACAAAACTGACCATGAGTTGGTGAGTGTCGAAGCTGGATATTGGGTACTCAGAGGTTAATTATGTTTATTTACTTTTGTGTAGGTTTGAAATTTTCCATCATATAATACCTTTTTAATTGCATGAGGAAAGATGCTAGTCTTGTTTTACAAATAAGGAAACTAAAGCTTCCTGAGGTTAAGTAATTGCCCCAAAGTCACAAAGCTAGTAAAATGATGGGTCTGGAATGTGAACTGACCCATCTGAGCCCAGAACTTAAGCTGTTAACCCTGGGTGCAAATTCCCAGAGGAGGTAGAGGAACATGTGGGTTTATGCTAGGGGGTGATGCAGCCCTGCTGACTTAGGGAATTCTGGGACCAAGAAAGGTTAAATGATGGTGGCTGGGTGTGGCAGGGTGGAGAAATGGCTTCCCTCTTGGATTCATTGTTGTGGGGTAGCCTTGTGGTTACCAGAGCTAACTTAGGACTCAACTACCTGGGTTTGGGTTCTGGCTCTACCACTTGCTAGCAGTGTAACTTGGGCAAGTCACTTATCTCCCTCAATGTCCTCATTTATACCATGGATTATTTATTTATTTATTTTTTGAGACAGAGTCTTGTTCTGTCACTCAGGCTGGAGTACAGTCCTGCAATCTTGGCTCACCACAACCTCCGCCTCCTGGGTTCAAGCGATTCTTGTCTCAGCCTCCCGAGAATCTGGGCAGCTGGGATTACAGGCGTGCACCACCACACCTGGCTTATTTATTTATTTATTTATTTATTTATTTACAGACAGAGTCTCGCTCTGTCACCAGACTGGGGTGATGTGGCGCAATCTCGGCTTACTGCAACCTCCACCTCCTGGGTTCAAGCGATTCTCCTACCTCAGCCTCCCTAGTAGCTGGGATTGCAGGCACCCGCCACCACGCACAGCTAATTTTTGTATTTTTAGTAGAGATGGGGTTTCACCATGTTGGCCAAATGGTCTTGATCTTTTGACCTTGTGATCTGCTCGCCTTGGCCTTCCAAAGTGCTGAGATTACAGGTGTTAGCCACTGCGCCCGGCCTAGTTTTAAATTTTTTTAGTAGAGACGGGGTTTCGCCATGATGGCCAGGCTAGTCTCGAACTCCTGACCTCAGGTGATCCGCCCACCTCAGCCTCCCAAAGTGCTGGGATTACAGGCGTGAGCCACCGTGCCCAGCCTATATCATGGATATTAATAGGAATGTAAAATGGAATAGCCCGTTTGGAAAACAGCCTTGCAGTTTTTAGTTTAGTTTTGTTTTGTTTTGAGACAGGGTCTCACTCTGCCGCCCAGGCACAGAATGGCATGAATGTGGCTCACTGCAGCCTTGACCTGCTGGACTCAAGTAATTCCTCACCCTCAGCCTTCTGAGTAGCTGAGACTACAGGCACATGCCACCACTCCCGGCTAATTTTTGTATTTTGTAGAGATGGAGTTTCACCATGTTGCCCAGGCTGGTCTCAAACTCCTGGCCTCAAGCCATCAGCCTGCCTTGGCCTCCCAAAGTGCTGGGAATACAGGTGTGAGCTACCATGCCCGACCTTGGCAGTTTTTAAAAGAATTAAACACAGCTGGGCATGGTAGCTCATGCCTGTAATCCCAGCCCTTTGTGAGGCTGAGGCAGGAGAATCCCTTGAGCCGAGGAGTTTGAGACCAGCCTGGGGAATATAGCGAGACCCTGTCTTACAAAAAAAATTTAAAAAGAAATTCGCTGGGCATGGTGGCTCAGGCTTGTGGTCCCAGCCACACTGGAGGCTGAGGCAGAGGATCTCGTGAGCCCAGGAGGTCAAGGCTGCAGTGAGCCCTGACTGTGCCACTGCACTCCAGCCTGAATGAGACTGTGAGACCCTGTCTCAAAAAAAAAAGAAAAAGAAAAAAAAGGTTAAACATAAATGTAGCATATGACCCAGCAATTCCACCCTTAAATGTCTACTTAGGAGAAATAAAAACATATATTCACAAAAGACGTGTATAGCAAATGTTCATAACAGCATTATAGATAATAGCCAAAAAGTGAAAAACACCCAAATGTGATTGGATAAACAAAATGTGGCATATCCCTACAACAGACTACTACTCAGCAATAAAAAGGAACAGGCCGGGCGCAGTGGCTCATCCCTGTAATCCCAGCACTTTGGGAGGCTGAGGCAGGCGGATCACCTGAGGTCGGGAGTTCAAGACCAGCCTGACCAACACGGAGAAACCCCGTCTCTACTAAAAATACAAAATTTGCCAGGCGTGGTGGCGGGTGCCTGTAATCCCAGGTACTCGGGAGGCTGAGGCAGGCGTATCGCTTGAGCCCAGGAGGCGGAGGTTGCAGTAAGCTGAGATTGTGCCATTGTACTCCAGCTTGGGCAACAAGAGCAAAACTCTATCTCAAAAGAAAAAAAAAAGGAACAGATTACCAATACACGCTACAACACAGGTAAACCTCAAAAACATTATGCTTTTGTGAAGCCAGATGCAAAAGACCACATATTGCATGATTCCATTTATATAAAATATCCAAAAAAGGGAACTCTATAGAGACAGAAAGATTAGTCACCCAGGGCTGGGGATGGGAAGGGAGAGCTACAAGTGGGGAGGAGGAGTCTTATAAGCAATGTTCTAAAACTGGATTATGGGGCCGGGCACGGTGGCTCACGCCCATAATTCCAGCACTTTGGGAGGCCGAGGTGGGCGGATCACCTGAGGTCAGGAGTTCGAGACCAGCCTGGCCAACAGGGTGAAACCCTGTCTCTACTAAAAATACAAAAATTAGCCGGGCGTGGTAGCATCTGCCTGTAATCCCAGCTACTTGGGAGGCTGAGGCACAAGAATTGCTTGAATCTGAGAGGCGGAGGTTGCAATGAGCTGAGATTGAGCACTCCAGCCTGGGCAACAGAGTGAGACTCTCAAAAAAAAAAAAAAATTTAGCTGGGCGTGGTGGTGGGAACCTATAGTCTCAGCTACTTGGGAGGTTGAGGCAGGACAATTGCTTGAACCCGGGGGGTGAAGCCTGCAGTGAGCTGAGATTGTGCCACTGCACTCCAGCCTGGAAGACAAAGTGAAACTGTCTCAAAAAAACCCCCAAAACTGGACTATGATGATGGTTGCATAACTGTAAATTTACTAAAAATCATTGAATTGGACACTTAAAATGGGTTATGTGTGGTATGTTCACTTTTAAAAATAGTGTCGGCCAGGCGCAGTGGCTCATGCCTGTAATCCCACCACTTTGGGAGGCCAAGGCGGGCGGATCACAAGGTCAAGAGCTCGAGACCATCCTGGCCAACATGGTGAAACCTCGTCTCTACTAAAAATACAAAAACTAGCTGGGCGTGGTGGTGCGCGCCTGTAGTCCCAACTACTCAGGAGGCTGAGACAGGAGAATGGCTTGAACCCGGGAGGCAGAGGTTGCAGTGAGCTGAGATCGCGCCACTGCACTCCAGTTTGGGCGACCGAGTGAGACCCTGTCTCAAAAAAAAAAGGTCTATTTCATAGGCTGTTATGGGGATTAAGTGACATCCAGTTCTTAGAACAGAGACTGGGCAGTAAGTACTACAGAAGTTACTATGGGGTTGGACGCCTGGGGTGCAGTTCCCCAAAAGGGGCAACCGGGCAGGTCTCCTGCTCCCAAATCCTTGAACACAGTCCTTACTGCCCCAGGTGAGACCTAGATGGGCCAAGGAAAGGGAAGGGCTGGCTTCTGGATCCAGAGGGGCCCTTTCTAGCCTTCACTCTGGAAGTGTTAGATGGGACCCGGCATCCAGCCTTGTCCCTCTTTTTCTCCTATGAGGAGGAGAGGTTCCTGAGAAGGGTGTTGCCGCCCTCATAGCAGGCTGAGGATGGGGTCGAGTGTCCTCTACCGGAGGAAATGGTAATTGCAGCAGCTGGGCCTGCCCACGTGAGTTCTGGTGACTGCTCACATCATGTTTCAACCCTCCCAACAATGTGAGGAAGCCACTGTTGTCCCCTTTTCACTGATAAGGACATTGAGACTTAGAGTGTCTAGGTGACCTGCCCAGGGTTGCACAGCGCCACCCCCGCCCCCATCCAGGCCATAAAGGGTGGTTTGATGATCTCCTTTCAGCTGGAGAGGCACTCACACTATTCTCCTACTGTTTGTAGTGATTCCATCCCTGAGTCCATATTCTGGGGTGCCTGATGAGAGCAAGGGGAAGTAGGGATAGTGGAGGCAGAGAGAAGCACTCACAATCGTAATGACCCCTCAATAAAGCCCCCAAACTCACATGGGGAAGGGGGAGCTGGGAGCTTTTGGAGGCAGAGAAAGAAGAGGCCATTGATCTGCACTGTTATGTAATATTCACTCATTTATTCATACTGATCATTTTCTTGGGCATTCTCTCCTTGTGTCTACACTGTGGTAGGCACAGGAGTGCAAGTAGGCACTGTTGTTGAGGATGAGTCCTCAGCACTGTCCTGCAGAAGAGACAGCCATGAAGATCATCCTTCCAGAACTTTCCGTGTGTGTGTGTGTGTGTGTGTGTGTGTGTGTGTGTGTGTGTGTGTAGAGGTGGGCTTTTTGAGCAATTATGAGCCCTGGAGTCTAGACCCAGCTCAGCTTCATGACTTGGCAGGACCCCAGGATCCCCCCTTGTGACAACTGCCCTGGAGAGCTCTTCTGCAGATGTTAGAGGGTGAGTGTTTTGGGCAATGGAACATCACACCTCCTCCTTCCTCAAACCCTCGCCCCACCTAGGGACTTTACCTCTGGACTTTGCAGGTGGGGGAGGCAGATCCTCCTTACCCCTGTCCTCCCAGATGTTATTTGATGACACATAGGGAAACTACACCTCTGTTGTCACTGCTAGAAGGGCCCGGAGGCAAGCTGCATCATTTGTCCCCGTTCTGAAACCCTCTCTTGTCCTGGCTCCAGAATAAGATATTTATCTGTGGGGCCGCCCCCAGCATTCTTCCACACCTTTACCCCAAGTCATCATACCAATCTCTGTATTTCCACAGATAGGAAACGGCAGTATTCCAATAACCTGATTTTTATCAAGAGAGAAATATCCCAAGGATTCATTCACTCGCTCACTTGCTCATTCATTCATTCACACATATTGATTGAGCACCTATTATATCTTGGCCACTGTTCTAGGCAGTGGGGGATGCACCAATGATCAAGACAAAGTTCTCGTCAACTCATTTCCAGACTAATGGGAGAGACAGACACTAAAGAATAAATCCATTTACAGACTTTTATGTAACAATAAGCTATGCAGAAACTAAAGAAGGTTAAGGGGATAGAACAGGGTGGGGGTGTGTGCTGCATTATCAGAATTTGTACTGGGAATTCACTTTTTCTTTATTTTCCTTGGGGCAGATGAGAGTGAGGGTCTGCGCGTGCCCTCCTCTGGCCTCTTCAACCGGTTTGGCAGATCAAACCTCAGAGGGGGGCATCCTGGGATTGGGGGTCAGGGGTTGCAGAGTCAGCCCTCGGAATTTAGTTGAGGCGGAGTATTTAGATACTGCATCAGAGAAATGGAAATAGATACCGAGACAGCCTATTTATCGGCTTCCATGGATGTAATAACACTCCCACCCTTCCAAATTTATTTTTTTTGTTCATCTTGCATACAAGTACTGAATTATTAACTACTTATACATTACAGCATTTTTGAGCCTACTGTGTGCCACGCACTGTTTTAGGGGCCATTCACGGCCCGCTAGAATCCCTGCTGTGCAAAGC
The DNA here is from genome assembly GCF_000001405.40 of Homo sapiens. Lineage (NCBI taxonomy): Eukaryota > Metazoa > Chordata > Mammalia > Primates > Hominidae > Homo > Homo sapiens. The sequence continues at coordinate 38,675,378 of NC_000017.11, read as the reverse complement.
TTGTAAACAACCATTGCCTCATTTCATCTTTCCCCTAAACATTATTTCTGAGATTCATCTACGTTGATTCACATAGCTCTTTTAGTCCCAAGAGGGCAGATATGAACCGTCCCATTTTACAGATGCAAAACCGTGACTGCTCGGGAAAAAACGAGTGGCTTTGCGACGACGAAATCCCAGGACGCCACCGGGCCACGTGCGGCGGCGCATCTGGCCGCTCGCGATCCCACCCGCGCACGCTCCCTCCCGCGCTCCCTCCCAGCCGCCGCCGCGCCGGGTCCACGTGTGTGTGTCTGTGTGCGGAATGGGGACGGGGGCGGTGCCGCCGGAGGGGTGGGGTCCGGGCTAACGTCACGGGCGGTGCGGCCCAATCAGCGGCGGGCTCGCGGCCCCGGCGCTGGTATTGGGGCAGCGAGGGGGCAGTTCTCTATAACGCGGTCTCCGGGAGCCAGCGGGGAAGAAAGAAACCGAGCGGGCGGAAGGCGCCCTCCCCGCCGCCTGGGCCCGGGCACCGGGTGCCGGGCCCGGGGTCCTTCCCGCCTCCCGCGGCCGCCGGCCGCTTTGTTTCCCCTGCCTCTGCGCTTCGGGCGACTCGAGAGGGTCTCCCGCCGGGGTTGCGAAGGGGACGCGGCGGCAGAAGGGCGGCCGACCCCGCCGGGACTCACAGGGACCCAGGAGTCCGGCCGCCGGGAGGGCCGCGTGAGGAGAGCGAAGAGGGAGCCCGAGCTCTGCGGCCCCGGGTGGCGGGCCGGGGGCGCCCGTGAGCAGAGACCTCCCCGTCGACGGGGGGCGATGTTCCCCTCACCCGTGGGCTCTTCGGGCAGCCAGGGCATCCCGCCGCTGGGACCTGGACCCGCTCAGTGGGCACCCCTCAGGCTGCTCCATGGAGACCCTGTGCCCTGCGCCCCGCCTGGCAGTGCCGGCGTCCCCGCGAGGGTCGCCCTGCTCCCCCACGCCCCGGAAGCCGTGTCGGGGGACCCAGGAATTCTCTCCGCTGTGCCTGCGTGCCCTCGCCTTCTGCGCCCTTGCCAAGCCCCGGGCGTCCTCTCTGGGCCCGGGGCCTGGGGAGCTGGCGGCGCGGTCCCCAGTGCTGCGGGGCCCTCAGGCCCCCCTGCGCCCTGGCGGCTGGGCCCCGGATGGCCTGAAGCACCTCTGGGCACCGACCGGGCGGCCCGGCGTTCCTAACACCGCCGCCGGCGAGGATGCGGACGTCGCAGCGTGCCCCCGCCGCGGAGAGGAGGAAGAGGGCGGAGGCGGTTTCCCGCACTTCGGCGTTCGCTCCTGTGCACCTCCGGGCCGCTGCCCTGCGCCCCCGCACCCTCGGGAATCTACGACCAGCTTCGCCTCGGCCCCGCCTCGCCCGGCCCCGGGTCTCGAGCCTCAGCGTGGCCCAGCCGCCAGCCCGCCTCAGGAACCCAGTTCCCGGCCTCCGTCGCCACCTGCGGGCCTCTCCACCGAGCCCGCGGGTCCCGGGACGGCGCCGCGGCCGTTCCTGCCCGGCCAGCCTGCCGAAGTCGATGGAAACCCCCCGCCGGCCGCCCCCGAGGCTCCAGCGGCCAGCCCCTCGACGGCCAGCCCGGCTCCGGCCGCACCCGGAGATCTCCGCCAGGAACATTTCGATCGTCTGATCCGCCGGTCGAAACTTTGGTGTTACGCGAAGGGCTTCGCCTTGGACACTCCGAGTTTGCGCCGGGGGCCAGAGCGGCCGCCTGCGAAAGGGCCGGCTCGGGGAGCCGCCAAGAAACGCCGGCTGCCGGCGCCCCCTCCGCGCACCGCGCAGCCCCGCCGCCCTGCACCGACGCTCCCCACCACGAGCACCTTCAGCCTCCTCAACTGCTTCCCCTGCCCCCCGGCCCTGGTGGTGGGGGAAGACGGAGACCTAAAGCCGGCATCCTCGCTTCGCCTCCAGGGAGACTCTAAGCCCCCGCCCGCCCACCCGCTGTGGAGGTGGCAGATGGGGGGTCCCGCTGTCCCTGAGCCCCCTGGCCTCAAATTCTGGGGGATCAACATGGATGAAAGCTGACCGTGGGACTTCTGCCAAAGGGGAAAAGTTGGGACCATGGCCAAACCGCGGGCTTGAGGAGGGAGCCCCGTTTCTCACATTTGTCCCCTTCCTTTACATTTTAGGAGCTGTGGGCAGAGGGACCTAAATAACAGTGATCTTCATTCAAGCACCTAAGTTTTCGGGGTGACAGTCCCTCCCCCTCATCCTTTGCAGAGGAACCCAGGGCTGGAGTCGGGAGAAGGCTGATGACATAGATTCCAATCCCTGCCTCCTTCCATCTCGGACCGTTGGAGGCAGGGCCTGCACCCCAGTGGGAGCAAAGGAGGCCACCGCTCAAAGACACCCCCCCACCCAAAAAAAAGGGGAGAAGAGAGAGACCTCGGTGATGGACAAACCGGTTGTTACTGTGTCTGTGGGCGAGCCTGGGGTGCGGGGCTGTGGTGGGGGTGGGGAGATGATTGGCAGCTCCCTGGGGGCATCCCCCACCCCCACTGTCCAGGCCTTTAACCCTTTGCTCCCCTCAGGCCTTCCCTAACGCTCCAAGCACCGCTGGAGCCTTTAATGGGTGAGGGAACTTGGGTAAGAGGAAGATCACCCCCTTCCTGTCCCCTTTCTAGGCCCCCTCAAGTGCAGGTGACCCTTAATTGGTGAGATCTTCAGCCTCAGCCGCCGACCTTTCCCTTTTGTCCAGTTTTGGAGTTCCCGTTTTTTCCTTGTTTGCTTTCCGAGTGTAAGGTCTGGCCGGTGAGAAAGATTTCCCCCAACCTTGATTAATCAGCCCCCTCCCCCAACTTACTTCCCTTAGGACGGGTAGGGCTGAGGGACCTCCTCTCCTGGAAAGTGCTTACTTTGCCTGGGGAAGGGGCTAGACACTGTCCCAGGGAAAGTAATAGAAGGTGGAAGAAATCAATAAAATCAGACCAAACAAGTCGCCTTTCGAGGGCCTCCACCGATTTATGGATGAGAGGGGGTGGAGGTGGAAGGCAGGCCCAAGTCCATTCTTTGGACACCCAAACTCAGCCCCCTTAAAGAGTGGAAACAAAACAAGCTGCACTTTGCAGAGGTGGTAAATGAAAGGACTCTTGGCCTAACTTCAAGAGTCCCCTGGGGTTTGAAGGGGCAAAGTTTGAGTCTGGATGGAACCTGGGCTGAGGTACCTTAAGCTTCCCCCCGCAACACCCCAGCCTCAGGGATTGCGGGAGTTGTCAGAGATCTGATGGATCCGAAAGGGGCAGGGCCAGGGGATTAGGTTTGGGGTCAGAGGTTCTGTTTTCCAGGGGAGGGGTGAGATAGGCCTGGATCATGCCCTCTGCCATGCCCTCCAGCTAGGAGGATCTTGAGTCAGAGAGGATTGGAAGTGCTTTCTCCTCCACCCAGGTGAGGTCAGGGGAGCTTAGGTCTTAGGGAGATGGCAAGTTGAGGTATGAAGGGAAGCTGGGGCTTTTGGAGCTGCCGAACAACTGAGGGACCCAGTGCGCCTTCCATCCCGCACTAGTGAATAGCGCCCCCTCTTCCCCCGAAAACGAGGTGCGAGAGGAACAATTCCCACGCTGGGGAAGGACTTGTCTCCTTTTCTGTGAAAATGCTTTGTAAAAAGTTGTTATTGTTTGCATAGAGCAGATTCTTGAGAAAAACTGTTTTGGACCATAAAAGTTTTGTTTGTTTTAAAAACTGTCTCCTTTCATTTTTCTTTCCTTGGGGGTGAGGGTGGGGGTGGGGTGGGTGGGCACTTCTCTCTTTTTCCTTAACATCTGGCCTCTGTGAACCCTGCTGACCTCCCCTCCCCCTCCAGCTGTGTTGTGGGAGGAGGAGGAAGAAGGGGTGGGGGAGTGCCTTCCACCCTGTGCTTCGGGAGTCTCCATCTTATTTTGCCCCCCAAGAATGGAGAACGGGAGGAAGAAGACACAAGGGGTGGGGAGAGAATCGCTGTGAAGAGGGGGGCTGTCAGAAGTCTGGAAAGGCAGACTCCCTGATTTTCAAAGACCCCTTGGTTTTAGTAACGCGCTCCGGGTCAGCGTCTGCCCCACCCGCCTGCCTGGAGCCGGGCACGGGATGATGGTGTGAGCTCTGGGTGAAGGAGGAAGGGCTGGTGGGCATGAAATACTCTTCTTGGACTTTCCTCCTCTTCGGGGCAGGAGGAGATGCTGTTAATTTAGGTTCTTTCCTCCCTGCATCACCTGCCCCCACCCTCACTCCCCCACCCCCGCCCTGCAAGTGAAAGGGTTACAACTCAACCTGGAAGGGGGCGGGGTGGCGAGTTAAAAAACACACCTTTTGGCCAAATAAGATTTAATTCTAGTTATTTTACAGAATAGGGAACTACGTTAGTTTCCAGGGCTGCCATGACAAATCATAACAAACTTGGTGGCTTAAAAGACAGATATTTAAGCGGCCGGGTAAGGTGGCTCACGCCTGTAATCCCAGCATTTTGGGAGGCCGAGGCGGGTGGATCACAAGGTCAGGAGATCGAGACCATCCTGGCCAACATGGTGAAACCCTGTCTCTACTAAAAATACAAAAACTAGCTGGACTTGGTGGCGCATGCCTGTAATACCAGCTAGTCTGGAGGCTGAGGCAGGAGAATCGCTTGAACCCGGGAGTCGGAGGTTGCAGTGAGCCGAGATCATACCACACTGCACTCCAGCCTGGCGACAGAGTGAGACTCCATCTCAAACAACAACAACAAACCCCGATATTTCTTCTCTTCCATTTACTGGGACCAGAGGTCCAAACCTAAGGCATTGCAGGGCCGAACTCCCTCCGAAGGCTCTCGGGAAGGGCCCCCTCCGTGCCTCTTCCAGCTTCTGTGGCCCCAGGTGTTCCTTGACTTGGGGCTGCAGAGTTCCCATTCTCCCATGGTATGGCCCTCCCCTCTCCTGTCTGTCACAAGGACACTTGTCATTGGCTTTAGGGCCCACCAGACAATCCAGGATGATCTCGTCTTGACATCTTTAATTAAGTTACATTTACAAAGACCCTTTTTCCAAATGAAGTCATATTCACAGGCTCTGGGGGAGTGGGGGCTGGGGATTAGGACCTGGACACATCTTTTTGGGTTCCATCATTCAGCCCACCCCAGAAACTGAGTCCCAGAAAAGAAAGAAACTTGCCCAGACTTCTGGGGGAAGCAAACAGGTACTGAGTATTTGGGGTTGGAATAGGGAAAAGCGTGCTTCCAAGCGAGGGCCACAAGTTTCTCCGAACAGGAGCCGCCTGGGGAAAGGGGAAAGGGACCCCTGGCTTTCCCTAGGCTCTGAGCTCCCGGGAATCTGGGACTCCCTCTCCCACGCCAATACGCTGGAGCCCGAGAGGGTCTGAGGAAGTCTGCTCTCCCTCCCAGGTGTCTTCAGCCCCTGCTTCTACCCCTCCCTTCCTCCAGTCCCATGTCCTCTAGGGCTGGTGGCCACCACGTTGGTTTGTCAGGGATGTGGTGGTCATAGTCTTATTTCTGTCTGGGTCTCTAAGCTCTTACAGCATCACCTGTTTTCCTTCTGTCTCAAAGGGTCTCAGAGGGTCTCCTCTCCATGTGCCTCTGGGTCTCTACCCTCCTCTTCAGGGTCTGGCAGGACCCCCAGAGTAACCCCTCGCTCACCTTCCCCTATCCCAGCCCTGCTTACCGTCTCCTCCCTCCTCCCGGGAGCATCAGCCGCCTCCAGCTCCTCTGCCTCTCACCTCTTAGACCTCTGCAGCCTGACTTCTGTCCCTGAAACCGCTTTTGCCAAGGTCAGCCAGGAGAGCCCCCAACCTCAAATTCAACAGTTGCCTCCCTGCCACCACTCCTGGACTTCTGCATAGCCTGTGACACTGCTGGACACTCACAAGGGTCTCTGTCCCCAAAGGTCCCGCCTCTGTCTTCTTCCATCTCCTCCTTCTCTTGCCCCCCTCCCCCAGAAGCTTTAAAAAGACAAAGTCCGATGAAGTCCGGTGGCGCCTGCCCTCCACCCTATCTGCCCGCAGGATTCTGTTTTCCTCCCCTAGGTCATCAGCTTGCACCTATATGGGTAAATGACTCCCACTTGACTGTCCCTGCCTCCTCTCCCTCCAGCACCCCTCCTGAGCCTTGGTCCCGCATCTCCACAGGGACAATGGCAACTCATTTGCCCCTGTCAAAGACCAAGCTCCTGGTCCCTGCCCACAGCTCCCTGCCCACAGCAGTCCCCCTGGTCAAGTCCACATTCTGGTTACAGCTCTGCTTTTCTCCCCATTACTTCCCCTGGACTCAGCACCTTGAATTCTCAGCTGGGTCCTCCCATTTGACCCACAGCTATCTATTTCCAAGCCTCCCCCTGCTTCTCCCCTCCCAAGGATCTCACAATTCTGTCTCTAATCTCCACTCCATCATGGTGCAGTGTCCCCTACCTCTAGGCTGGACTATGACAGTAGCCACCTAACTATTAATAGTTTCTGGGTGTCTGGTTTTTCTCTGATGCCCTCAGATCAGTTTACCTTCTTACTGAGTGGGTCCCCTGATAGTATTAAATGCAGCCTCCTTGGCCTGTCATTTGGAGCCCTCTGTGATTTGGCCTTAACCCCCAGCTCCCTCAACCAACTTGGTTCCCATTACTTCGCTTTATACCAGTGAAGGTATACCTGGTCTACTAGGCTGGAATGCACTTCCTTCCCCAGCGCCCCCAGCATGCCCCTCCCTGCTTTCTTTACCTTCATTCTCCAATGCAAAATGTCATCTCTCCCATGAAGTATTTTTTGATTCCCCCAGTTAGATGTGCTTCATGCCACCTCTAGACCCTCTTCACTCTTCTGTGTCTGGTAGGAAGGGACTGTGGAGTGTGGAGGGCGAGTGCGGCTTTGGGGCCAGACACTCCCGCTCCCCTCTGTCTATGGAGAACCTGGGTCAGGGGACTCGAGGCAGAACCTTCCTGACCTAAGCTTTCATTTTATTGCCTTGGCCTTAACTGAGAGTCATTGACATGTAACAACCATTTCAAAAAAAAATCGCCCCTGCAATTGTAAAAACTTCCTGAGAAGGCTGGCAAGGTAGCTTGTGTCTGTAATCCCAGCACTTTGGGAGGCCAAGGCGGGGAGAATCACTTGAGCCCAGGAGTTTGAGCCAGCCTGGACAACATAGGGAGAACTTGATGCTACCAAAAACAAACAAACAAACAAAAACAAAAAACAAGCTGGGTGTGGTGGCGTGCACCTGTAGTCCCAACTACTCTGGAGGCTGAAGTGGGACGATTGCTCAGCCACTTCAGGGAGATCAAGGCTGCAGTGAGCTGTGATCACTCCACTGCACTCCAGCCTGGGTGACAAAACGAGACCCTGTCTCAAAAACAAAAACAAAAAACACTTCCTGAGAAGACACTGTCCAGTGTGCCAAGTCCCCCTATGCTGTGTTCACATTTTCTCTAAGATAAAAAGTTAGGGTATTGATGACAAAGTTATAATTATTTGTGATTTTTCTTGTGTCCTTCTACAGTGATCTTGTATCTCTTGCTTCATTTTTTAAGGTCCTGGATCAGTGCCTTGCACACAGCAGGCACCTAATGAATACTTGCCCAATGCATTTCACCCCACCTCCGTTCCTCCTGACCCCTCCACCCTTGTCTAAAGCATTTTTAAAAAGCCTCATTTAAATGACTGCACAGCAGCTTGGCGAGTGACCCTTGGCCAGAATGCAGTTCCAGAGCTTGTCCACTAGATGCTGCTGTCTGCTAGCACCAGAAAGAGGATGGCGAGCCAGAGAAGGGTGGCTGGGGAAGGGATTCATTCTCCCAGGCCATGGAGTGAGAGCCCTGAGGGGGATCGATGTGCAAGACGTGGTCTCTGCACACAAGGAACTTAAGCAGGTGTCAGGTGTTTTACAGGCATTATTTTGCTTTCATAGCAATAGATAAGTACTATTTGTTTAGCAGATGAGGAAATGGGACTCAGAGAGGTTAATTAACTTGCCTGAGGTCACACAGCCAGTGGAGGAGCAAAGTAGCTCTGGTCTGTCTGACTAGGTTTCCTCCTGAGTGGTTATCATAGCAAGCACTGTAATGGCATTTCCTTGGAACCAGGCCTTGTTATATTATGCTTAGTTGCTCATGTAATCCTCAGGACACAACATGAGGTAGGTACTATTATTTATTTATTTATTTATTTATTTATTTATTTATTTATTTATTTATTTTTGAGACAGAGTCTCACTCTGTTGCCCAAGCTGGAATGCCGTGGCGCAATCTTGGCTCACTGCAACCTCCACCTTCTGGGTTCAAGTGATTCTCATGCCTCAACCTCCCTAGTAGCTGGGACTACAGGCGTGGGCCACCATGCCTGGCTAATTTTTGTATTTTTTAGTAGAGACGGGGTTTCACTATGTTGGCCAGGCTGGTCTCGAACTCCTGACCTCAAATGATCTGCCCACCTTGGCCTCCCAATGTGCTGGGATTACGGGTGTGAGCCACCGCGCCCAACCGTGGTACTATTAGCTCCATTTTGCAGATGAGAAAACTGGGGTTCACAGAGGTTAAGCCCATACAGCTACGGAATTGTGTCCTTTGAGTTTGTGCTCTAAATGACCACACTGCTGCCATGTTTCACCACCCAGCAGCAACCTGTTATGGGGTGGGAGTAGCCCCCACCAATATGTAGAGGTCCCAGAGCTCTGTTCCAGAGACACAAAGACACAGAGCCTGCCCCCAAGGTCCCTAGAGTGGCATGGGGAAAGCAGGACATGCAGTCCCCTCCTTAGGGTGTGGACTCTCCACAGATGTGCTGAGCGACTCAAGCTGAGTGTTGAGTGTTTTACCCTCTCTGGGGCTCAGTGTCATCACCTAAAATCAGGGGACTCTGTAACAGAAAGTGCCTCTCAGACGCAGACTTGCCATCCATGGTGATTTTTTTTTTTTTTTTTTGAAACAGGCTCTGACTCTGTCACCCAGGCTGAGTACAGTGGTGCGATCTTGGCTCATCGCAGCCTTGATCTCCCAGGCTCAAGAGATCTTCCCATATCACCCTCTCGAGTAGCTGTGACCACAGGCACGTGCCACCATGCACAGCTAATTCTGTTTATTTTTAATTTTTTTTTTGAGACGGAGTCTTGCTCTGTTGCCCAGGCTGGAGTGCAGTGGTGCAATCTTGGCTCACTGCAACCTCTGCCTCCTGAGTTCAAGCAATTCTCCTGCCTCAGCCTCCTGAGTAGCTGGGATTACAGGTGCCTGCCACCATGCCTGGCTAATTTTTGTATTTTTAGTAGAGGCGGGGTTTAACCCTGTTGGCCAGGCTGGTCTCGAACTCCTGACCTTGTGATCCACCCGCCTCAGCCTCCCAAAGGGCTGGGATTACAGGTGTGAGCCACCGTGCCTGGCCAATTTTTTTTTTTTTTGAGATGGAATCTCGCTCTGTCACCCAGGCTGGAGTGCACAATCTTGGCTCACTGCAACCTCCACCTCCCAGGCTTAAGCGATTCTCCTGCCTCAGCCTCCTGAGAAGCTGGGACTATAGGCGTGCACCACCATGCCTGGCTAATTTTTTTTTTTTCTATTTTTTTAGTAGAGACAGGGTTTTGCCATGTTGGCCAGACTGGTCTAGAACTCCTGACCTCAAGTGATCCGCCCACCTTGGCCTCCCAAAGTGCTGGGATTACAGGCGTGAGCTCTGTTTATTTTTTGTAGAGATGGGGGTCTCATTATGCTACTCAGGCTGATCTTGAACTTCTGATCTCAAGGGATCCTCCTGACTCAGCCTCCCAAAGTGCTGAGATTACAGGCATGAGCCACTCTACCCGGCTTCCACGATGATTTATTACAAAATCATGGCACTTAAACAAACAGAGGGAAGTTACCTACTCTAAAATGCACCAGAATTTCAGCTTGATGATCATTACACATGTACATTACCTGTGTGATCGCCACCCAGACCTAGATAAGCAACACTTCCAGCCTTTGGGAGGCTGTGTGAGGCCTGCTCCCAGTTGATCTCCTGACCCGGAGATGACCACCATGCCGGCCTCTGTCACCGAAGATCCGTTCGGCTTGTTTTTGACCCTCATAAGAATGGAAGGTACGTTTTTGGGTCTGGCTTCTTTTGTTCAACATTATGCATGGGATTCATTCATGCTGTTGCATGAAGCTGTAGTTAACTCATTTTATCACCGTGTAGTATTTGATTGAATGAATATTCTGCAATGTATATGTTTTCCTGTTGATGGATGTTTGGGCTGTTTCCAGATTTTAGTTTTATGTATAAAGCTACGTGTTACAGTTTTTATTGTTGTTGTTTGTTTGTTTGAGACAGAGTCTCGCTCTGTTGCCCAGGCTGGAGTGCAGTGGAGTGATCTCAGCTCATTGCAACCTCTGCCTCCCAGGTTCAAGCAATTCTCCTGCCTCAGCCTCCCGAGTAGCTGGAATTACAGGTGTGAGCCATCACGCCTGGCTAATTTTTGTATTTTTAGTAGAGACGGGGTTCTGCCATGTTGACCAGGCTGGTCTCGAACTCCTGACCTCCAGTGATCCACCCGCTTTGGCCTCTCAAAGTGCTGGGATTACAGGCGTGAGCTTCTGTGCCCAGCCTTTGTGTCACAGTTTTAAAGGAGAAGAGAAAGGAGCTAACATTTCTCAAGCGTTAAGCGTTAACTGTCTCCAACAATGGGCTAAGGACTGGAGATGAGAAATAACTAAAACCTCATATTGCTCTCCGACAGCTCACCACCTAGCAGGGGAGAGAGGTAAGTGAGCAATCAGGACAAGACAGGCATAGAGGTGGAGACTGGTGAGGTTGAGGGAACAGTGGAGCATGTGGGAAGAGCATCAGGGCATCAGAGGGGGCTTCTCAGAGAAGGAGCTCTCTGAATTGAGTCTTCAAGGATATAGGAATCCCTGAAGTGAAGGCCGGGAGGCACTGGGGCAGAGCACACACAAAAGTGCCAAGATTTGAGTGGCTGGAGCACAGGGTACATGTGACAAGAGATGAAGTAGACCGAGGTCAGATCACAAAAGGTCTTATATGTTAGGGTAAGGAGTTGATTCTGAAGACAAGAGGGAGCCCCTGAAGGGTGACCCAATCAGACTGTGAGAGAAGAGGGCTCAGGAACAGGCAGGGTGAATACTCACATTTCATGATTCATGGGAGGCTGGTGTGGAGTCCCTGGGGGTAGAGGCAGGGGGGCAGGGGTGGAGGCTGTGAGAACCCATTCGGGGGCGGGGTCGGCGGGGAGAAGGAGAGGACAGTCTCGGTGAGGGGGTCCTTACAAGGTAGACTCACCAGCTTTGGTGACAGATTGAATGTGGGGTGAGGCAGAGGAGGAGTGTGGCTTGAGTCCCAGATTTGGCCCTGTTGCCTGCGTGGGTTTGTGGCTGAGAGAGGCCTGAGCTGGAGGTAGGGAGGCTTTAGGGCATCAGACAGGATTGGACGGGAATGGCCAAGGCATGCATGTGGGGTGAGAAAAGGGCCAAGAACAGAGCCCTGGGGCACATTTACAAAGGGGAGCCAAGTGCCGTGGCAGCTCACGCCTGTAATCCCAGCACTTTGGGAGGGCAAGGAGTACGGATCACTTGAGCCCAGGAGTTTGAGACCAGCCTGGTCAACATAGTCAGATTTTGTCTCTACTAAAAATTAAAAAAAAAAAAAAAATTAGCTGGGCATGGTGGTTCGTGCCTGTAGTCCCAGCTTTGTGGGAGGTTGAGGTGGATCACTTGAGCCCAGGAGGTCGAGGAAGCAGTGAGCCATGATCATGCCACTGCACTCCAGCCTGTGGTGGGCAAAAGAGGGAGGCTTTGTCTCAAAAAAAAAAAACAACAAAAAAAGGCGGGGGCTGGGGAGGAATGGCCAGGGAGAGAGTGGGGAGAGAGAGGGTGGAGAGGAGGGAGAGAGGGGGAGGCTCTGGGGGCTCTGGTGACCACTGCTCATTGTCCACCCAAATCTGAGCTCCCTGTGCCAACTGGGTAGGCACATTTCCCAGCCCCTTTGCGGTCAGGTATGACTATGTGATTTAATTCCCACCACTGGGCTGCGAAGGGGAAGGGGTGTGTGCCTCTCCCAGCCTGGGCTTTAAGACCCTGGGCCTGCCCGCCCCACACTCCCTTGCCCTTCCTGCTGGCTGGAACCCGGCATGGCAGTCACTCAGCTTCGGTCCTGAGTCACTGGCAGGGCCCTAGGGGGCAGCACAGCAGCACATGGAAGGAGCCTGGTCCCCGAATGGCTGTGAGAGCTCCCGGCTGACCTGGAGTGTTCACCTGCAACACAGGAAAGAAGCAAATTTTACATTCTTCAAGCCATCATCTTTTTTTGGATCTCTTTGTTCTAGGAGTTTAGCCTAACCAGTACAACTTAGACTAAGCTAAACAGTTTAGCATAGCCCAAATAATACAGAGAATTAACCTAATGAAAAAATAATTAGCCAAATTAATACAATGGAAAATTAAAACATAATAAAATAAAATATTGGCCTAACGAACACAACTTACCCTAACTCATCCAATAATCAAAGGAGGAGAGTATCAAGAAAGGAGGAAAACAGGGTGGAATGTCACACAAAGATGGGATAGAGCCGGGCATGGTGGATCATGCCTGTAATCCCAGCACTTTGGGAGGCCAAGGCGGGTGGAGCACTTGAGGTCAGGAGTTTGAGACCAGCCTGGGCAACATGGTGAAACCCCGTCTCTACTAAAAATACAAAAATTAGCTGGTGTGGTGGCGCAAGCCATAGTCCCAGCTACTTAAGAGGCCAAGGTGGGAGGATCACTTGAGCCTGGGGAGGTGGAGGTTGAAGTGAGCAGTGATTGCACCACTGCACTCCAGCCTGGGTGGCAGAGTGAGATCCTGTCTTAAAAAAAAAAACAAGATCAGATACAGGATGAGGAAGGTCCACTGGCCTTGGCAAGCAGGATGGCACCAGTGACTCTAGTGAGATCTTCCTGGGGAGTAGGGATGAAACGGGAGGGAAAGAAGCAGATCCAGCCCATGCATCTCTTTTGAGGAACTTGGATGAGGAAGGGCAGAGATGAGGAAGGCTCTAGAACGAACCCAGGATCCAGCACGATTACAGTGCGTTAGGAGAGAGGGAGGGGTTGGGGACACCGGAAAGAAGAGAGGAAGGCCTCTGTGGAGGGCAGGTGCTGGGCTCCAGAGCTCAGGTGGACAGGGATGGACAAGCGTGTTCCCAAACGGGCTCAGACTCCTGCTCCTATGCACATGCACACACACACGCACGTGCACGCACACATGAACACACATGCACACACACCTGACACAAGAGCCTGGAGACAGGCTGGGCACGGTGGCTCACACCTGTAATCCCAGCACTTTGGGAGGCCGAGGCGAGTGGATCACTTGAGGTCAGGAGTTTGAGACCAGCCTGGCCAACATGGTGAAACCCCATCTCTACTAAAAATAAAAAAAAATTAGCTGGGCACGGTGGCAGGTGCCTGTAGTCCCAGCTACTTGGGAGGCTGAGGCAGGAGAATCGCTTGAACCCAGGAGACAGAGGTTGCAGTGAGCTGAGATTGTGCCATTGCCCTCTAGCCTAGATACAGGGCGAGACTCCGTCTCAAAAAACAAAAAACAAAAATAAGAAGAAGAGGGGCTGAGTGTAGTGGCTCACACCTATAATCCCAGCATTCTGGGAGGCCAAGGAGGGAGGATTGCTTGAGGCCAGGAGTTTGAGACCAGCCTGGGCAATATAGTGAGTCCCCCTATCTACAAAAAATAAGCAATTAGCCGGGTGTGGTGACGCATACCTGTAGTCTCAGATGCTTGGGAGTCTGAGGTGAGAGGATTGCTTGAGCCTGGGAGGTCAGGGCTTCAGTGAGCTGTGATTGCCCCACCACACTCCACCCAGAGAGACAGAGCGAAACCCTGTCTCCAAAAATAAAAGTAAATAAATAAATATATTAAAAAATTAGCCAGGCACAGTGGCATGTGCCTATTGTCCCAGCTACTCAGGAGGCTGAGACAAGAGGATCACTTTAGCCCAGGAGTTTGAGGCCGTAGTGAGCTATGATCGCACCACTGCACCGCAGCCTGGGTGACAGAGTGAGAACTTATCTCAAAAAAAAAGAAAAACAAACAAACAAAAAAACACTTTGGGAGGCCGAAGCGGGTGGATCATGAGGTCAGGAGTTCAAGACCAGTCTGGCCAACGTAGTGAAACCCCATCTCTACTAAAAATACAAAAATTAGCCAGGGGTGGTGGTGGGCACCTGTAATCCCAGCTACTTGGGAGGCTGAGGGAGAATCACTTGAATCCGGGAGGCAGAGGTTACAATGAGCCAAGATCGCGCCACTGCACTCCAGCCTGGGCGGCAGAGAGACTCCATCTCAAAAAAAAAAAAAAAAGGCCGGGTGCAGTGGCTCAAGCCTGTAATTCCATCACTTTGAGAGGCCGAGGTGGGTGGATCACCTGAGGTCAGGAGTTTGAGAACAGCCTGGCCAACATGGCAAAACCCCGCCTCTATTAAAAATACAAAAAGTAGCCAGGCGTGGTGATGCACTCCTATAGTCCCAGCTACTCGGAAGGCTGAGGCAGGAGAATCGCTTAACCCAGGAGGCGGAGGTTGCAGTGAGCTGAGATCACTCCACTGCAATCCAGCCTGGGCGACAGTCTCAAAACAAACAAAAAAACCAGAAGGGAAGTAGGGAAGTGAAGTGTCCTCCACCCTTGGTCCCTCCCACAGAGAGACTTGTCCTGGGGAAATAAGCACTGCAGTTCCAAAAGACAGGAGCTTATGGAGAGAAGAGGGGAGACTGGGGATCCATTCCCAGGGTTGCGGTGATCCTTGATCCCATGGCCCTGGTAGTGTGGCAGCAGGACTGCCTTTGCTGTTTTTGTGCCCCAGAGAGTGGGGACCTGGGAGCAGGAGCTGGATAGAGAGTAGGGAACCCCTGTGGGGAATCACGCCTATGGCTTATGAGGTCCATGTGTGTCTGTGTGGCCCTGTGAACAGGGAGCTCTGTCTGTGTGTCTGCTGGAGGGGGTCCTTGGGTTTGTTCGTGAGTCAGGAAGGAGTCTCTGGATATGCATGTGTGTGCACCGGCCTCGAGTGTGCGATCTCCTGCATTCGTCTATCCCACGTGCATGCGTGTGCATCTCTTGGCTCTGCACAGCTCTGTGTCTAGGAGTGTGTAACATGTGTCCCCCCTGCCTTGAAACAGAAACTAGGTCAGCCTGGAGATGTGTGGGCAGGAGTGGAGTTAGGGTTGGATTCTTCAGCAGTACCAGGCTGGATGGGGAGCGTCATCCAGCTCCCCATTCAAATTGGCCAGGTGCAGTGGCTCACTCCTGTAATTCTAGCACTTTGGGAGGCAGAGGTGGGAGGATTGCTTGAGGCCAGGAGTTCGAGACCAGCCTGGGAAACATAGGGAGACTCTGTAAACAATTTTTTTTTTTTTTTGAGATGGAGTCTCGCTCTGTCACCCAGGCTGGAGTGCAGTGGCGGGATCTCGGCTCACTGCAAGCTCCGCCTCCCGGGTTCACGCCATTCTCCTGCCTCAGCCTCCCCAGCAGCTGGGACTACAGGCGCCCGCCACCACACCCGGCTAATTTTTTGTATTTTTAGTAGAGACAGGGTTTCATCGTGTTAGCCAGGATGGTCTCGATTTCCTGACCTTGTGATCTGCCCGCCTCGGCCTCCCAAAGTGCTGGGATTACAGGCGTAAGCCACCGCGCCTGGCCCAAAAAATTTTTAAAAATTGGCTAGGTGTGGTGGCTTGTGCTTGTAGTCCCAGCTCAGCTACTCAGGAGGCTGAACGGGGAGGATTGCTTGAGCCCAAGAGATCAAGGCTGCAGTGAGCTATGATTGTGCTGATGCACTTTGGTCTGGGTGAGACAGCAAGACCTTGTCTCAAAAAATAAATTCATAGTAATGCCCCTCCCTCCATCCCTTCCTCCTCTACATTAACCTTGGCATAAAGAGAAGCTGCAGGTAGCCTCTGAGGGGCTTCTCCCCTTGGTAGGGACAAGGACTGAGAGGCATCTGACCAGAAGCGGGAGGGAGGGCTGGGTTTAGTTAAGACGAAGGTGTGGGCACCTATTTCTAGATCTTGCCAGGGATGTGGGAAGGGGCAGCCTGCATTGTTTTCTGCATTCCTCTGGGCAAGGACACAATAGGGCCAGGGCACTCTGCCTAGGGACCTGGCTGCATCAAAAGGACCTCCAGTGCCAGGAGGGAGAACCCTTCCTCCTCTGGACCCTGAGTGCTCCATTCAGGGAGACATCGGTTTGTCTGTTCCCCCAGCGCTGAATGCTCCTTGATCTGAGGTCCGTAAGTCCCAGACCCATAACCCACCGCATCGCCTGTGTATAATGGGAGCGGGGAGTGTAAATGCCAGGATCCACATGGGCAGTGGGCCAGCCCCCGTGCCAAGCCTCTTTGGGGGAGGAAGTGCTCTCCCCACCCCAGCCTCGCGCCCACCCTGCCTCCAGCTTCCCACTTCCTCCTCCATCTGAGCCTTGCAGCAGCAGCACCTCCTCTCTGGGGCCCAGCCAAGTAGCACTCAGCCCACGGCAGGCAGGCTCACAGCAGCCACAGAGCAGCCTTGCTCCCCGGCACCTGCTCCTCTCCTCTCCCAGCCTCCTCCGGACCCTCCCTTCCTGTCTTCTGCAACCTGGAGTTTGCACGGAGAGCCCCCTGTCATGTCTGGGGCTCTGTGTTGGGTGCCTGGTTGGTCCAGTTGGTCCAAGTCCTGATGAGCTCTATGTCACCCTGAGCAAATGTGGCCATCACCTCTGTTAGTCCTTTCTGAGTTCCAAGTCAGTCCAGACCCCTGTGGCCACTGTGGGTTCCATGTCACTCTGGACCAAAACGGGCACCACTTCAGTCTAATCCCTGTGGGCTCTGTGATTTCCTGAAGCAACATGGGCGCCCTATCATTCAGTCCCACCCCACCAGGCTCCATGTCACTCCAGGCCCTGTGAGCCCTGTCTCAGTGTGGGCTGCTACAGGCTCCCTGACACCCTGGGCTGGGTTCTGTGTTGGTTTGGGCCAAGTTAGGTGTCCTATAGTTCTAATTCCATGACAGGCTGGACACTGTGGACAGACACCATCTTGATCAGCACCGTGGACCTCCCCTTAGGCCAGACGCCTTTGGGCTCAGCCTCTGATCCCACTCTGGACTCTTGTGGGTCCTGTGTTCGCCTGAGCCAAAGGGAGCTCCGTGTTGCTCTAGCTCCTTGTAGTCCCTCGCCACTTTATGGGGGCCGGGAGGCCAGCAGCACTGGCATCACCTGAGTCTTGCTAGTAATGCAGACTCTTAGGCCCCACTCCAGGCCTCCCTAATCGGAATTGCATTTACCAACAAGATCCTAGACGATCCTGGCACATGTACAAGTTTAAGAAGCGCCATCATCAAATGCATGCTGACCTGAATCAAGGCAGGAACCTTGCTGACCTAATTCCACGTGAGCTCCATGACACCTGGGCCAGTGTGGTGACAAGAGACACCCCCCCCCCGCCCCGTGCCCCATGTGAGTGGAGGTGTTCTCCCTCTAGACACCCCTACTCCTGCCACACAGGTCTATGCCTCTCCTCTGTCTCCCCTTCTTTTCTTCCACTCGGAGGCCTTGCCTCTAACCAACTTCCTTCTCCAAAACCAATGCCCATTCCCCTGCCCAGCGTGTCTGGCACCCCCTGCACAGAATCCAAGCACAAAGGGCTTTTGTCATCCCTCACTCTGAGCCTGGCTCTGGGGCTCCTCTTGACCCTCCCTCCCGGCCAGCCTCCTGCCGCCACCTCAGGCCACCCCAGCTGGAGGCTGCTGCGGTACTTTTCCATCCCTGCTGTTCTCTGCCTTACACACACATTGCACAGATAGATCCAAAGTCTATATCTATATATACCTCTCACCCCCCCACCCCCGGACGTCGTGCGTCTCGTTTGCCAGGCTGTGGTCGTGCAGTCTGTCGCTCGTTAAGGCTCTGTCTCAGATTTGCATGTTTAATATTTTATCCAGGAAGTGCTTCTGGCTGGGGCTCCGGGAGGTGGTGTGAAGCCGACAGAATGTCAGGCCCCGGAATGGTTGCTCACGGGTGGTGGCGGTGGGATGAGCGTCTGCGGGACTGGGGATGGTGACGCCAGTTCCTGGCTGCTTGTCTGGGCTTCAGCATTGGGGTGGGGTGGCAGGAGGTGGGCTTGGGGAGAACATGTTGGAGATCAGCTCCCCCAGCTGCACGGACAGCTTCCCTTCTTTGGGCCACATGGCTATCAGAAGGAGGGGCCCCGAATTTGAACTTACTTTTTAGGTTCAGCAGCTCCACTAGGTCTTAGTCACTTCCGTGTCCGGGGATTTTCCAGGAGGAAGAAGCCCTTTGACTCCATGGGGAAATGGCGGTAACTCATCCTCTTCCTGGTTCACCCTGTACCCGGGACAAACCATGTAGGAGAACAGAGTGGGAAACAGAAAATGGGCTGCCACGGTGTGACCTTGGGGAGCCATTGAGCTCTTCTTTTTCTTTTTTTTTTTTTTTGAGACAGAGTCTTGCTTTGTCGCCCCGGCTGGAGTGCAGTGGCGCCATCTCAGCTCACTGCAACCTCCACTTCCCGGGTTCAAGCAATTCTCTGCCTCAGCCTCCTGAGTAGCTGGGATTACAGGCACTCACCACCATGCCCAGCTAATTTTTGTATTTTCAGTACAGATGGGGTTTCACCATCTTGGCCAGAGTGGTCTCAAACTCCTGACATCAGGTGATCCGCCCGCCTCGGCCTCACCTCCCAAAGTGCTGGGATTACACCGTGTCTAGCCAAGGCCAAGGTCTTTTTTTTTTTTTTTTTTTTTTTTGAGACGGAGTCTCGCTCTGTCACCCAGGCTGGAGCGATCTCAGCTCACTGCAAGCTCCGCCTCCCGGGTTCACGCCATTCTCCTGCCTCAGCCTCCCAAGTAGCTGGGACTACAGGCACCTGCCACCGTGCCCAGCTAATTTTTTTTTATTTTTAGTAGAGATGGGGTTTCACCATGTTGGCCAGGCTGGTCTCGATCTCCTGACCTCTTGATCCGCCCACCTCGGCCTCCCAAAGTGCTGGGATTACAGGCATGAGCCTTTTTTTTTTTTTTCTGAGATGGAGTCTCTCTCTGTTGCCCAGACTGGAGTGCAGTGGTGTTATCTCAGCTCACTGCAGCCTCCACTTCCTGAGTTCAAGTGATTCTCCTGCCTCAGCCTCCCAAGTAGCTGGGATTACAGGCACGTACCACCACGCCTGGCTAATTTTTGTAGAGATGGGGTTTCATTATGTCGGCCAGGCTGGTCTTGAACTCCTGACCTCAGGTGATCCTCCCACCTCAGCCTCCCAAAATACTAGGATTACAGGCATGAGCCACTGCGCCCAGTGTATTGAGCTCTTTGGGTTCCTGTGGGTGACAGGAGAGGACCACAAGCATCTTTACCCTCGCTGCCCCCCAGCATGTTAGAGACCTGAGTCAGTGGCAGGCACTACAGAGCACTGAAGAAATCCCTTCTGTTCCCAGATATTTGTAAATAACTCAGCGGGCAGGAGGGGGAAAGGAGGGAGAAAGATGAGGCTCTGGCCCAAGGGCAGATGGAATTATCTGAAGATGGAGAAAGGGAGGCGGGGAGCAGACAGACACAGGCCTTTCATTCTGACCCTTGCCAGGCATGAAGTGCCTGATTGTGCTTGTGTCCAGAGGGCTCAGTGGGGCCTGGAGGTCAGAGGGAGAAGGGATTGCCTGCTCCATCCCCCAGGTCCCTCGGGAACAAGCTCTCCACACAATTCTGCTGCCGTCTGGTGGGGGTCAGACAGAAAGGGATTCTTTTTTTTTTTTTTTTTTTTGAGATGGAGTCTCGCTCTGTCACCAAGGCTGGAGTACAGTGGCGCAGTCTTGGCTCAATGCAACCTCTGCCTCCCGGGTTCAAGCAATTCTTGTGCCTCAGCCTCCCGAGTAGCTGGGATTACAGGCGTGCCACCACGCTGGCTAATTTTTGTGTGTGTGGGTATATATATATATATATAGTTTTTTTTTTTTTGTAGAGATGGGGATTTACCATGTTGTTCAGGCTGGTTTTGAACTCCTGACCTCAAATGATCCACCTGCCTGGGCCTCCCAAAGTGCTGGGATTATAGGTGTGAGCCACCACGCTCACCCAGAAAGGGCTTCTTAGCAACAGAGGGGGCATGGCCCCAGGTCCCACTCTCCCCACCCCTTGCTGAGTTTCAGGGCCTGGAGGTTTATCTGTGCAGAATTTCTGGAGTCAGCCCTGGTTGGGGCAGGAGCAGACGAAGGGGGTGTGAGTGGGAGGATGTATGTGATTATCTCTCAGCCTGCAAAGGGGACCTCCTCCTACCTCAGACAGTTCCACATTTGCTCCCAGCTGCTCCTCCCCCAGGTGCCAAGTTGGGAAGTTCTTCCCGGCGTCTAGCTTCAGCTCTTTCCACTGCCACTGCAGTGCGATTACTCTCTGTTCTGCTATTTGGGGGCCGGAGGGGAGGCAGTTAGGGATCTTCACGTCCTGGGGTTTGTGCCTGATGTGGAAGCCAGGAGTTCAGTCTCCCTCTCCTGTTCGTTCTCTGCCCACATCCATACAGCAATGAGCCCCTATGTAAAGGGATGCCCTCCTGCCGGCACCCCACCATCCACCAGTGACAAGGAGTTAGGAAGCTTAAAGGGCCTCCAAACCGCCGACACCACCAAACCCTGCACCGAAGTACAGGCATTTTATAAGAGGGTGCCCTCTGCTCCTCACAATTCCCTCCATCTAGGTCAGTGGTTTGCGAACGCCTTTCGGGACTTTTTGTACACTTGGGACTTTTTGTTCAAAGATATCATGCAGAAGCAGAGAGAAACAAAACCAAGAACAGCCAAGCTGCTGTGGGGCCACTGAGGGCTGGGGCAGGGCGACCTGCCGCCTCCACTCCTCCAGCCTCCCGGAAGCTCCTCCTCCTCCTCCTACCCCACTACATCCTACGGGGGCTTCTGAGAGGGCCCTGGGGATTCCCAGTGCTTGGCGGGGCACAGTTAGAAAAACACTGATCTGCAAAACTAAGTTCCTTAACTCCTCGAAGCTGCCAATTAAAGGGAATGGGGGCCAGAGTCGATAAGAATATAACGAGCAGTCCCACAGGGCCAATTGGATGACAGGGAAAGAGGAGGTAGAGAGATGCTGAAGAGCAGAAAGAGCAGACTGCAGACCTGACAGGCTCTGCAGGCTGGGGCCATTCCATCTGGGGGCAACGTTGATTGGTCCTCAAGAATCTCCGGGATCTGGATGGAATTATAGCGCATGCTGTGGTTGCGGGGCAGGTCTGGGCTTCAAGGAAAAGAATTACATGATAAATTTGAGAAGAGCACCTTCCATAGTGGTTAAAATACAAAAATATGGAACAACGTGCATCCTTGAAGGCAAGTCCTCAGCCCGCTGGGTCTGTATGAAAAGCTCATAGCCTTAGGGTCTTGAGCAGTGGTTCTTAACTGGGGGGATTTTGCCCTCCCTCCCCACATTTGGCAATGTCTGGGAACATTTTTGGTTGTCACAACTCAGGAGTTGCTAATGGTATCTAATGGGTAGAGCTCAGGGACGCTGCTAAGTATCTTACGATGCTCCGGAAAACCCCCTTCAACAAAGAATTACCCAGCTCCAAATATCAATAGCACTGAGGTTGAGAAAGCCTGGTCTAGACTCTAGACAATACTGGAGTCTTTACTGTATTTATTTATTTCCCCGAGTAGAGGGTATGTTCCTAAAAGTTAGAAATAATGACTTTCCTGCTTGTCTACTGCATCTGCCTGAGCACCTTATGCTCAGCAGGTGCTTTACAAGTATTTGTCAGACAAATGTGAGAATAAAGAACCCACCTTGACATGGTCAGCAGCACTCCCCTTTCTATCCAGAGCTGGGTTTGGCAGAGGCACATGCTACATCTCAAGTTTAGTTAATAGGTCTTGCAAGGGATCCTGACCCCAGGCAACCCTGGGAGAAAGCTGGGGAGGGCCCTCCCAAAAGTGCCTGAGCTATTGACTCAAAAATACCAGATGCTCATTTCTGATGCAATTTACATCTCATATGCATACTGCTTTGAATATGATTTGCAAGCTGCTCCTTTAAAGTCAAAAGACACATGGCCGGGCATGGTAGCCCATGCCTGTAAACCCAGCATTTTGGGAAGCTGGGGCAGGTGGATCACCTGAGGCCAAGTGTTTGAGTCCAGCCTGGGCAACATGGCAAAACTCCATCTCTATTAAAAATACAAAAATTAGCCAGGGGTGGTGGCAGGCGCCTGTCATCCCAGCTACTCGGGAGGCTGAAGCAGGAGAGTCGCTTAAACCCAGGAGGCGGAGGTTGCAGTGAGCCAAGATTGCACTATTGCACTCCAGCCTGGGCAACAAGAACAAGACTCCGTCTCAAAAAAAAAAAAAAAAAAAAAGGCCCAGCGTGGTGGCACGCACCTGTAGTCCCAGCTACTCTGGAGGCTGAGGCATGAGAATTGCTTGAACCCGGGATGCAGAGGTTGCAATGAACCAAGATTGTGTCACTGCACTCTAGCCTGGGCGACAGAGCAAGACTCTGTCGAAAAAAAAGAAAAAAAAAAAAAGAAGAAGAAAGACACAGTCTTCTGGCCTTGTCTTGCTTTTTTCTACTTCTATAGGGACCTCTGTCTGTCCCCACCCCTCTTTCTTGGCTCACTCTCTGGTGAACACCCATCTGTTGGGCCCACATTCACTTAGGTTCCCCAGAGCCTGGCACAAAAAACTTAGGAAATCCGTGGATGGTGAGTTGCAGAAAAACAGGCAGGCCCCTTGAATTCCAGCTGCCCTCTGTGGTCACGATCACGGTTTTTGGTGCCCCACATGGCTGAGTTTCAACCCAGCTTCTGCCATTCCACAAACAGTATGATCTTTTTTTTTTTTGAGACGTAGTCTCGCTGTCACCCAGGCTGGAGTGCAGTGGCACGATCTCGGCTCACTGCAAGCTCCGCCTTCCGGGTTCACGCCATTCTCCTGCCTCAGCCTCCTGAGTAGCTGGGACTACAGGCGCCTGCCACCACGCCCGGCTAATCTTTTGTATTTTTTTTAGTAGAGATGGGGTCTCACCGTGTTAGCCAGGATGGTCTCGATCTCCTGACCTCGTGATCCACCCACCTTGGCTTCCCAAAGCGCTGGGATTACAGGCATGAGCCACCGCACCCAGCCACAAACGGTATGATCTTGAGCTAGTGAGTTAATCTCTTTGTCCCTCAGTCCCCTCATCTGTGAAAGAGGGATAATAATATTTACTTCATGGAATT
The DNA here is from genome assembly GCF_000001405.40 of Homo sapiens. Classification (NCBI taxonomy): domain Eukaryota; kingdom Metazoa; phylum Chordata; class Mammalia; order Primates; family Hominidae; genus Homo; species Homo sapiens. The sequence continues at coordinate 38,652,203 of NC_000017.11, read as the reverse complement.
CCTGTGATGATTCAATAAGAAAATCTATTAAAATGGCAGGTTTTTGGTAATTTGGTAGGCGCTCAAGGAGTGGTAACTGATGTGCTTATTATTATTATTATTATTATTATTATTATTATTATTATTATTTTGAGACAGAGTCTCACTCTGTCTCCCAGACTGGAGTGTGGTGGCTCCAATATCTGACTAATCCTGAAACAGAAGACAGAGATGAAGAGAGCAGGAAACTGACTTTTAATTTAAAAAAAATTTTTTTTTAAAGACAGGGTCTTTCTCCCAGGCAGGAGTATAGTGGTGTGATCATGGGTCACCACACAGCCTGGAACTGCTGGGCTCAAGTGATCCTCCTGCCTCAGCCTCCCCAGTAGTTGGGACTATAGGCACATGCCACCGCCACATCCAGCTGATGTTTTAAATTATTTATTTTTGTAGTGACAGGATCTTGATGTGTTGTCCAGGCTGGTCTTGAACTCCTGGCCCCAAGTGATCCTTCTACCTTGGCCTCCCAAATTGCTTGGATTACAGGAGTGAGCTACAGTACCCAGTTGGAAATTGACAATCAATTTTTTAAAAATTTCACATCCAACCTGAGCAACTTGGTGAAACTCCATCTCTATCAAAAAATACAAAAATTAGTTGGGTGTGGTGGCTCACGTGCCTGTAGTCCCACACGCTTGGGAGGCTGAGGTGGGCAGATTGCTTGAGCCTGAGAGGTCAGGAAGTTAAGGATGCAGTGAGCTGAGATCGCACTACTGCACTCCAGCCTGGGCAGCAGAGCATGACTCTGTCTAAAAAAAAAAAAAAAAAAAAAAAAAAAAGATTCACAGAATTGTAGGACATGAATCTCCAAAATGAATGAGCTGAGCTTCTGCTTCTGTGTAAGATGGAGTAACAGGTAATTGATTTATCTTCCCACTAGAAACAACTAAAAAAACCAGACAGAATATTCAGAACAATGGGGTTCAGATACTGGACATCAGGCAGCACAGCCCAGTGATCCCTGACAGAAGAGAAACAAAGCTCCTACAATTTTTCAAACCTATTACCTGGAGTGAGTTTCCAGCCACAGTACAGAGCAGAGTAAGTCAGTCAGAGTCTGATGGTCTACCTGAGTTGAGGAGGTTAAGTTGGGAGACAAGAGAGGCCCAGAAGTTCACTGGGTAAGGTATTAGAAAAGAGTTCTGCACAGAGGGCTAGGCGCGGTGGCTCACACCTGCAATCCCAGACTTTGGGAGGCCGAGGCGGGTGGATCACCTGAGGTCAGGAGTTCGAGAACAACCTGGCCTATGTGGTGAAACCCCGTCTCTACTAAAACTACAAAAAATTAGCCGGGCATGGTGGCAGTTGCCTGTAATCCCAGCTACTCGAGAGGCTGAGGCAGGAGAGTCGCTTGAACCTGGGAGGTGGAGGTTTTGGTGAGCCGAGATCGTGCCATTGCACTCCAGCCTGGGCAACAAGAGTGAAACCCTGTCTTAAAAAAAAAAAAAAAAGTGCCAGACAGAGGAAGAGAATCCTGAAAATTTGCAGGGGATCCCACTTGAGTCTTCAGCCGAGTACTAATCAGTGCATGTGTGTGAGGAAACCACCTGAGGCCAGGTCAAGACCATCCAACGGAGGAGAGAGAATGATTCCGAGACTCACACAAGGCTGGGAATTGGTTATGGTCCTGCTAGCAGAGAGACAAAACATTATAACTAACAGGGCATCAGATAGTACTCAGAAGGGTATTGACTCAGTAATGGGGCAAAATTAGCCCTAGACTAAAGTCTGTTCTAGTCCCGCCTAACAAAGCTTAAAAATTAGCCTCAAAGGGACCAAACTTTTGTGAAGTAGCTTCGCTTCATCCCAGAACAAAACTCAAGAATTGTTATTAGAAAATAAATCTAGGCCACACATGGTGGCTCACACCTGTAATTCCAGCACTTCATGGGGCCGAGGTGGGCGGATCACAAGGTCAGGAATTTGAGACCATCATGTTGATGAAACCCCATCTCGACTAAAAACACAAAAAATTAGCCCGGCATGGTGGCAGGCACCTGTAATTCCAGCTGCTCAGGAGGCTGAGGCAGGAGAATCACTTGAACCCGGGAGGCAGAGGTTGCAGTGAGCTGAGACCACGCCACTGCACTCTAGCCTGGGCAACACAGCAAGACTCCGTCTCAAAATAAATAAATAATCAATCAATCAATCAATCAATCTAGGCAAGGCACAGTGGTTCACACCTGTAATCCCAGCACTTGGGGGGGCTGAGGCAGGTGGATCACTTGAGCTTAGGAGTTCAAGACCAGCCTGGCAAATATGGCGAAACCCCATCTCTACTAAAAATACAAAAATTAGCCAGGCATGGTGGCGCATGCCTGTAATTCCAACTACTCAGGAGGCTGAGGAAGGAGGATCACTTGAACCCAGGAGGCAGAGGTAGCAGTGAGCTGAGATCGAGCCACTGTACTCCAGCCTAGGGGACAGAGTGAAACTGTGTCTCAAAAAAAAAAAAAAAAAAAAAAAACAGCCAGCTACGGTCGCTCACACCTGTAATCCCAGCACTCTGGGAGGTCACAGTGGGCAGATCACCTGAGGTCAGGAGTTTGAAATCAGCCTGGCCAACACGGTGAAACCCTGTGTCTATTAAAAATACAAAAATTAGCTGGGCATGGTGGTAGGCGCCTATAATCCCAGCTACTCGGGAGGCTGAGGCGCGAGAGTCACTTGAACCCTGAAGGCGGAGTTTGTAGAGAGCAGAGATCGTGCCACTGCACTCCAGCCTGGGTGACACAGCAAGACTCTGTCTCGAAAAACAAAACAAAACCAAACAAAAAAACAGCAAGATGGTGGATTTTAAATAAACAGTTTAATGATACTGAATAAATTTATACAGTTGTGCAACCAAGATGGTAGATTTAAACTCAATCAGATCAACAATTAAAATAGATATACATAAACTAAACAACCCAATTAAAAGGCAGATGAAAAAGCAACACCCATCTATATGCTATCTACAAGAGACCCGCTTTAAAAATAAAGACACAAGGCCGGGCACGGTGTCTCATGCCTGAAATCCCAGTAGTTTGGGAGGCTGAGGCAGGCAGATTGCTTGAGCCCAGGAGTTCAAGACCAGCCTGGGCAACATGGTGAAAACCCATCTCTACTAAAAATACAAAAAAATCAGCCGGGAGTGGTGGCATGTTCTGATAGTGCCAGCTACTCAGGAAACTGAGTATTGGAATTTGAGGTTGCAGTGAGCCAAGATCATTCCACTGAACTCTAGCTTGGGTGATGGGCGTGAGACCCTAGCTCAAAAAAAAAAAAAAAGAAAGAAAGAAAGAAAAAAAAAGAAAAAAGGCACAAATAGGTAGAAAGTACAAGAATATACTAACATTAATCAAAAGAATGCTGGAGGCCGGGCCGCGATGGCTCACGCCTGTAATCCCAGCACTTTGGGAGGCCAAGGCAGGTGGATGACCTGAGGTCGGGAGTTCGAGACCAGTCTGACTAACATGGAGAAACCCCGTCTCTACTAAAAATACAAAATTAGCCGGGCATGGTGGCACATGCCTGTAATCCCAGTTACTCAGGAGGCAGAGGCAGGAGAATCGCTTGAACTCGGGAGGTGGAGGTTGCAGTGAGCTGAGATCAGGCCGTTGCACTCCAGCCTGGGCAACAAGAGTGAAACTCTGTCTCAAAAAAAAAAAAAAAGGAATGCTGGAGTGGCTATGTTAATAGAGGATAGGCCATGCCAAAATGAATTTAAAGGACTCTTATCTTGTTTAGGTATAACATGCATAAGCAAAGGACACAAATCTTATGTAATAGCTTAATAAATTTTCCCATAGGTATATGATATAACCATTCCCAGATTCACAATGCAGAACATTTTTTTTCTTCTTTTTTGAGACAGGGTCTTGCTCTGTCACCCAGGCTGGAGTGCAGTGGCGTGATCTTGGCTCATTGCAACCTCTGCCTCCTGGGTTCAAGCAATTCTCCTGCCTCAGCCTCCTGAGTAGCTGGGATTACAGGTGTGCACCACCACACCCAGCTAATTTTTTGTATTTTTAGTAGAGATGGGGTTTTGCGATGTTGGCCAGGCTGGTCTTGAACTCCTAACCTCAGTTGATTCTCTCACCTCAGCCTCCCAAAGTGTTGGGATTACAGGCGTGAGTGTACCTGACCTAATGTTTGTATTTTTAGTAGAGATGGGGTATTGCCATGTTGGCCAGGCTTGTCTCGAACTCCTAGGCTCAAGTTATCCACCAGCCTCGGCCTCACAAAATGCTGGGATCATAGGCGTGAGACACCCCACCCAGCACAGAACATTTTCCATCTCCAGAAGGCACCCCCATCCCAAACCTGTCCCTACAGGTGACTGTTTCTGTCTTCTATTAACATAGGGTTTTGTTGTTATGTCTCGCTCTGTAGCCCAGGCTGGAGTGCAGTGTCATGATCTTGGCTCACTGCAATCTCTACCTCCTGGGTTCAGGTGATTCTCCTGCCTTAGCCTCCCAAGTAACTGGAATTACAGGCACGTGCCACCATGCCTGGCCAAGTTCTGTATTTTTAGTAGGGACGAGATTTCACCATGTTGGCCAGGCTGGCCTCAGCCTCCAACGTGCTGGGATTACAGGTGTGAGCCACTGCACCTGGCCCACTATAGTTTTGTTTTTCTTGTTTGTGGGTTTTCTTTCTTTTTTTTTTTTGCCTGTTATTGAACTTCATAGAAATGGAATTATTATATAGTACATACTCTTTTATATCTGGTTTCTTTCACTCAACAATTATGTCTGTAAGATTCATCCATATTGTTGAATGTATTATTATTATTTTGAGACAAGGTCTCACTCTGTTGCCCAGGTTGGAGTGCAGTGGTGATGGCAGCTCACTGCAGGCTCAACCTCCCATGCTCAAGCAATCCTCCCACCTCAGCTGCCTGAGTAGCTGGGACTAGCTAATTTATGTATTTTTTTTTAGGTACAGACCATGTTGCAGTTTTGTCATGTTGCCCAGGCTGCTCTCGAACTCCTGGACTCAAGTGATTGCCCCACCTCAGCCTCCAGAGTAGCTGGAACCATAGGCATGTGCCACCCATGCCCAGTCAATTTTATTTTATTTTTTTTGGTAGTGATGGCTTCACACTATATTGTCCAGGCTTGTCTCCAACTCCTGGGCTCAAGCAAACCTCCCGCCTCTGCCTCCTAAAGTGCTGGGATTGCAGGCATGAGCCACTGTGCCTGGACCATTTTCAATGCTGTATGGAATTCTGTTGTGTGACTATAACACAATTTACTTATCTATTGTACTATTGATGGACTTCAGGTTTGTTCTAGTTTTTGGCTATACATGATTTTTGCTGGAAATACACGTTTATGTTTCTTGTGTACTTACCTTAGAGTTGCTAGATAATAAGGTAAGCTTATTTTTATCTTTCACAGAAGTTGTCAAAGAGTTTTCCAGAAGAATGATACCAATTTACACTCGCACCATAAATTTTCAGTTTTTCAAATTTTAGCCATACTTGTCGATGTGCAGAATAGGTATCTCATTGCAGCTGTAATTTGCATTTTCCTGATGCCTGGTGATTTGAGTACTTACATATTTGTTGGGTATTTGGATATCTCTTTTGTGAAATGCGTTCAACAGTTTTGCCTATTTGAATCTAAATCTAGATTAAAATTAAATCTAGATTGTTTAAATCTAAACAATTTAAACAATCTAAAATTAGATTGTTTTACTTTTTAAAATTAGTTAATAGGAGTTATGTATTCTGTGGTTTGATTTTTCATCTTTATGGTATCTTTTGATGAACAGAGCTTGTTTATTTTAATGAAGTCAAATATATCATTAATGCTTATTGTGTCCTGATCAAGAAATCTTTGCCTACCCCAAGGCCATAAGAATATCCTTCCATAATTTTTCTAGAAGGTTTATTGTTTTTATCTTTCGCACTGAAGTCTATTATACATCTCAAATTAATCTGAGTGTAGGCTCGAAATGGGAGAGCCAAGACTCAATTTTTTCTATGTGGCTAGCCAATTACTCTAACACTATTTATTGGAAAGATCATTTCCCCACTGAATTGCAGTTGGGTCTTTGATGTAAATTAGGTGACGATGTATCTGTAGGTCTGTTTCTGCATTCTATTCTGTACCAGTGGTAGTCTATTTGCCCATTCTTGTGCAAACTACTTATTTTTATTTTCATTTTGAGATGGAGCCCGCTCTGTCATCCAGGCTGGAGCACAGTGGATCTCCAATCTCGGCTCACTGCAACCTCCGTCTCCTGGGTTCAAGCAATTCTCCTGCCTCAGTCTCTCAAGTAGCTGGGATTACAGGTGCGTGCCATCACGCCTGGGTAATTTTTGTATTTTCAGTAGAGATGGGGTTTCACCACGTTGGCAGGCTGGTCTCGAACTCCTGACCTTAGGTGATCCTCCCGCCTTGGCCTCCCAAAGTGCTGGGATTAGAGGCATGAGCCACCGCGCCCGGCCACTAACCACTTATTATTTCTAATAGTTTATCTGCAGATTCTATTGGATTTTCTTTCTTTTTTATTTTGAGACGGGGTCTCGCTCTGTTGCCCAGGCTGTAGTGCAGTGGTGCCATCTCAGCTCACTGCAAGCTCTGCCTCCTGTGTTCACGCCATTCTCCTGCCTCAGCCTCCTGAGTAGCTGGGACTACAGGCGCCCGCCACCATGCCCCGCTAATTTTTTGTATTTTCAGTAGAGACGAGGTTTTACCGTGTTAGCCAGGATGGTCTCGATCTCCTGACCTCAGGTGATCCACCTGCCTCAGCCTCCCAAATGCTGGGATTACAAGCATGAGCCACCGCGCCCAGCCGGATTTTCTATATACAAAATCATGTTGTTTAAATAATTATAGTTTTGCTTTTTCCTTTCCAGTCTTCATATCCTTTTCTTGCCTAATTGCACTAGTTAAAACCAATGTGATGTTGAATAAAAGTGGTGAAAGTGGACTTTCTTGTCTTATTCCCAAACTCAGAGAACATTCAGTATTTTATTATTAAGTATGGTGCTAACTATAATTTTTCTTAAACAATTGTTTATATGTATAGATATATATAATTGATATATACTTGATGTGCTACTTACACGATTCAATTTTTTATTGATGTGTAATTTACATACAGTAAAATGTACAGATTTTCCAGTAAATGGCTTTTACAAACCCGCTACCCCAACTAATGTATCAAACGTTTTCATCATCCCAGTAAATTCCCTCATGCCTCTTTCCAGGAAATCTCCAGAGGCAACCACTCTTCTTATTTCTATTCCATAGATTAATTTTTCCCTATTCTAGAACTTCATATAAATGAAATTATTCAATATGTACTCTTTTGTGTCTGGCTTTTTTAAAAAACTAATCATAAGACTTTTGCAATTTATTATGTTCTTGCATGCACCTGTAGTTAGTTCCTTTTTTATTGGTGAGTGGTTTCCCATGAATATATTACAACTTATTTATTCAATCACATGTTGATGGACATTTGGGTTGTTTCCAGTTTGAGCTTATTATGAATATAAATGCTATAAACACTCTTGTCCAGGGGTGGTGGCTCATGCCTGTAATCCCAACACTTTGGGATGCCAAAGAGGGCGGATCACCTGAGGTAAGGAGTTCGAGACCAGCCTGGCCAGCATGGTGAAACCCATCTCTACTAAAAATACAAAAATTTGCCGGGTGGGGTGGTCTGCACTGGGAATCCCAGTTACTTGGGAGGTTGAGGCGAGAGAATGGCTTGAACCCAGGAGGAGGAGGCTGCAGTGAGCCGAGATCGCACCACTGCACTCCAGCCTTGGCGACAGAGCAAGACTCCGACTCAAAAAACAAACAAACAAAAAAAAACAGCAACAATAAAAACCCCAAAAACATTCTTATACAAGTCTTTGTGTGGACTTGTGTTTTCATTTCTCTTGGGTAAAACCTAAGAGTGGAATTGTTGAGTCATAGGGTAGGTGCATCTTCATTGCCAAACTGTTTTTCAAAGTGGTTGTAGGTTGTACTATTTTATAATCCATGTCAGTGAGTTCTGGTTGTCCACATCTTCTCAACATGTAGTAGTATTTTCAGACTTTAATTTTAACCATTCTGATGAGCCTGTTGTTGTTTTAGTTATTATTATTATTGTTATATAATAATATATATTATTTTTTGAGACGGAGTCTTGCTCTGTCACCCAGGCTGGAATGCAGTGGCGCGATCTCGGCTCACTGCAACCTCCGCCTCCCAGGTTCAAGCGATTCTCCTGCCTCAGCCTCCTGAGCAGGCACGTGCCACCATGCCCAGCTAATTTTTGTAGTTTAGTAGAGACTGGGTTTCACCATGTTGTCCAGGCTGGTCTTGAACTCCTGACCTCAAGTGATCTGCCTGCCTCGGCCTCCCAAAGTGCTGGGATTACAGGCGTGAGCCACTGTGCCCGGCCTCAAATATCTTCTTTTGTGAAATGTTTCTTCAAGTCTTTTTTAAAATTAATTAATTTTTTTTGAGACAGGGTCTTCTTGCTCTGTCACCAAAGCCAGAGTGCAGTGGCACAATCATGGCTTAATGCAGCCTTCACCCCTGGGCCCCAGAGATCCTCCCATCTTAGCCTCCCAAGTAGCTGGGACCACAGGCTTGCACCACCACACCTGGCTAATTTTTGTATTTTTCGTAGAGATGGGGTTCTGCCATGTTGCCCAGGCTGGTCTCGAACTCCTGGGCTCAAGCAATCCTCCCACCTCGGCTTCACAAAGTGCTGGGATTACAGGCATGAGCCACTGCACTCTGCCAAGTCTTTTGCCTTTTTAAAAAATTGGATTGTTTGTTTATTATTGAGTTGTGGAAGTTATTCATTTCTTCTGTATATAAGTCTGTATCACATATATGAGGTGATTATTTTCTCTCATTCGGTGTCTTACCTTTTCATTTTATAAAGGTATTATTTGATGAATGGAATTTTTAATTTTAAGGAAGTCCAATTGATCATTTTTTTTCCTTTATGGTTACATTTTTGTCCTAAGAAATCTTTGCCTACTCCAAGGCTGCAAAATCTTATGTTTTCTTCCAGGAGATTTATAGTTTCAGCTTTTTACATTTAGGTCCATGATCTAACTTGAATTAATCTTTGCAAATGGTGTAAGGTGAGAGTTGAAGTCTCTCCCCTTGACGGCACTTTCATTTCCCCACTGAAGTACCTTGACTCTTTTGTCAAAAATGAATTATTATATATGTGGGTTTGTTTATGAACACGCTTTTCCACTAATCTATTTGTCTCTCCTATACCAATACTATGTTATCTTTTTTTTTTTTTTTTTTTTTTTTTTTTGAGACAGAGTCTCGCTCTGTTGCCCAGGCTGGAGTGCAGTGGTGCGATCTCGGCTCACTGCAAGCTCCGCCTCCTGGGTTCACGCCATTCTCCTGCCTCAGCCTCCTGAGTAGCTGGAACTACAGGCGTCCGCCACCGCACCCCGCTAATTTTTTGTATTTTTAGTAGAGAGGGGTTTCACCGTGTTAGCCAGGACGGCCTTCATCTCCTGACCTCGTAATCCGCCCACCCTGGACTCCCAAAGTGCTGGGATTACAGGCGTGAGCCACCATGCCCAGCCTATGTTATCTTGATTATTATAGCTTTGTAGTAAGTCTTAAAATCCAATAGTGTAAGTTTTTCAAGTTTGTTCTTCTTTTTCAAAATTGTTTTGTCTATTCTAGGTCTTTTGTATTTCCATATAAATGATGGAATCAGCTTGTCCATTTCTATTTTAAAAACCTGCTGACATTTTGATTGTGATGGCATTGAATCTATAGATCAACGTGGAGAGACATGACATCTTAACAATATCGAGTCTATTCTATGAACATGATGCATCTCTCTATGTATTTCAGTTGTCTTTTATTTCTTCAAGCAACATTTTTGTATTTTTATAATAGAGGTCTTGCATATCTTTCATAAAATTATTAGTGTTTTTTTAATATATTATTGCCTATGGTGTTTCTAAAATTTGATTTTTCAACTATTTGTTGCTGGTAGACATGCAATTGACTTTTTGGTATGTTGACAATATTGATGCTAATTTCACTCACTGACTATAATATAATAGTTTTTGCAGATTCTTCAGGATTTTCTATGTATATAACCTTGTTGTACAAAGACGGACTTACTTCTTTTTCAGTCTTTATGCTCGTAAGTTGTTTTATTTCTTTATTGAGCTAGCTAGGATAATGTTGAATAGAAGAAATGAGAATAGACATTCTTATTTATTTGTTTCCAGTATTAGCAGCAAAGTTCTCAATATTGTACCATTAAATATGAGGTCAATTGTGGGTATTTTTTTTCTGAGATAACTTCTATCAAATTGAGGAAAGTGCTTTTTATTCTAGTTTTCAAAAATCATGAATAATGACTAAATTTTGCCAAATGCTTTTTCTGCATCTATTGAAGTGGTTGTCTAGATTTTTTACTTTATTTTGTTAATATGATTAATTACATTTTTTGGTATATTAAACTTACTTTGCCTTACTGGACAAAACTGCATTTGGTCATTATTCTGAGTTATCTTTTTAAAAAATGTATACTGGCTGGGCACAGTGGCTCACACCTGTAATCCCAGCACTTTGAGAGGTCAAGGTGGGTGGATCACTTGAGCTCAGGAGTTCGAGACCACCCTGGACAACATAGTGAGACCTAGTCTCTGCAAAAAATACAAAAATTAGCCAAGATTGGAGGATTGCTTGAGCCCAGGAGTTTGAGACAAGCCTGGGCAACATAGAGAGACACTGTCTCTCTAAAAAATAAAAAATTAGCCAGATGGGGTGATGACATACTTGTATAGTCCCAGCTACTTGGGAAGCTGAAGTGGGAGGATTACCTGAGCCCAGGAGGTCGAGGCTGCAGTGAGGGGTGATCGCACCATTGCATTCCAGCCTGAGTAATACAGTGAGACCCTGCCTCCAAAATAATAATAACAATTTTAAAAACTTCAAAATAAAAGGTTAAAAATAAATGTATTACTCAATTTGGTTTGAGATATATATATATTTTCTTTTTTTTTAGATGGAGTTTTCGCTCTTGTTGCCCAGGCTAGAGTGCAATGGCACGATCTCGGCTCACTGCAACTTCTGCCTCCCGGGTTCAAGCGATTCTCCTACTTCAGCCTCCCTAGTAGCTGGGATTACAGGCATGCGCCACCACATCCAGTTAATTTTGTATTTTCAGTAGAGATGGGGTTTCTCCATATTGGTCAGGCTGGTCTCAAATTCCCGATCTCAGGTGATCCGCCCTCCTCGGCCTCCTAAAGTGCTGGGATTACAGGCATGAGCCACCGCGCCTGGCTTTGTTGTTGTCTTTTTTTTTTTTTTTTTTTTTTTGAGACGGAATCTTGCTCTGTTGCCCAGGCTGGAGTACAGTGGCGTGATCTTGGCTCACTGCAACCTCCACCTCCTGGGTTGAAGGAATTCTCCTGCTTCGGCCTCCCTAGTAGCTGGGATTACAGGTGCCCACCACCACACCCAGCTAATTTTTATATTTTAGAAGAGATGGGTTTTCACCATGTTGGCCAGGCTGGTCTCGAACTCCTGACCTCAAGCAATCCATCCGCCTCAGCCTCCTAAAGTGCTGTGATTACAGACCTGAGCCACTGTGCCCAGCCTCGTTTGCTATATTTTGTGTAGGATTTTGTATATACATTTATGAGAGATCCTGGCCTGTGACTTTCCTTTCTTTGTACTATCCTTGTCAGCTTTTGGTATTACAGTTATGCAAGTCTCATAAAATGAATTGGGAAGTGTTCCTTTTTACTCTGTCCTCTGAGTTTGTATAAGATGGTATTATTTCTTCCTTAAATGTTTGGAAGAATTGCCTCAGTGAACCTGCCCGAGCTTGAAGTTTTCTCTAGGGGAAGATTTTATTTTATTTTATTTTATTTATTTATTTTTATTTTTATTTTTTTTTTGAGACAGAGTCTCACTGTTGGCCAGGCTGGAGTACAGTGGCATGATCTCGGCTCACTGCAACCTTTGCCTCCCGCGCTCAAGCAATTCTCCTGCCTCAGCCTCCTGAGTAGCTGAGATTACGGGTGTGTGCCACCATGCCCAGCTAATTTTTGTATTTTTAGTAGAGACAGGGTTTCACCATGTTGGCCAGGCCGGTCTCCAACTCCTGACCTCAGGTAATCCGCCCACCTCGGCCTCCCAAAGTGCTGGGATTACAGACATGAGCCACCTTGCCCGGCCAGGAAGATTTTAAATTAATTCAACTTTTTTTTTTTTTTTTTTTTTCTGAGACGGAGTCTCGCTTTGTTGTCCAGGCTGGAGTGCAGTGATGCGATCTCAGCTCACTGCAGCCTCTGCCTCCTCGGTTCAAGCAATTCTCTGCCTCAGCCTCCTGTGTAGCTGAGATTACAGGCACCTGACACCACGCCTGGCTAATTTTTGTATTTTTAGTAGAGATGGGGTTTCACCATGTTGGCCAGATTGGTCTTGAACTCCTGACTTTGTGATCCAGCCGCCTTGGCCTCCCAAAGTGCTGGGATTACAGGAGTGAGCCACCTCGCCCGACCTTCAACTTCTTTAACAGATATAGGTGTATTGTGATCTCAAAAATCAGAAAATTCTTATAAAATTTTTAAATATTCTTATGACACTTTGTGTTTTCTCTTAAGGAATTTGCCCATATTATCTCAATTTTCAAATGTCGATGTAAAGTTGTTTATAATATCCTGCTATTATCTTTTTAACATCTGTAGGGTCTATAGTAATGTTTCCTTTTTTATTTCTTATTTATTTTCTTTTTCTTTCTTTCTTTCTTTCTCTCTTTCTTTTCTTTTCTTTCTTTGTTTTTTTTTTTTTTTTTTTTTTTTTTTTGTGAGACAGAGTCTCTCTCTGTCATCCAGGCTGGATGGAGTGCAATGGCGCGATCTTGGCTCACTGCAACCTCCACCTCCTGGGTTCAAGCAATTCTCCTGCCTCAGCTTCCCCAGTAGCTGAGACTACAGGTGCCTGCCACCACACACAGCTAATTTTTTGCATTTTTAATAGAGATGGGGTTTCACCATGTTGGCCAGGCTGGTCTTGAACTCCTGACCTCAGGTGATCCACTCCTCGGCTTCCCAAAGTGCTGGGATTACAGGCGTGAGTCACCGTGCCTGGCCTTATATTTCTAATATTTGTTACTTGTGATCTCCTTCCCTCCTTCTCTTTTTACCTTAATCTTTCCTGCTCTTTATTACTTTTAGAGGTCTTTAGTAATTTTAGAGATCTTTCCAAAGAACCAGTATTTGTCTTTGTTGACTTTCTCCATTCTATATTTGTTTCCTATTTTATTGATTTCTTCTCTTATCTTTAACATTTTGTTCCTTCTACTTTTGGGGGAAGGGGAGTGTTAAATGCTCTTCTTCTAAAAATTTCTTTTAATGGATTCTTAAATCATTAATTTTTGTTCTTCTATGACTTTAAGTCTATACATTTCTCCTTAAACATGTTTTGGGCAATATCCCATTATCATTCAGTTCAAAATACTTTATAACTTCCATGGTGGTTTCTTCTTTGACCCCCATGGCCTATTTAGAGGCTTATTAATTAATTTTTGAATATTTGGGGAGAATTCTCTAGTTATCTTTTAGTTATTGACTTCTAGCTCAACTTCACTGAGTCCAGAGAACATACTATGCATGATTTCAGGAACTGGAAATTCGTTAACACTTGCTTTATGGCCCAGCATATGGTCAATTTTGTTAAGTGTCAAAATTGGTACTTGAGAAGCATGTGCCTTCTGTAGTTGTTGGTTTCCTCCTGGTTTTTAAAATAATATCCTATAAATGTCAGTTAGGGAAATTTGTTTAATTACATTGTTCAAATCCTCTACTGACTTTTAAAAAATCGACTTGTCTATCAGTTACTGGGAGAGCTGTGTCAAAAATCTCCAACTATGATTGGGAATTTTGGGGATTTGCCTATTTCTTCTTTAATTTTTTTTTTTTTTTTTTTTTTTTTTTTTGAGTTAGGTTCTCGCTCTGTCACCCAGGCTGGAAAGCAGTGGCATGATCATGGCTCACTGCAGCTTTGAATTCTGGGCTCCAAGGATCCTCCCACCTCAGCCTCTTGCGTAGCTGGGATTACAAGTGCATGCCATCACGCCTACCTATTTTTATTTTTAGTTTTTTGTAGAGATGAGGTTCTCACTATGTTGCTTGGGCTGGTCTTGAACTCCTGATCTCAAGAGATCCTGGCACCTTGACCTCTCAAAGCACTGGGATTACAGGCATGAGCCAACATGCCTGGCCTGTTCATTAATTCTGTCCATTTTTGCTTTATGTATTTTGAGGTTATATTATCAGATGAGTATTTAGAACTGTTATGTCTTCCTGTTGAATTGACCCTTTTATTATCGTGAAATGTCCCTCTTTTTTGTTTTTCTTTTTTTGGTTGTTTGTTTTTTTAGACAGAGCCTCACTCTGTCACCCAGGCTGGAGTGCAACAGCACCATCTCGGCTCACTGCAACCTCCACCTCCTGGGTTCAAGTGATTCTCGTGCCTCAGTCTCCCAAGCAGCTGGGATTACAGGCGTGCACCACCACACCTGGCTAATTTTTTTGTAGTTTTAGTAGAGACGGGGTTTCACCATGTTGCCCAGGCTGGTCACGAACTCCTGAGCTCAGGCAATCCACCTGTCTTGGCCTCCCAAAATGCTGGGATTACAGGCATGAGCCACCCTGCCCAGTTCCTTCTTTGTTTTTAGTAATGCTTCTTGCCCTAAAGATTACTCTGTCTGATACTAATATAGCTACAACTTTATTTTGGTTAGCGCTTGCATTATATCTTTTTTCATCCTTTAATTGTAGTATTTATTTATTTATTTTAATTTTTTTGTAGAGATGGGGTTTTGCCATGTTGCCCAGGTTGGTCTTCAACTCCTGAGCTCAAAGCGATCTGCCTGCCTTGGCCTCCCACAGTGCTGGGATTACGGGCATGAGCCACCACACCCAGGCCTCACCCTTTAATTTTAACCTTTCTGCATCCTTATATTGAAGATGTGGCTCTTGTAAACAGCACATAATTGGATTATTTAATGCAGTCTGACATCTTTTTTCTTTTAATTAGAGGATTTAGCCCCTTTAAATTTCATGTAAATACTAATAGAGTTGGGTTTAATTTACCATATTCTATTTGTTTCCTATTTGTTCCTGTATTTGCAAAGGTCTCTCTCTGGTTGCAGTATGAAGATCTGACTGGAAGAACACACGCACAGATGCAGGGAAACCAGTTAAGAGATCGGAGCAGCTGTCCAGGTGAGTGAAACTGGCATCCTGAATTAGATTCATGGTGGTGAAGATAAGGAGATGTGAACAAACTAGATATTTGGGAGGTAGGAAAAATAGAACTTAGTGATTGTGACCAGGCGCAGTGGCTCACACCTGTAATCCCAGCACTTTGGGAGGCCGAGGCAGGCAGATCACTTGAGGTCAGGAGTTCGAGACCAGTCTCGCCAACATGATGAAACCCGCTACTCTATAAAAATACAAAAAGTTAGCCGGGTGTGGTGGCATGAGCCTGTAGTCCCAGCTACTTGGGAGGCTGAGGCAGGAGAATTGCTTGAACCCAGGAGGTGGAGGTTGCAGTGAGCAGAGATCGTGTCATTGCACTCCAGCCTGGGCAACAGAGCGAGACTCTGTCTAAAAAAAAAAAAAAAACTTACTGATTACCTTTAGAACAGTGGTCTCCAACCTTTTTGGCACTAGGGACCGGTTTTGTGGAAGACAGTTTTTCCACAGATGGTGGGGTGGGAGGTGGCTTTACACTTGATTTTAGCCAAAAGGCCGAGAAGCGATGGGGGGTGGTTTTGGAATGGAACTGTTCCACCTCGGATCTTCAGGCATTATTTAGATTCTCAGAAGGAGCATGCAACCTAGATTCCTTGCATGCGCAGTCACAGTAGGCTTTCTGCTCCTATGAGAATCTAATGTCGCCGCTGATCTGACAGGAGGCGGAGCTCAGGCGGGAATGCAGGCCAGCCACTCACCTCCTGCTGTGTGGCCCTGTTCCTAACAGGCCACAGTCTGTGGCCCGGGGGTTGGGGACTCCTGCTTTAGGGTATAGAGTGCAAGAGTAAAGAATCAAGGAAGACTCTCCTATTTCTGGTTTAAGAGGTTTGGTGGATGGCACCAGTATTTATTTAAAAAACCCAGGAGGAGAAACAGAACTAAGGGGAAAGATAATGAGATCAGTTTTGGACTAGTTGACAACCTAGTGGAGAAAGTCCTGGTATGCAATTCAATATATAGGACTAGAATTTCTATCTGAGCTGGAGATATTAATTGGGACCTGCTAAAATATGGGTGGTAATTAAGGCCATGGGAGTGTCAGGGAGTGAGGATAGAAACAGGCCTAGGACAAAAAACTGAGGAACATTTCATAGTTGGGTTGAGCCAAGGAGACTGAGAAGAAGTAGTCAGAGAGGTTGTGAGAAGGAAACCAAGAAAGTACAGTATCCTGGCCAGGCGCGGTGGCTCACGCCTGTAATCCCAGCACTTTGGGAGGCCGAGGCGGGCGGATCACGAGGTCAGAAGTTCGAGACCAGCCTGGCCAATATGGCGAATCCCTGTCTCTACTAAAAATACAAAAATTAGCCAGGCGTGGTGGCACACACCTGTAATCCCATCTACTCAGGAGGGTGAGGCAGGAGAATTGCTTGAACCTGGGAGGTGGAGGTTACAGTGAGGCAAAAGCATGCCACTGCACTCCAGCCTGGGTGACAGAGTGAGACTCCGTCTCAAAACAAAAACAAAAAACAAAAAACAAAGTACAGTATCCTAGAAGCTGGGAAGAGAGTGTGGGTTTTTTTTGTTGTTGTTGTTGTTTGTTTTTTTTGAGACGGAATTTCGCTCTTGTTGCCCAGGCTGGAGTGCAATGGTGCGATCTCAACTCACTGCAAACCTCCGCCTCCCAGGTTCAAGCGATTCTCCTGCCTCAGCCTCCCTAGTAGCTGGGATTACAGGCATGCGCCACCACGCCTGACTAATTTTGCATTTTTAGTAGAGATGGGGTTTCTCCATGTTGGTCAGGCTGGTCTTGAACTCCCGACCTCAGGTGATCTGCCCACCTCGGCCTCCCAAAGTGCTGGGATTACAGGCACGAGCCACTGTGCCTGGCCGAGAGTGTTTTTGTAAAGAGAAAAATGGGTAACTGCTCTATGCTGCTGAGAGGTCCTATTAGGTAAGGACTAAAACAGGTATGCCACAGCCTAAGGAAGAGTAGTTTGAATGGAGTTAGTGGGGTGGCACCAGCGTGGAGGGCGTTATAAAGTAGGAGATGAAGAAATGAAGACAAATTAGCCGGGTGTGTTGGCGGGCACCTGTAATCCCAGCTACTTGGTAGGCTGAGGCAGGAGAATTGCTTGAACCCAGGAGGTAGAGGTTGCAGTGAGCCAAGATCGCACCGGTGCACTCCAGCCTGGGCAACAGAGCGAGACTCCGTCTGAAAAAAAGAAAAAAAAATTATATAATGGATTTTGGAGACTAAGAAGCAGAATGGGTGGGTACGGGGTGAAGGATAAAAAACTATGTGTTGGGTACAGTGTACACTATTCAGTTGAGGGGTCCACTAAAATCTCAGACTTCACCACTATATAAATCATCCATGTAACCAAAAACCACTTGCACCCCCAAAACTACTGATTTTTTTTAAAAAAGCATTGACCTGGAAGTAACACACATCACTTCTGTCCAACTTTCGTTGACCAAATGAAGTTGCGTAGCCATTCTAACTTTTTTTTTTTTTTTTTTCGCTCTGTCGCCCAGGCTGGAGTGCAGTGGTGCAATCTCGGCTCACTGCAAGCTCTGCCTCCCGGGTTCATGCCATTCTCCTGCCTCAGCCTCCCAAGTAGCTGGGACTACAGGCTCCCGCCACCACGCCCGGCTACCTTTTTTTTGTATTTTTAGTAGAGATGAGGTTTCACCATGTTAGCCAGGATGGTCTTGATCTCCTGACCTCGTGATCTGCCTGCCTCAGCCTCCCAAAGTGCTGGGCTTACAGGCGTGAGCCACCACGCCTGGCCGACCATTCTAACTTTAAGGGAAATAGCATCTTGCTTTGTGCCCAGAAGGCAGAGACACAGAATAGTCCTAATGACAATTGTAATCACTCCTTTTGAGAAGGAGTCTTGCTCTGTCACCCAGGCTAGAGCGCAGTGGTATGATCTTGGCTCACTGCAACCTCCGCCTCCCAGGTTCAAGCGATTCTTCTGCCTCAGCCTCCTGAATAGCTGGGATTACAGGTGCCCACCACTGCACCCGGCTAATTTTTGTATTTTTAGTAGAGATGGGGTTTCACCATCTTGGCCAGGCTGGTTTCGAACTCCTGACCTCGTGATCCACCCACCTCGGCCTCCGAAAGTGCTCGGATTACAGGCATGAGCCACCGGGCCTGGCCCCAGCAATCACTCTTTTAAACAGTTTAAGGAAGGAGAATGGGAGATGTTAGAAGTTGTCACTTTGAAGAGCAGGTAGGGAGTTAATCACTGAAGCATAGCCAGGATTGTCAAGCCACATTCAGGTTCCATATAACATCGAGGACCACCATTTTCTTTGGTCCCAGTCTTCTCAGCTATGTGCTTTTCTCTAGTGATACTCAGCTGCCCGGATGCAGGCACGATAAAAGCCAAGAGTTGGGTTCATCAATTTTTAACATTTTATTTTATTTTAATTTTTGAGACGGAGTCTCACTCTGTCACCCAGGCTGGAGTGCATTGGCATGATCTTGGCTCACTGCAACCTCCGCCTCCTGACTCCAAGCGATTCTCCTGCCTCAGCCTCCCAAGTAGCTGGACTACAGGTATGTGCCAGAATGCCCACCTAATTTTTTTGTATTTTTAGTAGAGATGGGGTTTTCCCATATTGGCCAGGCTGGTCTCGAACTCCTGACCTCAAGTGATCCGCCTGCCTCGGTCTCCAAAATTTTTGGGATTACAGGCGTGAGCCACTGCACCCCACCTAGATATCATTTTTAAAATATATTGATGCCCCCTCCCATCATGAAAGCAAGGATTTTGTCCGTTTTGTTTAATGCTATGGCCTTAACCTAGAACAGTGATTGGTCAAGACAGGTCCTATTTAAATATTTGTTGAATGAATAATTCATTGCTCTTTAGAAAAATTCAAGCTGGGCATGGTGGCTCATGCCTGTAATCCAAGTACTTTGGGAGGCCGAGGCGGGAGGATCACTTGAGGCCTAGAGTTCAAGACAAGCCTGGACAACACAGCAAGATCCCATCTCTACAAAAAAGAAAAGAAAAATTCAAATCATAAAGATGTGTATAGGATTAAAAGTGGATTCCTTTGGGGCTGGGTGCAGTGACTATGCCTGTAATCCCAGCACTTTGGGAGGCCGAGGCGGGCAAATCACTTGAGGTCAGGAGTTTGAGACCAGCCTGTCTAACATGGTGAAAACCCGTCTCTACTAAAAATTAAAAAAGTAGCCAGGTGTGATGGCTCATACCTGTAATCCCAGCTACACGGGAGGCTGAGGCACGAGAATCACTTGAATCCGGGAGGAGGAGGTTGCAGTGAGCTGAGATCGTACCACTGCACTGCCTGGGTGACAGAGACTCTGTCTCAAAACAAACAAACAAACAAAAAACACAAAAAACACACAACAGTGGATTCCTTTGGCTCCCATTGCCACTCCCTTAGGGATAATTACTGCTAATAGTGTGTGTGTCCGTGTGTGTGTGTGTGTGTGTGTGTGTGAGGGTGTGGGGATGTGTGTGTCTGTCTATATTTCCAGACCTTTTTGTATGCATAGACATACAGTAGTTCCACTTTATTCACAGTTTCACTTTCTACAGTTTTAGTTACCCAAGGTCAATCGAGTTCTGAAAACAGGTAGGAGGAATACAATAAGTATATTGTTATAATTGTGCTATTTTATTTTATTTTATTTATTTATTTATTTATTTATTTTATTGATCATTCTTGGGTGTTTCTCGCAGAGGGGGATTTGGCAGGGTCACAGGACAATAGTGGAGGGAAGGTCAGCAGATAAACAAGTGAACAAAGGTCTCTGGTTTTCCTAGGTAAAGGACCCTGCGGCCTTCCGCAGTGTTTGTGTCCCTGGGTACTTGAGATTAGGGAGTGGTGATGACTCTTAACGAGCATGCTGCCTTCAAGCATCTGTTTAACAAAGCACATCTTGCACCACCCTTAATCCATTCAACCCTGAGTGGACACAGCACATGTTTCAGAGAGCACAGGGTTGGGGGTAAGGTCACAGATCAACAGGATCCCAAGGCAGAAGAATTTTTCTTAGTACAGAACAAAATGAAAAGTCTCCCATGTCTACCTCTTTCTACACAGACACGGCAACCATCCGATTTCTCAATCTTTTCCCCACCTTTCCCGCCTTTCTATTCCACAAAGCCGCCATTGTCATCATGGCCCGTTCTCAATGAGCTGTTGAGTACACCTCCCAGACGGGGTGGTGGCCGGGCAGAGGGGCTCCTCACTTCCCAGTAGGGGCGGCCGGGCAGAGGCGCCCCTCACCTCCCGGACGTGGCGGCTGGCCGGGCGGGGGGCTGACCCCCCCACCTCCCTCCCGGACAGGGCGGCTGGCCGGGCAGAGGGGCTCCTCACTTCCCAGTAGGGGCGGCCGGGCAGAGGCGCCCCTCACCTCCCGGACGTGGCGGCTGGCCGGGTGGGGGGCTGACCCCCCCACCTCCCTCCTGGACGGGGTGGCTGGCCGGGCGGGGGGCTGATACCCCCCACCTCCCTCCCGGACGGGGCGGCTGGCCGGGCGGGGGGCTGACCTTCCCACCTCCCTCCCGGACGGGGCGGCTGGCCGGGCGGGGGGCTGACCCCCCCACCTCCCTCCCGGACGGGGCGGCTGGCCGGGCAGAGGGGCTCCTCTCTTCCCAGTAGGGGCGGCCGGGCAGAGGCGCCCCTCACCTCCCGGACGGGGCGGCTGGCCGGGCGGGGGGCTGACCCCCCCACCTCCTTCCCGGATGGGGCGGCTGGCCGGGCAGAGGGGCTCCTCACTTCCCAGTAGGGGCGGCCGGGCAGAGGCGCCCCTCACCTCCCGGACGGGGCGGCTGGCCGGGCGGGGGGCTGACCCCCCCCACCTCCCTCCCGGACGGGGCGGCTGGCCGGGCGCGGGGCTAACCCCCCCACCTCCCTTCCGGAGGGGGCGGCTGGCCGGGCGGGGGGCTGACCCCCACCTCCCTCCCGGACGGGGTGGCTGCCGGGCGGAGAGGCTCCTCACTTCCCAGACGGGGTGGCTGCTGGGCGGAGGGGCTCCTCACTTCTCAGACGGTGTGGCTGCCGGGCGGAGGGGCTCCTCACTTCTCAAACGGGGCGGTTGCCAGGCAGAGGGTCTCCTCACTTCTCAGACGGGGTGGCCGGGCAGAGACGCTCCTCACATCCCAGACGGGGCGGCAGGGCAGAGGCGCTCCCCACATCTCAGACGATGGGCGGCCGGGCAGAGACGCTCCTCACTTTCCAGACTGGGCAGCCAGACAGAGAGGCTACTCACATCCCAGACGATGGGCGGCCAGGCAGAGACGCTCCTCACTTCCCAGACGGGGTGGCGGCCGGGCAGAGGCTGCAATCTCGGCACTTTGGGGGGCCAAGGCAGGCAGCTGGGAGGTGGAGGTTGTAGCGAGCCGAGATCACGCCACTGCACTCCAGCCTGGGCACCATTGAGCACTGAGTGAACGCGACTCCGTCTGCCATCCTGGCACCTCGGGAGGCCGAGGCTGGCGGATCACTCGCGGTTAGGAGCTGGAGACCAGCCCCGCCAACACAGCGAAACCCTGTCTCCACCAAAAAAATACGAAAACCAGTCAGGCGTGGCGGCGCGCGCCTGCAATCGCAGGCACTCGGCAGGCTGAGGCAGGAGAATCAGGCAGGGAGGTTGCAGTGAGCCGAGATGGCAGCAGTACAGTCCAGCTTCGGCTCAGCATCAGAGGGAGACTGTGGAAAGAGAGGGAGAGGGAGACGGTGGGGAGAGGGAGGGGGAGGGGGAGGGGTGCTATTTTATTAATTGTTGTAAATCTCTTTTTGTGCCTTTTTTTTTTTTTTTGAGATGGAGTCTCGCTCTGTTGCCCAGGCTGGAGTGCAGTGGTGCAATCTTGGCTCACTGCAGCTTCTGCCTCCTAGATTCAAGGGATTCTCCTGCCTCAGCCTCCTGAGAAGGTGGGACTACAGGCATGTGCCACCACGCCCAGCTAATTTTTGTATTTTTAGTAAAGACGGGGTTTCGCCATGTTGGCCAGGCTGATCTCGAACTCCTGACCTCAGGTGATCCACCAGCCTCAGCCTCCCAAAGTGCTGGGATTACAGGCGTGAGCCACTGTGCCCAGCCTCTTGTGCATAATTTTAAAATTAAACTTTGTCATAGGTTTGCATGTACAGGAAAAAACATAGTACATATATGATTTGGTATATCTGCAGTTTCAGGTATCCACTGCGGGTCTTGGTGTATTTTAAAATTAAAAACGAAGGCCGGGTGTGGTGGCTCACACCTGTAATCCCAGCACTTTGGGAGGCCGACACAGGTAGATCACGAGGTCAGGAGTTCAAGACCAGCCTGGCCAATATGGTGAAACCCCGTCTCTACTAAAAATACAAAAATAAGCCGGGCATGGTGGCGCATGCCTGTAATCCCAGCTACTTGGAAGGCTGAAGCAGGAGAATTGCTTGAACCCGGAAGGCGGACATTGCAGTGAGCCGAGATTGCTCCACTGCACTCCAGCCTGGGCAACAGAGCTAGACTCTGTCTCAAAAACAAACAAACACAAAATAAAAACAAAACAAAAAAGAAGTAGTATTTCCACATGGTTCTAAGAAACTTTTTCCCCCTCAAGTATTTTATTATTTATTTATTTATTTATTATTTTTGAGACAAGATCTTCTCTGTTGCCCAGGCTGCAATGCAACAGTGTGATCTCGGCTCACTGCATCCTCGACCTCCTGGGCTCAAGTGATCCTCCCACCTCAGCCTCCTGAGTAGCTGGGACTACAGGTACACTCCACCATGCCAGGCTAGTTTTTGTATTTTTTGTAGATATGAGATTTCACCAAGTTGCTCAGGCTGGTTTCAAACCCCTGGCCTCAAGCGATCCTCCTGCCTTGGCCTCCCAAAGTGCTGGGATTACAGGCGCGTGCCACCACACCCGGCTAATTTTTGTATTTTTAGTAGAGATGGGGGTTTCACCATGTTGGCCAGGCTGGTTTCAAACTCCTGACCTCAAATGATCTGCCCACCTTGGCCTCCCAAAGTGCTGAGATTACAGGCGTGAGCCACTGTGCCTGGCCATGGAGGGTGTTTTATTGGCTCATATCACTCAATTCCTAGGGACAGCTGAATTCAAGTATAGCTGGGTCCAGGTGCCCAAATTTTGCCTTCATAATCTCTCACTAGCACTTGGATTTCCTTTGTTTTGGCTTCATTCTCAGATCAATTCTTGCATGGAAAGTCAAGATGGCCACACTCCACCTGCTCTTCTCTGGGAGGCTGGAAAAGTCACAGGGCGGTCTCTAATTTGGCTCTCACTTAGATCACATGTCCTGCCCTAAACCAATCACTTTGCTTGAGGTGGGGGATGGAATACACTGATTGGGCAAGTTTAAGTCACAGAACTCACCCCCGCAACTGGGAGGCGGAGCCAGCCCCAGCAAACTGCTTGCTGGACAGTAGGAGACAAGTGGTTCTGCAGACAATCTGGGGTGAGGGAAGGGCAGTTGCCAGAATTCTGAAGGGGTAATGGGTGCTGGGAAAGCTAAAACAACAGATTTTTACTAAAAAGGAGTAGCTTTCTCAAAGGGTTTGTTTAACATTTTGGTGAGTACAGATCAATTGCCTCCCAAACTGTCGTATTGTTTTGTATATTCGTCAACAATGTTTGAGAGTTCCCTTGTATCTGCGCTCATGTGAACACCAAACATTATCAATTGCATTAATTTTTTACCAACTTAATGGACAAAAATGTATCTCTACCAGGTGCAGTGGCTCATGCCTGTAATTCCAACATTTTGGGAGGCTGAGGTGGGAAGGTTGCTTGAGCCCAGGAATACAAGACCAGCCTGGGCAGTATAGCAAGACCCTGTTTCTACAAAAAATAAAAATACTAAAAATTAGCTAGGCTTGGTGGTGTGCACTTGTAGTTCTAGCTACTTGAGAGGCTGAGCACAGGAGGTTAAGTCTGCCATGAGCTATGATCACACCACTGCACTTCAGCCTGGGCAACACACTGAGACTCTGTCTCAAAAAAACAAAAAAAGCATAAATTGTCCTGTCATTACCTTCGCCCTTTGTCCTGTTGGATTTTCTGATCTTTTCTTACTGATGTGTAGGATCCTTTTGTATATTAGGGATAATAATTAGCAGGTAACTCTATCTGTGCTTTAAATATTGCAAAACTCCTACTTTAGCATTCACTTTTTTGTTGTTTTTGAGATGGAGTTTCACTTTTGTTGCCCAGGCTGGAGTGCAGTGGCACGATCTTGGCTCGCTGCACCCTCTGACTCCCGGGTTCAAGTGATTCTCCTGCCTCAGCCTCCTGAGTAGCTGGGATTACAGGCATGTTCCACCACGCCGAGCTAATTTTTATATTCTTAGTAGAGACAGGGTTTTACCACGTTGGCCAGGCTGGTCTGGAACTCCTAACCTCAGGTGATCCGCCCGCCTCGGCCTCCCAGAGTGCTGGGATTACAGGTGTGAGCCACCGCCCCCGGCCTAGCATTCCCTTTTTTTACTTTATGGTGTCTTTTACTGTAATCAAATCTTTTGATATTTTTCATTATAGTTTATGAATTTCATGTCTTATGAAAGTCCTTCTTATCCCCAAATTACAAAAAATGTTCTCCTTCTTCTGGCACTGTCTGATTAAAACAAAACAAACAAAAAAATAAAAAAATAAAAACAAAAAAAACCAAACCCTCCTGTATTTCTTCCTGGTGCTTTTGTAGTTATTTATGTACTTAGTTAATCCATCTGGAATTCATTGTTATGTATAGATCTGACTTAAGTATTTATTTTTCATAGATGGATAGCCACTTATTCCAGCACGGTTTCTTTTCCTTGCTAGTTTGAAATGCTGTTTTTATCATGTGCTAAATTTCCATGTGGTGGGAGGTGGAGATTGAGAAATATCTTAAAAGGTAAAACTGAATGAGAGAGTGAGTGGGAGGAAAAGGAGGGATCCAGGGTGACTACTTTTCCTGGTTGAGTGATTGTCTGGAACTGTGGAGTAGGAAGAGGTGCATGAATAAGAAGGTAGGTCAATCTGGGGCATGTTGCTTTTGAGGGACTCATGGATATCCAGGACATATTTAATAGAAATACATTAAATACAGGTGGCTCAAGCCTGTAATCCCACCACTTTTGGAGGCCGAGGCGGGTGGATCACTTGAGGTCAGGAGTTCAAGACCAGCCTGGCCAACATGGTGAAACCCCATCTCTACTAAAAATACCAAAATCAGCCGGGCATGGTGGTGGGCACCTGTAATCCCATCTTCTTGGGAGGCTGAGGCAGGAGAATCACTTGAACCAAGGAGTCGGAGGTTGCAGTGAGCAGAGATTGCACCACTGCACTCTAGCCTGGGCAACAGAGTGAGACTCCGTCTCAAAAAAATAATAATAATAAAATAAAATAAAAAAATAAAAAAAATAAATAAAAATAATAGAAATACATGATAAGTCTTTATGCTAAAATATTCACTACATGAAAAACGTTTTGGAGACTGTCTCTGTATGATGCATTCTATTGTTCTGTTTGCCTATTCATTTACTTGGTTATTTCGTAAATATTTGTGAACTAGGAAAACAAATCCATGCTTGCTATAATAATAATTGTTTTATGGTACATTTGGATTAGTGGTAATGGAAGTAATTCCCACCTGGTCCATTATCCTTATTTTTAACTACTTTTTTTGTTGTTGTTGTTCTTGGTACCCATTTACTCTTCCAGATGAATTTTAGAATTATCTTCTCTAGTTTTGGTTAAATAATTCCACTGGAAATTTAAACTGGAGTTGCAATGAATTTATAGAGTAATCTGGGGGAAAATTGAGAGCTTTTCCGGAGTGTTCTTCCATTTTGAGAAGATGGCATAGGTCTCTCTGTTTATTCAGGTCTTCTTGTATGTTCTGGGTAAAGTTTATTCCTGGGTATTTCATAGCTTCAATTGCTATCACGAATTAGATAATTTTTTTCTAACATTTTAAAATTGTTTTTGCTTGGTAAAAAAGAAAACTATTGATTTTTGTATATTTTTCTTTTGGCCATCTTACTGAACCTGCTGATGTGATCTAAATGGCTTCAGTTGAATCTTTGACTTTTCTAACTAGACAATAATGTAATCTGCATGTAGTGATGATTTTGCTCTTTTTGTAGTATTTATATCTCATTTCTTTTCTTAGACTAACTCTTTTATTTGATTCTTGCTTCTTTTTATTTACCTTTTTATAGCTTTATTGATGAACAATTGACAATACAATAAACTACACATATTTAAAATGTACAATTTGATAAGTTTTCACATATGAACATATCCTCAAAGCCATCAAGTCAAGATAATGAACATATTTATCACCCCAAAAGTTTCCCCATGCCCCTTTGCTCCCCCAACTCTCCCCTCATCTCTAGGCAACCATTGATCTGTTTTCCATCCCTATAGATTAGTTTGCATTTTCTTGATGCAGTCATACAGTAGATACTCCTCTTTTTCATTTTTCTTCTTTCATCCAGCATAATAATTTTTTATTATGTGGCCGGGTGCAGTGGCTCATGCTTGTAATCCTAGCACTTCGGGAGGCCGAGGTGGGGGCATCACTTGAGGTCAGGAGTTCGTGACCAGCCTGGCCAACATGGTGAAACCCCGTCTCTACTAAAAATACAAAAATTAACGGGGCGTGGTGGTGCATGCCTGTAATCCCAGCTACTCAGGAGGCTGAGGCAGGAGAATCGCTTGAACCCAGGAGGCAGAGTTTGCAGTGAGCCGAAATTGCACCACTGCACTCCAGCCTGGGCAACAGAGCAAGACTCCGTCTCAAAATAAAACAAAACAAATTAGCTGGGCTTGGTGGCAGGCACCTGTGGTCCCAGCTACTCGGGAGGCTGAGGCAGAATTGCTTGAAGACAGGAAGTGGAGGTTGCAGTGAG
This sequence comes from Homo sapiens, assembly GCF_000001405.40. Lineage (NCBI taxonomy): Eukaryota > Metazoa > Chordata > Mammalia > Primates > Hominidae > Homo > Homo sapiens. The sequence continues at coordinate 38,625,072 of NC_000017.11, read as the reverse complement.
CTGAGATTGCGTCACTGCACGCTAGCTTGGGCAACAGAGCGAGACTCTGTCTCAAAACAAAAACAAAAACAAAAAACAAACAAACAAACAAAAAAAACCCCCGCCAAACTAATTTCCAAAGTGGTCGTACCATATTACATACCCACCAGCAGCGTATGAGTTTCATTTTCTCCTCATTCTCACCAGCGCTTGATACTGTGGTATTCCAATAGTGATGTCTCATTGTGAAACCACAATTTGCATTTCTCTAATGACTAGTGATGGGTCTCTTTCCATATCCATCTGCATATCTTCTTCTTTGTTGAAGTATCCAAAATCTTGCGCTTTTTTTTTTTTTCCTGAAACAGGATCTTGCTCTGTTGCCCAGATTGGAGTGCAGTGGTGCAATCGTGGCTCACTGCAGCCTTGACTTCCAAGGGATCCTTCCACCTCAGCCTCTCAAGTAGCTGGGACTACAGGCGCGAGCCACAGTGGTCAGCGGTCAGCTAGTTTTTTAAACTTTTTTTTTTTTTTTTTTTTTTGAGACAGACTACTGCTCTGTCACCCAGGCTGGAGTGCAGTGGAGCGATCTCAGCTCACTGCAACCTCCGCCTCCCGGGTTCAAGCAATTCTCCTGCCTCAGCCTCCCCAGTAGCTGGGATTATAGGCGCTTGCCACCATGTCCGGCTAATTTTTGTATTTTTTTTTAGTAGAGACGGGGTTTCACCACGTTGACCAGGCTGGTCTCGAACTCCTGACCTCAGGTGATCCACCTGCCTCAGCCTCCCAAAGTGCTAGGATTACAAGCATGAGCCACCGCGCCCAGCTTAAACATTTTTTGTAGAGACAGGGTTTCATTATGTTGCTTAGGCTGGTCTCTAACTTCTGGGCTCAAGCAATCCTTCTGCCTTGGCTTCCCAAAATGCTGGGATTACAGGTGCGAGTACCGTGCCCGGCTCTTGTGCCCATTTTATTTATTTATTTATTTATTTATTTATTTATTTATTTATTTGAGAAGGAGTCTCACTGTGTCACCCAGGCTGGAGTGCAGTGGCACGATCTCGGCAACCTCTGCCTCCCAGGTTCAAGCGATTCTCCTGCCTCAGCCTCCAGAGTGTTTAGGACTACAAGCGCACACCACCACGCCCAGCTAATTTTTGTATTTTTAGTAGAGACAGGGTGTCGCCATGTTGACCAGACTAGTCTTAAACTCCTGACCTCGGGTGATCCACCTGCCTTGGCTTCCCCAAGTGCTGGGATTACAGGCGTGAGCCATTGCCCCTGCCTCCGTGTGCCCATTTTAAATATTGGGTTGTTTGTTTTCTTATTATTGGGATTTTAGAGTTCTTTATATATCCTGGATAAAAGTCCTTTATCCATATATGCTTGCAAATATTCTTTCCCAGTCTGGCTTGCTTTTTTATTCTCTTTTTTTTTTTTTGAGACCGAGTCTCGCTCTGTTGCCCAGGCTGGAGTGCAGTGGCGTGATCTTGGCTCACTGCAATCTCTGTCTCCCGAGTTCAAGTGATTCTCCTGCCTCAGCCTCCCAAGTAGCTAGGATTACAGTCACCCACCATCATGCCCGGCTAATTTTTGTGTTTTTGTAGAGATGGGGTTTCACCATGTTGGCCAGGCTGGTCTTGAACTCCTGACCTCAGGTTATCTGCCCGCCTCGGCTTCCCAAAGTGCTGGGATTACAGGCGTGACCCACCGCACCCAACCTTTTCTTTTTTCTTTTTATTTTTTTTTTAGGCAAGGTTTTGTTCTTGCACCCAAGCTGGAGTGTAATGGTGTGATTGTAGCTCACTGCAGCCTTGAACTTCTGGGCTCAAGTAATCCTCCTGCTTCAGCCTCCCGAGTAGCTAGGACTACAGGTGCGTGCCACAACAACCAGCTAACTTACTGTTTATTTATATTTTCTTTGAGACAGGATCTCGCTCTGTTGTCCATGCTGGAGTGCAGCACCATGACCACAGCTCACTGCAGCCTACTTCCTGGGCTCAAGCGATCCTCCCGCCTCAGCTTCCCAAGTAGCTGGGACCACAGCTGCATGCTACCATGACTGGCTAATTTTTGTATTTTTGGTAGAGACAGGGTTTCACCATGTTGCCTAGGCTGGCTTCAGACTCCTGAGCTCAAGTGACCCAACTGCCTTGGCCTCCCAAAATGCTAGGATTACAGGCGTGAGCCACTGCACCTGGCGAAAAGACAGTCTTTCTTCCACTAGATTGCCTTTACATCTTTGTTGAAAATCAGTTGAACATATGTGCATGGATCTGTTTACAAGCCTTGATCTATTTGCCCATCTTGATGCCAATATGACACTGTCTTGATTGTGCCGTCGCTTTATAATCATCTTAAAGTTAGATAGTGTAAGTCCTCCAATTTTTCCCCTTCTTTTCCAAAATTGTTCTGACTATTCTAAATCCCTTGTGCTTTTCTTCTTTGTCTTTCTTTCTTTCTTTTATTTTTTGAAACAGAGTCTCGCTCTATCGCCCAGGCTGGAGTGCAGTGGCGTGATGTCGGCTCACTGCAACCTCCACCTCCCGGGTTCAAGTGATTCTCCTGCCTCAGCCCTCCTGAGTAGTTGGGATTACAGGCATGTGCCACTGTTCTGGCTAAGTTTTGTATTTTTAGTAGAGAGGGGATTTCACCATGTTGCCCAGGCTGGTCTTGAACTTCTGACCTCAGGCGATCCGCCAGTCTTGGCCTCCCAAAGTACTGAGATTACAGGCGTGAGCCACTGCGCCCAGCTTCCATCAGATTTTCTACATAGAAATTCATGCCATCTGTGAATAATGATCATTTTGCTGCCGCCTTTCAAATCTGATGTCTTTTTCCCTTTCTTGCACTGGCTGAACTACAACACTGACTAGGGATGATATTCAGGTCTTTAATTCCTCTAAGCAAATTTCATAGTTTCTGGTATCAAGTCTTGTATATCCTTTGTCAGACTTATCCCTAAATATTTCATATTTTTTGGATGCTACTATACAGAGTTTTTTTTTTTTTAATTTCAATTTCCAATAGTTCACTTGCTAGTATATAGAAATGTAATCGATTTTTATATATTGATCTTATCTCCTACAATCTTGTTAAACTTACTTATTAGTTGTAATAGCCATTTAACAAATTCCATCAGATTTTTTACATAGAAATTCATGCCATCTGTAAATAATGATCATTTTGCTGCTGCCTTTCAAATCTGATGTCTTTTCCCCTTTCTTGCACTGGCTGAACTACAGTGCTGACTAGGGATGATGGGGGTGGACATCCCTGCCTTATTCCCATGCTGAGACACAAGTCTAGGGCTCTTCGGGGAAAATTCACTCTCTTAGTGGAGCCCTCTATGATGTCATAGATTCCTTCTCTGTTAGGTTGTGCTATCAGTAAATCAAGCCTGTTTTAAAACCCCAGGATATTTTTTTGTGTCATTTCAAAGGGATTGTCCAGGATGGAGGGGCAAACATACGTGTTAAGGGTAACCATCTTGAATCAGAAGTCTAAATGTTAGGGTTTTGTCAGGGAAGTGTAACCCCAAAATACAGAGTGTGGGGAGTTAAGATGATCTGACAAACCAGGGACTCTGGGCTGACAAGAGAAGAAAGAGTGGGCCGGGTGCGGTGGCTCACGCCTGTAATCCCAGCACTTTGGGAGGCTGAGGCAGGTGGATCATTTGAGGTCAGGAGTTCGAGACGAGCCTGGCCAACATGGTGAAACCCTGTCTCTACTAAAAATACAAAAATTATCCGGGTGGTAGTGGCGCATGCCTGTAATCCCAGCTACTTGGGAGGCTGAGGCAGGAAAATTGCTTGAGCCTAGGAGGCGGAGATTGCAGTGAGCCAAGATCTCGCCACTGCACTCCAGTCTCGGTGACAGAGTGAGACCCTGCCTCATTAAAAAGAAAAAAAAAAGAGTGAAGGCAGAAGGGAACTGATGGATGGGGAATGCACCTCTGGATCAGTTGGTGGGAGATTGAAGAACGGTTGTATGACGAATAGTTGAATAGAGGGAGTGGACGATGCTCCAGAGAGGAAAATATGAGCACATACAGATGGTAACAGTGTCTAGATGGAAACAAGGCTATGGGTACAGTGGAAAGTGATCAGGCATGTGAAGGTCACAGCACTGAGAGGCTGAGGCTTTGAAGTTACCCAGGATATGCTAGGAATTGGGATGTCAAAAGGCTTCAACAAATAGAGGCAGTATTGCGAGTTCAATGGACAAGGCCACTGTAGGTGGCACGGTGAGGGTGGCACAGATGGATAGAGCAGAGGCTTTTGCAAGAAAGTAACAGAATGATGTTTTGGAAACAGCGATGGGGACCTAGGAAGGGCCTGATCCCACCTCCCAACGGTGGCCCCACTTCCTGACCCTGAGGTTGGGGGTGAAGGAGACTGAGCAGCAGCTGTTCCTGAAAGGGACAATGTGAGCCGCAACAGCCATGGGGAGGTGCCAGACTCTTTCTCCCCAGTCCTGGGGTCCCAGATCCCCTGCCTCTGGTTACACTTGGGGACTGGAGTCCAGCCACGGCCTGGAAGTTGGACACACAGTCCAGGGATTCAGAGCCAAGTGTTTCCATCAATCTGGAAGTAAAGAAGAGAGGGGCTTTGGATGCCTCAGGCAAGTCACTTCACTTTTCTGAGCCTCAGTTTTATCAACTCTAAAATGGGGTTTTATACTCGCAGATGGAACTAAATAAAATAATATCCTAAGTGCTTAAGAATTACCCCAACTATGATTATTTTATGTTCCTAGAGCTAGACCTTGATTTCCTTGTCTTTCTGTGAGGAGCTCCTTGATTTTGGCCAGAAGTGCAGCCCAACCCTTGGAAGTAAGGAGTTGGAGCCCGACGCTCAGGGCAGCATCAGGGCCTCAAAGGTGTCCCCTGAACACCAGCCCTTACAGCCTCCGACAGGATGCTTGCGTCGGATTCAGGGCTGGGCCTGGACGGGGGCTGGGCAGCTGTGAGTCTGCAACAGGACAAGGAGCAGAGCTGTGGGTCCTGGAAGGGAGGGAACAGAAGGCAAAGCGTGCACCCGTCTGCCTGACCCAGATGTGGCCAAAAACAGAGCAGGGTTGGGAAGGGCTTTGCTGGTCTCACAGGGGTTGGAACAGGGCTGCTCACCACAGAGGCTGGCAGTGATAGTAATACATAGCGGCTACACAGTGGGGAGCTTCTTCCGCCTTCTTCCCAATTTCTAGATCCACACGTAGAGCACACCAGAGAGACTTGCTCAAGCTCCCACAGCCAGAAGGTGGGACTCAGTGGGAGCATTTATGGGGCACATTCCCTGTGCCTCTGGCCCATTCTCCTCTCAATCCTCATCTTAATATCCACTTTGGAAGAGCAGATTATTTCTGTTTCTGGTTGTGCCCCAACCACTGAAAGATGATCTTGCTCCTAGTAGTTGCTCAATAAATATTTGTTGAGTGTTGAGTGCATACCAGTCACTGTGCTGAGTGACTTGTACCTGTGCACTCTCACTAACCCTCCCAGGCCCATTTTACAGATGAAGAAACTGGGAAACACAGAGGCTGAGCGCTCTCAAACATGCCAGATGCCCCCTCCCGACCAAATAAACTGCCAGAGACACAGGGCTGAAAGGCAGAGTGGGTAGGTGTGAGAAGGGATCTGGCTCTGAATTCTGCCTACGTCACAAATTAACTTGTGTCGTCGGGCAAGTCACTTGATGCTTCTGAACCTGTTTCTTTTTGTTTTGTTTTGTTTTAGAGACAGAGTCTCACTCTGTCACCCAGGCTGGGCAGTGGCACGATATCGGCTCACTGCAACGTCCACCTCTGGGTTCAGGTGATTCTCCTGCCTCAGCCTCCTAAGTAGCTGGGATTACAGGCACCACCACACCCAGCTAATTTTTGTATTTTTAGGAGATATGGGGTCTCACTATGTTGGCCAGACTGGTCTTGAACTCCTGGTCTCAAGTGATCTGCCCACCTTGGCCTCTCAAAATGCTGGGGTTACAGGTATGAGCCATTGCTCGGCCTCAGTTTCTTTATCTGAGTGTAGTTAGGGTTGTGGGGTTGCCATGGGGCCCTGGAGCCCTGGATCTGGGTAGAGACAGTGAGAGGGGGTAAAGGTTGGGGCCCTTCTTTGGAAGGGAGTCGTGGCTCTGTTCTGGGAGGTGGTAAGAGATGAAGGGGATAGGGCCAGGCACGGTGGCTCACACCTGTAATCCCAGCACTTTGGGAGGCTGAGGCGGGTGGATCACAAGGTCAGGAGATCGAGACCATCCTGGCCAACATGGTGAAACCCTGTCTCCACTAAAGATACAAAAAATTAGCCGGGCATGGAGGCGGGCGCCTGTAGTCCCAGCTACTCGGGAGGCTGAGGCAGGAAAATGGCGTGAACCTGGGAGGCGGAGCTTGCCGTGCGCCGAGATTGTGCCACTGCACTCCAGCCTGGGCAACAGAGCAAGACTCCGTCTCAAAAACAAACAAACAAACAAAAAAGAGATGAAGGGAATGTACTGGGCTCTGGAGACACATGGATCCAAATTCTTATGCCACTTACAAACTGTGGGACTTTGGGGATGGGACCCGAACTTCCTGAGCTTCTGTTTCCACATCAATAGAAAGGAGGGAAGCATGTGCACCACTTGGCCTTGTTGTAAGGTTAAATAAGGCCATGCTGCCAAGTGCCTATAGCAGGTGGTGCTTAGTAAACAAAAGCATGTGGGTGTCCCCTGGGCCAGCCTTTCCAGGTGAATCCCCTGAAATGCATCCCTGACCTGACCTTGGTCCCCTTGAGCTAGTAAGCCTCTATCATCTCTATCTCTCTCTCTCTCTCTCTCTTTTTTTTTTTTTAAGACAGGGTCTTGCTCTGTTGCTCAGGCTAGAGTGCAGTGGTATGATCATGGTTCACTGCAGCCTTGGCCTCTTGGGCTCAAGTGATACCCCCACCTCAGCCTCCCGAGTAGCTGAGACCACCATGCCTGGCTAATTCTTGCATTTTATTTTGTAGAGATGGGATTTTGCTATGTTGTCCAGGCTGTTCTCAAATTCCTGGGCTCAAGTCATCTGCCCGCCTTGGCCTCCCAGAGTGCTGGGATCACAGGCGTGAGCCACCTCACCTGGCTGTCACTAATACTTTTACAAGGAATTTATTTCTTACATTGGCCTCTCTCCCCAGTCAGGAGAGGTTACCCTGCTAGTGGACTGGAGAAGGATGTGGTCAGGGTGTCTGGTGTCCAGAAGGGACACTCACTCAACCTCTGCATCCCTGCCCCTCCCAAGTTGACTCCTTCCTGCCCATAGCTACATGTTCTTCCTGAATCACATCACTTAAAAGCCTCCGTGGGCACCTGCAGGGCCCACCTGAAGCTCCTTAGCTGGGCATCCACCATTCACAGCTCCTCCAACGCTAGCCTGCCACCTCCCAGCCTCTCCTGCTGCCACTCCCTGGGCAGCCCTCTACCCCCAAGCCATACCAGCTCCCGCACGCTGGCCCCGGCGCGCTGGCCCCAGCTTTCTCAACATTCTCCCTTGGCCAGAGACACCCTCCTCCTCTTTTCCACTCAGCAAAACCCTGCTTTGCTTTCAAGGCCCAACTCAGATGTCAGCCACCTCTGTCATAAAGCTTTTCCAGATCCCTTTCCCTGAGGACTGATTGCTCCTTCCTCAGTGCCCCACCCACAGGCTGGGAGGGCACACTGTCGCAGGGCAGTGGAATGGTGTCTGTAGGTCCCAGCTGTTCTGCTCCCGCTGCTCTGGGAAGAGGACAGACACAGCTGGTCTCCTGTCCCGCCCTACCCTGACTGCTGGATGCCTGGCCCTTCAGAGTCCCCTGTGTACGTCCCCAGCCCCCATCTGGGCTCTGAGCCCCAGAGGTAGCAGGTGTATTCCTCATCCGGCAGGAAGCCTCTGGCTCCACCCCGGTAGGCTGTGTGCGAAGCTATAGTACAGATGGGGTTGTTGAAAATATCCGTGACATATTCCAAACTGGCCTACTTTCCTATCACGAGAGTCTGAGACGGAGACGGGCGAGGACAAGTGAGATGGAAGTTTGGGACCTGTTCCCACCTCCTTCCTCCCTCAGTTCAGTTGTTAGGAGAGGGATTTGCAGCCTCTCCCCGCGGTCCCTGCCCTGTTCTGGGGCTGTGTGGCTGGGGTGTTGGTGGAGAGGGTGGCATGGGGGTGTGGGGGTGCAGAAGGCCTAAGGAAGTTCACAGAGCCACCAAGAAAGGAGGCCTGGGTCCTATCTGGGAAGCTTCTGGCCCCAAGAGGCAGGGCAGTGGGGGTCATCTCACTGGACTGAAGAACTGAGGGTCTGGGCTCAAGTCCTGGCTCACCTGTGAGGCCTCAAACAAGTTTCTTAACTTCTCTGGGCTTCAGTTTTCTCATCAGGAAAACAGGTTATTCGTAATCCTGGCTTGCCTCCTTGAAGCCTTGATTATGGGGTTGCTTTGAAGACTCTAAAGCTCTGGACCCTGCCTTAATAATCCGTTTCTCAGCCTCTCCCTGTCGGCGAGGCTCTGCCCTTGCATGGCAGCTTAAGTGGTCACCTGCTCCGGTCCTCTGCCTCCCAGCAGGCCTGGCTGGGCCTCCACCCTTAATCCTGGTTGAATGATCTCTGAATAGGAAGTCACCCAGCATCCTCCCCCTGGTGCCAGGCCTTCATCATCCCTCCTGCACTGCCAGGAGGTTCACACTCAGAGCTAATTTCAGTCTCTCTTGCTGACATGAAACCCCTAGAGTGTTCCCTGGCTTGTCTCCTCCTTCACACACACGGTGATCATTATTTTAGTTTCTCCCTTTTCAGATGAAACATGCCCTCCTTCCCTCTCTTTCTCAAGGTGGGCAGAATTCTTGAGGCATTTTTCTAACTCTGATGAAGCTGAACTGCTTCTTCTTCCTTCTTCTTCTTCTTCTTTTTTTTTTTTTTTTTTTTTTTTTTTTGAGACAAGGTCGCACTCTATTGCCCAGGCTGGAGTGCAGTGGTGTAATCATGGCTCACTGCAGTGTCCACCTCCTGGGCTCAAGTGACCCTACTGTCTCAGCCCCTTGAATAGCTGGGACTACGGGTGTGCACCATCACACCTGGCTAATTCGCATAAATAGAAAAATGTGGCCAAATCGAGGAAGATTGGTTGCTATGGATCCACTAATCAGGGCAAAACTAGAAATAATGATTCATTTGAAACACTTATGGGCTTGGCGCAGTGGCTCAGGTCTGTAATCCCAGCACTTTGGAAGGCCAAAGCGGTTGGATCACCTGAGATCAGGAGTTTGAGACCAGCCTGGCCAATGTGGTGAAACCATCTCTACTAAAAATACAAAAATTAGCTGGGTGTAGTGGTGGGCACCTGTCATCCCAGTTACTCAGGAAGCTGAGGCAGGAGAATCACTTGAACCTGGGAGGTGGAGGTCGCAGTGAGCCAAGATTGGGACATTGCACTCCAGCCTGGGCGACAGAGCAACACTGTCTCAAAAAATAAAATAAAATAAAAAATAAGCAAAATGTATTATTTTACTTTCTTTTTTCTTTCCTTTTTTTCTTGATAGTCTCAGTCTGTCGTCTAGGCTAGAGTGCAGTGGCATGATCTCGGCTCACTGCAACCTCTGCCTCCCAGGCTCAAGTGATCCTCCCACCTCAGCCTCCTGGGTAGCTGGGACTACAGGCATGTGCCACCATGCCCAACTAATTTTTTGTATTTTTAATAGAGACAGCGTTGGCCGGGTGCAGTCGCTCACATCTGTAATCCCAGCACTTTGGGAGGCCCAGGTGGGTGGATCACGAGGTCAGGAGTTCAAGACCAGCCTGACCAACATGGTGAAACCCCGTCTCTACTAAAAATACAAAAATTAGCCGGGCGTGGTGGCACATGCCTGTAATCCCAGCTACTCAGGAGGTTGAGGCAGGAGAATCGCTCGAAACCGGGAGGCAGAGGTTGCAGTGAGCTGAGATTGTGCTACTGCACTCCAGCCTGGGTGACAGAGCAAGACTCTGTCTCAAAAAAAAAAGAGAGAGACAGGGTTTTGCCACGTTGCCCAGGCTGATCTGGAACTCCTGGGCTCAAGCATCTGCCTGCCTCGGCCTCCCAAAGTGCTGGGATTACAGGCATGAGCCACCACGCCCTGCCAGTATTTTTTTACAGTGTTTTTTTTTTCGTTTTGTTTTTGTTTTTTGAGACGGAGTCTCGCTCTGTTGCCAGGCTGGAGTGCAGTGGCGCAATCTCGGCTCAATGCTTAATGCAACCTCTGCCTCTCAGGTTCAAGCGATTCCCCTGCCTCAACCTCCTAAGTAGCTGGGACTACAGGTACGCGCCACCACGCCCAACTAATTTTTGTATTTTTAATGGAGATGGGGTTTCACCATGTTGGCCAGGATGGTCTGGATCTCTTGATTTCATGATCTGCCTACCTCAGCCTCCCAAAGTGTTGGGATTACAGGTGTGAGCCACCGCACCCAGCCTTTTTTTACAGTTCTTAACATGTCAAGATGTCACTAATTTTTGGTCCCAGTCATATACCAGCAGTTATTGCTGAGAGGGTCGGATCTCCCAGGTGATGAGGTGAAGTCAGGAGTGGGGCAGGGAGTGGGATGGAGTCCTTGCTGAGGGGAGCTCAGAGGGGCCAGCACAGAAGATGGGTGGACACAAAGGAGCAACCACAGGAGAGGCCAGGGGAGTGGGGTACAAATCAGGATAGCAATGCCCAGAATCCATGCAGCGAGGTGCTGGACATCCCAGAGCGGGAGAGGCCAGGAGGCACCGGCAGAGAGGACCACAGCTCTGCCTTGGCTAGGAAGAGACAGACGGCCACAAAGAAAGCTACATGGGTGTTAGGAAAGCCCAGGGGAGTGCAAAGTTCAGCTAGAATATGTTTGTGTGTTTGCTTATGTGTGTAAGGAAGGAAGGGGGTGGAATTTGGAAAGGCTTTACTGAGGAAATGGAATTTGAGCTGGGCTTTGAGGCCAGAATCAGGTGTCAACAGGTGCAGAGGAAGGAAAGGACAACCCCATGGGGGAGGGGAACAGTATAGGCAAAGACATGGAGTGTGAAGGGAAGATTGTGTGTGTGTGTGTGTGGGTGTGTGTGTGTTGTGGGAGGTAGCCAGAAATAAGGCTGGAAAGATTAGAGGATGGGGTCGTGGAGGGCCTGGAATGCCAGCCTGAATTTATTGAGTAGGTCAGCAGTGAAAGGGTCCTTAGGGTAGTGTTTCTCAAACTCTGTAATGAAGGACTACCCCCGCCTTTTAAAAAAATTTCCAATTGATTGCATACCCATATTTTTGTAAAATACAGTAAAAGTGGTCATGTGCCTAGATGTACAGGCAATCGCTATAAAGGTTTCTCAGTGCTTACTCTCCATTTCTGTATTCTTGTGAACCAGTGGCTGGCACTGGTCTATGGACCACACTTTGAGTAGCTCTGCCTTAGAGGTCCTTGGATGGGCTGCAGAGGTCAAAGAGGCCCACTCATTTCTTGTACATGGGCACATTTATTTATTTACAGAGAATGCAAAATTCTTGTTAGGACCTCAAAGGGTTCAGGTTCCTATAATCCCTTGGTGTGAGAATGGGGAGCCATGGAAGATCTTTGAGCAGAAGGGGCTATAGGAAGCTTTGGAGCAGGGAGGAGCAGTGAACAGCCTGATTCACCCTGGAACTCCTCCCCACTCTGCTGCACCCTGAGCAGGCAGCCCAGGGCCTGGCATGTGGGGAGAGTGCTGTGGGGAATGTGAGATTCCAGAGAGCAGGAGGTTCACTTAAGGGGTGATGAAAACAATCTGTGGTAGGCCTGTACTCCCAGCACTTTGGGAGGTCGAAGTGGGCAGATCACTTGAGGTCAGGAGTTCAAGACCAGCCTGGCCAACGTGGTGAAACCCCATCTCTACTAAAAATACAAAAATTAGCCGGGCGTGGTGGCACGTGCCTGTAATCCCAGTTACTCAGGAGGCTGAGGCAGGAGAATCACTTGAACTCGGGAGGCAGAGGTTGCAGTGAGCCAAGATCGCATCACTGCACTTACTAAAAAAAAAAAAAAAATTGTGGTAAAGAAAACTAGAGGGCTTTGAAGGCTATGTTCGGAGCAAAGGATCAGAGAGGGGTGGACCTGCCACTGGGGCAGATGGCACGATGTTAGCTGAAGATGCGAAGCACAGATCAACTGTCTGCCACCTGCTTGGGAGGCAGGAACCTGAAAGGGAGGCCCCCATGGAGTGAGGGCTAGGCAGAGGAAGAGGCTTCGGGGAGCAGCCTGGGGCCAGAAAACATCTCAAGGTCCTACGAGCATCCTCTGAGAGTCCTCAGAGCAGTGCCCAGTGTTCCAGCACACCGGGAAAGGCTGTGACTCATGTGGGCACAAGCTCTTTTGTTCCAAAGAAGATAAGCTGAACTTTTCAGATGGTTCTACTCATTGAATTCCCTGGCAGACTCCTACTTTCATTATTACTTTGTTTTCTGAGGCGAGATTTGCATAGTATATTAATAAAACTAACCATTATAAAGTGAACAACTCAGTGGCATTTAGTGCTTTCATAATACTGTGCAACCATCAACTCTATATAGTTCCAGCACGTTTTCATCATCCCAAATGGAAACCTCATACCCATTAACAGTTGCTCCCTGTTCTCCCGTCTCTCCAGGCAAATCTCTGTGGATTTACCTATTCTGAATATTTCATATAAATGGAATCACACAATATATGACTTTTAATGACTGGCTTCTTTCACTTAACATGATATTTTGGTGGGGACTGGGGATTTTTTTGTAAAGATAGGGGCTTGCTACATTGCCCAGGCTGGCCTCGAACGCCTGGCCTCAAGGAATTATCCTGCCTTGGCCTCTCATAGCACTGGGATTACAGGCCTGAGCCACGGTGCCCAGCCAGCATGATGTTTTTGAGGTTCATCCATGTTGAAGCATGTATTAGTACTTCATTCCTTTTTATGGATGAATAGTATTCCATTGTATGGATATACCACAATTTGTGTATCCATTCATCCACTGAAGGACATTTGGGCTGTTGGATCATAGGGTCATTCTATGTTTAAAGAACTGCCAAACTGCTTTCCATAGCTGCTGAACCATTTCACATTCCCATCAGCAATGCACGAGAGTTCTTCCTACTTTCATCATTAACTAGGGGATTGCTATAACCTTGGAAGGCAAGGAGATGGTTACTAGGTGCTAGCAGGGGTAAAACGGATCAGGATAGTACCGGCTCCATGCCCTGCACCTTCTACCACAGTCTTCTAAGGCTGGTTGGCAGGCCTGGGAAGGCAGCTAGCTGGAGGTGGAAGGAGTCTTCCATTTTTTTCCCCAAGACATGTGAATCAGATGGTGAAATCTAGAGCCTTAAAGTCAAGCTGGGTGTGGCCCTGCAGGAGTTGGGCTTGTGGTCTACCTGGGCCTCAGTGGCTCATAATATGTCCTGTTAAGGACAGATACAGACTGTACCTTCCTTCTCCTCCTCCCTGCCCTGGCCTCATCTTTCTTGTCTTTTCCCTTTCCCTGTCAAAGGCCTTCTTTCACTCTTTCCATCTCTCCATACATCCCTCCCTCTCTTCTTCTCTCTTTCCTCCCCTCCCTCCCTCCTGCTTCCCCTCTTCTTCCCTTTTCTTCTGTTTTTCTCCACCTCTCATCTTCTCTTCATCCCAATTCTGTTTGCCCCCTCCCCTCACCCTCCATCTCTTCACTCCAGCTCCAGTCTCCTGTCTCCCTCCTCCCCCAACTAGAGCACTAAGGTTGCAGTTCACTCACCCACCCACCCGGGCAATTCTTTTTTGTTTGTTTGTTTTTTGAGAAAAAGTCTTGCTCTGTCACCCAGGCTGGAGTGCAGTGGTGTGATCTCGGCTCACTGTAACCTCCGCCTCCTGAGTTCAAGTGATTCTCGTGCCTCAGCCTCCCGAGTAGCTAGGCTTACAGGCGCGTGCCACCACGCCCGGCTAATATTTGTATTTTTAGTAGAGATGGCGTTTCTCCATGTTGACCAGGCTGGTCTCAACTCCTGACCTCAGGTGATCCACCTGCCTTGGCCTCCCAAAGTGCTGGGATTACAGCGTGAGCCACCTCGCCTAGCATGAGCCACCTCGCCCGGCCCCACCCCGACAATTCCTTTTTTTTTTTTTTTTTGAGATGGAGTTTCACTTTTGTTGCCCAAGCTGGAGTGCAATGGCGCGATCTCAGCTCACTGCAACCTCTGCCTCCCAGGTTCAAGTGATTCTCCTGCCTCAGCCTCCCAAGTAGTTGGGATTACAGGCACCTGACACCATGCCCAACTAATTTTTTGTATTTTTAGTAGAAACAGGGTTTCACCATATTAGCCGGTCTGGTCTCGAACTTCTGACCTCAGGTGATCCGCCTGCCTGGGCTTCCCAAAGTGCTGGGATTACAGGGGTGAGCACCGCATCCGGCCCCATCCCGACAATTCTTATGCCTAAGGGACCAAGTGGGAAGGGAGGAGGTGGGGAGCTGCAGGCATGCTTATGGACTGTAGCCACAAGCCCCTCTCCCCACTTAGGCCCTGGGAGGTCACCCAGAGTGAGGTGGGTGCTAGGAACCCTCTCCCTTGCGGTTATTCTCCCCTCCTACAGAGAAAGGAGATCCACTGGCATCAGCAGCACCGAGCATGGACCTGGCACACAGCAGGGGATCAGGGATCCAGTTCCGGTCTCCAGTTTGGGCAACAAAAGTGAAACTCCATCTCAAAAAAAAAAAAAGAATTGTCAGGGTGGGGCCGGGCACGGTGGCTCACGCCTATAATCCCAGCACTTTGGGATGCTGAGGCGGGTGGATCACCTGAGGTCAGGAGTTCGAGACCAGCCTGGCCAACATGGTGAAACCCGGTCTCTACTAAAAATACAAAAATTAGCTGGGCATTGTGGTGGGTGCCTATAATCCCAGCTACTCGGGAGACTGAGGCAGGAGAATCGCTTCAGCCCGGGAGGCAGAGGTTGCAGTGAGCCGAGATCGAGCCACTGAACTCCAGCCTGGGTGACAGAGTGAGATTCTATCTCAAAAAAAAAGAGAAAAGAAAAGAAAAAAGAAATGCGAATTCTCAGGCCCCTCCTCAAATCTGTTGAATCTGAGACCTTGAGGGGAGGGGAGCAATCGCTGGTTTAACATGCCCTCCAGGCAACTGGGCTTTTCCAATTACTTTCAGAGCCACTGCCCTACCACAGGGGGAGCCCTGGCTTAATGAGGGGGGCAAGGTGCCTGACTCAAGGAGCTCCCAGTCTGATGGGACAGATGGAACCCTTGCCATCTGACAGGGAAGACAGCCTTGTGCTCAGGAAATTCCCACTGGGAGGGGAACACCTCGGCTTTTCACTCCAAGCCCCTACGCTGGTCCCTCCCTGCCAGAAGCAACGGGATAAGGTTCTCTGGAGGAGGCTGGCTACGGCTCCGACCCCAGAGAACCTGCCTCCACTTTCTGTCTCCATTCTTCAGAAAGCGGGTTTGATGTGCTAATGAGGGCATCAGTTAGGGAGCATCATTAGCATTCATTACAATAACAAGCAGGGAAGCGGGGAGGGTCTTTAGAAATTTACTGCCACTCACTCCTCTCCTATGGAGTGGGAGGAGGAGCAGGAGGGTGAGGAATGTGAGAAGGGAGGCTTAGGGGCTCTGGGAGACCAGGCTGTGTTCAGAAAGCCCCAGAAGCAGGCCTGGGGCAGCGGGAAGCACCCTCCTCCTCCTTGGCTCCTCCCCCACCCCTCTTGTGCCCCAGGTGCTAGGTCACTGCCCCTGGTTACTTGACCCAGAATAGGACCAGGTCCCCAGGCCCTCACTGTCTGCAGGCCACCCTTAGTGGAATGTGGATGGTTCCTTGGGGTCTCATGAAATGCCTGGCCAGACAACAGCCCCATGGACCGGGGGCTTTCTCAAGGATACTGGGCTGGGGGTGCTCCAAAGCAGCAGAGTGACCAGTTTGGGGTGTCCCAGCCATTATTTCCACGTCACCTTTTCCCTGTGCCTTCTCCTAGAGGCCCAGATGCCCTTCTCTGCCCACCCCAAGGCCCATCTCCCTTTGCCTGCCCAGATGTTTGTCCAGATGCAACCCCTGTTCCTATTGCATCTTGGGGAAGGAGAGGCAGGGCTGAGAATTCTCTCCTCTAGGGTGCACCCCCATAACCTCTCTCTCGCAAGCTCCCAGGAACAGGTGAGGGCTGGGTGGGATGTTTGGGGAGGCAAGGTGAGTGGTTAGGATCTGCTGTTCCAAGCCCCAAACATGCCAGCTGCCCCCTCCCCACCAAATACACTGCCAGAGGCACAGGAGAGGAGGACCAGAGGGAAGTTACCTGTTGAGGAATGAGAGCGGGGGCGGGGCGGCACCTGAGGCATCTCAGGTGGAGGCAGCTGGCAAATTGGTTGTGCCTGGGCACCATGCCAGCTTACAGGAGCAATTCTCATCTCTCAGCTGAAGTAATACCTGTGTTGCTTTTGCCCTGATCAGTGGAGATGGTGTCCCCAGCCTTCTCTCTCCACCAGGAACCCCTCCTTTTGAGACCTGGTGGGAGGAGGGAAAGGCACGTATTTTTCTTGGGGTCAATGAGGGGCGATGATGCCAGGCCATCTGTCCTCTGGCTCCACTTTCAGCCTTGGGACCTTGGGTTCTATTCAGGGAGCTGTATCCCTTCTCACCCCTCCAGGAGACCCATGGAGTCAGCTGGGCAGGGTGGGTGTGGACAAAGCATCTTTGGGGAAGAGAGGGCAGAAGGGTCTCAAATGAGCTGATAGCTATGAAGATGATCAGAAATGCTAAGGATTCATCATTAAAAGGTGAGCTATACAAATTAAAAATATTACATAAATCTGATTTAAGCTCCTCACTATGGAGGTGGCCTTCATGATGAGCGAGCTCACCTTAGGGCGGGTAAAAATGGATGCTTCGTTCTGCTGACACCTTTGGAACTGTTCCAATCCCTGGGGGCTGCATCACAGAACCTTTCCCACCCCACCCCAAGCCACTGGGGTTGGGCAGGCAAATCTCCACATGATGGCACAAGCATCTTTTCAATTGTCAACTAGAGGTAATGCCTCAGGTCACTCTCTCCACAATAGGACCAGATCCCTGTCTCCTTCCTGATTATGGCATGGCTATACATCTTAACTCTCAGCCACATTCCTGATCTCAGTTCTCTTCTAACGACTATATGGTTATGAGACTTTGTGTCCCAGGGGTTGTCCCTGCTGTGGCGACCCACAGGGTTATGAGATGATGGTGATAGAAGAAAGGCAGGGAGCTTTGACATAAGGCAGATGTGGGTTTGAATTTCAACTTTGCTGCTCTTACATTGGGCAATTGGCTATATCTCTCTGATAGGGGGTTGAAAATGCTCACTTCCATCAGGCTGTCGAAAGGGTAAAATTAGAGATTATGGTAGAGCACCTGCTAATTTTCTTCCCCTTAGGCACAAAGTGGGGGAGGGAAGAAATCTTGTCCCTTGGGGGGAATCTGAGTTGGGGGCAGGTGAAGGGCAGGAGTCCTGTGCAGTCAGTGGGTGAGGAATCTGAACGGAGGAGCGACCTGTGCCAGAGCTCTGGGCTCCCAGCCGCTTGGGAGGTGGTGTCCGTGTGCTGAGGGGAAGCTACCCTTGCCTCCCCTGAGCCTCCCCCACACAGAGCCTGCTGCCTCCCATGCCCATCCTGGGCAGGCAGCCAGGCAGGGCACTGGATGGATGCCCACTGTGCGCTCAGAGGCCAAAAGATGGGCACCATCCAGTTGGCAGAGGGAGAGGCAGTTGGCCCAGGAGGGAAGAAGTCAGGGTGCCTGCCGCTGGGGTCGTGTGCCCAGACTGTGTGTCCAGGACACAGCTCTTGGCTGTCCTCCTGATCTGTCCCACTGGAGCTGGGAAGGGCCTCTCCTCTGGTCCTGGCCCTGGCATCTGAGTTACTGCAATTGGTTATTTATCTCTAAGGGGAATCTGGGACCTTGTCCCTAGCTGGGCATGTGGTTGGCTCAGGGGCAGGCCTGGGGGTGGATAGGAAATTGGGAGAGCCCAGATTAAGGTTGCAACTGGGTAGACCAGGAAGTGGGGAAACCGGTTTGTCATTTGGGCCACTTGGGGTGGGGTCTCCTCTCCTGGGCTCTCTGCCTGCCTGCCACTCTGCCTGATGGCCCACAGTGAATAGAAGTACTGTGTCCACTCTCTTGCTCACCTAAACTGCTTTTGGAAACTCCAGAAGTAAATAAAAGGGACAGGGGACTCAGCCCACCTTCTCCTCCGCAAGAAAGCTTGAGAGAGAAGGGACTGGCCAGAGCATCGGAGCGAGGGAGGGAGGGGGCCGCTGGAATCACGAGGTGTCGGCGCGGGCCTGGGTCTGGGTCTGGGTCCGGGTCAGCGCTGGAGAAGTCTGCGGAGCCAACAGGTAGGCCAACGAAGGTGGGACGCGGAGGGGCGGGGGACGGCAGGGTGGAGCCGAGCTAGTGCTCTGCGGGCTGAAGTAGAGGCGGCAGTGACGCCGCCAAGCGAGGCGTGAGCAGGGACCGTCGCTGGAGCGTCCTACGGTGGGGTCTCACTGGCCGGAGGGGCGCGGACCTGCCTGCAGTTCCCGCGCACGCCTGCAGGAGGGGCTGCAACCCGGAGCGGGGGCGAGGCGGCGGCCCAGCAGGGGGCGCCGGGGAGCCCAGACCCTCCGACCGAGCCGCGTCTAGGCGCGCTGGGGTGAGGGGTCGCGAGGCAGAAGCAGAGGAGGATCCGGGCGCTCCCAGCATGGGGCGGCTGTTGGTTTCCGCGGTCACCTTGGCTGAAGGGAGCCCCCAGTCTCGCCGCCCCGCCTCCCCACCCAGCCCCGAGAGCCTTTCCATCCCTAGGCGCGCCCGGGCTTGGAGACCCAGGAGTCCTCCACCCTCCAAGTGTCCCCGCTTCCCCGGGTGCCTCCTCCGAGCCGGTCCTCGGTCAATGTATTTGTCTCTATCGTGGCGCGAAGACTACTTGGGGTGGGACGAAGCAGGTGGCGCGGGAAGGAGAGAGTGAGCGCGCCCCGCGCCCGGCCCCGGCCGCGCGCTGCGGGATCACGCGGTGAAGCTGGAGGGCGCGAGAAGGCGCAGTGCCCCCTCCCCTCCCCCGCCCCCGCCGCCCCGGGCGGCCCTTTGTAAGTTCCGGCCACACGCGCGCGCCCGCGCCGCGCGCGCGCCCGCCCGCAGTGACACACCCGCGCCGGCCCGCGCGCGCGCAGACACACACTCAAACACACACACACTCGCTCTCGCACACTCGGTGACACGCCCGCGCGCGCGCTCACCCACACGCCCGGCCGCCGGCGCCCTCCCAGCTGGTCCACCCCGGCGGGGCCCGCGCCCCCGGCCCGCCCGCCTGGCACCGCGCCCCGGGGCTGGGGCCGAGCGAGGAGCCCGCGAGGCGGCGAGAGGGCGAGCGCCAGGCAGGCCGGCCCGGGGCCCCCGCCCCCCGCGCCCCCGCCCGATGGGGAACGCTCCGTCCCAAGGCATGTCCCTGTCTCTCTCCTCCCTAATGTGCCTCCATGCTTAAGTGGAAGGTATTTCTGTTTTCTTTGTGTGTTTTCCCCCTCGGCCGGGGGCGGGGGCGGCGGCCGGGCCGGGGAGGCGGTGGCCGGCGGGGCGAGGGATGCTGGGGCGCAGGTGTGTGGGGGCAGGGGACCGCTGTGCGCCGGGCTTGGGAGAAGGACCCGGGCGAGAGGAGTGCTGGGACCAGAGAAGGGGGCAGGGTGGCGAGGCAGGAGACTGGGTGGGGAGGGCCTCACTACGCCCCGGGGTGGGGGCCAGAGGGGTTCAACTGTAAAGGGGCTTGTGTGGAAGGGGGAGGGGTGAGGAGAAGAAGGGGGATGGATGGTGAGGAGGGTGGGGGGAGAAGGGCGTCCCTCCGAGGTGGGGGAAGTGGAGGATGCAGGGGAGGGGAAGGGGATGGAGAAGTGAGGGGTGCATCAAAGGCCTCCCTCCCCCAGCTCCCAGAATGGGGTGCACGGGCTAGGATGGTGGTGGTGGGCCCTTTGCGCCAGCCTCCAGGGAGGGAAGGGGATGAGTGCGTTCTGGGGTTGGCCGCGTTGCCAGGATACAAGCCTGTATTCCACACACCCCCCCTCCCCGCACCTCGAGGCCCTAGCCCTGGAGACCTCTGAGCCTCAGCAGCAGTTGCAGAAACTGGGGACCAGCTCCCCGCTCTACCAGCGGGTAGGGAGGGCCACGAGAGGGAGGGGTTTAGGGAGGGGCTATTTGATCTTAACCCCTCCCCCTGCAGAGGCCAGGGGGCAGGGGAGGGCGCCCCCAGCTGGGGAGGGCATCTAGGGTGAGTGAGAAGATAGGGAAGGCAGGCGGCTGAGGGGTGGAGGGTGGGGCTGGGAAGGGGACGCACCGTGGCCCCCCCTCCCCTCCCACGCACCCCCCTGCTACGTCAGAAGCTCCCGGGCCAGCTCCGAGTCCTGTCGGTGGGGGCAGCAGGATGCTGGTGGAAGCAGAGGGGACAGGCCGGGTGCCTCCGCAGCTCAGCTGTCAGGGCCCGGCGGGGCGTGTGCGGCTGCTGGTGCTCGTCCCCCAGCCCCACGCGTCCCCATGCAGCCCTGGCAGTGCCTCCGGCGCTTTGCCCTGGCCTGGTGGGAGAGGACGGCGGAGGGCAGAGCCCGCTCTCCCAGGGAGGAGGCTGGACCGAGGGACCCTGGGGGCCGAGGGGAGCCAGGTGAGCAGGCGCGGGGAAGTATGCAAGGAGGGGGATCTTCCCAGCCCCCCTCCTCAAATGTTGTGGGACAAGGAGGTCCTGCAGCACCCCAACTTTAAGGAAAGTGGGCTCCCCGAGCTGGGGGTGGGGGTTTCTGGCAGCAGCCTTTCAAAAGGAGATGGAGGAGCTGCTGTCTGTTTTGGGGAAGGGAGAAACAGGTGAGGCTTGGGAGTGAGGGAAGCTGACCAGACTTCCAGGTTTGTGGGCCTGAATGTTCCTTTGGGTGGGGTTTGAGCACTTTTGGGGGGTCGTCAGGATACCTTCTTCCCGACTCTTGGTATCTTGGTCTGGGTGACCTTGAGCCAACTGCTTTGCTGTCTAATTCCTTGCCTCAGTTTCTCTTATTCCCATCCCTTTCCCTCTTGTTGATCTTTAAAAATTGATGATGCATTTGATGGAGATTGTGAGGCTGTCGCCACTGGTGGCAGCTGTGATGGTGGTGGTTTCTGGTGTGGTTGTATGTGGGGAGCAGCTATGGTGCATTTGAGGGGTTTTGCTGGTTCTGGTTGGTGATGGGCCACTCCATACAGGTGTCAGGGACATGGGAAGGAACATTCACACAGGAAGGAGTGCTCCAGGCAAGCTGAGAGTTGCTGGGGACAGAGACTTAGCTGGTGGCCTGGGGTAGAAGCAAGGGATGGGGTGAGGGCTCTGGGCATAAGGGGAGGGTTTCCAAGAATAAGATGCACCCCCCCTCCACCCCGCTGTCCCCACCCAGACTGCCTGGCACCCAGGCACCACTGGCAGCAAGTGCAAAGGCTTTGCCCTGGCTTCCTGCCACCCTGCCTTGGGGACAAGAGGGTCTTTGTCCAGTCCCCCCACAACAATTCCTGCTTCTTCTGCCCTTTCCACGATGGCTGGTTCTCTGTGATGACCCTCAAGGCTGGGATGGAGGCACAAATCCCCCTTCTGGCTCCCACTGTCTGTGCCCTGGAGCTCTATCTGGAAGAGGCAACTGTGGTCCTCGGGGAGTGCTGAGTGGAGAGGGATGCTCCACTAGGGGAAGGGTCGCTCGAATGAACCCCTCAAAGAGCTACCCCCACCCCAGGCTTTCCCCTGCCCCTCTACTTGCCTCCTTGCCTAATGCGGAGGGTCTGGGGTCTTCGTGGCCTCATCCCTGCTGGGTTCCAGGCGTCTTAAAGATGTGCAGGATACTGGGTTGGGCACTGGGATGCAGGGCCTCTCTGATGCACTCTCGCGCTCTCTCTCTCTCTTTCTCTCTCTCTCCCCCTCTCCCCCCTCCCTTCCCTGTCTCTCTCCCTCTTCCCTCTCTCTCGCCAGGGACCCACCCTGGAAAAAGGGTTTAATTAGAACCATTGATTCCTTCTTTGGCTGTGGGCATCGACAGTGTGGTCAGAGCTAGAGGGTGGGGGTGGCATGGCTGCCATCTGCCTATGCCAACCTTGGAATTCTCTGCCAAAACCCCAGCCCTGGAAGTGCTTAGGAGGGAGGCGGCTGGGCTCTTTGAAGTACCCAGTTTGTTGAGCCCCCACCCCCACCCCAGGTTAGGTTTTGGGGAAAGAAGGGAGACAGTGTTGAGGATTTGAACTGAGGGAGCTGAGTTTGGGGCTCAAGGAAGAACAGTTCATGGCGTCTGTCATCCTGGGTAGCAGGCCTGGGGCACATGAAGAGGCAGCTGTGGTGGGGGGTGCTCTTGCAAAGGGGCCTGTGGGTGCTGGGCAGGCAGGGAGTTCAGGGGAAGGATCCAGGGCTTGCCATAAAAGCTGCTCTTTCGAGGAATCTCAAGCATTTATCTCCTCCAAGCCCTGGCAAGGAAATCTGTTTTCTTTCTTCATTTATGTCCTTGAGGCCCAGAGAGGGACACAGACTGCCTCAGAGGCCCAGCAGACTTAGGTCTAGCTTTAAGCCTGGTTTCCTGACCTAGGGACCCCTGCTTGGGCACAAGCTGCTGAGGGTGAGTCTCCTGGTAGCTGAGGCTCTGGACTCTAGGATTTGTGGGGGGTGGGGGACAGGTTGTGCCCCCCAAGTCCTGGCTGCCTGCTGTGGGTGGGCTGGTGCAGGTGCAGGCTTCAATGAGGCACTCAGATGCTCTTTGAAGAATCCCTCACTGGCTTCCTAGGGCCCATTCGAGCAAAGATAATAAAAATCTGGCCGTCAGCGGGTTTGAGGGCTGTACTCGCTTCCCCTTCTTTCATTCCAAGCTCTGAGTAGCGGAGATGAAGGCTTCGGATTTGGCTGGGAAGCAGTGCCTGCCCCGAGGGAGGAAGGGAGGGAGGCAGTGAAGGAGGGAGGACTGAGTTCCTGGCAGCCAGGGGAGTTTCTGGGGGAGGTGGGCAGAGGGGCAGGGGCATGGTCCCCAACTCCTGCCAAGCAGCCTAGAACCTCGGGGTCAGGGTTCCTCTACCCGATACCTGGGCTCCAGAGCACTCCCCTGGATGCCCTCAGTCTTCGCCCCTCCCCCATCTCTCCTCTGTGCCTTTCCGTCTTCCCATTCCTCCCCTCCCGCTCCCTGTTCGTCAATTTCTCCTGCGCTGCCCTTCCTGCTGTCTCTCTCTCTAACCCTGTCCTCGTCTCTTCTTCTGCCTCCCCCTTCCTCCCTCTGACCACCCCTCCCATTGTCTGCCTCCCCTTCCTTTCCCCAGCTCTGGCCCTGCTTTCGAGGACTGTCTGGAAGGTTGAGAAGCCAAGCTGGGGGCGGGGAAGTGGCCTCAGAAGGGATGGGCCTGGGTTAACTATTATGGTCTGTCAGGTGCCATAATTGTCAGAGTCCAGGAAGGGCTGCAGAGCACTTAGCGATGTGTGTGTGTGTGTGTGTGCGCGCGAGCGTGTGTGTGTGTGTGCGTGTGTGTGTATGTGTTGAGGGCGCCATCCCCCTCCCCACACCACAGCAGGCACCTTGCCCTGACATTGGGCTCTTCCTCCCCTGCCTCAAACACCCCAGGTTCCCTGCTCTTCTGCCCTGCCCCTCATATTTCTCTTTGCCTACCTCCAGCCTCCCGCCCCTCCAACCGCGCGGCCCCCCAGGTGCTATGCTGCCCTTGCACTGCCCCTCACACCCACCAGACCATCTCCAGGTGCAGAGGCGGTAAGGGAGGCATCCAAGAAGCCTCTCAGCTCCATCTCCCACCCATGTCTCTGATGGGCCTGCCTGGAGCCCCATCCACGCCCTGGGGCCCCTTTGCAATGTTATAAACCCCCCAGCAGAAAGACAAGACCCTGGTGGAAAAAGCACTGCACTAAGTCAAGAGAGCTCATTCTTATCCTTCCTCAGTGCCCAGATGTCTGCGTGACCTTGAGCAAGTCCCATCCCAGCGCGGGCCTCTTTCCTCACCTGTGAAATGAGGGGGCGTGGGCTGGCTGATCTCCAAGGTTTCTTGTGACATTCCAGCGGTGTTGTGTCTCTCTTCTGGGTGATTTGCATATGCTTTGCATATATTAATGGTGCCTGCTTGAAGGGGGAGGGTGCCGCCCACACCCGGCCCAGAGTCCCACCCACCATTCCAACTCCCCTTGCCCATTGGCCCATGCTTTTGCTGCTCCGATTTCCCAGAGGGGTGAAAGCTGGGCTTGAGCATTCCCTGGGGAGGTGAGTCTGGCCCCTGTGTTCCAGCCATGCTGGGGGCAGGGTTGGGGGGATGGCTGTAGTCGAGGGGACCCCTGCCCTCAGCACTTCTGCTCCAAAAGGTCAAAACAGAGAAGCCAAGTGGTGGGTGAATTCACCAAAGTTGCCTGTGGCTAGCTAGGATGGGGTGTGCAGAACCCCACGGAGGCCTGATACTGCAGCCGGCAGAGGGGCTTGAGGCTGTGCACCCTCCAGGGCCTGCTAGCCCTCTGCCGGGAGCTTAGCCAGGTGTCAGAGCTCCTCCTCCGGCTTCACCTCCCAGGCTCAACCCATGGCAAGTCCTGCCCTTGTGCCCCTGCCTGCTTTTGCCCATTCCCCTGGGCTCTGGGGATGTGTGTGCTGAAACCTGGGCCTCAGAGATGGTCAGTGAGAAGGACTAGGTCATTCATTGCCTCTCTGGGCCCTCTTAGCTACCACACAGAAGATGGGGCCCAGGCCCCCTGCAGGGGTCATGGACATTATGAGGGAGGAGAGCCTGCCACCCTAGTCCTGCCCGTACCTCCAACAGCCCTGCCTGACCTTTTGGGGACCTCCCCCAGAGCCTCTTCGCATGCCTTGGTCGCTTTTACCTACATATCTACCCCGTCCTGGGGCAGGGCTGGGTAAAGGTTGATAGCCTGGAAAAAGATCATGTAGGCCACTGAGTCATGAGAAGAGTCTCTGAAGACAGGAACAAAAATGCCACCAAGGAGGACTGGGCCAGAGGAAATGCAGCAAGAGAGATCAAGGTTAGACTTAGTCTTAAGGAAGGATGGTCCCAGGGGACAGATTCGTTTCTGATCCTGGAATTGTGAAGATTAAATGAAACAACAGATGAAAACATCCCGCACAGTGCCGGACATATACTAAACAATCAACTTATTGTTGGGATAATAAACAATCAATTATGAGGGGATAGGGGACAGACATCTCTGAACCCAGAGAAGATAATAATCCTTAGAGAAGTCTAAGCCTGAGACTTAGTTAGGATTTTGCAGAGGATGAGGACTTGGAGGGGCGATTCCTAGAAGAGCTGTTTCCCCCATACCCAGGCTGCTGTTCCCTCATCCCACCCTTCGGGCCCCACGCATGCACTGGGCTTGGGCCCAGCCACCCAGGGACACCCTGCCCTCATCCTGTCTGCTGGGGGTGGGCAAACATAAGGGTGTGGAGGCTGGAAACCTGCTTTTCTCCCCCTGCCTCCATCTCTGCATAGGACAGCTTGAGAGGAAGCAGGCCCACGCTGTAGTAGGAGGAATCGAGGTTAGATAGGAAGATAAACCTCCCAGCGTGTGGCCACTTCAGGATGGGAGGCTCCAGTGGTATTTTTGCATCTTTCACCTCAATGACGGTGGTCTGTGAGCACCCGTAGACTAGTGTTGGACCTAGCGGCAGGGGACTGGTCAGCGTGACCTTTCAGATGAACTTTGGGCATCCTGAAGAGTTTGGCTGGTGTGGTTGCCAGAGTGCAGGGGACCCTGCTGGGGAGGGATCCAGTGCTCCGGGAGAGGGAGAAGAGGAGGAGAAAGAGAGAAGCTGCTCCTCTGCTCCTTAGGGCAAAGAAGTAAATTGTAAAGAACAAGCATTGGGCTGGAGTCAGCTTGCCTGTCTCCCCTACTGCTGTGTGACCTTGGCAATTTAGTTGCCCCCTCTGGTCTTCAGTGTCCTTGGTATAAGAAAAGAGGGTGGGACTAGAGGACCTTCAAGCTCCCTTCCAGAGCTCCCAGGCTCTCTCTACCTCCTCTCCCTTGAGATAATATTGCTTTGCCACATGGAGGGTGGGAAGACTGTTTCCCAGCTTAAGCTAAGAAAAAAAAAATGGGGATTTGGCCCAAGAGAATATTGGAATACACACACACGTACGTACACACACACATACACACACACACTCATGCCTTACAGACAGCCCCCTCCTGTTCCGAAGGCACACCTTGCCTACATCTGCCCTCCCAGCCCAGGGGATGGAGAAGGGAGTGGCTAGAGGATTCAGCTGTCCTCTGAATTCTAAACTCACTGTTTTCCTCCCACCCCAGCAGAACTGGCTTTGCCACACTCCATTCCATCCGGGGACTATAATCCAATTCGGGTTTTCTCCCACAAGGCACTTCAAGCTGGTGGCTCAGCTCCCCCACAGCCTTATCCTGGCTCCTGGTAGCCCAGGCCACCTGCCTCGGTTGCCTGCATGTCCTGATGTGGAGTAACCCAAGACTGGAAGGGAGTTGGGTTTTCTCATGCCTGCCTTCCTCACCTGTGCAAACACACGCATTCCAGGGCACTGGCTTCTTTTCCATTCCAGCTGGCAAAGCATGCTGGAGACCCCAGACCCAGGGGCCCATAGAGGGGCCCCCAGACTCAGCTTATAGAGAGACCCCAGACCCAGAGACCCCACAGAAAGAGCCTAGCTGTTTCTGCTTGTGCAGAGCTGGGGAGATTGCGGGGGGGACGTGTTCTGCAGTCTCCCCTCACCCCTAGGATGCATGATAATTGCATACGCAGCAGACATCACTCCAGACACCAGCCTCTGCTTCTTATGGGAAGAATGAATGACCCCAGCTCGTAGGGAAGGCCTTCCATGGTTCCTTGAAGCCCTTGGGATGGGCCTTGCTGTCTTCTCTCCTGGGCTGTCTGCTGCCTATTCCACCCCACCCAGTGACCAGGCTGGCCTGATGAGTCCCCCATTCTTGTCCCCAGCCCCCTTATCCATGGAAAGTTAGGACTCTGTGCAGAGGCAAGGGCTGTGGGGACTGCCGCAGACTCTCACTTTGTCCACCCCAGAACTTCTGGGCTCTCCTCTACCTGGGCACTATGGGAACTTCTGGTTGGTAAAACGTGAAGGGGCTTGTGCGGGGCTTCCTGGAGCTTCCTCTCTCCTGGAAGTGGGAGGGGCAGGAAGGGGCTATTAGAGAGGCAGAAGTCACCTAAAGATAAAGCTCAGGAAAACCTAGACCCACCTCTCTCCTTAACCTGATGGCTCACCCCCTCCTGGTCCACTGGCAGCCTGGGGTTAGAACAGTCTGCCTCCCACTCTTAGGACGAGGCAGAGCCGAAGAGAAATCTTCTCTTCTACCTTATTGCCCATAGGAGATAATTTCTTTAGGCAGAACTTCCCAGAGGCCACCAAAAGGAAGATAGCCAAAGACTGAGAGAGGGGTGGGAGTGGATAGGAGACAGTTTAGCTCCTGGGTCAAGAGCTTAGGGTCTACAGTCAGACAGCTCTGGGCTGCAATCGCAGCCCTGACAGTCATTTGCTGTGTGGTTTGGGGCAAGTTGCTTCACCTTTCTGAAGCTCAGTTTCTGTCTCTGTAGATCAAGAGCATTAACACTGGCTTCCTCACAGAGTGGGTAGTAGGATTATATGAGGTAATTTAGGCAGAGTTCCTGGCACATAGTAGACATTCAATAAATAGTCATATCTTTATCTTCCTCCTCTTCCTCTGTCTGACTGAATGATTGAATGGGGCCCACTCTCCACTGAGAAAAGGGCATACATAAGAAACCTCTTTAGATTTTTTGAAAACCCAGATCCTCACCTCAGCCTGTCTGGGGCTGGGCCCCTGGAGCTGCCACTTAGGGCTGGTGGTAAGAAGGAAGCTGGAGCTCCTAAGCCTTCACTTTTGTGCCTCCCACTGCCTCATCCAGGAAGTTCTCTGGGGCTAGACACATCAATGAGCATTCTTAATATTTTCTCCCAGTCCGTGTCCCAACAGCTGTTTCTCCCTGGGATGTCGATGTTTTAGGTAATCGGTGGGAAAATTGGAACCATGAGATTGGCAGGGGGCTCTGAGAATGCTTGTAGCCAGACGTGTTGTGGGTATGGATGGGTCTGAGCCAGCCCAGGGAGGGCTGTGCCTGAGTGGGTGCTGGCCACAGTGTCTCCCGGCAGGAAGGGTCTTAACTGCTGCATGCCCCAGGGTAAAAGGCTAATAGGTATTGCAGCATGAGGGAGGTGGAGTAGGTTTAGAAAGGACTTCTAACCTTTCTAAAGGGTGGGGCATGGTGGACAGCTGTAGGGGACCCTGCCATGGCAGGTTGAGGGTTGGGGGTGTGGAGGCAGTAGCTAGGTGAAGGACTTCAGGCAGGTCTGTGCTCCTAGCACAGTGTGAACCTATGAGTGCCTTTTGGGTGGGGAATGCCTGTCTCCTCTAACACAGGCAGGGGAAGCTGGGCATTCTCAGGGTTAGTGGGGAGTGGAGCAGATGGGGGTCTCGTAGGCTGGGGAGAGGGTTGTCACCAGGGGAATGATGGCAAGCCTCTCTGACCCTGAA
The DNA here is from genome assembly GCF_000001405.40 of Homo sapiens. Classification (NCBI taxonomy): domain Eukaryota; kingdom Metazoa; phylum Chordata; class Mammalia; order Primates; family Hominidae; genus Homo; species Homo sapiens. The sequence continues at coordinate 38,596,612 of NC_000017.11, read as the reverse complement.
CCCATCAACCTTCCAGAATGGCATAACCTGGCATGAAGGAGGCAGGCGGGCTATCATTTGGGGTCTAGGTTGGGCACCTCAGTAAAGTGTCTGCCCCTGTTTCTGGGTGGAGAACCAGGCATGGCTTGTTGGCTGTCTGTCCTGGGAACCCAGTTCTGGGGACCCCATGTTTTCTGTGTTGTCCTGCTGTTTGTCCCCCTGTCTGTCTCCCACCAGTGTCTCTACCCCCTCAGTCCCTGCTCTTCCTATGACACCCAATCTCTATCCTGTCTGCCCTGGGGGGCCCCAAAGGGAGAGCTCCTAAGGCTCTGCCTTGCTCTGTACCTGCTTCACCTCCCCCAACCCCATGGCCCATGGCCCTGCCCCTGACCTAGCCCACTTTGGGAGCCCCTGCCCCGGCCCCCTCCTCTCTCCAGCTCCTCTGCAGCCGGGCCTTTCTGGGCATTCATTCACGACTTTCCTCCTTTCCTGTCCCTCACCCAGGGCTCCAGCGTGCGGCGGGAGGGAAGCCTCCAGGACTCTGTTCCCTCTGTTTAAAGTCTCCAGGTTAGTAAGCCAGGAGGAGGGAGGCCCCCCACGATTCCTCCTCCTGCCAGCTCTCCAGCTCTCCGTAGTCAGATGCTCCTCCCCAGCCTGGAGGGCCAGAAACGGAGAGGGGGCTATCCCTGGTGGGCCCAGCCTTTGCCAGGGGAGGGGGCAGCAGATACCTGACTCTGGGGGGGGCACTTTGGCTGGTAGAGAACATGTCTGTATGTGCACGTGTGTGCATGTCAGTGAGTGTGCGTGTACAAGCACGCGTGCATGTACATGTGTGTGCAGGCTGCAAAGCCGCCATGTAAGCTAGGGCTGGGGTGAAGAGAAGAGGCGGGAATCCTCTGCTGAGGGGGCTTGTGGCCTGGGGAGAGGGGTCAGGAGCAAGGGGCACCTCTTATGGGGGGAAGCCCATGTTCCAGTGATGCCCAGAGGGTGGGGGATGGGAGAAGATGGGACCATTTTGTTTAGCTTACAGTCACATGCAAACTTGTGATCTCGTTTCATTTATTCAATTGTTTGCTTGTTTATCTATTCATCCATTTATTCAATAAAGACTTATTGAAGGCCAGGCGCGGTGGCTCACGCCTGTAATCCCAGCACTTTGGGAGGCCGAGGCAGGCGGATCATGAGGTCAGGAGTTCGAGACCAGCCTGGCAAACGTGGTGAAACCCTGTCTCTACTAAAAATACAAAAATTAGCTGGGTGTGGTGGCGGGTGTCTGTAATCCCAGCTACTCAGGAAGCTGAGGCAGGAGAATTGCTCGAACCCGGGAAGCAGAGGTTGCAGTGAGCCGAGATTGCGCCACCGCACTCCAGCCTGGGTAACAGAGCAAGACTCCATCTCGGGGTCGGGGCGGCGGGGAAAGACTTATTGAACACTTTCTCTGTGCCAGGCACTGGGCTAGGCTCAGAGTCTAACAGCAACCAAGGCAGATAGGTTCCTGGATGCTTTGCTTAAGTGTTGAGCAAGTAGAGGTTGAAGAGTTGGAAGATATCCTGGCTGTGGGGGCCTGTCCTCTGTCTATCTGCCCCTGTTCCCCCTGCTGGAAGCTGTTTTGTAACTTTATGTCCCTGTAGAGTGTCCTCTCATAATGTGCCCCTGCCAAGCAAGCAGTTACTTGGCCTCCAAGTCCCTAGTGACCTTGATGGCTAAGGGCAACATCATTAGGCTGCTCCTGAGGCTGTTTCAGAGGACATCAAACAGCCCGGCTGGAGGAGGGTGTATGGGCAGGGGAAGCCGCCCCCCAAAATCTGGGCCCAGGACCAGCAGCCTGGAGCATTGGACTTGAGAGTCAGCCTGCCCTGGGTTCAAACCCCCACTTCAGCCATTTCCTAGCTGTGTGAGCCTGGACGAGCCACTTTCCCTCTCTGAGCCTCAGTGTTTGTGCCTGTAAAGTGGTACAAGAACACCTCCCAGGCAGCATTGTTGAGAAGAGTAAAGAAAAAGTAGTGATGGGCCCAGACTTGGCCCACAGCAGGGGCTGCCTAATTGCAGGTGCCCTTTGCGTCCCCACCTGCTGCCCAGGGTTGGGCAGGCTGTACCCTGGGTACTATCTGGATGCTGCCCTGCCTTCTTAGGAGAGGGGCTATTTTCAGGTTCCACGTCCTCCAGCCCTTTTCCAGCTCTCTGAACTGCTATTCAGCTACAATCTGGGTGGGCAGCTGGGGGAGGCAGCTCTCCTTGCCACCGTGGCTGCCGCCGCCTTGATGGCTTTTTAATAACTTTGCTCTGAGACAATCTGCAGAGCGCTCATTTGTCTGCCTCTTAATTAAAATTACCGTTTTCCTAAAAGAGCAACGACACTGCTCCCCTCCCTCCCCCATCCTTGGCTGCTGCCGGGAGAAGCCAGGAGAACGCGGAGAGACTTGAGATTGGAGCCCTTTCCCTCCTTGCTCGCGTGAGTTACCCCCGCTTCCCTGCACAAACAGCAGAGGGGCCAAGGCTCAGCCTGCAGGGTGGGCTCAGGGGCAGTGAACCAGGCAGAGGGGGCCAGGGCAAGGGCCTCTGAGACCTGAATGTTCTTCTCTTTCACCCACCCTTTTCTGGAATACCCCCAGTGATGGGGAGCTCAGTACCTTACAAGACTTACTTTCTGCCTCCGTAAAAAGGTGAAGCAGCCCCGTCCTGGCTTTACCAGCCAGAGTGGAATAAGATGTGGATGGGTTTTGGAAAAGTGCTATGAAGGAGTATTGCAATGCCTAGTGAGGGTGTAGGGGGTGGGAGTCGGGAGGAGGCTACCATGGTAGTGGACACCGGGGTCAGCCCCTCACTGTTGACTCTGGTTTTGGTTAGAAGAGACCTGTGCTCCCTCTGTGGGCTTTCAGGGGATGGGGCTCATTTAGTCATTGCTGAGTTTTGAGAAAAAAAATCATCACTGGTAATAATGAAAACACTGATGGCCAGTATTTATTGGGTGCTTCCTGGGAGCCAGATGCTGGGTTGTGCATTGTACAAGTGTTAGTTCATTTCATCCTCACAACTGTCCTGTGAGCTCACTGCTGCTGACTGTTTTGTGGGGGAAGAGACGACAGACCTGAGGGGTTAAGTAGCATGCCTGAGGTCAGAGAGAGAGTCCCAGTCTCTAGCAGGGCAGCCTCAGCCCTACACCCTCCCTTCCCCTCCGCCTTCACCTGAAGCTTTGTATGGGTCTTGCCCCATTCCCTCGTGCCCCTTTTCCTCACTCTCTGCACTCTGGCAGCAGGGCTCCTCTGTGGCCCAGCGCCATGGAGAATTCACACTGAGATTCATCACCTTCCTCCCCAACCCTGTTCCTCCTGAGGAGTCCGTGCTGCAGCCAGGTGGGGGCCCCAGCAGCTCACCTTGGGTCTGGCCTCTTCCCTGTGGGCCTTTGCCTCTGTGGCTCAGCTCCTCTTCATCACCTCCCATTCCTGCTCCTCCCTGAAATGCCCTTCCCCAACAACCGCCTCTGGGCTCGCCCCTCCGATCTCCCAGAGCACTGTCAAACCTCTGGTGGCTCCTAATGTAACCTTTCTTGAACAATCACCAGTTCTGGACATAACTAAGCCCACTAGCCTACTTTTGCTTGTGGGGGCAGCAAACTCAGTACCTTCAGGGACAGCAAATGAGGGAAGCGATGCATGAGGATGATAGGGAATGGTGGGGGCTGTGGTGAGGAGAGGGGTGCCTTGCAGCCTCTGCAGCCCTCCCTTCCTTACCTCACTTCCTGTGCTCCTTAGAGGTATTAAAATTCAAAGAAATAAAACCAAACACCACCAGCCCCCCAACCCCCCCAACAAAAAAAGCCTGTGCTTCAGTGTAGCCACAGTGTGATCCTTGCTAAATCATCTCATTCATCTTGGCATCCCCACATTGCCTAACACATTAAAGTAGCTGTGTATGAATTGTTTGTTGAATGACTACATGATGACACATGTGCCAGGCACTGTGCTAGATACTTTACACACCTTATTTCTTCCCATCTTCACAAGGGAGGCACTATTTTTTCCATTTTGCCATTGGGGAAACTGAGGCCTGGAGGACTGAAATGATTTGTTCAAGGTCACACATATGGGAAGTGGCCAAGGTGAGATTTGAGCCTTGGCTTGCTGTGTCCTTCTGCCTGTTCTGTTTGGTCATGGGGATGCATACATGGGACACATGTCACCTGCTTTCAGTACCTGTCCCGGGTAACAGGGAGCACTTGTGTGGCTGGTGACCACCTGGTTGAGGTGCACTGCTCACCTTGGGGAGGCAGGGCAGGGAAGTGAGGGCTGCAGAGGCTGGAAGGGTGCAGATGCCCCTCACCCCAGCACAGCCCTCCTCCCTCAGCTTCCGATCCCATCCCAGCAGCCTGGGGATGGCGGCGTGGTGACAGGTGCCGAGCTGCAGAGATGACGGCACTGCTGATTCCCCCATAATTACTGTCTGATGAGACACCAGAATTAGCCACTGCGCAAGCATGGGATGCAGACACGGGGCACTTGCAGGGAAGCAGCTGAGGGTGGGGGAGCCTCTCCTTCCAAGCCTGGGGCCCTCTGGCAGCAGGGCAGGGAGGAGGAAGTAGGTTAGCAAGGAGGAAGCACTGTGTGGTTAATATGCCTCAGATATTATCATGTGGGCTTGTGGTTTTCCACTTCTCACAGTGACTGGCTGCCAGACAGGGGCATCCTGGGCCTCAGGCCACTAGCCAGAGAATTCCAGGCAGAGCGGGCTGCCCACTCAGACTCCTGGGCACACCCTTTGGTGTCTGGAGCTGGGGCTCTGAGGGGCATAGTTGCTGGGAGGTGCTAAGATTCAGACCAGACCCCTTAAGTGACATTAGCAAGGCCAGGCACCAGAAAGCAAATGGAAGTGACTGGAAGGAGCAGTTTCAGCTGACTGGGCCAGGAACTTCACCCCTTCCAGGCAGGAGGAGTCAGGCTGGCCCCCTGAGGTCTGAGGCTGGGGGAGGCCTGAGCGTTAGGAGCAGGAGGCAAGGAAGGTATGTTCTGGCCCTGGAACAGCGCTCTTAGGCCCTGAGCATTTGTTTTTCCTGGCACATGTGCTGTGTGGGCAGGAGGGGCACTAGCGAAGGCACTTTAGTAACAGAAGCAGAGAGGAGTCACCTGTGCTGCTCATACCTCATCTGGACCATTAGAGCAGTTCTGAAGGCCAGCAGCCAAGAGGGGTGGTGACATGGGGATTACCCAACAAAGGGTGGTGCAGATGGCTGGGGGGCTGGGCCACACAGGAAGGACCTGAGGGCTTATGACAGAAGGTTCCGGTTCAGGAGCCTCCACTCTGCTCCAAAGGGAGAGGTCATGACCTTCCCCCAGGTTCCCCTGAGGGCCATGGGCACAGACTGTGGCTCATGTTAAGGAAGGAGAAACCCCACAAGATGATTGGTGCTTTGGATGTAATGAGTTCTCCTTTCCTGGAAGTATCTAAGACCTGACTGGCTGGAGCTCCTGATTTGCAGTTCTGTCTCTGCACAGCCTGTGGCAGGGGCTGGGAGGGCTTCGTATCCAGCATAGGTACAAGAAGGCTACGAGTAGGGCTGTGGAAAGGTGGATCCCCTAGAAGGTCTTTCAGGACTGTGGGACCCCCACTTCCAGCCTAAGTTTCTGTGATCTGGGGGTGGCTCTGCTTCCTCCCTCTCCTCCAGCCCTGGGGAATAGGCCCCCCCAAGAGGACTGGGTGGATGGCGCCCAAGATTAGCTGGGAAGGAGGGTTGTTTCAGCGTTCTCTTCTTAGGGTGTAGGAAGGACAGAGGGGACCTGTGGGGCTCTGGCCTAATGGCTTAGATGAGTACTCACAGATGACCTGGTGGCAGAATCAGCATCTTCCTCAGGGGCAACAGAGTGTAGGGGAAAGAAGAAGGACATGGGCTAATGGGCTAAGCACCCCGGCAGTTGAGATCAGCCTCTTCCACTTATCAACTCTGACCTTGGACAAGTCACTCCTTCCTGAGCCTCAGTTTCTTCACCTGTAAAATAGGGGGTTTGCAACCTCACAAGGTGACTGTGAGAATGAAGAGAATGATGGCTGCACGAGCCCTTTGAGATCATCATGAATATGTGTGGGTGTTCAAGGGTGGTTATCATGGCTGGGTGCAGTGGCTCATGCCTGTAATCCCAGCACTTAGGGAGGCCAAGGCGGGCAGATCACCTGAGGTCAGGAGTTTGAGACCAGCCTGGCCAACACAGCAAAACCTTGTCTCTATTAAGAATACAAAAATTAGCCAGGTGTGGTGGCACGGGCCTGTAGTCCCAGCTACTCGGGAGGCTGAGGCAGGAGAATTGCTTGAACCCGGGAGGAGGGGTTTGCAGTGAACTGAGATTGTGCCACTGCACTCCAGCCTGGGCGACAGAGCAGGACTGTCTCAAGAAAAAGAGTGGTTATCATTTCATGGCTGGTCCATATTTCCCACAGCTTCCAGAAAGCCCGATGCTGGGTTTAACCCTCGTCACTCAAGATGGATGTGTGGATTGGAGAAGGGAGGGTGGGAGTCTTTGTGTCTTTCGCAGAAGGGGAGACAGTTTATTTTTCCTTGCCTTGAAGCCTGTGCTCCACATTCCCAGATGCTGCTCTGATGGGAGAGCTCAGGTTAGACAACAAAGAGAACTTCCACAAGATGCCCCTGCTATCTGACCAGGCCCTGGCTTCCAAAGACTGCCTGACCCAGAGGCCAAGCCGACTTGCCAAGTCTCCTGCCTTTTCCAAACTGTGAACTCCGGGCTGCCCTCGCCCCATCCTCCAGAGTCTCTCGGGATACTAACAGGGTGTCCCTAGGGAGAGAGAATCATGGGCTGCAGATTCGGCTGTTTGTTCTTAGCTAGCTTGCAGGGTGGCAGAGAAATTAACCCATGAGGTGAGAGCTAAGCCTTGGGTCCCAGCAGCCCTGTCCTTCCCCATCAGCAGAGCTGGAAGCTGGGCAGAGGCTCTCCGGCCCCCTCGCCCTGGTGGAGGCGCTGAGCACCTACAGAGGTGGAATGAGGGCTGGAGGCAACCAGGTCCCAGAGGAGGGTCTCACTCATGAACATCGCCCCATTGGCTAAGCATTGGTCAGAGTAGGTGGCCTTGAGGTTACTGGGCTGACTCCTGTATTTTAAGACATTGTGTAAACACCTCAGCAAGGGAGCCCCGAACCTGGCAAAGTGGAAAAGGAGCTGAAGATGTCGCCTCCATGAGGGACTCAGGATGGGCAAGTCCCCACTGTCTTTCACCCCAAGCTGGAGATGCATCCACCTGGCGCTTTAGCGAGCCCCAGATGCCCTGCATGAGCTGCGTGGACTGGCATGACATTCTCCCTGTCTGCGTGGCATCTAAGGTGGCAGAGTGGGGCACCCTGGTGGGCCCAGGTATGTAGACCCCTGCATGTAGACTGTCATGAATACGTGTGGGTGTTCAAGAGTGGTTATCATGGCTGGGCACGGTGGCTCACGCCTGTAAGCCCAGCACTTTGGGAGGCCGAGGCAGGTGGATCACCTGAGGTCAGGTGGAGAGTGCTGGTGAGGCAGGCTGTGACTGGGCCCATGTCAGTGAGCAAGTACTGGGCAGCCAGGCGCATGCCGAGGTGCACAGGTTTGACGTAGAAGCATGAGTGAGCAGATGTGTGTGCCTGGGCGACTGAGTGTGTGCTGGGAACCCGGAGGAATCCTGCTGGTTCTAGCGGCCGAGGGAGCTGTCTGAGTGCTACTAGGTCATAGGGCTGGGACAAGGCCTCCTAGGGAGAGCCTGTCCCCATGAAAGGTGGTGTCTCTGAGGAGGATATCAAGGGCATCTTGGCAAGGCTGGGTCTCCTGCCCAATATTGATGAGCCCGTTGATGAGTACTTGGTGTTGAAAATGCTTCCCTGTGGGGAGGCAGGATGGTGGGTGGGGCTTCCACCACTCACTTCCAACAGATTGGAGTCTCTTCCCCTGGAAACAATATGCTTCCCCCTGGGCACGCTTTCAGCCTGAGGCAGCTGCAGGGAGGGAGGAAAGATCCCTTTCACACACAGAGGGGCGCAGCACTCAGGCTGGAGTGCCCCCTGGGGAGAAGACGCCCTGGCAGCCTCCTCAGAGTGATGGCAGAGCTGAGGACAGGCACCGGCCTTCCTCCCTTCCCACCCTCCAGTGTTCCCTCCTCCCCTCCCGCTCGGCCTGTGTTCCCCTCGGCTGCCTCTCCAAGGAGATGTGGAGCTGACAGGACACCTTCCCTGGGCGCGTGAGCAGTGGAGCTGCCACACAGGAGTTAGCTGGTTAACATAGTGCCGCGTGGGCACATGCCAGGGCTGTTCTCAGCATTTCCAGCTCCAGCTTCAGACTGGGGGTGACATGCTGCCCTCCATATCTCTGCCCCCTTCCTTCCCAGGGAAGCCAATTAGCCAGATCTTCATTAGAAGCCAAAAATCACAACCCCACAGTCCTGGGTCTGATACAACTCTGACAGTGGGTGGAAGGAAATCGGGCTCCGGGGTAGATCAGAAGAAACTGACTCTGCTCACCCAGGCTCTGCAGTCTGCATGCCTGTTGCCTGTTGCCTGTTGCCTGTTATTAGCTTCTGCTTCTTCTTCTTCTTCCTTTTTTTTTTTTTTGTTAAAGCAAATGAGAGGACTGAAGCTCTGAGCATCCCCTGACCTACTCAAGGTCACATAACTAGTCAGTGGATGCAGTGGTTTTTGGTAATGTCACAGATTTGCCTGCTGTGTGTGAAAGAGGAGGGGCAGGGGGAAGAAAGAGGGTTGTATATCTGGAATTCTGGGCACGGGGCTGATTTGCACATTTTGCAAGGATGGGGAGTCTTGTCTGAATGTGCAGTTCGGATGCCCTGCGGGGACCCTGATTTCTGTGTGGTGAGCATCCCCCTGGGCTGGGGGCATCACTGGGCCATGGACCCCAGCTTTTCTCCCTGTCGGCCGGGCTGCTGCGGTGTTTCTGCCTTGCTGCTGATCCTTCCTAAGGAGGTTGTTAGTCTGTGTCCTCCTGGGGCCCGTGGCCTAGAGAGGGGCTCCCCAGGCAGCTGCTTTCTGGGAAGTGGCATCGTGGAATGGAAAAATCCTTGTCCCTGAGGGCCAGGACCCCTGGGTTCCACTTTGGGCTCTGCCTTCAGCTCCTGCAGATTGGGTCAGGCTTGTACTCTGGGTGTTGGTTTCCTGCCTAGGAAAGGCATCTGGCTGGAGAGAGAGCACTGTGGTTTCCCGACACAGGACGGGTAAGGAGGGGGCCACCTCTTCCCGAGAGCTGAGAGCTGAGGGGAGGCCCCACCTCACCACCAGAGTCTGAGAGCTGCTGTGCTGTGTGGCCTGGGGCCCTGGGGGAGAGACAGCTGCAAGCAGAAGGAAGCAAGGACTCAATAGCCATGCAGAGCCAGTGCAGTTGGTGGAGGTGGCACCGAGGCCAAGCCTGGGATCTTTGAGAGTCCCCAGGACCCCACCCCACTCCTGATGTGGTGGGTGGGCCTCCTCACCCCACCCAATTCTGCCCTTCTGGGTGGAATGGCCCTTCTGCCATAAGGGAGGCCCCAGTCTGAGGGAGGAGGTGAGGGTCCTGCCCTGGGAGTGCCCAGGTCTGTGCAAGTGGACACAGTCAGCCTGGGATGGGCGAGGAGGAAGAGCTGGGCTGGGGAAGCATCTGATGCCCGCCCCCCTCCCCGGGTGCCCACCCGCAGGGAGCTTGACCCCCTCAAATCTGCTCTCCCCATGGAAAGCCCCAGCAGCTCCACCAGTAGCAGCCAGGGCCCAGGCCCCCAGCCTCACCGCTCCTCCTAGGCAGGTGTCAGTGCCTTCCCCCAGCCTCGAAGAGGTCCTTTAATTAGATTCTGACTCGTTTACCAACTAAGTGGCCTTCAGTGGGTTTTAAATCTGCACAAATTGGTTTGTGTTTTTCTGCCTACACAAAGCTGTGACTGGCAGTGCCCTGCACCCTCCCTAGCTGCCCTTTGCATCACCTCTGCTCCCAGCTCCCTCCAGGGCTCCATCATCCCCCATCCCATTGGATGCCCAGCTTCTGTGGAGCTTGGGAAGGGGGTGGCAGTATTCCCTGGGCAGGGGGATGGAAGAGACCACAGGGTCATAGGCCACAGTCCTAGTCCCCCTTCTTACCCCCACCCCTGGGGAAGGGAGTCCATGTGGTGACTCAGATTAGATCACTCGACCTCCCTGAGCCTCAGTTTCCCTTGCTGTATGATGAGGAGAATCAGCCTGCTCCAGACCCTTCTCCATGGTGGCTTTATAGATCAGGGCTGGGAGGTGGAGGAGGGGACAACAGGTGTATCACCTGCCAAGAACCACCTGACACCTCTTGCCTTGTCCATCTCCCCCCGCCCCCATCCACTACAGTGCCCAGGGAGTGGGCAGGGCCCACGCTGGGGGGATGGCCTCGATCCTCCCTGGCCTCGACCCTCTTCTCTGTCCTCCTTGTCACCCTTGGTGGGGAGGGGAGCTGGCATTCCTTGAAGACAACTTGCCTGGCCTTGCCCCATGTCCCTAGTGCCCTGCCCTAGTCACCAGGAGTCTTTATTTTCTAGCCATCTCCTCCATGCCTTCAACTCAGCTCCTTCTCCTCCCAGGCCCTGTCTCAGGCCTTCTGTCCAGTGGGCTCCCTTCCCACTTCCTCTCTGTCTTCCCTCCTAGTCCAGGCAGACTCTCCTGAAGTGGAGCCTGACATTCAGGGGGTGGGGCTGGGCTGGCAGGGAGTGGGGATCACCGTGGGGAGGTGCAGAGTTTCTGGCCCCCGCTCTGTGCCAGGAGCTAGGCAGGAGCCCCCTGTCTCCAATCCTCAGTCCAGCTGCCTCCTTCCCCCCATCGCCCTTCCCCCATCACACGCCCTCATCTCCGAGGCTTTAGTTGGAGTGACAGGGAGACTCAACAGGGCGCTGGGTATTAGCAATTTGGGGGGATATTACACAGGAATGTTTACAGAAAGGCAATTGCCCGGAAAATGACTTTGGTTGCTGTGGTATGGGGCGGAAAAGATGGTTTTAGAAAACAGACACAGATGGGCTTCTGATCCAAGGACCCACAGCCAGCCAGCAGAAACTGAGGAGTATGGGCACACAAGGAAGGCAGAGCCAGGGGCACCCAGGGACAGGGAGGCCGATTCCTTCACTAGCAGGGGAAGCAAAGGATCCCCTCTCCTAATTCGGGTTCCCAGAGCCTCTGCCTAGTTTGATACATATCTGGTCCCGGTTGACCTTTGTCCTCTGGCCTCCAACCTCCAAGCACACCGTGTGCTTCCCGACTGCAGCAGGCACCCAGCAGGATGGAGTCATCATGCACAATCGAAGGTGGCAGTGCCTCGGGGCTCCTCCTGGCTGACTTGGGCTCCTGTAGCATTGGCTGCAGAGGAGGGACTGGGGGAGCCTCATGCTGTGTGTTTGTGTGTGTGTGTGGGTGTGGCCTAAGGCAGGCAGGTCCTCCACCCTTCCAGCTGTCTCCATGCTCCTCTCCTGCTGCCCTGCCTAGCCCCATGTCCTGTGGGCTTGTGAGTTGGTGTCTTCACCCTGAGTGCCTCCTGCCCTCGCTTCCTGCCAGGGCTATAACCCAGCTCCTACCCCTGCCCAGGCAGTGGGTCGGGGCACACATGTGACAGCCTCTCAGGTCCCCAAGGGAGGGGTTTTGTCCAGCCTCCTTATCTCCACAGAGAGGGTTACAGGGACCTGATTTCCAGATCTTGAGTTTGGGGCTGGGGAGGACTCACATCAGGGGCCCCAGAGAGTTCTCTTCTCCCTTTCCTGAGCTGGTGGCTTCGTTCTTCCTCTACTTTGTCCATTTGCCTCTCTCCTTCCTTCTCCCTCCCTCTCCTCTCCTCTCCCCGTTCTCCTCCTTTGCAGATGACATCATGTGTGAATGTTGCCCAGGGGCAGCCAGAGGACAGAGTAGAGGGTTACATCCGGGGTAAAGATGCCAGTTGGGGACCGGCTTGGTGGCTTATGAGATGGTGTCACTAAGATGTTGGGATCTTAATTCTCATAATCAGTTACAGTGATCTCATGTAAAAGAATGTGGTGGAGGATAAAAATAAATGAGGCTGATAAATAAACGTAGAATTTGGAATTGTTCGGACAAATGACAACGTCACTCTTCCCAAGCACCTGTGCCGTCCTCCTAGCCGGCCACTGGGGGGCGCCCGCCACTTCCCGGCCACCCCAGCCTCAGGCCACTTTCACCTTCCGCGTTTCCCAGGCGGGGCAGGCTGAGCTGAGGGTGGCAGAACCCGCCTTCCTCACCCTGCCCTTCCCCTCATTCGGATTCTGGATTTCGCCAGTTCTTGGCATCTTCCCTGTGGCTTGAATCTCGGACTCAAAAAATATAGTCAGCCTTGCACACTGAGGTTCCTTGGAGAAAAGAGAAGCCCTGAGCCCCCTCCCTTATGTCTCTGGTTTCCCCAACCCCATCCCTGGGTTGGGGGGAACCTTCAGGCCCAACGCCCCTCCACCAGGGTATCCTAGCTTTGCTTCCCTTCCCCCAGAGTTCCCTGCCTCCGTCTCTCTCTATCGCAATGCCCCTATCCCTCTCCCAGCAGAACCCAGCCATGCTTAAGACCCCAGCCCGGGTCTCTCATGCCCTCCCTGCCTGGAACAGGACGCATTGATCTGTGCAGGGCTGGCAGGTGCCTGGATCCGCTTGCTAGATTGGAATCGATCCCTGTGTCTTTTCCCTGGGCTGCTCAGGTCCGAGGGGGGTCAGGGCCACTCCGAGGACTTGCTGATGGCTGGAACAGGCGTAGGGGTAACAGGGAGGTCAGGCTGCTACAAGCCCATCGCTGCTCAGGAATGTCTTTCATTGAAAGCAACCTACTTTGGCCTGGCGCGGTGGCTCACGCCTGTAATCCCAGCACTTTGGGAGGCCGAGGCGGGCGGATCACCTGAGGTCAGGCGTTGGAGACCAGCCTGGCCAACATGGTGAAACTCCGTCTCTACTAAAAATACAAAAATTAGCTGGGCATGGTTGTGGGCTCCTGTAATCCCAGCTACTCAGAAGGCTGAAGCAGGAGAATTGCTTGAGCCCGGGTGGCAGAGGTTGCAGTGAGCCGAGATCGCACCATTGCACTCCAGCCTGGGCCATAGAGTGAAACTCTGTCTCAAAAAAAAAAAAAAAAAAAAAACAGAAAATGAAAAAAAGAAAACAACCTACTTTCTCTACCATTGTCTTGCCAGCCTCTCACTTAGTGCCCAAAGGCAGAGTTTAGACGTTAACATCCCCATTTTACAAATTAGGTTCTTAGGCTCAGAGAGGGAAGATATTTGTTGACTGAATGAGTAAGTAAATTAATGAGGCTGGGTGTGTGTGGTGGCTCATGCCTGTAATCCTAGCACTTTGGGAGGCTGAGGTGGGTGGATCGCTTGAGCTCAGGAGGTGGAGACCAGCCTGGGCCACATGGCAAAACCCCATCTCTACAAAACAAAACAGACCACCAAAATAAGCTGGGCATGGTGGCACGTGCCTGTGGTCCCAGCTACTCAAGAGACTGAGGCTGGAGGCTAGCTTGAGCCCAGGTTGAGGCTGCACTGAGCCATAATCGCGCCACTGCACTCCAGCCTGGGCAACAGAGTGAGACCTTGTCTCAAAAAATAAATAAATGGCTAGCCTGGGGTCTCAGAAAAGTTGCTAAGACACCCAGGGTGTCTCTGGCCTGGGTTTTTCTCTCCCAGTGTTCTGATTTCAAGTGCCTGGCCTGCTGAAGGAGTTAAAATCATGCCTGAATCTTCAGAGCCCCCCCAGGAGGCTGGTCACTGGCTTCCCTCTCCTAAGGACAGGATGCTCCCCCACCCTCAACCAGAAGCCCAGGTTCATCCTCCCAGCTCAGCTGGGGCCCTGCAGAAAGAAGTTAAATCTGTACAAAGTAGGAAGCCAGGACAGCTAGGCTACCCAGGCGTTCCCTTCTCCCCGAGCCTCAGCTTACTTTTTTGTTATATAAAAGCCAAGGATCTCAAAGGTTCTTAAACAGATTCTAAAGCTTTTCACATCAAAGCTCCTCCTTGCCACCGCCCCTCAGAGAGAGCAGATCATCTCTCCTGCCCCCTCCCCTCTCTCTGCCACCCCTTAGTATCTAGCTCCTGCCCGCCTCACCCCAATAGCCCCAATGCCAGAGCACCTGAGGGCTGAGCGACGGCCTGGAGGAGGCAGTGAGGGGTAGTCCCTGCTTCCCTGTCTGTGCAGGCTGCTCAGCAGCCCCTCCCCACTGCCAACTGTGAGATTTGTGGGACTGCAGTCATATAGTGCAGTTGTGAGCTCCATGCCCTACCCTCTGCCTGCTCCAGCAGCTGGGAGCTGGGACCTCTCCCTGCCATAATCTGCCTGGGAGAACTGGGTGACCTGGGGACCCTCCCACTCCACAGTCACCACTCATCTCAGGCTGGTACACTGTTTGCTCCACCCCAGACACACTGAGATCCCCCAGGAGGTAGGGAAGGAGGTGCTGGCATGAGGAGGGGGTAAGAGAGGGGATGAGGAGCTCTTTTGGCTCCAGGAAGGAAGCAGCTGGGAGATGATAATTGGAGACCTGTCCCAATGTTGTCCTGAGCCCTAGGAGGGCAGAGGAGCCTGGATCTCTGGCATAAGGGGCAGGGGTCCTTCTGGCTCAGGCAGGACTAGGCCTGAACTGTGGAGCTGGATTCCAGCAGCAAGGCCACGGCAGAATCCACAAGGCCTGGGCAAAGGAAAGGCTCTTGGCCTCAGAGGGTCCCCTCCTTCTCACTTGTACCCAATGGGCTGCAGACCTCTGGCTGGTGGTGAGGGTGAGTGGAGGAGGAGGAAGGTCAGGGGTTATGGGAGGCAACCCTCTGACTTTGGTTGGAGCTATTTCTCCAGCGCCCAGGGAACCCCCAGCCTTCTCATGGAGGCATTATTCAGGCCACTCTCCTTTAGCCACACTTCTGGCCACTGTGGGTTGCCACAAGTACCTCAAAGACAGGGACTGGGCCCTCAGGAAGATGGCCCCAGTGTTCCCAGTCTCACTCAGTCAGGGTCTATTTCACGAATTACCATCATATCAGGAAACCTTTTGTACTGTACTAATGCAATATACGTTTTTGTTAGCTCACTTTGAACTTTAAATTTACTTAAAAGGAAACTTTATTTCACTACCATCCCAAGGAACTATATCCATGAAATCACTGGTTTGACCTTCTAATTGGGGCTTTTTCTAATCCTTATGAAAATAAAGGTATTTAAAAAAAAAAAAAAAGACCTGGGTGTGGTGGCTCACACTTTTTTTTTTCTTTTTTCTTTTTTCTTTTTTTTTTTTTGAGACAGAGTTTCACACTGTCTCCCAGGCTGGAGTGCAGTGGCGTAATCTCCGTTCACTGCAACCTCTGCCTCCCGGGTTCAAGCATTTCTCCTGCCTCAGCCTCCCAAGGAGCTGAGATTACAGGTGCCCACTATCACTCCCGGCTAATTTTTTGTATTTTTAGTAGAGATGGGGTTTCACTATGTTGGTCAGGCTGGTCTCGAACTCCTGACCTCGTGATCCACCTGCCTCGGCCTCCCAAAGTGCTGGGATTACAGGTATGAGTCATCGTGCCTGGTCCGCGGCTCACACTTTTAATCTCAGCACTTTGGGAGGCCAAAGTGGGAGAATCACTTGAGCCTAGGAGGTTGAGACCAGCCTGGGCAACATAGCAAGACCCCATCTCTAAAAAAAGGAAGAAATTCACTGGGTGTGGTGGCAGGCACCTGTAATTCCAGCTACTTGGGAGGCTGAAGTGGGAGGAACTCTTGAGCCCAGGAGCTTGAGGCTGCAGTGAGCTATGATCACACCATTATACTCCAAGCTGAGTGCCAGAGCAAGACCCTGTCCCCCCAGAAAAAGAAAAAAAGAGGAAGGAAGAGAAGACATAAAATAATGTTCTTCCCAAAGTCATCTCTCATGTATTTGGACCTTATTTTGGGGAGCACAACAGAGGATGGTGACCATGGTGAGAGGGACCACCCAAGACCCAGGGCCATGGTTGGGGATAGCAGCAGGTCAGTGAGGAAGTCCACACATGCCATGTGGTGCTGTCAATGTTCACTCAAGAAACAGTCATCGTGGAGAGTGTGGTGGCACAAACGTAATAAATATTGAGATCAAATCAGGCCTCTTCCATTCAGTGTTGCTTTAGGCTTGTCAGTGGACTTCTCTGAGTCTCAGTAGCCATTTCTGAAATGGGGACCATGATAACACCCACCTGATGGGGTGTAGGGAAGGAAGCATGCAGCCATGAGGCAGGTGGTCAGGCCCTGGTGAGCTGCGGCTCTCATGCCCATGGGAGCCCTTCTTCCCTTGGTTCGGTGGGAGGTGCTGGGTCCTCGCAGGCTCTGTGCCCCTAATGGACACAACCCAACCATTGCCCAGGGAGGGGTGTGTATGTGTGTATGTGTGTGTGTGTGTGTGTTGGGGGCAGGTGGCTTTTCTTGAAACCTGGCTGAATCTCCTCTTTCCTCTGTGGCTGGGCAGGGGATGGCAGACCTGGCAGCTGTCCATAGACCTCCTGACAGTGGATGCTTGGCGGGAGGAGGCTTGTAGCAAACCTGGCTGGTTTCCAGCGTTTCCAGCCGCGTCCCCTGTTGCCCTGGGCTGCCCTTGGAGGAGCCCTATGAGTCAGGCCACACGGGGGCGGGAGTGCATGTGTCTGCTGCAGCGCCTGATGCCCCAGTCCTAGGCCACACTTGGAGGGCTGCTTTGGGGCTGGTGGATTGTGGGGCTGGGGTGTGCAGGAGAGGCTGTGCTTGTCTCCCTATGGACTGACTTCTGAGGGGCACAAATCTATGTTTTATGCCCAGGAATATGGCTGAGGTAGGCCCCCAGCAACTTCTTCCACCCCCAGGGGCATGCGTGACCTCTGGAACCCCTGGCCACTGGTCACTGAAGCTGGAGAGTGCGGGCCAGCAGGGCTGGGCCTGGGGAGGCCAGGAGCTCAGGGCTGGAGAGCATTTGGGAAGGGGATTCAGAGTTCCGCGTGGGACCTCAACCCCCGGCCTTCTCTTTCTTTTGCTTCTGTGCTGTCCTTTGTCCCCTGTACGTCTCTTATGGGTCTTGATCTTGTGTGTGTGTCGGGAGGAGAGACTGAAGAAGGGAGGGGAGAGGTGGGGGGAAAGCCCCTGGGAAGGACTTCAGCTGTTCTGTCTGCTTTCTTTCCCTTTAAGTTTGTTCCAAATCCATCTCTCACTGTCCTCTCTGTGCCCAGCCTCTCCTGTCTGTCTATCTGTCTGTCTCTGGGGAGGGAAGGGAAAAGGGGTCCCACTGCCCCAGACGCTGGGCTTCCATCTCCATGGGAAACCTGAGAGCGATTTTTGCCCTCATTCTCCCCATGTCTTCCTGCCCTGGCCCTTTTCCCAGCCGGCGCCCAGCCTTGAGGATAAGTATGTCCTGGACATATGCTAGTCTGAGGGAGGAGGCAGGGCTCCCCGCCCCCAACCTCAAAGGAAGACTACGAGCTCATTTTCACGTCTTTTAGGGAGCATCTAAAAAGCACCCCTCCTTCCCTCACCTGCTGGCACCAGCTTTAGGAGGGGAGGGGGTTGTGTGGCTGGAGAGGGTCTCAGGATACCTTCTACCCCTTTCATCCAAACCCCCAACCCTTGGCCTCAAAGGGCTGCACCCCCGCGGTCATTATCGCTCCAAACCCACGGAGGAACAGGGAGTATCCAGCCCTTGTTCCTCACCCCTCCCTAGGGGCCGTAGGCGCGCTTTCCACGCCATCCACGCACTTCCCCCTTCAGTCCCTAGTGGGGTGCTGGGCAGCCCCTGCCTCTCCCCGGGCGCCTCTCCACTCTCCTTAGGCCCAGGCCCCGCCCCTTCCCGCAGGGACCCCCTTGGGGGATGGGCAGCCCCAGGCCGGGCGCGCCGTGACCCAGCCGTGCCCCTCTCACCTCTCGCAGATCCGGAGCGGAGCAGCCCCCCCATGCTGTCTGCGGACGATGCGGAGTACCCGCGGGAGTACCGGACCCTGGGGGGCGGGGGCGGCGGGGGCAGCGGGGGCCGGCGCTTCTCCAACGTGGGGCTGGTGCACACGTCCGAGCGGCGGCACACGGTGATCGCGGCCCAGAGTCTGGAGGCGCTCAGCGGGCTCCAGAAGGCGGACGCCGACCGCAAGCGTGATGCCTTCATGGACCACCTGAAGAGCAAGTACCCACAGCACGCCCTGGCCCTGCGAGGCCAGCAGGACAGGATGCGAGAGCAGGTGAGTGGGCTCCCGGCTGCGGCTGCGGCTGCGGCCGCGGCCAGCGGGCAGGGGAGGAGGTCTGACCCCGTGCTCCGTGTCCCCAGGCTCATTCCAACTCTGGGAGGCATCTGGAGCAGAGAGGGAAGAAGGGGAGGAGTTGGGGAGTTGTCCCTCCAGGGCAGTGGCTCTGGTTGGCCTTTTCTGGAGCCTGGGGAGGAAGGGGGTGGGGGCTTGGCCCCCAGACCTCTGCCTGCAGTCCGGAAATCGAGAGCGTGTGACGGGGCAGAGAGAGCCCAGCCTCTTTAACTCAGGCTGTTTGGGCAGAACTCTTCTGGGAGGAAAGGAGAGGAGGACAGCCTTGGGGACTGTTGTTCTGTGCCTGAGAGTCCATCCTGTGGTGAAGTTGAGATGCTGGGGTCGTCGGCACCTCTGTGATATGGACTCTAAGAGAGAGTCGGGCCTTGAGAGCCTCAGTAGGCTGGGTCCGATGTGTCCCCAGTTCCTGCAGCCTGCAAGAATGGAGCCCAGAACGGGAGCCTTTGACCTCTTTCCTCCCTGTTCCACCCCGTGGCGTGCTGGGTGACTTGGAGCTGGAGGCCTCCTCTCTCTGTACCTGGGTATCTCTCCTGCCATCAGTAGGGCTTAGAGAGGAGACACAGCGCCTGTGTCTAGACCAGGACCCGTCTCCTTCTATAGCGAGTGGGATGGTTCCTTTTTAAACCTCCCCCAGAACCTCGGGGTCCTGAATGCATCTCTCCACCCAAGTATGAGCTTCTTGTCTGTAAGAACATGCTTTCTGGGTCTAGCATCCTGTGTACAGTTCTGCATTGGTGAGGCGCTTGCATGGTTGCTGCATATTGGCTTCTGAGACTCAGCCATTGTACCCCTGGGTGAAGGGACTGAGGGGAGGGATGCACATCCCATCAGCAGCCTTTCAGTCAAGCCTGGGGGTGTGTCAGTCCCTGTCTCCCTTTTCCGGGTTCTACTGGATGTAGCTGGGGATGGGGAGGAGTGTCCCCACTCCCATCCTCACTGCAGGGAACAAGACACATTGGCACATTTCTGCTACCTTATCTGCCCTCTAGTGCCACCTCCAGTTCCGTCTGGCTTTTGCCTTTTCCCAGCTCTGAAGTCCTTCTGGGAGCAGGATGCAGATCAGGATTAGAGAGAGTTGAAGAAGATGTTGCCGTCACCCTCAAGGAGCCCCTCTCATTGGGTTCCTCCTGTGTGCACTGGCTTGAGGAGAAGGGCAGGGGCATTTGTCATCTAGCTGGGGAGGGGAACAGTCAGTTGGGACGGGGTTTAGAGGAGGGAAGATCATAGGCAGGCCTGATCGGGGAAGGCTTCCTGCAGGAGGAGGTATCTAAATCAGGCTTAGAAAGATGAAAAGGGTTTGCATAGCCCTAAAGGAAAGAATGTTGTTTTAGGAGTGGTGGGGGTGTATGGCATGGGCATAGGCCTGAGTTGGTTTGGGAACTGGCACAGAGGTCCACCTGGCCGGCGAGAAGGCTCAGGTGGGAGGTAGTGGGATGTGTGGGAGCTGACTGAAAAAGTGGGGCAGATGGTGGTGGCTAAGGTGGCTGTGTTTGCTTTTGGATGGTGAATAGGAGGGGAGAAGCGGGACTGGAGGCAGGGGAAGGAGAAGAGGAAGAGTGTATCAGGGATGATGAAGGGGAAAGGATGGATGGATGGGGGTTGGAAGAAGACCAAGTGTAGGTCTAAGGCTAAGCTGCCTGGACCTAGAAGGCAATGACAGAAACACCTGGGCGACAGGGAGATGTTGGTGCCTTGGAGAGAAATAGGAGGGTTGGAGGGAAATGTTTGGGGGTGAGGGAGAGGAATATACAGAGACGGGTTTGAGCAGTGGGTAGGGCATTCTTGGGGATGCTCTTAAGGCACCATATGCACCACTCAGGACTCCAGAGAGGCTGCAGCTTCAGGAGAAGAGTTGAGCACGGTCACAGCAGATACAAAGTGGACCTGGGATGCGGAGTGGCCATCAGGGCACAGTGGGGTCTAAGAAGGGAGAAAGCCCATGATGTTTGGGGAAAGGGGACCAGGAATGTTCTACATCCATGAGGAAGTCCCAGGGGAAAAAAGGCCCCTGGACAAGGGGCCAGCAGGAGGGTGACCAGAGCTTCAGAAGTCCAAAGGATGGGGAGAGAGAAACAGACATCGCGACTGGCCGGGATTTGTGGGCGCAGAGGGTATTGAGAGCTTGTGTCTCGTGGTGTGGTAAAGTAATGGCCAATTTCATGGGTTAGGGAGTTTGGGATTGGTGAAGGATCAGGAGCCCCAGCCACAGACTTATTTTGGGGAGATTGGGCCAGGAAAAGGATGAAAACAGCTGGGTGGAGCTTCCAGGGGTAGCAGGCCTGGGAGAGAAGGCATAGGCATGTCTAAGGGCCTCCTATGTTCTAGCATGTTCACCAGCACAGAGTTTGGAACTCAGTAAATACTTAGGAAATGAATCAAAGCCCAGCCACCCACAAATTTGTTCCTTTCTTCTTTCACTCATTCGTTTCCCCACTTAGAGTGTAAGTGGGCAGGATCTATGGCCCGTTCACTTGCCATGGAATGTTCGGTGCTTAAGCACGGTGCCAGCTCAGGCAGTGTTTGTGGAATGAATGAGAGAATGAGGGAGGAATGAATCTGAGGATGCCAAGGGGAAAGAAGGCCACGGGAAACAGGTCCTAGAGGAATCTGGAAGGATGGTCTTAGGTGTGGGGTGGCCTTGGGGAACGAAGGGGGTGGAGTCACTTCCACTGAGATACAGGAAAGAAAGGTATGCTGTGGGACAGAGACAACTGGGGGGAGGCTTCTCCTGCCCAGCGGTTCCTATTTCTGTGAGGTAGGTGTGACACCTTTAGTGAGGAGGGGATGAGAGCTGGGGAAGGGGAGATGGTAAGGAGCAGCTTCCTTGCCAGTGTGCAGAGGGACAGCCAAGAATTGGATATGAGGCCGGGCGCAGTGGCTCACGCCTGTAATTCCAGCACTTTGGAAGGTTGAAGCAGGTGGATTCCTTGAGCCCAGGAGTTTGAGACCAGCCTAAGCAACATGGCTGTCTCTTAAAAATAATTTTTGTTTTTAATTAGCTGGGCATGGTGGTTTGCCCCTGTAGTCCTTGCTACTCAGGAGGCTGAGGTGGGTGGATCACTTGAGCCCAGGAGGTTAAGGCTGCAGTGAGCCATGATCGTGCCACTGCACTCCAGCCTGGGAGACAGAGTGAGAACCTGTCTCAAAAAAAATAAAGTGGAGATGAGAATTTCAGAAATGTCTGATAGGGAAGGCCCTGCCCTGGGCTCAGGGAACCCCCAGGTCTAACAGAAAAGCAGACATCCAGAAACAGAGCAGGGCTCTAGTTAGAGAGATACCCAGCCTAAATAAGGGACTTGCCAGCATCGCTAGACCCCTCTGCAGTATGAGCTCTGTGCCAAGGCTTGCCCCAGGAATGCCCTTCCCTCCCAATCACAGTACCCCAGCGGCTCCTGCCCGCTTCCCCTAATGGGGTGTCCCCCGCTTCGCACACACAGGTTGGCGGCTGGACCGTGGACCCCGTATGCCTCCTCAGCTCCCTCTGCTCCCACCTCCATGGCGACTCCGCCCCCTCCGGGGCTGGCCAGCCGGCCCAGGTGAGTCACCCACCTCCACCCCACCCCCCAAGCCCATGGTGGAGTTTGGCTTTGGGGAGGATTTTTTTTTTTTGGAGGGGGGATGTTCAGGACTTTTATTTTGCAACCTTTTCTCTTTGGTGTAGGAGCCCCTATTTTCAGGAGACTTCTGTGTCCCGTACTCACATCTGCCCGATGTCTAATTCCCTGCCACTACCTCCTCAGGCCTGGTTGACTTTGGAGAAGGAATTTTTTGAGGGAAGATACTCAGGATTTTTAAAAAAGTTTTTGTATCCCTTTCTCCTTTAAACAGAAGTCCCCTGACCTTGCTCTGTGGGTTTTATGCCCTCCTCCCACTGAGGACTATCTTATTCCCCTCTCCACACCCTCCCCTTCCGTTTCTGAGCAGATCCAGCCTTCCCCAGATGTCCCACCATCAGGAAGTTCTGCATGAAGTCTCTCTCTCACCCCTCTTGCTAAGTTCATGGCTTAGTCTCTAATTTTTAAGAAGACTTGGGCATCAAGCCATCTATTCTGAACTTATTCCCCTCTTCCTCATCAGGCTTCAGTGTCCGTTATGGGAAGATAGATCTTAGCTTAGACAGGGACACATGTAGGCAGGATACCAGGGGCCTGGGCTCCCAGCTAGGCCTGGACATTGCTATGGGAGAAAAATAGGCATCTGAGGCCCAAAATAGGCATCAGAGTTGCAATGGGAAGGGGACAGCCCAGGGGAGGTCTTGACTTGAGGATATTCAGCTGTAGGAGGCGGAGGAGGGGTAGTGGCAGGGAATCCAGTGGGAACAGGGTGCTCAGGTCCTTACACACCCTGCTTCCCCCAGAGGACAAAAAGTCTTGGCTTTTTCAAGGAGAATTAAGAGAAAGAAAATTGTGACCACCTAGGAAATGACAGGCCTTCAGAGGGAGGATGTTTTAGCCGAGTGTAACTCAAGTCTAGTAACAGATTGGCATGCTTGTCATCACTCACAGGGCATTCAGCCCAATTTCTTTCCCAGTTCCCAAGCCCCATCTTGGCTGAACTTTGGGGAACAGGAATGTGTCTGCCCCCAAGGCTGGATGGCAAGTGGGACAGACTTGTCCTGAATGGCCAAGTGCATGGCGGAGACCAAAGTGGGGCTAGGACAGGGATGGTGATAGGACAGAGGACGATGTGATATGCATGGGTAGGGTTGTGGTGCCTTGTCTGCCCAGAGGTCCTCCCCAGATGGAGCATCTTGGGGCTGTGATAGGGGTTGGATGATGGACAGGAGTGAGGCTGGACTGGGTGAGCTCAGTTGTCCCAAGTCAGGGGCTTGGGGGAGCTGGGGATTTTGGCCTGTCCACATCTGGGATCTGCTCTGATGGAGGAAAGGGGAGCGCTTGAGCAGACCTTCCTCCTGGGGCTCTGTAATTAACCAGGAAAGTGTCTGTGCATAGGATCTTTTCATCACTTGATACTTATCACACTCCCTGCCCCTAAGGCTGAGTCTGAGGTTCCCTTTTGTTAAGTGCAGGACCAGAGACTTTGGAAAGGCCAGAACCACACAGCAGGGCAGGATGAGAGGCCATCTAGGAAACTTAGGCATCCTAGGCCTCCCAGACTTGGCTAAGGATTAAGTCACGGGAGAGTTAAAGGCCAAAGGTGCACAGCAAAGACCCCGGTGGGGAGAGGCTGTGGGCTCTGAAGTTTGAGCAGGAGGCAGAACACTGTCCCCTCCCTGATCCTCCACCAGGCGGGACCTTTAGGGATGGGGGCAGTGAAGAGGATCCTGGGAGGGCACCAGAGGTTGGACTCCAAGCCAAAGCCCCTCCCCCGGCTTCCACCAGGCTGTCTAACCTCCCTCCCTCCTGCTGCAACCCGAGTCCCGGGCGCCAGGCCGGCGTATCGGGTGACCGCGGCGACGCAGCCACCAGCCTCCGCCGCTCCTCTGCGGGGCTGCGCCGGCGGGGCCGCGCCGAGGGAGGGGGCCGCGAGAGGGGATGTGCACGGCGGCGCGCAGCGCCGCGCCAGGTGGAGTCGCGGTTACCGGGGCGACTGGGGCCCGGGCCGGCACGGCGGCGGCCGCGGCGGCTCTCGCATTGCAGCAAAGGGCACCGGCGGCGGCGGCCGCGGCTGCGGAGGCGGCCGGGGGAGAGAAGAGCCCGGGCGGGTGGGAGTAGGGGCCCTCCCTCCCCAGCCGGACGCAGGACCTGGGGCTGGGGACCCCGCACGTACACCTGTGGCCGCAGGTAAGGGGGAGCGACTGTGGGGGCCGGGATCGCCGCCTCGGGTTGGGCGGGGGGCGGGGACACGGAGATGGGGGCCCGCTCCGCGGCACCGAGAGCCATCCAGGGGTGGGGGACGTCCAGGCCATTGCAGGTTCCCGATCCCTGAGAAACGCCTCCTCCCCTCCCCCACCGCATTAGGTGCCTTCGGCGTGGGCCGGCCCCCACTCCAAAATCAGGCTGGCGCCCCCTCCCCCAGCGTCGGAAAGTCATGACCTTCCCGGGGTGCGCCCTCTTCCCCAGCGTCCCACAGCACCCCCACCCACCCACCCACACACACACTCTGCATTGGGAAGGAGATGAGGGTGTCATCCACACATCTGGAAGAGAGGGTCATGCATGTACATCGCGGTGGGGGCAGGCGCCCGAGGAGGGGCGAGTGGCTTAGCCCCAGCCCGGGGGACGAGTGTTTACGCTGACTCGTGTTCATGGGAGTTGAGAGGTGGGTGTGTGCACCGGTGCAGCACAGCCAGGGGATTAAGGAGCCGGTGTGGACCCGTGGGTTGCCCTCCCTCCTTGGAAGGTGCGTGGTCAGGGCTTGAGGTCAAGGAGGGGTCATTTGCTCACTGAACCTGCTGGGGATGCCTGCCCAGGGGAGGAAAGAGACCTCAGCTGGCTGGGCCAAGCCTCCCCAGGGGCCCTAGCCCCTCCCCTCCCAGGGCATGAGGGCCGAGGGGGGGAAAACCAGCAGCAGGGGAAGTAGGAACCCCTCTACCAGTGGCTAGGATGGAGGAGAGAGGAAGGGAGTTAACTCCTTAGCTCCCAGAGAGAAGAAGCTGTTTCCTCTTCTCACCAGGAGTTTGAGGACTCCCTGGCCTGGCTTCCTTGGGCCTTGAGAGACACTCCTTTCCCCCGTTTCTCACAGCGTGGTCCCTAGGGTCCTATGCTTCCATCTTACCTTCTTAGAACACCTCTCATTTTGCCCCAGCTCCTTTAAGATTCTTCCCCACAAGTGGTTGCCCCTGCCGGGGTCTCCCCTACTCACCCCTTTCTTTATTTCCCCCTTTCACTGTCTTTTGGGAAGGTGAGACCCCCTCCCTGACTATGGGGGAGGGAGACAGCTTTGGCACTGGAAGATTTGGCTTGAGGTGGACAGCCAGACCTCTCCTGGCCCTTCCTGCCCTCTGCCCTCCTAACTGGGGGGTTTCTGGTGTTGGGAAATTCCCAGGGAAAAGGCCCAGAAGGCTGAGCAGTGCTGGGTGCCAGGAGATGGAGGGAGTGGTGCCAGACCAGAGTATTCAGAGATCCCACCCTCCACCCATGGCTCGGTCCTATTTTATTGACATTCATTCATTGTCACATACTTGCTGAGTGCCTGCTATCCACCAGGTACTGTACTGGGCACAGCAGGAGGAACAGACACCCTGGAAAGGGGTGAGGAGGTACAGGGTGCTGGAAGTTGGAAGGGGAGTGACTGGGAATGTCCCACCTTAGAGAACACTAGAGGAGCCCTTTGCTCTCAGTCACGCTAGTCTGTCCCATGGGTTAAAATCCTGGAAAGAGACAGAGAAGGGGATGGATGATATCCCCAGAGGCCTCCCCCACCACAGTTTCTCTTCGCCAGAGACACTGAGTGGCCAAGAGACTGTGTCTCGTTCCTGGTGGGGTCAACATGAAAGAGGATCATTCTTCCCACTTTCCAGAGGGAGGACAGAGGATGGAGGGGCAGGATTCACTCATGTGCTCTATAGATCAGAGCCTGAAGTTCCAGATTTTGATCTCAACATCTCTCATGCATCCAAGTGACCGGCACAAGCGCAGCCCCTCTTCCATCTTTATCCTTTGAGGGGCTTGGCTGGCCTTTCCTATGGCACTGATGCCACCCAGTCCTCTCCCTTGGCTGCTGCTAGTGATACGTCCCTTCCAGGTGACTGCCCCATGGATGTGCACAGCCTTGGGACCCTGGGGCAGGCCCATGTGGAGGCCATAGCCAGTGTGGTTGTGGCCAGGCCCTGTCTTTATCTCCCTCCCAGGACCACGAGGTGGGCCTCAGTCATCCGAACAAGGTACCCTGAGTCTGATGTGTTGACACTGGTGGCAGGGTGGGGGACAGAACATCTTCTATCTCTTTTGCATCAGAGGTCACCTCCCTGACTTATGATATCTGGGACATGATAGGCATGGGACAGTGGCACCCTGACCTGGGGCTTTCTCTTTGTACGTAGGTGGCTCTGAGGCCGTGTGTGTGTGTGTTTCAATAGCCGGGGTGTGTGTCTCTCACTGTGAGTGGGCACCCGTGTCTCTGTTTCTGTGACTGTGGTGTTTTGAGGGTGAGTGTGAATGCCATCAGCACCTCTTGTCCTCTGTGACTGGCTATGGTGCTTGTGAGTGTGTGTAAGCGAGGCAGGGGTCTGGCGGGAGCCAAACACGTTTGTGTATGAGTGGGGGCGGTCTATGTGTGAATGTCTCTGTCTCTGAGTTTCTGTTTGTTTCCAGGGCTGTTTCTGACTGGGGAGCCCCTCTCTTAGTAGGGGTGTGTGTGTGTCGCTCTGGGTGTGTCTGTGGAGATGTCCTTATCAGAGGATGTGTCTGAGAGTCTGTGCTCAGCTGTGCGTGAGCCTGTGTGTTGCGGGGCGCTGTGGGTGGCCCATGTGTGCGCCGCCCGTGCCTGGTGTCATGGTAGTGGTGGGTAAGGGACTTGAGGCCTTCTCTGCAGAGCGGTCCATCACCGCTGGGTCTGCAGACGTGATTGTCCTCATAAACCTTCCGGTGTCCTCTGCCTGCCCCCACGTGTCCACTCCCTCTGCTACCCCTCCCCTTCCCCAGGCCACAGTCAGCTGCCGCTGGAGCCTGTTACTTGGTCCCTGGTCTCCCCTACCCTCAGTACCTGTGGGCATCCCCTAGCACCACTGGGGGTGGCCTCAGTCCATAGATGATTCCAAGCATTGGCTGGGACACAGACTTTGTTGTCCTCTTCTACTGCCTGGTATGTGACTGTTTTTTTTGGTTGTTGTTGTTTGTTTGTTTGTTTTCTAGCGTGAATGCTGGGGGAAGGATGGGGATGGTGGCTTAGGAGGGGGTGGTCTTGGCAAATGACCCTCTTGGTCCCAGCCCCAGCCCAGTGTCACCCCCACCCCAAAGGTCTGCCTTAGGTAAAGCCTCCAGCCGGAGTGCCCCTCGACTCAGCCCCTTCCAACTCCTCCCTGCCAGGAAAGCATTCAGGTGGCCCAGGACACCCTGGCATGGTGTTCTTCCCCCAGGGGCGCCTTCGATGTCCCTCTCCTCTGCCAGTGGCTCTAAGGCCTGGGGATCTTGTCTGCTCGTGCCAGGCACCCCCGGGCCAGGCCATCTGCTGCCTCTGTCTCCCTGCTGAGGCTGGCACCGGTCAGCAGGGTGCCTTGGCTTTGCCAAGAACCAACCCGGCCCCAGGGCAGCTCTTTCCTTGTACTAAGCCATCTGGAAGGGCCTTCTGGTCTCTAGGGAAGGAAGGGTGACCCTGGGTTACTGCAAATGAGGAGGACTCTCTGGCTTCCCATTCTAGGGATGCTAAGAGGGATACGAGGAGCCCTCCTCAATCAGCCAGCCAGCCACAGTCCCCAGTCTCCCCAACTCCCTTCACTGCCCCCAGCTCCCCAGCCATTGATTGCCCAGTGAGTGAGGTTCCTGGCACCTGGCCACTCTGCTCTGTAAACTAGATCCACCATGCTGCATAGGCCTCTCTCTCTTGGCCTTGGGCCCCAGCCCCCCTCCTCCGACCCCTGCCCCATCCATCCTGATCCACCCCATCCACCTCTGCCCCGGGGTCTAGTTCTGATCCCACTCTGCTCCATTCAGACACTTTCTGCTTGTCCACCCAGTTAAGTCTAAATACTTTCTCTCAGCAGTTATGACCACTCATCATCTGGCCTCAGCCTCCCACTTCCCACCCTTTGCAGCCTAATCTGCTACTTTCCCAGCTGCGCCCCAGCCAATGTGGACTAGTGACTTGCCTCAACCCCCCTCCACTTGTCTGCCCCTGGGCACTTCCCCTCTGCCCAGCAGGCCTCTCCTTCCAGTCTCCAGCTGCTCGTTTTTCCAGACCCAACTCAAATGCCACCTCTTCCAAGCACTGTTCCCTGGCCTGCCATTTCTCTGACCCCACAGCTCAGCTTTGTCGCTGCCTCTCTTGTGACTGCCTCATGGGTTCGCTCTATCACCATCCTCTGTGCCTTTTCCCACCAGTAACTCTGCGAGGAGTCGCTGTAGCGCCTGCTCAGGGCCATCCTGGGTACACCATGGTGTTCCAGGTCTCAGTAGAGAATGGATGTACCAGGCATGACTTCATTCCTGCTCCTGGGAGGGTGGAGGGCCCTTGTCCTAGGGCTGAGTGCTGAGTTCCAAGGGTCTCTAACCTGCCCCTGCCCCTCTTTTCCCCTCCTGGGCCCCCTCATAACCATCTCTTCTCTTATTTCCATCAGCAGCCAAACTACTGGAGTTTCAAGGTCAGTGTGTGATGCCTCTGCTCCCATGACAACTGCATGTGCTCTCCCTCCCCTGCCCCTGCCTCTCCCTTGCACAGGCTTTGCACCGGGGTGCGCATCTGCACGGACACCTTCTGGTATGGGCGGTGGGCCTCGGGGCTGCAGGCTGTGGCTGCTGCTTTGGGAGAGTCTGGGTTCGCCTGTCAGGGGCTTGTGGATGGAGTAGGAGTTTGGGCCACCCCTGCTGGGGATCTGGGCTAGAGATGCTCAGTCCCCAGGCATCCCCAGCCCCTGAGGGGCATTTTGAAATGACATACATTTTCCCCAGCCTGGAGAGACTGCTGCCTCTGAGTTAGGGACTTAGACCCTTGTTGTGGGCCCTCTTCTTTGAATTCATATCTCACCTCCCAGGGAGGCCCTGTGACTGTGATGGGTCCCCCTTCCTTTTCTTACTGTCCACCATGGGGGCTGGTCCGTGCTAGGCAGGAGACTCATGGTCCTACACCCTCAAGCCTGTTGTCTAAGTGGAGGGCTAAGCTGAGGGATAGGTGCCTTCTTGCCTCCTCCTGAGCTCTGGCCTTTCCAGAGCTAAGACAGCTGTCTGCCCCTCCCAGGGTATCCTGTTGACCCCTGGGAGAGCACCCTCAGGCACCTGCTTGCCTCCTGGAGTCTCTGGCCTCCCAAGTCCCAGGCATCATGACAGCGGGTGGGAGGCATCCCACCCAGACTCCCCAGGTGTCTTATTTGCATGCATTCTTCCTAGCACTGCAAGAAGTCCTTGAATCAGAGAATCATGGAGTCAAAGTCACACTGTCAAGCATAGCCTCTTTGGAGGAGGCAGTTGAGGGTAGTGGTTAAGCGCATGGACCCAAGAGCCAGGCTGCGTAGTGGTGAATTCCATACAGTCTGCTGCTAACTAGCTTGGTGACCTGGGGCAAGCCACATATCCTCTTAGCCTTGGTTTCTCCTCTGTAGAGTAGAACGACAATGTCTGCATCATAGAATTGTTGTAAAGATAGGGAAAAAAGGCCGGATGTGCTGGCTCACGCCTGTAATCCCAGCACTTTCGGAGGCCGAGGCATATGGAATGCTTGAGCCCAGGAGTTTGAAACCAGCCTGGGCAATGTAGTGAGAACTTGTTGGCCAAGGAGGGAGGCTGAGGTGGGAGGATCACTTGAGTATGGGAGATTGAGGCTGCAGTGAGCTATGTTTGCACCTCTGCGCTCCAGCCTGGGTGACAGAGGGAGGCCCTATCTCAGAAAAAAAAGAAGAAAGAAAGAGAGAAAGAGAGAGAGAAAGAAGGAAAGAAAGAAGGAAGGAAGGAAGGAAAGAAGGAAGGAAGGAAGGAAGGAAGGAAGGAAGGAAACGAAACAAAACAAAACAAAACAAAACACGAGAGGATGCATGTTCCAGGCAGTGCCTGGCTCCTGGTGAGCCTTACATGGTAGCTGACCTCATTAGCTACTAAATCATAGACTCTGCCTTGATTCTCAAACCTAGAAATCAGAATCGCCTTAGGAACTTGTCAAAAATCTCGAACCCCAGGCTCCAATCCCCAGAGATTCTGGTTCAGTGAATATGGGGTCCTGGAAAGGTATTTTTAAAAGCTCCCAAGTGATTCTTCCCTAGTCTATGGACAACCTCTGGGAATCTCAGATCCATGAGCTGCTCCCTGGAACACTCTGGTGATAGGCGCTCTCTACCTCCCATGGTGGTCCCTCTCCTGTCTTGGGAGAGCTCTGCTTGAATCACTGTTTTGTTCTTCTGCCATCTCCCTTATGGTGGGGAAGTCCTGGATGTTTCACTTTCCTCTGCCCTATTGTCTCAGCCCAAGCATGGAGAGAAGTGCCAGCAGGTTTTCCCTCCTCTCGAGAGGGTTTTCTGTACAGGCTGTGAGAATGGAAAGGTGCCCACTGGGCTAGGAAGTGGTGGAGCAGGGAACGTGGGCATCTCTTCTCCCAGGGTTTCTGCCTTCTTGGCAGGCAGCAACCCCCAGGATCCCTGCCCTGCCTCCCTTCATTTGGACCCCTGTTCTGCCTCCTTACTGGCATCTCACTGGTGTCCCCCCGGCACCATGGCCACCCCCTACTCTTCATCGTTGCTGGCTGCCTCGTGCTGCCTGAATTCTGTAGCCCTCATCCGCACTAGCCTGGCAACCACTGACCTTTTAGTTGCCAGGCAACCCCATGACCACCAGACCAGACCTGGTTCCCCACACTGCCACAGAGCTCCCCGCCCTTCAGCTGGGATGAAGGTGAGACAGAGGGGTGTGGGCTGGCACTGGTGGTCAGCCTAGAGCTGAGCCATAGCCTCTCGGTCACAAGCACAAGCGGCCCCTCCCTACTGCCCCTGGCCCATTTCTATGCTGCCTTCCTCCTGCCAAGACCCACACCCACCCAGTGGTCAAGGCATTATGCTTGAGAGGGGAAGCTCCCTGATGTCCCCACGTCTGATCTATTATGGTCCCCAAACCCTCAAGGCCACCTTGGGGACAGCTGGGCATACTGCCCATCAGAAGAAGATGCTCTCCCTTTAAGAGTGCTAATCCAATTGGAACATTAAATTGAGTTAATATGAAGATGGAGATTAATTAGGGGTAAATCAGGAATTGGGGAGAGAGGGAGCTGAAGAGGAGAATAAATGATTCCTTTTTAGAGATATTTTATTGTTGTCTTTTTTTAAATTATAAAAGGAATCTATTCACACCGTTTTGTAGAGAAATCTATAAAGTGAAAAAAGAAAACTGTCAACCCTGAGATAACCAGTGTTAATGGTTTTGAGTGATTTGTTGTTAAAAATAGACAATTTGTTTTACAAAAAAATATAATTGGGCAACATGATTATTTCTTGACAGTATATGTATATGTAATACATATATGTATATAATGCACATAACATGGAATGATGTAGATCGGATTCATTATCTCACTCCTTGTACCAGCTTCTGTACAACAACCAGATTTCTTGCCCAGGGACTAAGGCAGAATGTCAGGGGCTGTGGCCCTGAGTGACATCCCCAGGTTTCAGCCAAAAGTAGGCTCTTAAAGTACGGTTGAAATCATCCTGACTCCCCCTCCCCCACGGAGAGAGCCATCAAGCTGTCCTGTGACATCCTCCCCCACCCCCAGCCAGATATCAGCCTCAGCTACAGCTTCAGAGAAGTGGCTGCCGTCACTCAGAGGCTCCTGGGGGAGGCTGGCTGGCTGTGTGGCAGCATGTGCCTTGCAAGGAGGGGCTGAGGCCTGGCACATGTGTGTCACATCAGACTTAACATGTGTGTTGTGGGCACTGGGCAGGTCGTCTCAAATCCGGGTCCAGCTGGCTTTGAGGAGTTCGGGATAGTTTTCTCAATCACCCTAAATCAGGCACATTCCCTGTGTCCAGCTCTGTCAGGGTCCGCATCCCCTCAAAGCTGGGATCCTGGGGTGCCAGCTCTCTTTGCTTTCTCCCTGGGCCCTGCTTCCCGCCCCCACCCCCACCCCCACCCTCTGAACTCCATGAAGAATAAATTCTCCGCTCACAAACCTGCCACTTAATTAATGTCTGGAACTAATGCCCCAATTTGCTCAACGATTCTGCTGCTCACCTCGGTGACAAATTTGTGTTGTTCTTCGGAAGCCTGAAATAGCAGCCGTGCCCATGGCTCCCACTCACATGGCCTCTTGTCTGGCTTCCCAGGGTGCCTGGGTCCTTTGCCCATTCCTTACCTGCCGGGTGTCCCAGGGAGGCCAAGGCCAGCAGAGACTGGGGAACTCTCTTGTGGCCATGCCAGGAGTCTGTAATCTGTGTGGGAGTCTGTAATCTGTGTGGGTGTCGCTGGCTGGCAGGACCTTCCCAGGCCTGGATATGGGCAGTGACAAGCAAAGGGGAGGGGGGGTGCTCATCCTTGGTTCCTCTCACCCTGCCCGGCCCCTGCAGACCCGCAGCTCACGCCACACTCAGGGAGCCCAGCCCGGGCTGGCAGACCAGGCGGCAAAGCTGTCCTACGCCTCCGCCGAGTCGCTGGAGACCATGTCGGAGGCCGAGCTGCCCCTGGGCTTCAGCAGGATGAACCGCTTCCGACAGAGCCTGCCTCTCTCCCGCTCGGCCAGCCAGACCAAGCTGCGCTCCCCAGGTACTGCCCGCCCAGTCCACCCTCCCTCCCCACACAGGCTCCTCCCTCTGCTCTTCACTCCCTGGAGCCCCCTCCTCCCCTACAGCACGCCAGCTCGCCTCAAGCTCTGCTCTCTTTCCCACAGCCCCTTCTCCCCAAGCAACCCCAGCTCTCTCCATCTCTCTCTCGCCCTCAGCATCCCCACCCGACCCCTTTCCCTCCAAGCCTCCTCTCTCCCTCTTGCTTCCTTTTCTGTCCCTTTCTTTCATCCCTCCCTTCTCTCCCATCTCCCTTCTCTAACTCTCTCCAACCTCTCTCTCCCTCAGCTCACTTCCCCTCAGTTTCCGCCCCACCTGCTCTGCCCCCACTTCCATTTCCTTGTCCAAGTTCCTTCAACTGCCTGGAGTCCAGTGGGTGCCTTGAGAGGCTGGAGAGCCGGCCTGGCGCCCCCGCCGGCAGCATGAGAGGTGCCTGGGTGCATCTGCACTCGGGGGCGGCGTCTAGCCTCAGACCCTGCCGCTGCGGGGCTGGCGCAGCTCCGAAAAGCTCCCCGCGCTCTCCTGGAGGGCGGCGTGGAGACGGCAGCAGTGACAGCGAGGGCGGCGTCTCCTTCGCAGGGGTGCTGTTCCTGCAGTTCGGGGAGGAGACTCGGCGCGTGCACATCACGCACGAGGTCAGCAGCCTGGACACGCTGCACGCACTCATCGCGCACATGTTCCCGCAGAAGCTCACCATGGGCATGCTTAAGTCGCCCAATACCGCCATCCTCATCAAAGACGAGGCTCGCAACGTCTTCTACGAGCTGGAGGACGTCCGGTGGGCGTGGACCGGGGGGGATTTGGGTGGGCTTCCCCACGCTCCTCCTCTGCAGGGTGCTGGACCCCGCCGGCCCTTCCCCAGCTCCTTCCTGACCCGACCTCAGCCTTTCCCCTCCCCTCCCAGAGCCCTACCGCCCCGCCCCCTTCCTCGGCCATCTCAGCCCCCACCCCCTAAATCGTCCACCCCTGCTGGTTCCCTTTGCTTT
Organism: Homo sapiens; assembly: GCF_000001405.40. NCBI lineage: Eukaryota > Metazoa > Chordata > Mammalia > Primates > Hominidae > Homo > Homo sapiens. The sequence continues at coordinate 38,563,114 of NC_000017.11, read as the reverse complement.
GAGCTAACCTGAAAATGGCGCCGGAGGCCAGGAAGAGGCCGGGGTGGAGGCTGCTGGGCGTGTGTGCAGGCAGCCTGAGATGGGGCTCCCGGTGCCTCTGGCCACCCCTCTTCTCTAGGCCTGGAGTAGCCATCCCTTCTCATTGTGCACAGCTGGGGGATGGGTGGTGACCCCCGTCTCCCCGCCTCTCCCAGGGACATCCAGGACCGCAGTATTATCAAGATCTACAGAAAGGAGCCCCTCTACGCTGCCTTCCCTGGCTCACATCTCACCAACGGGGACCTCCGGGTATGGCTGGGCATGCCCAGGGCATTGGGGAGGCTGGGCACATGGGGTCCAGGGGAGCAGGGTCTGGGCAGTTGTCATCTGGAACCAGGGCCAGCTTTGGAGAAGACAGCATAGGGGCTGAGGGGTTAGGGAAGAGCCCCTGTCCCACCTGCCACTTTCCCCTCCATTCCGGGCCTGTCCACTCGGGATTTTGCTAACTTGCCTCCAGATATTCTAAGCCCTCTCTCAGGAGCCGGAGCCACCCCTTCCCCTTCTACTTCCCACCCCTCACGGTAGCTGAGCTGAGGGTTACCCCTCTGGTGCCTCTTCATCGGCCACCTTTTCCTCCATGCTAGGAACCCTGATGGGAAAGGGACCCTAGACGCAGCAGGATGGAGGGAGGGCAGAGAGCAGAAGGGACTTCCTAAGCGTCAGGGAGGAGATGCTGGCTCCTCAAGCAAGGGACAGGGGTGTCCTTGGTGACCAGCCCCGTGGGGTTCCGGGCTGTCTTCTGCGCAGAGAGAGATGGTGTACGCATCGCGGGAGTCCTCGCCCACGCGGCGCCTCAACAACCTGTCACCAGCGCCGCACCTGGCATCCGGCTCGCCGCCGCCCGGGCTGCCGTCGGGGCTGCCGTCCGGGCTGCAGTCCGGTTCGCCGTCGCGTTCGCGCCTATCGTACGCCGGGGGGCGCCCGCCTTCGTACGCCGGCAGCCCGGTGCACCACGCGGCCGAGAGGCTGGGAGGCGCCCCGGCCGCCCAGGGCGTCAGCCCCAGCCCCAGCGCCATCCTGGAGCGGCGCGACGTGAAGCCGGACGAGGACCTGGCGAGCAAGGCGGGCGGCATGGTGCTGGTGAAAGGCGAGGGCCTCTATGCTGACCCCTACGGGCTGCTGCACGAGGGCCGTCTGAGCCTGGCCGCGGCCGCCGGCGACCCGTTCGCCTACCCGGGCGCCGGCGGCCTCTACAAGCGCGGCTCGGTGCGCTCGCTCAGCACCTACTCGGCCGCCGCGCTGCAGTCCGATCTGGAGGACTCCCTGTACAAGGCGGCGGGCGGCGGCGGCCCGCTGTACGGCGACGGCTACGGCTTCCGCCTGCCGCCTTCGTCACCGCAGAAGCTGGCCGACGTGGCAGCACCCCCCGGAGGTCCCCCGCCACCGCACAGCCCCTACTCGGGGCCGCCCAGCCGCGGCTCGCCAGTGCGCCAGTCCTTCCGCAAGGACTCGGGCTCCTCGTCCGTCTTTGCCGAGAGTCCTGGAGGGAAGACCCGCAGCGCGGGGAGCGCCTCGACGGCCGGAGCTCCCCCTTCGGAGCTCTTCCCTGGGCCTGGGGAACGCTCGCTGGTTGGGTTCGGGCCGCCAGTGCCAGCCAAGGACACGGAGACCAGGTGAGGGACGTTAACCAGGCCTCAGGGACTGGGGGTGGGGGGTGCGCTGCGGAGAGGGTTCACAGCAGAGTCCGTGGCAGGTGTGTGTCCTGGACTGAGATCCTGGAGTCCTTTGGAGACCTTGAGTAGTCTTGAAGGGTCGCCAGAGAGCATCTTGGATGTGGCAGAGAGGGCATTGGAGAGACCAGCTTGCCATTTTCCTCCCATCCGCAAGACTGGAGGGGGTGGTTGAGAGGTCCCCAGACGAGGACTCTGGAGACTTGGGTTTGCATCCATTTTCTAAGCCTCGGTTTCCCCAACTGTAAAATTGAGGGGTTGAACCACTTTTAGTGGCTTTCCAGCTTAAGAGTTTGCAGCAGTGAGAGCTGTCCAGCACCGGGACAGCTGAAGTCCACTGGGGAGGAGGGTGCTGTTGAAAAATGGTGACGAGGAAAGGAGCACATTCGGGTACCTAGCCTCCAGGCTGAGGAGCCCCTGCCCATCGCTCAGTCCCCTCCTAAGGGTGCAGGGCTGGAGGAGGTAACCAGGGCAGTAGGTAATCTGCACCCTCAGGCAGCGCTGCTGAGCAGTGAAGAGAAGCCATTGGCCTTCACACAGCTCTTACGTGGCCTGTGTGGCAGGCGCTGCACAGGGTACTGTCAATGCCAAGCTGAGCAAACCCAGTTCCTGTCCTGGTCTAGTGGGGAGACACTCAGCATACCTCCACTTCCCTTGGGTGGTATGGAAGGAGGCGTTCCTCGGGGCCCCTGGGGTCTGTGGAATGGTTTGGGGGAGGGGTCAGGAGAAAGGCAGAGCAGGCAGGGGAAAGCATTGCCAGGCATGGAGAGATCAGCGTGCAGCCTTTAGGGAGGGAATGAAAGGTGAGATGGGAGGCTGTGGGCTTGATCCTTAGGCATTGGGGCCCTTTGCGTTGTCTGTGTTTTGGCAGCCAGGGATGGGACGGTGTTTCTTCTGGTTACCAATCTTAGGAATGGGGGGCTGGGCAGGAGAGACCCTATGCTCAGAGGCGAGGTTGCCCAGACCCCCTTCCTCCCCAGGGAGCGCATGGAGGCCATGGAGAAGCAGATTGCCAGCCTCACAGGCCTGGTGCAGAGCGCCTTACTGCGAGGCTCTGAGCCTGAGACCCCCAGGTGAGGCCCCTCTCCCAACACCACTGCCAGGGCCTAGGGGTGGAGCAGGAGGAAGGGGAAATGGGCATCGGCTCTGCCAGTGTCTCACTGGGTGACCCTGGGTGAATCCCTTCCCTTCTCTGGGACTCCATCCTGAGATCGGAGAGCTGGAGGAGATGACATCCAAGGTTCCACCCAGCTCTGAAGGTCTGGGGCTGGCCTGGACCCCCTGATGGCTTTTTTCCCTGTGCCACAGCGAGAAGATTGAAGGCTCCAATGGAGCAGCCACCCCCTCAGCACGTGAGTGAACCTCCCCCTCCCCCATCCTTGTTCTCTCCGAGCCTGTTTTCTAATCTATAAAGTGGGGATTAAGCAATAGCTACATCACTGGCCTTAGCCCAAGAGGTCTTTTTCCTGGCACTTTGGTCCCCACCGTTAGGGCTGACCACTTGGGGCAGGTAGAGCCACGGGCTTCTCTGGCTACTGTGTGGGGTCGGAGAGTAGGGAGGACTTTGTCCCAGCCCAGTCCTTCCCAGGCTCACAGTTTGTTCACTTTCTCCCATCCTCGTGGTCCTCTGCAGCCTGTGGGTCAGGCGGCCGGAGCAGCGGGGCCACCCCGGTGTCCGGCCCGCCCCCGCCCTCGGCCAGCAGCACCCCCGCAGGTCAGCCTACCGCCGTTAGCCGGCTGCAGATGCAGCTTCACCTGCGAGGCCTGCAGAACAGCGCCAGTGACTTGCGCGGCCAGCTCCAGCAGTTGCGCAAGCTCCAGGTACCGCCCCGTCCTGGGCCCCGCCCCACCAACGCCCACCTACTGGTAGAAGTCCCTTGCCGCAAGTCCCGCCCCATCCCCTACTACCTCATCCTTTTCCCAGAGCTTCCACGCCCGAGTCCTTCGCCGCTCACTGGCCTCTCTCCGAACCCTTTCTCCCCTTCCCCTTTCTTGAGCTTCCGCTCCCTCGCTGAACCTCCACTTCCTCACCAAGGCCTTATCCCTCGCCCGTGACCCCCTCATTGAGCCCTCCTTCTCCTTCCCTGAGTCCCCATCGCCCTCCTGGAGCCCCAGTCACCCACTGAGCCCCTCCGTCGTCAGTATCCCTCGGGGCAGTTCCAGTTCCTTCCTGCCCTGCATCCCTTTCCCTGAGTCAGCGAGAGCCCTTCCCCCAAGTCCTCTCAGCTCCTCCCTCCTGAGCCCCAACAGTCTCCCCGGCCCTGCTTGGCAGATGGTCCCACCTGTCAGGAGCTTGGCATCGCCGAGTCCGCTCCTCAAGCAGGCCCAGGGGCCGTCAGGTGAGGATAATTAGCAGAGACAGGCTGGGGAGGGGGCAGAGAATTGCCATCTGGGCAACGGGTAAGATCTTGCCCACCCCCGCCATTCAGGCTTGGAACAGGGTTGGATCGATCATCAACTTAGTCTTCCTGTCCCAGCCATAGAAGCTCTATCAAATGCCAGCGCTTGAGTCCTTCATTCCAGTCCCGTCCCCATTCCGGGATGATGGAAGCCATAGCCATGCGGCCGCACTGTCGGCAGGGACCTACATAGGGCTACACCCTGTCCCGCAAATATTCCCAACCCCTTCTCCTGCCTCATATTCCCCAGAACTTAACCTTGCCCTCCTCCCCCTGCAATACCACCCCTGCTCGCGGCCACAGCCATGCAGCTCCCCCTTTGCATGGCCCATTTTAACGCTCCCCTCTCCACGATCCCCATCCGTTCTCCTCCTGCCTCTGTTCTTCCCCAGAACTTAGCCCTCTGCCCCTGCCCTTCGCCATCCCGCCCCTGCCCTTCGCCATCCCACCCCTTCGCTGCTGCCTGAGGCGGAGCCAAGCAGCCGCTTCTTCTGCAGAGCCCCGCCCTGGATTGGGCAGTCCTCTACCCGCCTTCTCCCGGCCCTTCCCCTGCCTCGCGGCTCCGCTCCCCCCACCCGGGTCCATCCGTCCGTGCGTCCCGCAGCTACAGAACCAGGAGTCGGTGCGCGCGCTGCTGAAGCGCACGGAGGCAGAGCTGAGCATGCGCGTGTCGGAGGCGGCGCGGCGGCAGGAGGACCCGCTGCAGCGGCAGCGCACCCTGGTGGAAGAGGAACGGCTGCGCTATCTCAACGACGAGGAGCTTATTACCCAGCAGCTCAAGTGAGGCTGGGCCCGCGGCGGAGGGAGGGGTGGGGGTGCGGCTGGAGTGACCCGCAACCTGGTTTCCCTGGGAGGCGCAGCTCCCTTCCCTCTGAGTCACAGGTGGCGTTGGTCTGTTCTGAAGCCTGATTTCATTCTCCTCTGGCCTGATTTCACTGTGACCCACAAACTTTTGACCGGCTGGCATTATTCCTGATTTCTTTTTTCTGGCTTGATGCCTGCTTTTGCTATGGTCTTGCTTCATAATGATCCACACTCAGGCTTCCTGTGGCCTGCAGCTTCACTGTCATGTGGCCAGCTGCCTGATTTCCCTCTGCCCTCTGCCTACTTTCATTTTGGCCTGTGACCCGTGCAAAGTGACCCTTGGGTAGTGAGTTCAGGTGCAGCGTTCAGGTGCCGTCACTGCTCCAGCCTGGCGCTGACCAGCCATCATTGGAGATCCGATTCCCTGATCTCTGAGTCCAGATATAGCCAAGGAAAACCCACCTTCCTTCCTAGTGCAGCTGGAACAGGGCTGTAGTGTTTTCAGAAGGAAGGAGGAATCGCGAACACTGTGCCTCCGCATGCTTAGGCATGGAGGGGTTAACAGAAGACAGTCTTCTGATCCAAATTTAGCAAATGGCTGTCTGGCCAACCATTCCATTGTCTGGCACCTTTGAAGGGAGACGCTGCCTTTCAGTGTCCATTCAGGGAGTGAGCACCCACCCTGCTTTCCCTCGCCAGTGATAAGGATCTGAGACAGAGGCCCTGCTCCTTCCTTTGGGCCCTCTCTTGGTGACACAGGGCACTAGGGGACCTGGAGTCCAGTGCCAGCACTGAGAGGCTGAGTGATCAGGGCAGTTCCTGCCCCTCTCTGTGCCCCAGTGTCCTCATCTGTACCCAGCATTAAGTTTTTCACCTCTCTTTTCAACAAGGGGTTGAGTTGTACTGGCCAGTGACTCCGGGAGCCAGGAGAGGCTGCTCCTTGGAGCCCAGCTTCCTCACTAAGTCATAAATGAGCCTCTTGCGACGGGCTCCTTGAGATGGGTTGCTGCTCCTCAGCCTGAGGCCCACATAGCCTGGTGGTACATGTGCATTTTAGCAAGGCCCAAGGCAACAATTCCCATGACACCATGTGGCTGAAATAGGGTAAGGGGCCACCCCATCACTCTAGGTGTGATAACTTAGTGAGGACTCCAGCCAGATCTCCAAGCAGACTGGCAGGTGTCATCTCTCCTCACCCAGGGAATTCCATTTCTCCAGATTTTCTATCCTTTCCTTGTCCCTTTTCATTCAGCCCAGAGGAGGGGGGTTGGAATTTTCAAAAGCAACTTTACCGAGACATTAAAGGAAAATTAAAGGAGATCTAAAAGCACAGAGCCAGAAGATACGAAAGGAGAGATTTATGCTACCGTCATTATAAGTGTTTGGTCCTTGGCTCCCTGAAGGCCTTGGTTCTCCAGGAACACAGACTCCCCAACCCCTGCCCCATTATCAAACCCATTACTCAGAGAGCTTGGGACCTGCATTACTGTTTCTGGCAGGATTCTCCATCCTCCTGAAAGGGGACTCCTGCTTCTTCTGGGTTGGGCAGATACTGGGCTCCAACCTGGCCATGAAGGCCCTCCCTGCCCAGCTCCCATAGCCTTCCCAGGCTTTAACCCTGCAGCCCCCCTGCCCCACACTCTGGCTGTAGCTCGTGGTTACTCCAGGAGCTTACGCTTACTCTTGCTCCAATTTGCTATACCACTTCCTCTTTCCTGGCAACTTGCTGGAAGTTAAAACTGGTTCTGTTTCATTCAACTTGACTCACTCACCTGCCCATCTAGCCCAGCACTTAAGGTCTGTCTGGGCACTGCCTTTAGGTGCAGCCTCTGCTGACTGAGACCTTTTAGGTCCTGGAATCTACCTTTGCCTAACCCAGGTCCAGCTTTGTAGGTATGCCACGTGTGCGGTCACGCGGAGCCCCATGCTTGGAAGGGCCCCATGCTTGGTGTAATGCTCTGCTGTTGCCATCTTGAAATTCTTAATAATTTTTAAACTAGAGGTAACATTTTCATTTTGCATTGGGCCCCATAAATTATTTAGCTGGTTCCATTTTGACTCTCCCCTCTTGACCCCTCCAGGACTAAACCTGGGCTTGGAAAGCCTAGCCACATTTTAATCCAGTGTCTAGACTAGCTGGCCTGGGACTCATTTGCAGAGCTTGCCCAGGTTAGAGGCCCCCCAACTTTGGCAGATTGGGTGATCAGAACATCAAGTTGCCGATTGAGCTTAGGGAGGCCTAGTCTCTCCTGCCTAAGAATTGCAGTGTTGTCATCTCCTGGAAGCTTATTTGAGTCCTTTACATGAGAGTCTCTTCCCCCTCTGAGTGATGTTTGGGAGTGACCATTTTATAAAACTGGCACAGCCTGGACCAGTCAGGTGTTACACATATGAGCAGGGGAATTGTTCTTTCCCATGTGGTAGAGCGAGGGCTGGGCTAGGACAGTGTATGGATTGGGGGCAGCGTGGCTGATGTTGGTCTAGTGTGAAAATGAGATGCAGCAGAACCAATGGCTGATGTCAGATGTGAGTAGATCCCGCTTTGCTGCAAAATAGCTGTATGACCTTGAACTAACTAGTTAATCTCTTTGAATATCTGAATATCTTTTTTTCCTTTTTTTAAAATGCCAGAGTCTTAGGATAGCTAATTAATTAGGGTAGCTTCCTATAACAAATAAGCTCCCAAATTGTTTAATAATTCAAAAGTAATAAACATATCTTTCTCATGGAACAGTATTGGGTGGGTTAGGCGGGTGGCTCTTCTCCATGCAGTCATTCAGGGACCCAGGCTGATGGAGGTTCTGCCGTCTTCAACATGTGTTTTCCAAGATCACCCAGAGAGTTTCCAACCAATGGAAAAGGAGAAAGGAGCATGGAGGACCTTACATGGGAGGTTTTTGTGAGCCAGGTCTGGAAGCAGCATGTATCCCTTCCACTCATCTTCCATTGGGTAGACTTCAGTTAAATGGCCACTTATCATTGCAAGGGAGGCTGGGATGTGTAGTCTAGGCTCTGAGCCACTGTTTGTCTGTGTATAAGCTGGAGATAATAACTGTTCCCACCTCCAGGATTTGTTTTGAGGGTTAATTAAAGTAATGAAAGCCAAGGCCTGAGTGTGGCACCTGGCATACAGTAAGTGCGTAATACAGGATAGCTCTTTAACTGGTAGTGTTGCTGAGTCACAAGCTTTTGCCCTTGACTTCAACCCAGTCTGTCTTTTCACCTGCTAGTTGGATGAAGATGTGTAAGGCGTGCTGATAAGATTTGCTGATGACACAGAGCTTTAAGGGGGAGCAAATCTGTTGGATGGTAGAACTGAAATTCAAAAGTTGTTTGCCCCTGGATTGAGCTGAAATCCAACAATGGGATTTGACAGGAATATATATAAAGTCCCGCATGTGAGTCAGGGATGTCAGCGACTCAAGTACAGAACTGAGATGACTTACCTGGGCAGCAGTTCCTTCTCTCCCTTGTTCATTCATTCCACAATTATTTCCCAGACATCTACTCTGCACCAGGCACCATGCCAGGTGCTAGAAACCGGAGATGAATCTGGAAGACATGGTCTTTGCCTGCCTGGGGTTAGTAGTCCAGAAGGCTGCACAACCCAGCCAACAGGAGCTTCAGCGGTTTGGAGGGCAGGAAGCAGACCCAACAGCCGCAAGGGGAGGGGCTGGAGGACAGCTTCCCACTGAGACCTGAGGATCAGTGGGAGTTAGCACGTGTGTGTGCCTGTATGTGTATGGGTGAATGGAATATTCTAGGCAGAGAAAACAGCATTATAAAGAGCCAGAGAGGACAGCACATGTAGCACCTCAGAGCAGGTCTGAAGGGCTCTAAGCAGAAGCCAGATGAGATGAGGGTTACAGCAGCACGGAAAACAAGAGCAGTTCCCAGGCACTGAGCCCTTTGCCGCGTGCTTTCCTGTCTTCATTAGCTCATCCAATCCACCTGATGGCCCCCATGAAGGGGGAACTCTTTTTTTTTTTTTTGAGACAGAGTCCCACTCTGTTCCCCAGGCTGGAGTGCAGTGGCATGATCTCGGCCCACTGCAACCTCCGCCTCCTGGGTTCAAGCGATTCTCCTGCCTCAGCCTCCCAAGTAGCTGGGATTACAGCCGCACGCCACCATGGCCAGCAAATTTTTGTATATTTAGTAAAGACAGGGTTTCGCCATATTGGCCAGTTGGTCTCGAACCCCTGACCTCAGGTGATCAGCCCACCTCGGCCTCCCAAAGTGCTGAGGTTATAGGCTTGAACCACCATGCCTAGCGGGGAGCTCTTACCATCCCTATTTTTTGGACGAGGAGGTTGAAGTCCAGAGATATTAGGTAACTTGCCCAAGATCTCTCCTCTGGCAAGGGCAGAGTGAGGATTGGAGCTTGGATCAGTCTGACTCTAGAACCAAGTTTTCAACTACCACCTTCCTGCCCTTCTTGGCTGCATTGAAAAGTTTGGATGTTAGGCCTCAGGATGATGGGATCCATTTAGCGTTCAATGGCACAAGTGAAGACCTGATCTGATTTACAATTTAGAAGAATGTAGGGTCTCAAATGACACAAGTTCAGCATATAGTAGCTGAAAATCTAACTCAGCTTTGGCCCTCAGGAAAGAGGCTGTGTGGCTGGATCATGTGAGAGAAGGGCAATGGACATGGCAGTTTCCCCCGAGACAAGAGACCTCCCCGGGGGCACGTGCTCTGCCTCTGGTTCTTTGAAAGGCAACTAAGTTCTCTCTGCTTCCTTGGCAGAATAGAATCAGGGGATGCAAGTTACAATGAGAGATACTCGGGCAGATATTGCTGAGGGTCAGAGCTTCCAAGGGGGCAGATGGTGCAGGGCACCTCTTAGGGAGCGCTTCTGAAGTCTCCTCATCTCTGAGATTTGGCGTTGCAGATTTTACTTGAGTATGTGGCCTGATGGCTGGCTTTTATGTTTGTATGCTTTTGAGACAAGGTCTCCCTCTGTCACTCAGGCTAGAGTGCAGTGGCACAATCACGGCTCACTGCAGCCTCAACCTCCTGGGCTCAAGTGATTCCCCCTGCCTTAGCCTCCCGAGTAGCTGGGACTACAGGCACCTGCCACTACATCCAGCTAATTATTTTATTTTTTTGTAGTGATGAGGTCTCCCTATGTTGCCCAGGATGGTCTTGAACTCCTGGGCTCAAGTGATCCGCCTGCCTCAGCCTCCCAAAGTACTGAGATTACGGGCGTGAGCCACGGTGCCCAGCCTCCTGCTTTTACTTTCGATCCAACTGGTGGCCTGATTTCTTTCCAGTTGCCCAATTTCAGGGGGCTGGGCTGGCATCTCAGGCCAAAAGGGCTGAAAGGGTCTCTCTGTGGCTGCAGTGACCTGGAGAAATCGGTGGAGAAGATCCAGAGAGACGTGTCCCACAACCACCGGCTGGTGCCCGGCCCTGAGCTGGAGGAGAAGGCACTGGTGCTGAAGCAGCTCGGGGAGACGCTGACAGAGCTCAAGGGTGGGTCTGGGGCCTGCGAATGCAGCACGTTGTTCAGGGTGGGGAAGTCTGCCATACTCCAGCCACCATCCTCTCCTCCCAGTCTGTGGTGCTCCCTCTGGCCCCAGCTCATGCCTTCCTGTCTCCTCAGCTCACTTCCCGGGCCTGCAGAGCAAGATGCGGGTGGTGCTGCGCGTGGAGGTGGAGGCGGTGAAGTTCCTGAAGGAGGAGCCCCAGCGCCTGGATGGGCTCCTCAAGCGCTGCCGCGGGGTCACGGACACGCTGGCCCAGATCCGAAGGTCATTCTGTCCCTGACCTCTGATTTCCCATGGGTTCACACACCGGGCCCAGACCCATAGGTCATACTGAACCCTTACCCCAACTCCCCCAAAGGTCACTGGCGTGCCGACTGGACTGGCACCTCAGCTCTGCCCTGTGACCCCTGCATGCTGTAGACCTGGCTTCCTCTTATACCAGGGGCAGTCACTCCTCCCCAGGCCCTCCCACAGCATCCCAGAGCCTGCCTCCCACCCCACCTCCCTCAGAGCAGCCTTCCTGCAGAAGGGTCACCACCTGCTGGCCTCACAGCTGCTCCCAACTCTCCCAACCCCAGGCAAGTGGATGAGGGTGTGTGGCCACCCCCCAACAATCTCCTGAGTCAGTCCCCCAAGAAGGTGACGGCAGAGACTGACTTCAACAAGAGCGTGGACTTCGAAATGCCACCCCCCAGCCCCCCGCTGAACCTGCATGAGCTGAGCGGGCCAGCTGAAGGAGCCTCTCTTACCCCCAAGGGGGGCAACCCCACCAAAGGCCTGGACACTCCTGGCAAGAGAAGCGTGGACAAAGCTGTGTCTGTTGAGGTGCTGGGGCCAGGGATTGTGGGTGGGGCCATGAGCCAGGTTCACACATTCTTACGACCATCCTTCCTAGAGTGGGGAGTGCCAATCCTGTGGGTCTTTTTCCTTGGGGGAGGAGGGCCAGTGCCCTAATGGAAGCCTAAGAAGCATAATGAGGGTGACATTAGCCCTCCTAGACAGAAAGCGTATTATAAAGCTACAATAATCAAAGCAGTATGATGTTTGCCCAAGAATAGACTATGTAGTCAGTGAAACAATAGAATGCCCAGAAATAGATCTAAGTTTATCACGAATGTAGTATATAATGAGGGTGGCATTCCTACCCATGGGGATGCCATGTGATACCCACGAGAAGTCAAAGTGTCTTCCTGGAGGTGGGATCAAATATGAGGCTTCGTTTTCTATTCCTTGCCTACGTGGCTTGGGGGAGGAGGCTGAGGCCCCAGAGGTCCTGGAGCAGGAGAGCTACCTCAATCCTGACTCCTGGCTCCCTGTTAAGGCTGCAGAGCGAGACTGGGAGGAGAAGCGGGCAGCCCTGACCCAGTACAGTGCCAAGGACATCAACCGGCTGCTGGAAGAGACACAGGCAGAGCTGCTCAAGGCCATCCCTGACCTGGACTGTGCCAGCAAGGCCCATCCAGGCCCGGCCCCCACTCCAGATCACAAGCCCCCCAAGGCCCCCCACGGCCAGAAGGCAGCCCCCCGAACGGAGCCCAGTGGGAGGAGGGGCTCAGGTATGGGGAGTAGTAGGGCTGGTAAGGAGCCCAGCGTGGGGGAGTGCCCTCCTCAGGAGCCCAGGCTGATGGGGGAGGCACTGGGATCTCAAGATCATTGTGGTTGGGCTGCCACACAAGGGAGGCCCTGGGACATCGGCTGCCACTAAAGGGAGACTGGGACCCAGAAGGACAGGGCAAGCTGGACTCCATCCCGGCATTTCCCACTGTCCTGGGAAGGGAGCCACTGAGAGGACCAGGCAGGGAGCAAGTCCAGGCAGAGTCATCCGCCTCCACGGCTTGGCTGGGCACATGCCCCAAACCAGGCTGTGTTGAGGGCGGGTTGAGCGCTGATACTGCTGATACTGACACAGTTCCCATGGTCCCCAGCCTGAGTCACGGTCCCGGGAGTGGCAGAAATCCAGACCAGAAGTGGCAGTCATCATTCCTTCATTTTATTCATTCCTGCAATGCATATTGGTTAAGTACCTACTGTGTGCTAGGTGCTGGAGATACGGAAATAAGACAGGGCTTGCTTTAAAAGAGCTCAAAATTTAGTGGGGGGAATAACACTGACATTTGTGTTTATCAAGCACTTACTCTGTGATAAGAACTGTTCCATTGCTTTTACTGTAGTCATCCTTATAATTTTATTTTTATTTTTTATTTATTTATTGTTTTTGAGACGGGGTCTGTCTCTGTCGCCCAGGCTGGAGTGCAGTGGCGCTATCTTGGCTCACTACAAGCTCCGCCTCCTGGGTTCTCGCCATTCTCCTGCCTCAGCCTCCCGAGTAGCTGGGACTACAGGCGCCTGCACCACGCCCGGCTAATTTTTTTGTATTTTTAGTAGAGATGGGGTCTCACCGTGTTAGCCAGGATGGTCTCGATCTCCTGACCTCGTGATCCGCCCACCTTGGCCTCCCAAAGTGCTGGGATTACAGACTTGAGCCACCACGCCTGGCCTCATCCTTATAATTGTATAACAAGCTCAGGAGGCAGACACGGTAGTTATTCCCATTTTACAGAGAAGGACATAGGCTCAAAATGATTAAGAAATCTGTGCCGGACCATGCCTAGTATGTAAACCAGAAATAGAATGCAAGTGCTAAATGTAATAGCAGAGGTGAATGCCGGTACTGTGCAGTCCTGGCGGAGGCCCTAGGAGGGCAGGAAGGCTTCCCTAAAGATGTGACTTTTCACTGAAATCTTGCAAATGAGTGGGCACTTCCCTAGCTAGTGAGAGCGGGTACTCCAGGGTGAGGGAACAGCGTGTGCAAACGCCTGAAGGTGTGTGTGTGGCATGGCCTGAACAGGGTCCAGCCTGGGGAGCAGCAAGCAGAGCTGAGGCTGAAAGCTTGGCAGGTGCAGAGGTGCTGGCCTAAGGAGCTTGGACATGGTTTGGGGTGATGGGGAGCCACTGCAAGATCAAAGGCAGGGGAATGGCTAGAGTGACCTCTCTGCAGGTTACCCCGGAAGCAGGGCTGGAGGACAAATTGGGGGAGAGGAGAGCCCAGTGGGAGGGGCCAGGATCCCTGGAGGAGAGATGGAGAGCTGAGCCGAGGCAAGGGTGAGGGGCAGTGGGAAGGAGGTGGTTAGAGCAGCGCCTCTCTAACTTGAATGTGTGTCCGTCACCTCAGGATCTGTTCAACCAGATCCTGGTTTAGCAGCCCAGAGGTGGGGCCTGAGCTGCAGTTCTGACAAGCTGCCAGGCGCTGCCAGTGCTGCTGGTCCACAGACAACACTTGGAGTAGCAAGAGTGCTGTCAGGAGAGGGACAGGGCTTGGGGCTTGTGTGCAGGAGAGGTAAGAGAAGGAGGGGCCCTGTGTTCTTGCCCCCAGGCTTTCCTCTCACCTCCTCCTGGTCCTCCCTGGAGGAAGAAGCAAGGTTTATCCCCTTCAAGTTAGATGTAGTGCACTGACTCCAAGGTTGCAGGCCTGCTGACCCCCAGCCCCTTGGTGCCTGCAGATGAGTTGACCGTGCCCCGATACCGCACAGAGAAGCCCTCCAAGTCGCCCCCACCGCCCCCTCCCCGCCGGAGCTTCCCCTCCTCCCATGGCCTGACCACCACACGTACCGGAGAGGTGGTGGTCACCAGCAAGAAGGACTCGGCCTTCATCAAGGTACCACTCCCACCTCAGACAGAGGGCCAGGGGACTGAGTTAGGATGAAGCCTCAGATGACTTCTGGAGGCCCTCTGGGGTGGGAAAGAGACCCCTTTCTCAGAGAACATGGAAGGAAAGAGGGAGTGGCCGGTGGCGACTTTGTCCTGCTAGTTTGGGATTCTAGGTATGTGTATTTGCCTTAATTCCATGCCAGGCCCCTGTCTGTTGAGGGACACCCTGGCAGGGGTGTAGCAGCAGAAGTAGCAGACGAGAAGCTGGGGTACATGGGCGATGGGGCCTGGGAGGTGAGCTGGTGCTGAAGTGGGGCAGAGCCTGGCCTTGACAGGAGTCCCGGGCCTTGCAGAAGGCTGAGTCCGAGGAGCTGGAGGTGCAGAAGCCCCAGGTGAAGCTGCGCCGGGCTGTGTCTGAGGTGGCCCGCCCAGCCTCCACACCACCCATCATGGCCTCGGCCATCAAGGACGAGGATGACGAGGATCGCATCATCGCAGAGCTAGAGGTAGGTCAGGGCACACCTGGCCCCCAAGGTCTCAGCCAGGCCCCCTTCCCTCCCAGGCTGCCCCCCAGGCCAGGTGACAGGATGAGGCAGAAGATGGGCTCTCGGGCTCCCTGCGGAGCGCTGGCTGTTCAGACCCCAGCCTTTTGCCTCCATTTCTTCTCCACTGTGAAATGAGGGGTGGGGGTCTAAAGTCTTCTCTCCTTGCAGGTTTGAGTTTTTTAACTATAGTCTCTGAGTCCCCCCAAGTATCCCCAGACCTCCTGCACTCTGAAAGTCCCGTATCCGAAGATTCTGAGATCACCGAGTTTGGAGATCCCCATCCCCCAGTGTTCTGAGATCAGCTCATGCTTGAGACCCCCATACTTGAGTATTCTGAGGACGGAGCTCTGAGACTCTCATACCCCATGCCTCGACTCTCCCAGCAGTGTCAGTCACCACACTCAAGCGTTCTCAGCCACCCCCAGCTCCAGTGCGGGAGACCTGGACTACCAGGGCTCTGAGGTGACCAGATGAGGGCAGAGAGGGCTGGCGGCTATGGCAAGGGACCAAGGGGTGAGGCTGGGGGCCGATGCCATCCCAGGCCACCCTCCCCAAGGGTGCCGGGGCCACAGGCCAGCACCCCCATCCTCCCTAGTGCCCCCTCCTCCAAACCTGCCCCCACCTTCTGCTCCCCAGGTGTTTGAGAGAAGCTCAGTGTCTTCCCTCCCCCCCACGCCCCGCCGCCAGCTGATCCCCACCTTGCTGTCCCCCCAGGACCTGGGGCCCCCCGGGGGCTCAGCCCCAGGCCCTACACGGAAGGTAACGGGGCTGCTGCCACTTCTCACAGCTCTCTCTCTGCCTGTGCCCCCACAGCTTCCTCTCCTCACCTCCCACGCTAACCCGCTAAAACGCCAGTCACCATCCCAAGTCCCACCATGGCCACAGCCACTGCCACAGCATTACATGTGGACTCACCCCTCCCCCACTCCAAGGACAGGCGCATAACCCTTCCTCCCCGCTGCTTGCTGGGGGGCTCCCTGAGACTCCAGCAGCCTGGGTGTCTGGTGGCCCCTTGTGTCTGCATTTTCTCACGGGCTTGCTGATGGAGGCCTGAGTATTTTGTTCTGGTTCGCAGTTTGAGCTTAGGTCTGGCCCGAAGGCTGAGTGTGGCCAAGATTGGAGTTTGGATCTTGCTCACAAGATGACTTTGGATCCAGCTCAAAATCTGACCTTGTCCTGAGCCCTTGCCTAGCCCCCACCTCCATCTTCGCTGCTCTGCTGCCTGTGCCGGGGAGGGGCTCTGTTTTTCCCCTAGAATCTATGCCTTGCGCTGGGGGCCAGGACACCACAGGGGTAGGCTCGTCTACAGCCTCACTAGCCCAAGGGCCTACGATGCCCTCTTGGACAGAGAGCCTGGAATGGAAGAAAGCTATGCCATTCCTTGGCTGCTGGTTCTTTTGGCATTGGGAAATTCTTCCTTCTCTCTAATGTCAGTCCTTGCTGCTGTCCTGCTGCACTTATTTCCTCTTTATTCTTTCCTGGGAATTTGGGGGTGAACCTGCTGTCTGCACCCTACCCCTGGGGACTGTGCTTGGGGAGGAGGGGAGGGGGAAGGTCTGGGAATCTCTCTCTCTCTGCCAGGTCAGGTTGAGGCAGGGGGGCTCCGCTCTGGAGAAGGAGAGCCTCCCGTGTGCACACACTCCCTATCTGGGGCTCCCTGGCCCACAGTGGGCTCTGTGCTGGTGGCCACCTGATTTCTGGCCTGGCTGGAGGCCTGTTGGCGCTTTGGTTTCCTGGCGGGGGAGGAGCAGAGGGGCATCAGATAGTGGACAGTGCCTTCTGCTGGGCAGAGGATGGGCACAGAGCAGTGCGAGGAACCTCTAGGATGAGCTGTATGGAAGGGGCGCCTCCTGGGCTGGCCATGCCCTTGGCACTTTGGCCCCTCCCATCCAAGCCCTGCCCCTTTCCGGCTCTGGGAGCCCATCCTGAGGGGCCCAGTGGACAAGGCCTTTTGCCCCTGGCCGACCCTCTGCATCCTGCGGCAGCATCGGGCAACGGAGCCGGGCGAGCGTGAGGTTGCCCTCTCTGCCTTCCCAGTCAGCACCCCCCACTTCCAGGTAAGCAGGTGGCAAGGCTGGGTGGGTTCCTTTGGGAGGGGGTGGTTGGGGGTCCCTGCTGCCCCCTCCCATCTCCCCACGGCTCCCTTTAGTGGAAGGAGCACTGGCCTTGGAGTCAGACTACCTGGGTTCAAATCCAGGCTCTGCCACTAACTAGCTGTGGGTGGGTGGCCTTGGGTGAAGTGTGTTACCTCCCTCGCCCTGGTGAGAGCAGCAGTCACTTCCCGGGTTAAGGTAGGCACTGAAGGTGAGGAAGGGTGTGACGGCACCTGGCACAAGCCTGGTGCTCAGAGTTAGACCAGGATTCACTCACATCGGGGAGTGGTACTTGGGGCTTCCCTCTGTGCCCTCACCGAGGCCAGGGCCAGGGATGCTGGCACCGGAGCAGGTGCCCAAGGGAGCTTTGCCCGAGTGTGTGTGCCACAGAGGATTTGTCAGGGGGCAAGCCCCACCCCTTCTAGCTGTGAAGCTCTTGGGGAGAGCACACAAAGTTGGGGTAGACCAGAAGTCTCTGGTTTGAGATGCCAGAGGCTGACATGTTGTCTCTGCCCACATGGGGCCAAAGGTCTCGGCCATTCCATTCATTTCAACAAATAGCTAATATTTATGAAGCACTCACAACATGCCCAGCGAGCTCACTTCATCCTCCACCGGCCCCACCTTGGTGTCGAGTCATTGCACAGATGGGCACGCTCATGGGAACAACCCTGAGCCCGGCTCCCAGAGGCTCACATGGGTGGTGTAAAGTAAATGTGTGCCTGCCCTGGCCAAACCGGCACCTTTACTGGCAAGTAGGAGGCCACAGGGTATGGTGGGAAAGACCTGAATTCTGGTCCCAATTTTGCCTCCAACTTACTGGGTAGCCTCTGTCAGGACCCTCCCTGCCTCAGTTTTCCCATCTGTAAAAGAAAGGGGCTAGGCTCACCTAACTGTAACACCCATTTTAGCTTGGGGTTTGGTTGTAGGAATCACACTCTTCCTCATCTTCCTTCTCCCGGCAGGCTGCCCCAGGTCCCAGGGCCTTCTGCGTCCCAAGGATCATCTTGACAGAGTGTGCCCCCAACCCTCCCTCCCCGCCAGAGGCCAGACTTGAGGAACTGGGACCCAGGACAGCTCCCACCCCAAGACCTCAGACCCTGGCTGACAGCACGAGGGGCTGGGATGGCCCACAGTCCCCACCAGGGGTAGTGGGGGAGACTTCTGGGCCGAGGAGCAGCTTCATGCCCCGGAAGGAGGGGGCAGCTCTGAAGAGACTGGGTGGAGGAGGCAGCAGCCTAGAGGATGGAGGAGCCAGAGTACAGTGTCCTCAGGGACCAGCCCAGGATGGGACTCCAGAGACCTCTACTGCTGACACCTACCCAGAGGAGATCCTCAAGGACTCTGGACATGATGCCCAAACCTGCAGTAGGGAGCATCAGGGCCAGGCTGCTGCCAACTCAGGCCGCACCACGTGGGGCGCCACTGCCCAGCAGATGGACAGCTTGGAGGAGACGCTCCGGGAGCTGGAAGCCACCCTGAGCAACATGGGCACAGGCCCTGCCATGGGGTCCCCTGGCAGCCCCCCACCCCTACCCCTCCGCCCCCAGGTGGCTGCCCGCTTTTCATCCTCCTCTGCTGCCTTCCTCCTCCATTTCCAGAGTCAGACAGAGTAGGGGGCAGCAGAAATGCCAGGCCAGCCCCCTCCTCCCACCGGCCTTCTCTCAGCTCTTACCACTCTCCTGGGAGCCTGGTGCCAGAGCAGGGTTTGCAGGCAGAGTCCGGGGGAGGCTGGGAAGCCGGCCTACCCAGGGGCCGGCCAATCCCCAGCCTTGGCAAGAACCAGGGCCTCCCCCTTCTGCTCTGTATCTGTAAACCAACAAATAAAGTTCTCTCCCCACCTTCCATCCCCATGCTCCCCTCCCCTTCCTGTCTCTGATTCTCTGTCTCTGTCATCTCTCTGCTTGCGCCTCTGGATCCCCAGTGCCCCGCGGGCAGGCCTGGTACTTGGGGAGGTTCATGGGAGCCAAGCTTGCCCATCCCTAGGGAGACCTCACCTGCATCCTCCCCTTAGGAGGAGGATGTGGGCCTGGGGCTGCCCCTCTGCTCTGTGTGCCATTATAGAGAGCCCCTTGCTGGCATGTGCACCCAGGTCCAGATGGTGCCCCTTGCCGGGAGTGGGGTTGCTGCTGGGGACCCTCACTTTAGCAGAGGCTCCCCAAGGAGGGCATCAGCTGCCCCTGAGCTACTCAAGGAAGCCACCGAAGAGCTCTCCCTCAAGAGCCGTTGGGAAACTGGCTTGGGCCCCACCCCTCTCCTGCAGGGAGACCATAAGTGGGGACTGAGAGGGTGGACCTGGGTTCTGGACTCGGGTGTGGAGCTAGAGAGGGGTCTCCAGGTCTCAAAGGGCCCCACTGAGGAGGTCCCAGCCCCGAGACCCCACCCAGTGCTAGGGTTCCTGTGTGATTCACCCCATGTGGACTCTGCAACTGCAACCCTGTTCCTCTTCCTGCAGAGTGGCGGAGGCAGTGTACCACCCATGAAGGTGGTGACTCCGGGGGCCTCTCGGCTGAAGGCGGCCCAGGGCCAGGCGGGCAGCCCCGACAAAAGCAAACATGGCAAGCAGAGGGCCGAGTACATGCGGATCCAGGCCCAGCAGCAGGTGAGGGCGGGGACTGTGGGGGCCACCCAGGCCCACTCTGCTGCATGCCGGGCCCCTGCCCCACTGGGCATCTCCTGCCCCTGCTCCCGTGACCAGCTTTCCCAACCTCTTCCCAGACAGACCTTCCCTGCCAGGACTGCCCCACCCACCCCCTGAACCGTCTTCTCCCTCCTCCTCCCGATCCCGGAGCTTTGGATCTAGATTAGCACATGAGTTCTCAACCAGGCACCTCCCCTCTCAGGAGTTCCCTCACTCAGACACAGAGAAGACTCTCCAGCTGCCACTGCTGGCTCCTGGAGGAGGGGCGAGCGAGCGAGTTTGTGACTCCAGCAGCCCCAACGCCTGGGTCCCTTCTCAGGCCTGGCCTACCCTGGGGTGCAGAAGGGGGATTTTGTGGCCCTCTGCTTCCTGCCACTCTGTTTCTCTCTCCGCTTCCCTCTCCCTCTTCCCAGGGCTCCGCCTGCTATTCAGGGCCCCACTCTCATCCTGGTCTCCCTCTTAGCTCTTAGGCCACCCCTAGCCAAGGGAGAAGCCAACTTTGCATCTGCTTTTCAGCCTTGTGTTTGGGTTTCAGTGGGGTCACCTCCCGTCTTTGCAAGGTTGGGTGGGGACAGGGCGAGGCACTTTGGCCCTCAGGAAGGGTAGGGGTGCAGCAGGAATTGCAGGGATGCCGCAATCTCTTTCAGGTCTAATGAGCAGGCGCGGAGGCTGTGTGGAGAGTGGACATACCTCACCTGTGGGTGTTTACTGCCCTTGTGGCCTGGTCAGAGGCTGCAGGGTGGCTCCTGGACCCAGATGTTGTGAGAGACCCTTAGTGCACTCGTTTGATTTAGTTAATATTTATGAGCAGCTCCTGTATGACAGGCCCATTCTGGGTGTGAGGGTGGGGGCTGTGATATGTCCAGATGCTCTCACTTAAAGAAGGTTCTAGACTCAGAGGCAAGACGTTAGAGAAGGTTCTAGACTCAGAGGCAAGAGGTTAGAGATGGGTGAGTCCATCTCTTTTTCAGATGAGGGGGCAGCTCAGAGGAGGAGAGGGGCTTCCCAAAGGTGCACAGCAAGGTGGCATCACAGCCAGGATCGGGACCTAGGAATCTTGGAACCCTTCCCTGCACTGGCCCTGGGACAGCCCTGGGCACCCAAGGCCCTGCCTCCCTACTGGCTCCCAGGAGAATTTCTCAAAAAGCAGCCCTCCAGCCCCCCGCAGCCTCTCCACAGCTCCCACCTGCCTCCTCATGGCCCCCAGACACCCTGCGAGCCCCACCTCCAGATCTTTTTCCTGCCACTGCCAGGGATGAGTTCCCCTTGTCCTGTCCGGGCTGGACCCTCCTGGGTGCCCAGCAGAGCAGCTGACACTGACAGAGCTTTCGCTGGGGCCAGGCATGCGCATTATCTCATCTCACACTCACCACACTGAGGAAGGTCTATTACCCCCATGTGACGGGGGCGGAAACTGAGGCTTAATCCAAGGCCACACGGCTAGCAAGTGGGGGGCAGGACACAAGTCCAGACTGCCTCCCTCCCCACCACAAAGTGCTTCAGCCTCTCCAGCAGCCCCTTCCCTCAGCTCTAATGATGTTGCACTGTTTCCCACCCTAGTCCCTCCCTCCCCAGAGCCCAGCTCCTCCGCTGTGGTGTCAGCCTCATGCCTTTATGGCCCAGCCTCCACCCCATCTCCGGGGTTGCCTGGGTCTCCAGTGACATCGAGATGGGCTCTTTTCACCCCCCTCCCCCACTGCTCTGCAGCATGTGGCCTTGTAGACCCCCCCCACACCTGCATAGGGCTGTGCAGACCCTCTGTTCCTCAGCATCCTCTCCCCAGCCTCCACCTGGAGCCTCTGGGCTCCTTTCTGGGTGACTCCCTCTATTTTTTGAGACGGAGTCTTGCTCTGTCTCCCAGGCTGGAGTCCAGTGGTGTGATCTCAGCTCACTGCAGCCTCCGCCTCCTGGGTTCAAGTGATTCTCGTGCCTCAGCCTCCCGAGCAGCTGAGACTACAGGCTAATTACCACACTGGCTAATTTTTGTATTTTTAGTAGAGACGGGGTTTCACCATGTTGGCCAGGCTGGTCTCAAACTCCTGAGCTCAGGTGATCCTCCCACCTCAGCCTCCCAAAGTGCTGGGATTACAGGCGTGAGCCATTGCACCCTGCCTGGGCGACTCTCCTTTGCCTGCCTCTTCCCTTCCTGTGCCCCACTCCTCAGCCTCTTCTCCTCACACCATGCCTTCCTCTCCTCAGGCACCAGGTGCACTGCTTAGTCCCTGCCCCCACCCAGGTCTCCATTCTGAGCTCCAGTCACCCACACACGCTTCCCCGGGCATCCCCAGGCTCCTCGAATGCGTGTGTCCAGACATAATGCTCCCCCGACCACGCTGCCCCAGCCGGTACGAGGCTGCCCCAGCTGCTGTCTCCCTCAGGAAGGGTCGCCCACCCCCAGCCTTCCCAAGCCCCTCCGTGCCCCTGTCTCACTTCCAGTGCTCCAGTAGCCTTTCTTATAAACATGGCTTCTTTCTTGTAAAGTAATAAATGTTTACAGTGGAAATTTTATTTTATTTTATTTTATTTTATTTTATTTTATTTTTTTGAGGCAGGGTCTCACACTGTCACCCGGGCTGGAGTGCAATGGTGCGATCCCAGCTCACTGCAACCTCTGCCTCCTGGGTTCAAGGGATTCTCCTGTCTCAGCCTCCCGAGTAGCTGGGATTACAGGCGCCCACCACCAAGCCTGGCTAAATTTTTGCATTTTTAGTAGAGATGGGGTTTCACCATATTGGCCAGACTGGTCTTGAACTCCTGACCTCGTGATCCACCCGCCTCAGCCTTCCAAACTGCTGGGATTACAGGTGTGAGCCACCGCCACCAGCCTCCCTGTGGAAATTTTCAACAGTAAAGTATAGAGAAGCAGGGGAAAACCATCGATGTCTCACTACCAACATGCACGGTCTTCTAAGATCTCCTTGTGACTTCTGTCACCTCTAACTGATTTCCCAAGACCTGGGGGTGGGGAGGGAACTTTGTAAAATGCAGATTTGATTGTCTCTGTGTGTGTCACACACACACACACACACACACACACACACACCCCTGCCAGCTTAAAATCCCTGCCCCGGCCCCTGGCAGATGATCAACCCAAATCCTTCATGTGCGGCCCAGGGCCCTTCACAGCAGCCTCAGCTCACCCTGCCCCTGCACCCACACCCTCGGTGTGCTCCAGCCATGCGGGTCACTGGTGGGACACGATCCACACTAGCTCAGCCTGTGGCCTTGGTCAAAGCCCTCTGTCTTCTCAGGCCCTTTCTTCGTCTGTACAATGGGGACAGAAGTATCCAGCCTGGTCCTGAGCTCACATAATGCCAGGTACAGGAGAGAGCTTGGAACACCACAGTGAGCTCTACGGTGGCCGGCGGGGGTGGGGATTGGGGGGGCGGTGCCCAAGGCCTCTCCTTCATCCAGTGAGTCCAAGCTGTCTTTGATAATGTTGAGATGGAGGGGACTAGAAGTGCTGGGATCAGGGACACAGAAATTGGGAGTAAGAAAGTTCTAAGATGGAGGTGCCTTGCAGCAGTGCCTGACCCCACAGAGTAGTCAGAGGAAGTGACTGAGGAGAAGCCCGTGAATGTTGTGCTTAAGATCCCAGGGAGGGACGGGAGCCAGGTTCCCAGGCGTGCAAGGATCAAGGCTTTGTGTAGACCTGAAGCTATGGACACCCCCTCTTCTATTAGGGCTAAGAAATTTGCTGAACAACTGCTTATCTTCTCAGATGGCTGAAATGAAGATACTTTTTTTTTTTTTTTTTTTTTTTGAGATGGAGTCTCGCTCTGTTGCTCAGGTTGGAGTCCAGTGGCGTGATCTCGGCTCACGGCAACCTCTGCCTCCCGGGTTCAAGCGATTCTCCTGCTTCAGCCTCCTGAGTAGCTGGGATTACAGGTGTGTGTCAACACGCCCGGCTAATTTTTGTATTTTCAGTAGAGGTGGGGTTTCACCATGTTGACCAGGCTGGTCTTGAACTCCTGACCTCAAGTGATCCGCCTGCCTCAGCCTCCCAAAGTGCTGGGAGCCATTGCGTCCGGCCCCAGATGAAGAGACTTTAATGAAAGGACGACACCAGAGGATTGAGGGAGAAAACAAGGGATGCCGAGGTACCCATGGACATCTCAGAGCAGGAGGCTGTGACTCCCTGGGGGAAGGGCAGTGGGGCAGGTGTTTAGCGAGTCCCGGAGGGCGGGAGCAGCAGAGCTGTGCTGTGGAGGGCACAGCTGCTGCCTGTGACACAGCTCCCAGGAGGGAGAGAGCAGGGAAGGAACTTCACCCCACCTACCTCTCTCTCACCCTGCCACAGACCCCACTGGCCAAACCCAACCAGAGTCCAGTCAGCAAAGGAGTGACCAGGATCAGCCTCTCAGGGTACAGAGCACGGCAGAAATTAGTTCTGGGAGGCCAGGGGCAGTGGCTCACGCCTGTAATCCCCACTTTGGGAGGCTAAGACAGGAGGATCACTCGAGGCCAGGAGTTCGAGACCAGCCTGGGCAACATACGTGAGCCCCCCCATAATTGGTTCCGGGGTATGGAGAGGCAAGTGAAAGACAGATAGCATACCTGTTAGGTACCAAGTTTACAACTTTATACCTTAAAGTAAATCTGTGTTGTCACAGCTGCATCCCCACAGCACCTAGAATAGTGCTTGGCATACGTAGGCACTCAGTAAATATTTGTTGAGTGAATGAGCGAATGAGTTTGCCACCAATCAGGCCCAATCCAGGTGGAAACAGCCAAAGCAAATCTGAAAGGTTAAAATGACAATCGCTATAATGGCTACCATTTGTTGCATGTGTACTGAGGGTGTTGGGCGCCGGGTCTTACACCCTGTTGGCATCATCTCGTCATGTGCATCTGGTGCTGTGGGGCCTGTTATCCGTTTGCAGGTGAGGACATGAAGGCACAGAGAGATATGCGATTAGGGTCACACGGTTAAAAAGTGGCAGAGCTGGGACTTAAACCCGAGTGTGCCTGCTACAAATTCTGCTGTCTTAGTGCTGGATTCTGTTGCCCTGCCAGGGAGCATAACCTCGTGGGTGTGAGCAAGCCTCGATGAGATCGCGCTTGTGACGAGAATTCTAGAAGGTGATACGTTAACAAAAAATGAAGGTCGAATAGATCAATAAAGCAACACTGGGCCTCACGTGTATCAGTGAGAATGCTTTCAGCTGCAAGGAACAGGAACCCTGATTCAAAATGGATAAACAATAAGGAAAGGTATCCTGTAACCAAGAAGGCTGGAAGCAGGGGGATTCCAGGGTTGGTGAATTTAGCAGCTTGAGGATATCAGGACCCAAGTTTCTTTGCATTTGGTCCCGCTGTCATTTTTATTATTTTATTATTATTATTATTATTTTTTTTTTTTTTTTTGAGACGGAGTCTCACTCTGTCACCCAGGCTGGAGTGCAGTGGCGCAACTTTGGCTCACTGCAACCTCCGCCTCCTGGGTTCAAGTGATTCTCCTGC
Source organism: Homo sapiens (assembly GCF_000001405.40). NCBI lineage: Eukaryota > Metazoa > Chordata > Mammalia > Primates > Hominidae > Homo > Homo sapiens. The sequence continues at coordinate 38,538,320 of NC_000017.11, read as the reverse complement.
CTCAGCCTCCCTAGTAGCTGGGATTACAGGTGCCCACAACCACGCCTGGCTAATTTTTGTATTTTCAGTAGAGACAGGGTTTCACCATGTTGGTCAGGCTGGTCTCGAACTCCTGACCTCGTGATTCGCCCACCTCAGCCTCCCAGTGCTGGGATTACAGGTGTGAGCCACCACACCCGGCCTATTTTATTTTTATTTTTATTTATTTATTTATTTATTTTGAGATGGACCCTCGCTCTGTCACCCAGGCTGGAGTGCAGTGGCACAATCTCAGGTCACTGCAACCTCTGCCTCCTGGGTTCAAGCAGTTCTCCTGCCTCAGCCTCCCGAGTAGCTGGGATTACAGGTGCCTGCCACTGCCCCCAGCTAATTTTTGTATTTTTAGTAAAGATGGGGTTTCACCATGTTGGCCAGGCTGGCCTTGAACTCCCGACCTTGTGATCCACCCACCTCAGCCTCCCAAAGTGCTGGGATTACAGGTGTGAACCACCGTGACTGGCCTTATTTTTTTTTCTTTCTTTTTTTTTTTTGACACGGAGTCTAGCTCTGTTGCCCAGGCTGGAGTGCAGTGGTGCGATCTCTGCTCACTGCAAGCTCTGCCTCCTGGGTTCACGCCATTCTCCTGCCTCACCCTCCTGATTAGCTGGGATTACAGGTGCCCGCCACCACGCCTGGCTCATTTTTCGTATTTTTAGTAGAGACAGGGTTTCACCCTGTTAGCCAGGATGGTCTCGATCTCCTGACCTCATGATCCGCCCGCCTCGGCCTCCCAAAGTGCTGGGATTACAGGCATGAGCCACAGAGCCCAGTCTTATTATTATTATTTTTGAGATAGGGTCTTACTCTGTCACCCAGGCAGTGGCATGATCTCTGCTCCCTGCAGCCTCAACCTCTCCAAGCTCAATCCATCCTCCCGCCTCAGCCTTCCAAGTAGCTGGACTGCAGGTGGCGCCATCAAGCCTCACTAATTTTTTGTATTTTTGATAGAGATGGGGTTTTGTCACATTGCCCAGGCTGGTCTCAAACTCCTGACCTCAGGTGATCCACCCACCTAAGCTTCCCAAAGTGCTGGGATTACAGGCATGAGCCACCAAGCCCGGCTTCACACAGCTGTTTTTATTTATTTATTTAATTTTTTTTTGAGATAGAGTCTCTCGCTCTGTCACCCAGGCTGGAGTGCAGTGGTGCGATCTCGGCTCACTGCAACCTCCACCTCCCTGATTCAAGCGATCTTCCTGCCTCAGCCTCCCAGGTAGCTGGGACTACAGGTGCACGCCACCACGCCTGGTTAATTTTTGTAATTTTTGGTAGAGTTGGCGTTTCACTGTGTTGGCCAGGCTGGTCTCAAACTCCTGGCCTCAAGTGATCTGACTGCCTAGGCCTCCCAAAGTGCTGGGATTACAGGCATGAGCCCGGCCTCACACAGCTGTTTTTAGAAGCTGGAGAATCTTTCCCAGAAGCCTCCAACAGACCACACCTCTTATCTCACTGCCCATTCCTAAATCAGTCACTGGCAAGGAGAAAGGAATTTCTCCAATTGCCATAGATTTTGTCATGATCCCCACATCCCCCACTCTGGGCTGGGGAAAGCCCAGCTTCTCCTGATGGTTCAATACCTGACCCAGGCAGGGCTTAGCAAGGAAGGAGGGCATGGGGGCTAGGGAGGGTGGCCCTGGGAATGGCCCTGGAGGTGGAGTCAGCGGGGTCTGTAGAGTCGAGAGGTTCCACACTTGTCTGGACATCTGGGCGTCAGAATGTGAAGGGCCTCGGGAACATGGACCTGGCGAGAGCAGGTGGCCGGCTCTGATCCCCAGGCAAGAGGGAGGTGTGCAGGGTGGTGCCCTCTGGGACCAGCTCAGTGCTCCATGCCTCCCCCAGCTGAAAGCTGGACATGTGTGAGGTTTCTGCCTTGCCACGAAGGTAACAAAGTTCTGCTTCTCTGGACATAATTGGAATCAGCAGGGGAGGATGATGGGTGAAAGGAAATGACAGGAACCTTCAGAGACAGCAGCTGTGTCACCTGAGAAGGGTTAGCAGCACAGGCTGGGGTCACCGGGCACAGCTGGACGTGCTCCCTCAACTTCAGGAGAGTGGATTGTGGATGGTGTGTCCAGAGTCTCCCGGGAGGGAAGATGACCCGAGAGGATTTTAGAAAGCACATGTTGCAGAAGTGGTCTCCATGAAGAAGCGGGACGGGGACGAGGCATCCCCATAAACTGGTGAAGCTGGATGTCTAAAGGTCTTGCACTGGCTGTTGGGGGGAGAAGGGGTACCTCAACTGGGTGAAGGCACATCACCTGCCTGAATACAGAAGCCAGGTGGTGGTGCCGGAAGACAAGTGTTCCCAAGACCAAAACTTGGAATAGAATGAGGCTCTTGAAAAATGCTGAAGGGGTAGGAGCAGAAAAAGCAGCTTTTACCTAGAAAGATCAGTTCAGAGGGAAAAGGACAACCGGGGAGAATCAGCACCTTGCCGGGGGACATGGTGAGGTGTGAAGAGACATCAGGGGGAACTGGGCAGTGCTTCCCTCTCACCTGGCTTTGGGGGAAAGAACTTTAAATGGGAAAGGCTAGAGCAGAGGAGAGGCAGGACTGAGCCCAAGGTAAGTGACACAGTGGTCAGAGAGCCTCTGGTTCCCGTTGGATGAGTTTGTCTCCAGGCCCAGGTACTGGGGGCACAGAGAGGGCAGGGGCCATGCCTGACACATGCTGAGGACTGCGTGAATCTGACGACCCTGTGGCTGGGCCCTGGACCCCCTAGAACTCCCTTGAGTAATGGATGAGCAGAGGAGAGGGGTTAGAAAACCCAAACAGGGCCAGGCGCGGTGGTTCACGCCTGTAATCCCAACACTTTGGGAGGCCGAGGTGGGCAGATCACCTGAGGTGGGGAGTTTGAGACCAACCTGACCAACGTGGAGAAACCTCGTCTTACTAAAAACACAAAATTAGCCGGGCGTGGTGGCGCATGCCTGTAATTCCAGCTACTCGGGAGGCTGAGGCAGGAGAATCGCTTGAACCCGGGAGGCGGAGGTTGCCGTGAGCCAAGATTGCGCCATTGTACTCCAGCCTGGACAACAAGAGCAAAAGTCCATCTCAAAAAAAAAAAAAAAAGAAAGAAAAAGAAAACCCAAATGGGGAATTTTCGCTTTAACTTAAATAAATAAATAACAAAACAAACAAACAAACAAAAAAACAGGGCCTCATTCTGTCACCCAGGCTGGAGTGCAGTGGTGCAGTCATGGCTCACTGCCACTTCCACCTCCTGAGCTCAGGCCATTCTCCCACCTCAGCCTCCAGAGAAGCTGGAACCACAGGCACACACCATCACACTCAGCTATTTAAAAAAAATTTTTTTTTTAGTAGAGACGAGGTCTCGCCATGTTACCCAGGCTGGTCTTGACTTCCTGGGCTCAAGCAATCCTGCCTCAGCCTCCTGAAGTGCTGGGATTACAGGTGTGAGCCACCACACCCGGCCCTTGTTTTGATTCTCATAAAAGGGAAATGTAGATGGCAAACTACACTGTAGTGAGCAAAACCCAGGTGAATCGTGGAACCAACCATCTGTGCACCTGTAAAGGAGAAATGGTGATTGCAGCCAGCGCTGGTTCTTTACTGTGAGCTGGGCAGGCTGCTGGAGACAGGGCTTGCTTTAGACTCTAGCTTCTCCTCTGCAAGGCATCTGAGAAAACTCCGTAGCAGCAGGGTGATAGTAGAGGGAAGTGAACGACCCTGCCCAGACCTAACCTCAGGGTGGTCTCTGGTGACTCGCCACAGCGCCCTGTCTTATCTTTTGGATCTTTTTTTAAATCTGGGTGATTCAGTTCTCACACTAGTAGCTAAGCAAGGCCAGGAGGGACAGTGGGTACAATTACAAGGAGAAACCTGGGTCTGTGTAGCCTTAATCCAGTGGATCTCAAAGGTAAGTGTGCAGCAGAGGCACCTGGGGCACCTGCTTAAAATGCACATTCATGAGCCCACACAAGAGATGGATTCTGGAGGGGAGCCCAGGAATCTGCATTCACGATGCATGCCAGAGGGTGGCCCCTGGAGGTGATGAGGTAATGCACGTAGCTCTCAAACCGCACTTTGGAGACCGCAGCTGCAGAGGAAAAGCCTCCAGGACCGGTGGAGTTGCGGGAGTCCACCGAAGGTGGGAGGAGGATGAGGGGTCAGTTCTGACCACTAGAACTGACCAGTGAGGGCAGGACAAGTCATGAGGGAGTAGCCTCCTGTTACCAACTGGGGCGACAAGTGCTTGCAGGGCATGCAGTGGGGCCTCCTGCACTGGGCGGGAGGCTGGTGCGGCAGCGCCTTCTTCTCAGATTTCCAGGTGGTGGTGGTGGTGGTGGTGGACGGGGTCTTTGAAGTGTTTATTCCCCCCTGGGAGGATAAGCCCCCTCCTCTGTTGCCACCAGGATGAAGCTGGAAGGGGCTCTGGCTGTACAGCGGGCCATTTGGGACTAGGAGCCTTTCCCCACCCTGACCCCCGTCCCCCGCAGGGCTTGTGCCCCTGTCCCAGCTAATGTTTCACTTCTTCCTCCCCTCCCCTGCCCTCCCCCACCCCCACCTCCCCATCTGCCCATCCTGGGCGCGGCCTCTTCTGTGCTTCTCTGGTCGCTCTGCTTCTCTCTCTGCTCTCAGTAACTATGGGCCTGCCCTCTGACCACCCAGGCCCTTTGTCCAACCTCGTGCCCCCTCCCCCCCCTTTTCTGCCCCCACCCCTCCACCATTCAAGGGACCCCTCTCTCCAGATGCCCCTCTGGCTTCTTCCTTTTGCAGTTAATTTCCTTGGATTTGTGGAGGTTTTCCACTTTTAAAACTTCAGCTGGGGGCCAGCATGGAGGCGCTCCCTTCCGCTCTCTGACCCCTGACCCCTGTTTTTGTTCCAGGCCACTAAACCATCTAAAGAGATGAGCGGGTCGAATGAGACCTCGAGCCCAGTCTCAGAAAAGCCCTCGGCTTCCAGAACCTCTATCCCTGTATTGACTTCCTTTGGGGCAAGGAATTCTTCCATCTCCTTCTAGAAGCCCCTCACCCCGCTGCCCCGCCTGTCCCCCTCCCTCACTCCTGCCATTTCTCCCCTCTCTTCCTTCATCTCCACCCCACCCCACCCTACTCTCCAGACGCCCTGAGGGGTGTGCCCTGAAGAGGAGGGTGCGGCCCTCCTCAGCGACCCCTACCCATCATCTGTTGGTGTTTTTGGTTTTGTTTTTTTTTTTTTTTTTAACAATTAACTTTTAATTATCTTTTTTTAAACAGTAAAACTAAAAACCAAACACACCACCTTCCTTGATCCCAGCTGGCCTCTCGCTGGCCGCACCTGTCACATCTCTCCTTCTTCTCTTTCACCACTCTTTCCCCCAGTCCATCCTGAAGCTCCTGCACCCCCTTCCCGCCTTCCCCTCACTTCCCAAGAATACTCCAAACAAACTCTGAACCACGGAGACTTGGAGCAGTGGGAGACCCCTCTCCCGTTTCTCGATACCTTCCTGGAGGAACGCGGGGACATCGGACCAACCCATACATCAAGCCAGAGAGCGGGGCTTAGGGAGACTGGCCTTGGAGATGCCCCACTCCCTGTCTAAGCTCCGACAAGACTGTGACTTCCTCTGTGGCTGCTCTGCCTCCTCCCACTCACACCCAAGTGGGCCTGGAGTAGAGACGGACAGGCTGGAGACGAGGCCGGAGTTTGAGAGGCCTCAGGGTGGGTGTGAGGCCATGGAGTCTGTATCCCTGGGGAGGCGCTGGCCTCCTGGGCCTTGCCGTCCAGTGGGGAGTGGAGGGCAGAGGCCCTTTGGTCTGCTGGCTGTGGAGGGTGGGTTGCACGGACAGCCGGATATCGGGGACACTGCCTTGGGAGAGGGCGGCCCGGACGGGTATTTGGTACTTTTAGTTTCCTGATTTAGCACTTTAAATGGCATTAACTTATTGAATGGGGATGGGGTGGGCAAGAGTGAGGGGCCTAGAAAACCAGGTTTTGTGGCTTGCAGTTGGGGGAAGGGTCTGGTTTGAGGGAAATGGGAGGGTCGAGAGGGGCTTGACGGGGAGCACTGAAGACACCTGGGACCCGCAGGTGGGGTGACTTGAACTTCAGTCATCCTCTTGGCAATTTGAGGGTTTTCCCAGGAAAGGATGAGACGTAGTTTTTCAATGGGGCTCTGGTGACCCTGGTGAGATGTCTGAAGGTCCCTGAGGCCTGACCATCCAGCCAGCGCCCCTGGCCTGTGGACGCCCTGCCTGCCCTGCAGAGGCGGTTGGCAGTGCCGCCTGGCTTTTGGCCGGGTCCTGGGGAGGCAGAGAGAGGCCAATTTTGGTTCTCACTCCTGGCCCCCCAGAGGGCACAGTGAGGAGCCGGTAGGGAGAGGATAGGAGAAGAGGAGGAGGAGGAGCGGGGTCCCCGGCCGCAGGATTCCCACTTGGAGCACAAAGTGAAGTAAGCACAGGGGAGGGGGACTAGAATCAGTCCCCCATAGCAAGCACAGAAAGGAGGAGCTGCGCAGAAGGCAGAGCCCCCCAGACCCTGGGGCCTGGCTGGGGAAGGTCCGCACCTGGGGAGAGCTGGGAGCTGTTGAAGGTTTGGGGGGAGGGGAAACGGGTTGTGTTTCTTCATTTCTTTTTTTGTTTTTGCCTTTGTTGGTTCATCCTTGTTTTCTAGCTTTGGATCATTTTTGTACCAAGGCGAGCAAGCCTTTTTGAAAAATAACAAAAGAGGAAAAAAAAAATCCCTCCTGGAAAAAAAAAAAAACCCTGGAAAATAGAAAAAAAAAAAAGGACCTCATAAATGATGCAATTACTTTTAATTGCAGGCAACTCTTTACATTTAAGTGAAGTGTCTTAACATTTTATATTGTTTTAAAAATATATTTACATATTATATATATAATATACGTAATATAAATATATATAAATATTTAAAAAAGAAAAAAAAAAGAAAACCACGGCACTCTCCCTGGCCACTGTTTTGGCGGGGGAGGGGGGCTGGGGGGCGGGCACGTCGGCCTGGCTTCTGTGGTCCCAGTGAAATGGTCTGGTTTGATTTGGCTGTACAGAGACCCCCTGACTTGGGAGGGGAGGGGGGAGTGGTGCCCCCTCCTCCCTCCACTCCATTACTCTCTGCTTGCTACTTCGCTTGCCCCCAGCTCCCACCCTCAGCCCTGTGACTGGAATGTGTGCCCCACCGTCATTGTCCTGAGTTGAATGTCCCTTTGTGGGGGAGGTGGGGGGGGCAGTGTCCATCCACGAAGGGGCAGAAGGAGGGAGCCACGTGCCCCGCCCCACCCGCTCGGGTGAAGCCCAGTGGGATTTGCATCTTTCTTTCTCTTTGGTTCCTGCACATTTATGGGCTGGGAGGCATCCGTGTGGAATTGCGTGCAGCCTGTGTGTGTGCTGGCACAAGCCCATGCACTGTGTGTGCAGACGCATGGGGCCTGCACCCACAGGCATGGCCGAGCACATGTGTGGGGGAAGGCGTGGGCACATAGGTGCATGTAACCTGTTTGGGCATTGGCACGTGCCTACCTGCATGTTAGCGTGAGAGGAGCTTTGTGTGTGAGAACATGTGTAATGTGTGTGCAGACATGCCGAGAGCCAGAGACTTGTGTGTGGGCCACGTACATGTGGATAGAGACGCATACATGGAGGTGCATGTAATCTGTGTCTCCGAGTGTGTGTGTGCAGGTATGTGTGCTGGTGCAGACCCAAGTGTGTGGGTGTGCCTCTGTGTGCGTGTGTTCCATCATCCCTGCACCACTGGCTCCAGATCCCTTCCTGAGCCCCCGTCCCCGCTGGCCCTCTCACAGCCTGCAGCACATCAGTGCCCCCAGCTGCATGCGCCTCGCTGCTCTGTCCATCAGTGTGTGCTTGACCAAGAGAAAACTAAGACGTCTCGGGGGACCCCTGTACCTGGTCCTCTCAGCCCCCGCCCACTGTGCTGTGTTACTCGCATGGGGGATTTCCTGCCCCTTCCACAATATGCTGTTTCCCCAGGAGCCTCAGGCCTGAGGCTCTGAGTGGGGTCCCCAGGGGGCCCCCCGGGGTGAGCCCCGGCTCCACACCCTGCCCCATCCACCCTGTAGGGCCCATGTTGGTGTAGCAGTGATGGCTTCTGTGGATATTCTGTGACCTCTGTCGGTGTAACTTGACAATTTCTAAATGGAAAAGGGTTGCTGTGTTTTCTCTGTCTCTCTTTTTTAATGTCCTTTTTTCTTCTCCCCCGCTCCCTGCTCTCTTTCCTTTTCAGTTTTTCTAGCCAAGTGTTTGGGGCTTTAATAAAACTTGTTTCTTTTTCCTCTCCTGGATCTCCTTCCTATAGGCTGATGTCTCATTATTTCTCTGCTTCACCCTGGAGGATCTGGAAGGTGCTGGGATGGGTGGGGTGGCAGGTGGGGAATCCCTGGCAGCCACTGGCCTTCAGCTGGCAGAGCATGAGGGGGAGGACAGAACAGGGCCCCTGGGATTAGCCAGGTGGGGTGGTGTACACCAGTAATCCCAGCTACTCGGGTGGCTGAGGCATGAGAATCGCTTGAACCCAGGAGGTGGAGGTTGCAGTGAGCCAAGATCGCACCACTGCGCTCCAGCCTGGATGACAGAGCGAGAACCTGTCTCAAAAAACAAAAACAAAACAAAAAAAACCAGTTCTCAGCTTGGCATTCCAGGAGGTGTCCTGCCTAACCCTCACAACCATCGGTGAGGTAGCTACCGGCACTACCTACTCAGGCAAGTGACAAAACTCAGAGATGTTGGGCATCTTACCCAGAGTCATACAACTGGTAGGTTGTAGACAAACCAGTAAGTTTGAATCCAGCTCTGCCTGACACCAAAGCCCACGGTTACCCTGAAACCAAGCAGGGCTGATGACCTCCAGTAGTCCCCTGAATTGGGTCTCAGCCTCCTGCCCTTTGAGTGAGATGACCCTTGGTGGGGGTCCACCCATCTTTTCTTTCTTTTCTTTTTTTTAGACGGGGTCTCCCTCTGTCACCCAGGCTGGAGTGCATGATTACAGCTCACTATAGCCTCAACTTCCCTGGGCTCAGGTAATTGTCCCATCTCAGCCTCCCAAGTAGCTGGGACTACAGGTGCCTGCCACCACACCTGGCTACATTTTTTTGTATTTTTTGTAGAGATGAGGTTTCGCCATGTTGCCCAGGCTGGTCTCGAACTCCTGAGCTCAAGTGATCTGCCCACCTCGGCCTTCCAAAGTGCTGGGATTACAGGCGTGAACCACCGAGCCCGGCCACAAACATCTTTTCTAGATGCAGCAGCTTTCAAACCCGTAAAGTGGTAACAATACAAAATGCATTTGACACCTCTATGCTTTAGGTATGTACACACATATGCACAAACAGCCACAGCAAAGCAGCACCTGCTACACAGAGCACCATGGTGTATGCCATGGGTCCTGATTGGGTTTTACAGGCTTTCCCGGAATTCTGAAGGCTGTGCCACTGTTCCAGCATGTTCTAAGAGTCCCCGAGGCAGCCTTCCAGCTGTTCTGCGTGGCTGAGGGCTGGCATGTTACTGAATCTCTTCTCCCCCCTCAGCATCACTTCACTTCCATCCCTGAAGGTAGTGACTGTGTCCTGGAGCCACAATCTTCCAGTCATCACAGGGGCCCCAGTTGCGCTTCCTTCTCTTAAAGACCTCTTTGGAGACAGAGGGCAGCAACCTGCCTACTGTCTGCAGGGAATGCCCCTCCATGAGTCACCCACCCACCAAAGCCCAGCAACCCTTGAGACTCACAGAAAGCCAGTCCTCAGCCTGCCCGTAGCCCATCCCTATGTCCTTTTTAGAATGTCGGCAGATCTTGCCTTCTCTCTGCCATCCTATTCCCCAAAAACTGGGAGAGGAGCCAAAAAACCCCCTCTCCCAGAATCACTGCACTCATGACAGTTCAAGATCAAGTAACAAACGGAACCATCCGCTGCACGCCTGGAAGGAGGCAGGCACTCATTCACCCGCCAGATGCCTATCCAGGATGCACTCCCTGTGAGGCGCTGCTCGTCCACTCCTTGGGGCTGGGGCTCTGTCTGGCGGGAGAGCTGCCAGGACAGCCAGCAGACAGAACACAGACACCCGAGCTCAACCAAGGCAGGTGCTGGGAGAACACAAAAAAGAGGCACAGTGGCAGATGTGGCGGGGAGTAGCAGGGTCAGTCACATTTGAGAGGAGACCTTGTGGGTGGGTGAGGAGTGGGCTTTGGGGGCGCTGGTGGCTGAGGGTCCCAGGCACAAGGCCCTGGGTGGGACGTAACCAGTGGGTTCTGGAAAATGAAGGAAATCCAAGAAGAGTGAGGAGGGGAAAGTGCAGCGTGGTGGGCAGAAGCCCCCTCATGTGAGGCCTTATGGGCTGTGGTAAGGAAGGTGCCATGGAAAACAATAGGAGGGTTTAAAGTAAGAAAGTGTCATGAACTGACATGTTGTTTCAGAAGTTGTCTCAGAGTGGGCTGGACGTGGTGGCTCACGCCTGTAATCCCAGCACTTAGGGAGGCTGAGGCGGGCAGATTACAAGGTCAGGAGTTCGAGACCAGCCTGGCCAACATGGTGAAACCCGGTCTCTACTAAAAATACAAAAATTAGCTGGGTGTGGTGGCAGGCACCTGTAATCCCAGCTACTGGGGAGGCTGAGGCAGGAGAATCACTTGAACCCGGGAGGCAGAGGTTGCAGTGAGCCAAGATCATGGCATTGCACTCCAGCCTGGGCGACAAGAATGAGACTCTGTCTCAAAAAAAAAAAAAAAAAAAAAGTTAATCAGAGTGGCATGCACCTGCGGTTCCAGCTACTGGGGAGGCTGAGGTGGGAGGATTGCTTGAGGCCAGGAGTTTGAAGTTTCAGTGAGCTATGATGGCATCACTGCACTCCAGTGTGGGTGACCGAGGGACACCCTGTCTCAAATACAATACTGCCTACTGTCTGCAGGGAATGCCCCTCCGTGAGTCACCCACCCACCAAAGCCCAGCAACCCTTGAGATTACAGAAAGCCAGTCCCCAGCCCTGTCTCAAAAATGAAAAATAGGCCTGGCGCGGTGGCTCATGCCTGTAATCCCAGCACTTTGGGAGGCAGAAGCGGGCAGATCACGAGGTCAGGAGATCGAGACCATCCTGGCTAACACAGTGAAACCCTGTCTCTACTGAAAATACAAAAAAATTAGCCGGGCGTGGTGGCGGGCGCCTGTAGTTCCAGCTACTCGGGAGGCTGAGGCAGGAGAATGGCATGAACCCGGGAGGCGGAGCTTGCAGTGAGCCGAGATCGCGCCACTGCACTCCAGCCTGGGTGACAGAGTGAGACTCCGTCTCAAAAGAAAAAAAAAAAAGAAAAACCGGAACTTATCCCTCCCAATAGCCATGCTTTATTAATGTTTTATAATACTAATTGCTACCATTTATGGAGAGTTCGTTAATCTTCTAACAACCCAGACAATAGATATTATTACCTCTGTGCTATCAGTGGGGAAGGTTGACTCTGGCCAAGATTTGAGCGCGATCTGACTGCCTTCAGAGCTCAGGTTCCTGATGGAGAGGAGGCAGGCGCTACTTGACGTGTAGTGGTCGGGGAAGCCCTCGGCTTCTCTCCTTCACTGTCTGCACATCCTCTCTTGGCCCCCCTGGGCATTTTCTGACTGTTTGATCATTGAGTGGCTTAAGTGGTCCCTGAGCTCAGAGTGACAGAGCACGATCCACAGGATGGGGGCCTGGGGCTAGTGGCATCTGTGCCCCTTAACTGAGAACAGGCTTCCTCGAAGCTCACTGGTGCTGACTGGCTGATACCACTCATAATGGCACACCTGGCAGGGGGATCCCTCCATCCCCTCCCCTTTGTCATCGTTCCAGAAATCTTCACTCAAAATCTCAGCCTGTGTTTTAGTTCAGGGTGACAATCATGCTGCCTCTCCATGTCCATACTAGAAGGGCAGGGAAAAATCTCTATTCCTTTCACCTAAGCCCTCATAGATTTGGAGTTTTCCCAAAGAAATGTTTCCTGCCGGGCGCAGTGGCTCACGCCTGTAATCCCAGCACTTTGGGAGGCCGAGGCAGGTGGATCACGAGGTCAGGGGTTCGAGACCAGCCTGACCAACATGGTGAAACCCCGTCTCTACTAAAAATACAAAAATTAGCTGGGCGTGGTGGCGGGCGCCTGTAATCCCAGCTACTCAGGAGGCTGAGGCAAGAGAATTGCTTGAACCCGGGAGGCGGAGGTTGCAGTGAGCCGAGATTGCACCACTGCACTCCAGCCTGGGTGACAGAGCAAGACTCTGTCTAAAAAAAAGAAAAAAAAAAAAGTTTCCTATGAAATATATCAAACCCCACTGGAAGCCAGGCACAGTGGCTCATGCCTGTAATCCCAGCACTTTGGGAGGCCAAGGCGGGCGGATCACGAGGTCAAGAGATCGAGACCATCCTGGCCAACATGGTGAAACCCCGTCTCTACTACAAATACAAAAAATTAGCTGGGTGTGGTGGCGCATGCCTGTAGTACCGGCTACTCGGGAGGCTGAGGCAGGAGAATCGCTTGAAACTGGAAGGCGGAGGTTGCAGTGAGCTGAGATCACGCCACTGCACTCCAGTCTGGGCAACAAAAACGAAACTCCATCTCCAAAAAAAAAAACCCCCACTGGATAGGCAGAGCAAGTTTTACTGTATTTTATTTATCCTATTTTATTTTTTTGAGACAAGGTCTTGCTCTGTCACCCACACTGGAGTGCAGTGGCGCCATCATAACACACTGCAACCTCAAACTCCTGGGCACAAGGGATCCTCTGGCCTCAGCCTCCTGAGTAGCTGGGACTACAGGTGCAAGTCACAACCCCTGGCTAATTTTTCAATTTTTGCAGAGACAGAGTTACCAAGGCTTATTTTGAACTGCTAGACTCAAGTGATCCTCCTGCCTTAGTCTCCCAGAGTGTTGGGATTACAGGCGTGAGCCAGCAAGCCTGGCCTAGAGCAAGTTTTAGAGTACAGTTTGTTATTGTTTGTATGGCTGCTTTTTTTTTCTTTTCTTTTTTTTTTTTTTTTTTTTTACAGAGTCTCACTCTGTTGCCCAGGCTGGAGTGCAGTGGCACAATCTCAGCTCACTGCAACCTCCGCCTCCTGGATTCAAGCGATTTTCCCGCCTTAGCCTCCTGAGTAACTGGGACTAGAGGCAGGTACCACCACGCCCAGCTAATTTTTGTATTTTTAGTAGAGACGAGGTTTCACCATGTGGGCCAGGCTGGTCTTAAACTCCTGACCTCAAGTGATTTGCCCAACTCAGCCTCCCAAAGTGCTGGGATTACAGGCACGAGCTACCACGACCGACCTGTTATGGCTTTTTTAAATTATTTATTTATTTATTTATTTATTTATTTGTTCAAGACAGGGTCTTGTTCTGTCACCAGGGTTAGAATGCAGTAGTACTATCTCGGCTCACTGCAGCCTCGACCTCCTGGATTCAAGCAGACCTCCCACTTCAGCCTCCAGAGTAGCTAGGACTACAGGTATGTGCAACCATGCCTGGTCAATTTTAGTTTTTTGTACAGCCCAGGTCTCAGTATATTGCCCAGGCTGGTCTCAAACTACTGGGCTCAAGTGATCCTCCCACTTCCACCTTCCAAAGTGCTGGGATTACAGACGTGAGTCACCATGCTTGGCCTGTTACACGGCTTTATTGAGATTTATTTCACATACCACAAAATGCACCCTTTTAAAGTCTACAGTTCAGTGATTTTTAGTATATTCACAGATATGTGTGACCATCACCACAATCGAACTTTAGATTATTTCAACTCCCCGAACCCTGACCACTTGACAGTCATTCCCCATTCCTGCACCCTCCTCTCTGCCACCTACCTCCTCACCCCGACCCACAGCCCTAGGGAATTAGTAATTTACTTTCTATCTGTATGGATTTCCCATTGCAGACACTTCCCACAAATGGAGTTATACAACATGTCGTCTTTTGTGACAATCTTCTTTCTACATGTTTCCAAAATTCATCTATGTTGTAGCATGTATCAGTACTGATGCAGGGCAGACAAGCCCCCAAATTGGGGTTTAGCAGAGGAGGATTCTTGGTTTTGTCCGGGAAATAATTCAAGGGTGAGCCGGTGGTGTTAGACAGCAGCTTTTATTGAAGCGACAGTGCACAGCAGCAGAGGTGCTGTTCCTTGTGGAGCGGGGCTACCCCACAGGCCTTGTGCTCAGAGTAGCAGCTCAGAGGTGGGTCTGCACTCATAGTTATACCCACTTTTAATTGTATGCAAATTAAGGGGTAGATTGTGCAGAAATTTGTAGGAAAATTTTGGTAACTTTTGGGTCATTGGGTCGTTGCCATGGAAAGGGGTGGTAATTTCTGGCTGTTGCCGTGGCAATGGTAAACTGAAATGCTGCACTGGTAGGTGTGTCTTATGGAGACCTGCTTCCACTCCATCTTTGTTTTAGCTAGTTCTCAATTTGGTCCAGTGTCCAAGAACTGACTCTGGAGTCGAGTCCCACCTCCTACCTCAGTATTTCATTCTTTTTTTTTTCTTTTTTTCTTTTTTTTTTTTTTTGAGACAGAGTCTCTCTCTGATGCCTAGGCTGGAGTGCAATGGCATGATCTCGGCTCACTGCAACCTCTGCCTCCCAGGCTCAAGCGAGTCTCCTATCTCACCCTCCCGACTGCAAGTCGGGACTTGTAGCTGGGACTACAAGTGTGTGCCAGCATGCCCGGCTAACTTTTGTATTTTTAGTGGAGAAGGGGTTTCACCATGTTGGTCAGGCTGGTCTTGAACTTTTGACCTCAAGTGATCCACCCACTTTGGCCTTCCAAAGTGCTGGGATTACAGGCATGAGTCACCGCGCCCAGACTGAATAATTTTCTCTTGTATGGATATATCATATTTTACTTATCCATTCATCAGTTGATGGATATTTAGGTTGTCAGTACATGAACATTTGTGTACAAGTTTTTTTTTGTGTGTTGACATATGTTTCAGCTCTCTTGAGTATATCCTAAGGAATAGAATTGCTGGGTTTTACAATAACTCTAGGTTTAACATTTTGAGGAGCTGCCAAACTGTTTTCCAAAGTGGCTGCCCCACCAGCCATGTAATAAGCATTCTAATTTCTCCACATTCAACACTTGTTATTGTCTGTTTTTTTACTGCAGCCACCCTAATGTGTATGAAGAGGTAGCTTATGGTTTTGATTTGTATTCCCATGATGACTACTGATGTTGAAAATCTTGGCCGGGAGCGGTGGCTTATGCCTGTAATCCCAGCACTTTGGGAGGCTGAGGCAGGCGGATCACGAGGTCAGGAGATCGAGACCATCCTGGCTAACAGTGAAACCCCATCTCTACCAAAAATACAAAAAAATTAGCCGAGCATGGTGGCGGGCGCCTGTAGTCCCAGCTACTCGGGAGGCTGAGGCAGGAGAATGGCGTGAACCCGGGAGGCGGAGCTTGCGGTGAACCACTGCACTCCAGCCTGGGTAACAGAGCGAGACTCCATCTCAAAAAAAAAAAAAAGAAAATATTTTCAAGTATATAATAGCTATTGGCATATCTTCTTTGGATAAATGTCTTCAGATCCTTTGCTTATTTTTATCCAAATTGGGTTGTCTTTTTATTGTTGAATTTTATTGTTCTTTATATATTCTAGATATGAGTCCCTTGTCAAATATATGATTTGCAAATGTTTTCTCCCACCGGGTGTGGTGGTGCATGCCTATAATCCCAGCTCAGGAGGATCACTTGAGCCCAGGAGGTCGAGGTTATGGTGAGCCATGATCATACTGCTGCATTCCAACTGGAGCCACAGAGTGAGTCCCTGTCTCAGGAAAAAACACACACACACACACACACACTTTTTTTCTTCCATCCAATGATTGGTTGTCTTTTCACTTTCCTAATAGTATCCTTTGACACACACAGTTTTTAATTTTTATGAAGTCCAATCTATCAATTTTTTTTCTTTTATAGCTTGTGCTTTTGGTGTCGCAGCTAGAAGATCCTCACACCTCAGCCTCCCAAGTAGCTGGGACTACAGGCATACACCACCATACCTCGCTAATTAAAAATTTTTTTTTGCCTGCGCATGGTGGCTCATGCCTATAATCCTAGCACTTTGGGAGGCTGAGGTGGGCAGACCACTTGAGGTCAGGAGTTTGAGACCAGCCTGGCCAACATGGTGAAACCCCGTCTCTACTAAAAATATAAAAATTAGCAAGGCGTGGTGGTGGGCGCCTGTAATCCCAGCTACTTGGGAGGCTGGGGCAGGAGAATCACTCTAGCCCAGGAGGTGAAGGTTGCAAGGAACTGAGATCGTGCCACTGCACTCCAGCCTAGGCAACAGGGTGAGACTCCATCTCAAAAAAGAAAAAAAAAAAGAGAAAAACATTTTTTTGGTAGAAAGGGGGTCCTGCTATATTGCCCAGAGTGGTCTTGAACTCGGCGTCTGAAAGCGCTGAGATTACAGGACCTGCCACCACACCCGGCTAATTTTTGTATTTTTAGTAGAGATGGGGTTTCACCATGTTGGCCAGGCTGGTCTCGAACTCCCGGGCTCAAGGGATCCACCTACCTCAGCCTCCCAAAGTGCTGGGATTACAGGCGTGAGCCACCGGCCTGGCCTCTTCTCACATTCTTGATGATGTCTCGTGACATACAGAAGTTTTAGATTTTTCTGTTTTTTCTTCCATTGTTCATGCTTTTGGTGCCAAATCTAAGAATCCATTGTCACATTCAAGGCCATGAAGATTTACCTTATTTTTTTTTCTAAGAGTTTTAGATTTTATTTTAAAGTCTATGATCTATTTTGAGTTAATTTTTGTAGACAGAGTGAGATAGTGGTCCAATTTCATTCCTGTGCATGTGGTTATCCAGTTGTCCCAGCACCTTTTTTTTTTTTTTTTTTTTGAGATGGAGTCTTGCTCTATCGCCCAGGCTGGAGTGCAGTGGTGCAATCTCAGCTCACTAACCTCCGTCTCCCAGGTTCACACCATTCTCCTGCCTCAGCCTCCCGAGTAGCTGGGACTACAGCCGCCCGCCACCACACCCAGCTAATTTTTTATATTTTTAGTAGAGACGGGGTTTCACCATGTTAGCCAGGATGGTCTCGATCTCCTGACCTTGTGATCCGTCCACCTTGGCCTCCCAGCATGCTGGGATTACAGGCGTGAGCCACTGCACCCAGCCTCCAGCACCATTTTTTTAGAAAAGATTATCATTTGCCCCATTGAATGGTCTTGGTAACGTTGTCAAGTGTCAAATTGACATCCAGTGTGTATCATGGATGTAAAAAATATATGTATCTGTTGACCATAAATGTTTGGGTTTATTTCTGGATTCTTAATTCTTTTCCATAGGTCTATATATCTAGCCTTATGCCAGTACCACACTGTTGAGATTACTGCAGCTTTGTAGTAAGTTTTGATATTGGGAAGTGTAAGTACTGCTACTTTGTTTTAAATTTTGTTTTCACTATTTGAGGCCCCTTGGAGTTTCCTATTTCATGGATTCCTTAGAATTTTCTACATACAATCTCATGTCATCTGCAAATAGAGACAGTTTTACATCTCTATTTGTGGATGGCTTTTATTTCTTTTTCTTGCCTAATTGCCTGGGCTAAAACTCCCAGTAGAATGTTGACTAGAAGTGGTAAGAGTGGACATCTTGTCTGTTTCCTGATCTTAGAGGGAAAGCTCTCAGTCTATTAATTTAATAGCATGAAATACGATATTAGCTGTAGTTTTTTTTTTTTTTTAGACAGCGTCTCCCTCTGTCACCCTGGCTGGAGTGCAGTAGCTCAATCATGGCTCACTGCAGCCTTGATCTCCTGTGCTCAAGCAATCCTCCTACTTCAGCCTCCCAAGTAGCTGGGACTACAGGTATGAACCACCACGCCTGGCTAGTTTTTGTATTTTTTGTAGAGACGGGCTTTCACCATGTTGCCCAGGCTGGTCTTAAACTCCTGGGCTCAAGCAAGCCACCCACTTCAACCTCCCAAAGTGCCAGGATTATAGGCATGAGCCACCCTGCCTGGCCTAGCTACAGATTTTTCATAGGTATGTTTATCAGGTTGAGGAAGTTTCCTTCTATTCCTAGTTTATTGAATTTTATAATCATAAAAGAGTGTTGAATTTTGTCTTGCTTTTTCAGCATCTATTGAGATGATCATGTAATTTTTATTCTTTATTCTCTCAATTTTGTGTGTTTCATCGATTGATTTTCAAATATTAAACCAACCTTGTATTCCTGGGATAAATCCCACTTGGTCATGGTGTATAATCCTTTGTATACGTTTCTTGATTTGTTTTGCTTGTATCTTTTTGTTGTTGTTGTTTTGAGACAGAGTCTCGCTCTCTCTTCCATGCTGGAGTGCAGTGGCGTGATCTCAGCTCACTGCAATCTCTGCCTCCTGGGTTCAGGCAATTCTTGTGCCTTAGCCACCAGAGTAGCTGGGATTACAGGTGTGTGCCACCACACCCAGCTAATTTTTGTATTTTTATTAATAGTAGAGATAGGGTTTTGCTATGTTGGCCAGGCTGGTCTCCAACTCCTGGCCACATGTGATCTGCCTGCCTCGGCCTCCCAAAGTTCTGGGATTACAGGTGTGAGTTGTCACACCCAACCGGTTTGCTGGTAGCTTGTGGAGGACTTTTGTTTCTATAGTCACAAGGGATATTAGTCTGTAGTTTTCTTGTGATATCTTTTTCTAGCTTTGGTATCAGGGTAATACTGGCCTCACGGTTGCTTCCTCTTCTTTTTTTGAAAGAGTTTGTGAGGGATTTGTATTAATTTTTCTTTAAATATTTGATAGAAATCACCAGTGAAGCCATCTGGGTCTGGAATTTTCTTTGTTGAAAGTTTTTAAATGACTAATTCAATCTTTTTCCATGTTGTAAGTCTGTTCAGATTATTTATGAGTTCTCCTTCTTATGTCAGTTTTGGTAATTTATGTCTTTCTAGGAATTTTTTCATTTCTTCTATTTATCTAACTTGCTGGCATGCAGTTGTTCACAGTGTTCCCTTATTATCCCTTTACTTTTGTGTGTGTGTGTGTGTGTGTGTGTGGAGATGGACTCTTGTTCTGTCTTCTAGGCGGAGCGCAGTTACACGATCCCAGCTCACTGCAACCTCTGCCTCCCAAGTTCAAGTGATTCTCCTGCCTCAGCCTCCTGAGTAGGTGGGATTACAGGCGCCCGCCACCACGCCTGGCTAATTTTTTTATTTTTAGTAGAGACAGGGTTTCACATGTTGGCCAGGCTGGTCTTGAACTCTTGACCTCAAATGATCCACCCGCCTCGGCCTCCCACAGTGCTGGAATTACAGGCGAGAGCCACTGCACCCAGCCCCCCTTTACTTTTTATAAGTATTGATAGCTCCCTTTTCATGCCTGAGGTATTAATCTGAGTCTTCTCTTTTTTTTTTCTTGGTCAGTCTAGCTAAACAGTTGCCAATTTGTTGATCTTTTCCAAGAAAAAACTTTTGGTTTTACTGACTTTCTCTATTTTTTCTATTTTCTATTCCATTTATTTTTACTCTTACCTTTATTATTTCCTTCCTTTGGCTTTCTTTTGGTTGAGTTTGCTCTTCTTTTTCTAGTTTCTTAAGGTGGAAGTTTAGGTTATTAATTAGAAATCTTTCTTCTTTTCTAATATTGACATAGTTACAAATGTCTCTCTAAGCACTGCTTTAGCTGCATCCAGTAAGTTATGTTATGTTGTGTGTTAGTTTCCATTCATCTCAACATATTTTCTAATTTCCCTGTGATTTCATCTTTCACTCATTGATTATTTAGGAGTGTTTTTAAATTTCTACATATTTCTAGCCAGGCGTGGTGCCTCATGCCTGTAATCCCAGCACTTTAGGAGGCCAAGGCAGGCAGATCACTGGAGGTCAGGAGTTCGAGACCAGCCTGGCCAACATGGTGAAACCCTGTCTCTATTAAAAATACAAAAATTAGCCGGGCATGGTGATACACTCCTGCAGTCCCAGCTACTTGAGAGGCTGAGGCAGGAGAATCACGTGAACCCAGGAGGCGGAGGCTGCAGTGAGCCGAGATAGCACCACTGCACTCCAGCCTGGAGGACAGAGCAAGACCCGCCTCGAAAAAAAAAAAAAAATTCTACGTATTTGTTAATTTCCTTGGTTGTCATTTTCTAATTTAATTCCATTGCAGTTGGGGAACAGACTTTATGTAATTTCAATCCTTTTCCATTTATTGAGGCTTGTTTTAAGGCCTAGTATAAGTCTACCCTGAAGAGTGTGTCACGCGTAGCTGAGAACAATGTGTGTTCTGCTGCTGTGTGGAGTGTTTCGATGTCTTTCAGGTCTTGGCTTACAGTGTTGTTCAAGGCTTCTACTTCCTTGTTGATCTTCTGCCTCGTTGTTTTATCCGTTATTGAAAGTGGGGGCCGGGCGCAGTGGCTCAAGCTTGTAATCTCAGCAGTTTGGGAGGCCAAGGTGGGCGGATCACGAGGTCAGGAGATCGAGACCATCCTGGCTAACACGGTGAAACCTCGTCTCTACTAAAAATACGAAAAATTAGCCGGACATGGTGGCGGGCACCTGTAGTCCCAGCTACTCGGGAGGCTGAGGCAGGAGAATGGCGTGAACCCCGGAGGCGGAGCTTGCAGTGAGCGGAGATCGTGCCACTGCACTCCAGCCTGGGCAACAGAGTGAGACTCCGCCTCAAAAAAAAAAAAAAAAAAAGAAAGTGGGGTATTGAAGTCTCCAACTACTATATTGAATGGTCTAATTCAGTTCAGTTCCCTTCAGTTTTATTAGTTTTTGCTTCATGTATTTTGGGATCTGTTGTTAGGAGTATATATGTTTACAATCATTTTATCTTCCTCATAAACTGGCTCTTTTATCATTATAAAAGATATTGTATCTTTAGTAACAATTTTTTTTTTTTTTGAGACAGAGTCTTGTTCTGTCGCCTAGGCTGGAGTGCAGTGGTGCTATCTCGGCTCACTGCAACCTCCGCCTCCCAGATTCAAGCAATTAGGAGCGCCTGTCTCAGCCTCCCGAGTAGCTGGGACTGCAGTGCACGCCACCATGCCCAGCTAATTTTTGTAGTTTTAGTAGAGATGGGGTTTCACCATGTTGGTCAGGCTACTCTTGAACTCCTGACATCAGGTGATCCACACATCTTAGCCTCCCAAAGTGCTGGGATTACAGGCGTGAGCCACCTCGCCCAGGCTTCAGTAAGAATTTTTGTCTTAAAGTCTAGTTTGTCTCATGCTTGTGTAGCCACCCTAGCTCTCTTTTAATAACTCCTCACATGGTTTCTTTTTCCATCCTTCTACTTTCAACTCTTGTGTCTTTGACTCTAAAGTAAATCTCTCACAGTTAGATCATTTTATTTTATTTTATCCATTCTGGGATGGGCCCGGTGGCTCACACCTGTAATTCCAGCCCTTTGGGAGGCCCAGGTGGGAGCATCACTTGAGCCCAGGAGGTTGAGACCAGCCTGGTTAAGATAGCATGACCTCATCTCTACAAAAATTTTGTTTTTAAAATTAGCCAAGCGTGGTGACGTGGCCCCGTAGTCCCAGCTATTTGGGAGGCTGAGGTGGGAGGATTGCTTGAGCCCAGGATGTCGAGGCTGCAGTGATCTAGGATCACACCACTGCACTCCAGCCTGGGCAATTGAGCAAGACCCAGTCTTATAAAAGGAAAAAAATAATAATCCATTCTGCCAATTTCTGCCTTTTGATTGGGGTGTTAAATTCATTTACATTCAATGTATCACTAATAAGCTAGGATTTATGTCTGCCATTTTGCTAATTGTTTTCATATGTCTTGCCTTTTTTGTTCCTCTATTCCTTGATTCTGCCTTCTTTCTTTCTTCCTTCCTTCCTCCCTCCCTCTCACCCTCTCTCTCTCTCTCTCTTTCTTTCTTTTTTTTTTTTTGGAGACACGGTTTCACTCTGTTCCCCAGGCTGGAGTGCAATGGCGCCATCTTGGCTCACTGCAACCTCCGCCTCCCGGGTTCCAGTGATTCTCCTGCCTCAGCCTCCCAAGTAGCTGGGATTACAGGCACACACCACCACACCCGGCTAATTTTTGTATTTTTGGTAGAGACGGGGTTTCGCCATGTTGGCCAGGCTGGTCTCAAACTCCTGACCTCTGGTGATCCTCTGACCTCAGCCTCCCAAAGTGCTGAGATTACAGGCGTGAGCCACTGCCCCCAGCCTGATTCTGCCTTCTTGAGTGTAAAATAAATATTTTCTTTCTTTTTTTATTTTTATTTTTATTTTTTTGAGATGGAGTCTTGCTCTGACGCCCAGGCTGGAATGCAGTGGTGCGATCTCAGCTCACTGCAAGCTCCTCCTCCCAGGTTCACGCCATTCTCCTGCCTCAGCCTCCTGGGTAGCTGGGACTACAGGCGCCTGCCACCACGCCCAGCTACTTTTTTTGTATTTTCAGTAGAGGCGGGGTTTCACCGCATTAGCCAGGATGGTCTTGATCTCCTGACCTCGTGATCCACCCGCCTCGGCATCCCAAAGTGCTGGGATTACAAGCTTGAGCCACTGCGCCTGGCCTCTTTCTTTTTTTTAATACAGGGTCTCACCTCCTGGGCTCAATCGATCATCCCACATCAGCCTCCCAAGTAGCTGGGACTACAGGCATGTGCCACCATGCATGGCTAACTTTTAAAAATTTTTTTATAGAGATGGGTCTCGCTAGATTGCCCAGGCTGGTCTCAAGCAATCCTCCTGCCTCAACTTCCCAAAGTCCTAGGATTACAGGCATAAGCCACAATGGCTGGCCAATATTTTCTGATATATCATCTATTTAATTCTGTTTTTTTGTTTCATTTACAATTTTTTGAGTTATTTTTAGTGGTTGCCCTAGGGATTACAATTAGCATGTTAACTTAGAACAATCTAGTTCACCTTAATAGTAACCTAATTTTAATAGTGTTTAAAAACTTTGCTCTAATATAGCTCCATTCCTCTCCAGTCCTTCATGCCATTATTGTCATACAAATTACACCTTTATATGTCAACACAGTTTTGTAATTATTGCTTTATGTAGTTATCTTTTAAAGACAGGGTTAAAGACAAAAAGGAAAATAATTACTACAAAAATGTTTATTCTTTCTTTTTTTTTTGAGACAGAGTCTTGCTCTGTCACCCAGGCTAGAGTGCAGTGGCACTGTCTCAGCTCACTTCAACCTCCACCTCCCAGGTTCAAGTGATTCTCCTGCCTCAGCCTCCCAAGTAGCTGGGATTACAGGTGCCCACCACCACACCCAGCTAATTTTGTATTTTTAGTAGCGAAAGGGTTTCACCATGTTGGTCAGGCTGGTCTCGAACTCCTGACCTCAAGTGTCCACCTGCCTTGGCCTCCAAAAGTGCTGGGATTACAGGCTTGAGCCACCGAGCCTGGCCTATACTGTCTTTCATAATGCCTATGTGGCTATCCTTACAGTGTTCTCTATTCATTCGCGTGGACTCAAATTACCATCTAGTGTACTTCCGTTTCAATCTGAAGGCTGCCTTTACTATTTCTTATATGGCATGTCTGCTAGTGATAAATTCTCTGTTTTTTAAAATCTAGAGATATCAGTGGGGGTATGGCGGCTCACACCTGTAATCCTAGCACTTTGGGAGCCTGAGGCAGGAGGGTTGCCCAAGAGTTTGAGACCAGCCTGGGCAACATAGGGAGACCCTGTCTCTACAGAAATTAAAAAATTAGCTGGGTATGGTGGCACGCACCTGCAATTCTAGCTACTTGGGAGGCTGAGGTGGGAGAATCGCTGGAGCCCAGAAGGTCCGGGCTGCAGTGAACTTCGATCGCCACTGCACTCCAGCCTGGGTGACAGAGTGAGACCCTGTCTCAAATAAATAAATAGGCCCGTCACAGTGATTCACGCCTGTAATCCCAGCACTTTGGGAGGCCAAGGCAGGAGGATCGCTTGAACCCAGGAGTTCAAGACCAGCCTGGGCAACATAATGAGATCTTGTCTCTACTAAAAAAAAAAAAAAAAAAAAAAAAATAGCTGAGTGTGGTGGCACATGCCTGTGGTCCCAGCTACACTGGAGACTGAGGCAGGAGGTTCACTTGTGCCCAGGAGGTCCAGGCTGCAGTGAGCTGTGATCACACCACTTCACTCCAGCCTGGGCAATGGAGCAAGACCCTGTCTCAAAAATAAATAAATAGAATAATAAAAATAAAAATAAATCTAGAGATATTTTCATTCCTTATTTATTTATTTATTTATTGAGACAAAATCTCACTCTGTCACACAGGCTGGAGTGCAGTGGCACAATCTCGGCTCACTGCAACCTCCACCTACCAGGTTAAAGCGATTCTCCTGCCTCAGCCTCCCGAGTAGCTTTCCTGAGTAGCTGGGATTACAGGCATGTGCCACCACGCCCGGCTAATTTTTGTATTTTTAATAGAGATGAGATTTCACCGTGTTGGCCAGGCTGGTCTCGAACTCCTAGCCTCAGGAGCTCCCTGCCTCAGCCTACCAAAGTGCTGGGATTATAGGCATGAGCCACTGTGCCAGGCCTATTCCTACTTTATTTTTGAAGGAGAGCACAGGGTTTTCATCCATTCTCACTCAAAGTCTACTACAGTCTGGAGAAGGTGGCCCAATGGGCTTGTTACCCCATCTCTGTGTCCTTTCTTTGGACTTAAACTTACCCTGGTTCTACAGCTTACTAGCTATGTGATCTTGGGCTGGGCAAGTTATGACACTGCTGCGTGCCTCCATTTCCTCATATATAAAATGCAGAAAACAATGGTGGTGTGCTCAAGAGTGTTGGACGACTGATTTAAGACGTGTTGGCCGGGTGTGGTGGCCCATGCCTGTAATCCCAGCACTTTGGGAGGCCGAGGCGGGCGGATCACCTGAGGTCAGGAGTTCGAGACCAGCCTGACTAACGTGGAGAAACCCCATCTCTACTAAAAATACAAAATTAGCCTGGTGTGGTGGCGCATGCCTATAATCCCAGCTACTTGGGAGGCTGAGGCACGAGAATCACTTGAACCTGGGAGGTGGAGGTTGCAGTGAGCCGAGATCCAGCCTGGGCAACAAGAGCGAAACTCGGTCTCAAAAAAAATAAAAATAAAAAAAATAATAAGACGTGTAAAGCCCTTGGAGCTGGCAGAGCCTACAATGCTATAAGCTCATTTGCCCAACAGAAACGACTTGGGAGGGTGGGGCATAGGATTCAGTGAGCAACTGAGCTCTTCCCAGCTCCTGGGCTCCTCCCTAGATTCTCTTTATATATATACAGATTTAAATATATATATATATGTATATATATAATAGAGGAGGGGGAGGGACTATACTATGTTGCCCAGGCTGGTCTTAAATTCCTGGGCTCCCGCCTTGGCCTCCCAAAGTGCTGCGATTACAGACGTGAGCCACTGCCCCAGCCCTCCCTAGATTCCCTTTAATGACTGTCACCTGGTCTTCCTACAGAAAGCTGCGAGGCTCAGCAGAGGCAGCCTGTAAACTGGCTGGGGCAACTACAAAGCAACCGCCGGCACAGAAGGACGCCCACCCCATGTTGTAAGCTTACACATGTGAAGGGGACAACGGGCAAAACCCATTCTGTCCTTTTGCAATATTATCTGGGCCTGGAGTGCCTACGACAGCTGGCCCAAGCCTCCTGTCTGCGGGGCAGGACTGCTGGAACCATTGTGAAGCTCCAGGTAGGCCTGAGAAGGTGCCTGTGCACCTGCCTGGGCTCTGTAGGAATAGAGAGCAGGTGCCTGGAAACTTCGCACAGCAATGAGGGCCACCCACTCTTCCAACTCATATCTGTCCCTGTGTCATTGACCAGTCCCCCAGGACACTTACAAAAAGGTCACCAGGAAAAAGTCTGCCTCCGTCCTGCCACCCCTTGGTCCAGTCCCCATCGCCCTCCTTCCCTGGGCCAGGTACCTCTCCTGTCTCCCAGCCCCACTCTGGCCCTTTCCCTCCAAAACAAGTGAGACAGCTGACTCATGCCTTGAGGAAAGCTATTTATTTCCAAGATATAGACTGTACTTTTAAGACAGGACTTTTCAGAAGCAGGAAATTTTAGTTGTTGCCAGAGAGGTGTGTCAAGGACACAGTGAAAGGAGCCATGCGGACATGGGGTGGAAGGCTTTGTCCAACACTGTTACAACACTTTTGTAAATGAGCAAAACATCTTTAAAAATCCTTATAAATTCTTTATAATATGTTACACATTTAGAGACAATATTTACAATAAAAGAATGGGGGAGGGAGGGAAAGAAATCTACTTTACAGTAAATCTTTGCATAAAACAAGAGGACTGATAGACGTGGCAGCGGGTTCACCACCTACCTGGGCTTCCCTGGAATGAGTGAGGGTGTGTGGGGGCTGGCCTGGTGATTGGAAGTCTATTTACAGCCTGTGGGGAGAAGAGGGCGCTGGGTCCTGTCCATCCTGCAGGAACAGCCCAGCTCAGACCCCATAAATCAGTGTGTGAGTGACAGAGAGACAGCAGGGGTGTTGACTATCCCTCCTCCTAAGGGGAAGAAGGTGGGCTTCTGTGTGCCTGGGCTGTGGAAGGAACAGGCACAGATGGAAAAACAAAAAGAGGGGTGAGGGAGGTACCAGCAAGGGGGACCCTGGACCCCCCCCACCAAAAACTGTCTGGGGAACAGGCAGCTGCCCGTGGTTAAAGCGCTTAGAGGGTGACTCAGGCAAAAGGATGTTGGGGAGTAACCCTGGTGAGGGTTTCAGTCCTGCCTCCTTGGAATGGCCCCAACCCCCTTCTCTGGCTCTGGCAAGGGGGGCGGGCAGGATCCTGTGTGCACCAAAGGCAGGGAGCCCGGGGGCGCAAAGTGGGGACCAGGGTGGGGATAGGGGGACAGAAGTCGCTACTGGAAACACCTTGGGACAATGACTGCACACACAAGCCCCTCCCCCCATGGACATACGCACCCTACACCTCCTCTCCCCAGACATACACACATCCCCGCTTACAAGCTGAGGTGGGAGGGCAGAAGAAAGAAGCAAAAAGCCAGCATCACCCAGGATCTTTCCTTTAGTCTGAAACTTAGGGGTTCCCTAGCCACACCCCATGGTCCACAAGGGTCCCCAAGTGCAGCCACAGAAAGGCTCAGAAGGACCTATCGGGCGCATGTGTGCAGGGACACAGACCCCAGCAGCCCACGCCCCCTCCTCTTCTGCTCATCACCTCTGGAACCCCCTTCCATTCAATTAGTCCGGCCCCAGCCTTCTCCTCTGCCCTGCCAGTTCCAGCACACCAACTAGAGACACTGCCTGCTGCGCCCTCCACCCACACCATGCACCCAGGGGCCACAGAAGAGGAGGTGCAGGCTGGTGAAGCCTCCTGGTTCCAAAGGGGCTCTAGGGAGGGGTGGCGCCCGAGCGGCGCGGGAGGTGGGGATCACAGACACTGATGCAGGCGGGAGGCGGCCGAGCGGCGCGGGGGCTGGCTCTGCAGGGACCCCGTGTCCCCGGGCGCGGGCGGCTGCGAGGCAGCGGACGACGGGGCCCGCGCCTTGGTGGACTCCAGGCTGCTGAGTCCGGAGTCCTTGTTGTCACTGTGCGCCCGCGCGCCCGCAGGCTCCGGGGGGCCCCCTCCGCCCAGCTCCTTCCACTCGTTGAAGTTGAGGTCAGTCAGCGGGCTCTGCACCACCACGGTGTGGCGGCGCCAGCTGCTCCGGCGCCGCCGGGTCTCGGGCGACAGCGGCCGCCGCAGGCGCACGGCGAGCATGTCGTCCGCCGTGCCGCGGAGCCTTAGACGCAGCGCCTCCATGCGCGAGGGCCGGGAGGCCAGCGCCGCCGCCGGGGGCCGCAGCGACTCCTGGCTGCTGGACGACGCCGAGCCGGGCGGCTCCGGGGCGCGGGGACCGCCCCGGCCCGCGCCCTCGCCGTCTGGGCGGCCCCGGGCCAGGCGGCGGCGCGCCAGAGTGTCGCAGGGCATGAGGTGGTGCGAGCTGAAGGACGGCCGGCGTGTCAGGCGCCCCCCAGGCCCCGCGCCCGCCGCGCCCTCAGTGTCCGTCTCCACGTGGCTCAGCTCGCTACGCTCGTCGTCCGCCTCATCCCCCGCCCCTGCCCGCCGACCGCTAGCGCCCGAGCACACGCTGCGGTCCATGGTGGACAGGGTGGAGTAGCCCGACACAATGGAGCGCGTGTCCGCGGCCGGCCGCTCCTCCGGCGCCGCCGGGGGACTGAGGCGTCCGGGGGCCTCGGGGGCGACGGCGCCAGGCAGCGGCCCCTGCGGCCGCTCCTGAGTCCCCGGCGCTGTGGCCCCCGCCCCAGGCTTGTGCGCCTCCTGCTCCGAGTCGTCGTCGGTGCTGCTGCCCAGCCCCCGCGCCTCCCGCCGCTTCTTGCGCTTGCGGTTGACGGCCGAGATGAAGGAGATCGCCAGCATCTCCCGGGCGTACGGCTCCTTCTTGGGGGCCCACGAACCCTGTGTGGGAGACAGGTCAGGATGCGGGGGGCGCCCGGACTCGGCCCCCTGCCGACCCCGCTCTACCCGGTCCACCCCCACGTCACGGCACCCAGTCGCCACAAGCCCCAGCCAAGGCCAGCACCCACGGCCGCATCATAAAACGCTCCTCCTCCAGCCCCGTGCCGCCCTCCGTCCAGAGACTACCCCCGCTGGCCCAAATCTAGGCTCTCAGCTCTTTCTTGTGAGGTGGGCTGGTCTCCCAAAGCCCCCTTCCATTCTGTTTTCCGTATCCAGCCCTGGCTAAATCCTTTAGACACGGCTCTGGTGATGACAATCTCTCCACAGTGAATAACGCTTGGCAGCCTGAATCCGTTTCACACACGCCCCTGGGGTGTCATCACCAGAGCTTCCTGCATGCTGATCCCCAAATCCCCGCCAGGGGCGCTCTCTGACCACAAGTCCCCCACCTCCTCTCCACCCGCTGCCACCTGGAAACCTGCCTTCCCACCTGCCCAGCATCTACAGGCCTCTCCAGGGCAACCCGCCCAAGTTCACGTCCTCCCCTTTCCGCCGGACCCCACCAGCTCCCCACCCCGCCAATCCCCAATCCCAGGTCAATCCCGCCGCCAGCTCCGCCCCTGCAAGTGGCTGAAAGATCCCGTATGGTGTCATGGTTTGGATTGGAGCCGCTCCCAAACTGTGATTTCCAACCCCAAGTTGGGCAACTTCATGCCGCTGTTCTCACCTGAACCAGCCCTCACTGCTACACCCTGTGGTGTTTTGGGGCCTTGGCCTTTCACACTTTCCCAGGAGGGCCCATGCTGCCGCCCATGGCCTTCTGGAAGCTGGTTTTCATCCGCCCTTCTGGCCTCTCCTCTGCCTCTTGGGAGGTTCTTCTTGCCCGCCCCCCGCCCCGCCCCTGCCTTCCCCTGCCTTCCCCACTGAGACTCAGTGTTCCCAGGACTGTTTTTGGCCCCTTTGCCTTCTCTGTTCGTGTTCCCTAGAAAATACCATTCCCAAGCAGCGCTGCTATCCAGGCCTCCCTGTCCAACACCACACTCACTTGAGCTCCGGGACTCTTCTTCCCATTGAGAATCCATTTCTACCTGGGTGTCTGTAGGCTCTTAAAACTCACCTATCCGGAACCACAGCATCCTACCTACCCCTGCCCCAAACTGCCTCCATTCACACTGCTCACCTTAGGGCGGTCTTGTGACTCCTCCCTCTCTCCTCCACCCACAGCCAAGTCCTGGATTCTTTTGAAATGGCTCCCAAAGCCAACTCCTCCTCCTCCTCCGGCAGGCCCTCATTCTGCCCTCTCTGGGCCCTCCTGCCCCTCCTAATAGGGTTTCCTGCCTCCACCCTTGCCCCAGCCCGGGTCTCTCCTCCAGAGCCACCATTCTGAAGCAGGAATCTGATCCTCACCCAGCTTTGCTCAGAAGCTTGCATGCCCCAGCACCCACCAGGATAAAGCACAAGTTCCCCAGTTCAGCACATGGGGCTCTTCATAACCCAGCCCCAACTTTCCCAGCCTACTGCCCTGCTCTGCCCTGACCCCAACCCCAACACAGCCCTCACTGTGGAAATACAGCCCTACCAACCCTTCCTTTGATGTGACCTACACTGTTACATTGCTGCCAGCCCTTAATGTCCCCCTGCCCTATTTGCTGGATGAGCTCCTACTCACCCTACAAGGCCCAGCTCGAACATGGCTTCCTCTGTACAGCCACTTCCCAGCCCTCCCTTTGCCTGAGATGGGAGATCACTTCTCTATGTTCCTGTCATCTCACTATGCTCCTAGCTCTTCTCACATCAGCCTCATCAAACTCTGAGCTCCTTAAGAGCAAAGGCTGTGACTTGGTTGTTTCTGCATGGCACATAACAGGTGCTCAATAAACATGAAATGAACAAACAATTGGTGAATGAAGTCCCCTTAACACAGGAAGCCTTGTAGAAGCAGACGCTGGGACTGGTTCCTGTCTTGGGCTGGAATGACCTGACAAGGTCACGCTGCCCTTTCAACCCCTCCTCACAGACCACCTCTTGTTTCAGCCATGGTGTAATAATGAATGGAGACCCAGATGCCTCTTGTGGCCACTGCAGCCACTGTCCTTGCTCTCACATTAATTAGTTCTGAGAAAACCAGAGCATGTCAGGGACTCAGGAGTCACAGGCATGTGGCTCCTGGGCCATGGTTGCCCACAATGCACAACACCAGAAGGCACCCCCTGGAGTTGTGCAATGTGGTTGCACTGCTAGGATCAGCCTGGAGCATATGGTGGCCAGTACTGCTTTCTTTCCTGGCCAGTGCTCTCTGAGAGACTTAAGAGGCCGCTAGGATCACCTGATCAAACTACCCTCTCATCCCAGCTGGTTCCAGAAGCAACGAGGTCAGACTGATTTCTCTTCCAAGGAATGCAGAGGTCAGCAGATTCACAGAGAGATCAGGGAGTTAATCCAGGATATACTGCAGGAAAGCAGGGGGCCAGCAGGAGCAATGGACGGAAGTGACAAGGACCTGGATGTAGGTCACTATAATGAACTTTCTCCCTGTCACAGCAATCTTATGATGGAGGTCTCTGTCACCAGAGGTGTCCAGGTGCAGGCAGGGGCTCCATGCAGAGCTTACAGGGGACCCTTGCACCAGGCTAGAGCATTATTATTATTATTATTATTATTATTATTTTGAGACGGAGTCTCCCTCTGTCACCCAGGCTGGAGTGTAGGTGGCGCAATCTCGGTTCACTGTAACCTCTGCTTCCCGGGTTCAAGCAATTCTCATGACTCAGCCTCCCGAGTAGCTGGGATTACAGGCATACACCACCACACCTGGCTAATTTTTGTATTTTTAGTAGAGACGGGGTTTCACCATGTTGGCTAGGCTGGTCTTGAACTCCTGGCCTCAAGTGATCCTCCCACCTTGGCCTTCCAAAGTGCTGGGATTATTACAGGCATCAGCCACTGCGCCCACAGCCTTTTTTTCTTTTGTCCAGTGTATTCATCCGACACACACGGAGCACCTGCCAGGTGTCAAGCACATGGCTGTGGAGTGGGCTTACAAACCTGGCCAGTGCAGTGCTCAGAGACCCAGACAGAAATGAGCCCAGTTCCACCAGCCAGTCATCAGCTGGTTTCACTCACTGCTATGGACTAAATCGTGTACCTCCCAAACTCACATGTGGAAGCCCTAACCCCCAGTTTGGAGGTGGAGCCTTTGAGAGATAATTAGGTTTAGGTGAAGGTGGGACCTTTTGATGGGATTAGTGCGGTTATTAGAAGGGACACCAGAGGGCTTGGGCTCTCTTGCGCTCTCTTTTCTTTCTGCCTTGCCTTGTAAGGACACAGTGTGAGAAGGTGGCCATCTACCATCTACAAGACAGGCAGGGAACCCTCACCAGAAATGAGCCACACTGGCACCTTGATCTTGGACTTCTAACCTGTAGAACTGTGAGAAAATCAATTTCTGTTGTCTGAGGCACCTAGCTATGGCATTTTATTACAGCAGCCTGAGATGACTTTATACACACCCTGCCCTCAAGCTCTAATCTCACAGCCGGGCAGGGTCACCCAGGGCAGGCCTCATCTCCTAACGGGTTCTGTCTCACAGGGGAGGCTCTGGAGCAGGCGACTTGCTGGTTGTGAGACCTGGGGCAAGTTACAGAAGCTCTTCTGGCCTCTGTTTCTTCAACTGCAAAATAAGGACAATTTTATCTCTAACTCACAGGGCATTTGTGAGGATTAGTAATTCTAAGCACAGTAACACAGCAAATGCTCAATAAATTGTAACTATTCATATTGTTGAATACTTTAAACTTAGGAATCAGCGATGACCAAAGGCATTATTGACAGCTGGACTGACACCTTCTGCCAAACAAGCTAATTACCAGCCGGAATACTCTGGAGAAGGTGCTGTTAACTGGAGTCCCTGGGTTGGCTTTGGGGGTCCATAAACTCCTTGAACTTGCCACAGGATTTGTGTAGATAGGTGTCGTTCTGGAGCAAGAGTGCATAACTTTCCTTTTTTCTTTTTTTGGAGACGGAGTCTCACTCTATTGCCAAGGCTGGGAATGCAATGGTGCAATCTTGGCTCACTGCAACCTCCACCTCCCCAGTTCAAGCGATTCTCCTGCCTCAGCCGCCTGAGTAGCTGGGATTACAGGCGTGCACCACCACCCCCAGCTAATTTTGTATTTTTAGTAGAGACGGGGTTTTGCCATATTGGCCAGGCTGGTCTCAAATTCCTGGCCTCAAGTGATCTCCCCACCCTGGCCTCCCAAAGTGCTGGGATTACAGGCATGAGCCACCATGCTTGGCCTCCTCTGATTCTTGAAGGTGCCTGAAGTAGATAGGGAATCCCTGCATTCCAATATCTGTTGTCAATGCAAAAATTTTCACAGCCAGTTCTCTGTCAGGGTCAGGGTCATGGGGAGGTTTCTTATGGGGCAAGGGTTGGGGTCAAGGAATTTGAGGAACTTGAATAGGGCAGGGCCGGGGAAATCAGAGCCTGGTCAGGAGCTAGACTTCTCCCTGTACCAGTGGGGGTGCTCGGGGATTATTGCAGGCTGTAAAGAAAGCTAAGCAGTAGGTGAGGGACCACCAGAGAAGACAAAAGTGGTCCCCTTCCTCAAGAACTTGGAATTAAGATGATAAGGAGAGTGGGGTGCCGTGGCTCATGCCTGTAATCTCAGCACTTTGGGAGGCCGAGGCAGCAGGATCCATTGAAGCCAGGAATTCAAGAACAGCCTACGCAAAGAAGCAAGACCCCATTTCTACAAAATAATACAAAAACATTAGGCAGGAGTGGTGGTGTGTGCCTGTAGTCCAGCTAACTCAGGAGGTTGAAGCAGGAGGATCACTTGAGCACAGCAGTTAGAGGCTGCAGTGAGCTGTGTTCAGGCCACTGCACTCCAGCCTGGGTGACAGAGCAAGACCTGTCTCAAAAAAAAAAAAAAAAAAAAAAAAAAAAAAAAAAAAAAAAAAAAAGATGATAAGGGAGGCTTCTGAGTAATGAACAGCTCCACTCCACCCACCACGGAGCTGAGAGACTGCCATGTGTGCCTGGCCACACTCCTACCCGGGACAGCCTAAACCATCCACACAGGGAGGCAAGATCAGAATGTGGCTGTAACTTGGGGCACCGACGCCGCCTGGGTGTCCTGGACACAGCCTGGAGAACGTCTACAGACAGGACTGTCACATCTAGAACAATGGTTTCTGATGAGCTTGGGAGCACTCTGTCCAAATCGAATCCTCCCTAGAGACCCAGCAATGTGAGACAGAACCAAGAGTGGCTCAGATGGAGGCCGTGGGAGCTTGGATCCCTGCACGCTTGGTCCTGTCATACACCTGTTGGTGGTCACAACCCCATGGTGGCTCCAGGGAACACAGTTTGACCATCACAGACCTGGGTTTTAGAGTCAGGCAAGAGAGACAGAGGCTGGCAGTCGTGAATGTCCGGCACTTGCAGGATTTGTGCCCACCCTCAGAGCTCACAGCCTGGCGGGAGGCCAGGCCCTGGTGCCCGAGGCAGCCCCTTCCTTACAGCCGGGACAGGAGGCCGCAGGCTCTCAGATGCCTGGTGCCTCCTGCTTCCCTGACTCCGATTCCTGGTCTCCCCAGTAGATGAGACTGAGACCACTGCGGCACACACAACTCAACGTCCCTGTCCCTGCAACAGTTATTCCTATCGCTGTACTTAATAGACCGGCAGCCTCGTCTGTGCCTCCGTTTCTTAGAGGCTTGGCCGGTTGGTTTCAGCTCAGGCTCAGGACAGAGCCAGTCCCTGTGCCAGAAAATCAAGAAACACTCAGAGCCTGAGAACAGAGGATCAGAACTCAGATACCAGAGCACCAACCAAGGAAGGAGGCCACCTAACCAGCTCCCCTGCCTGAGGCCCAAGAATATGCCCAAACTTCTAGTTACTTAAGTTCTCTGAGCCTTGGTTCCCCACATCTGTAAAATGGGGATGGTACAAAATTCAAGGGTCTTCCGTAAAAATGAAATGAAACCGATGTTCGTGAAAAGTTATCTGCATACTGGCTGGCACCTAGTAGGTGCTCAGTAAATGTGCATTCCCTCCTCTTTCATCTCATGCTAGTGATTGTGATGAACTCACTGGGTCACAGTGAAGTCTCTGAGTCAGTTTACAGTAAAGACGTACTCTCTGAAAAGCACGTTCTATTGTTCAAGGCCCTGTGATTGAGAAGGCCTCCTGCAGGAGTTCCCAGGTTAATGCAGGAGTCAGGCAGGCCCAGACTGGGAAGCGGTAACTGCTAGCGTCTCAGGAGGAAGGAATTTCAAGCCAGGAGGCTTCCGGGAGGCAGTGGCCTGTGAGCTCTGGGGAGGTCAGTGTTGAGTCCACTGGAGACACGGTGGGGTCACAGGAAGCAAATGAGGACATCTTCTGGCCAGAAGGGACTCAGAAGGGGCTCTCCGGGGAGTGTGGAGAAGCCAGGCCCAAAGGGGCGGGGCACGGCTGCTGGGCAAAGTGCTGGCTCTCGAGAAGGGGCCGCAGCCTTCAGAGGCCTCGGCCTGCCCATGATGCTTCTCGGCCCCTTCAGGAAATCTGCCTTGCTTCATGGGACCCATTTCAGACTTCCTTCACTCTGCTCAGACTTTCCCTGCCACCTTCACGCCCAGCAGAGGTCCTCACCTTCCACTTCGCTGAGGAAAGAGCCATCAGCTGGGAGTGACCCCAATGACCTGCTGCCAACACTGCCTGCCAGTGTGCCCCTGCCACCTCCCTCTCTTCCTACTACACCTGGGGATGCATCTGCTAGGAGCACAGGCTACTGCTGCTTCACGGGCTCTGGGCCCAGCTCTTCCTCTCTCTCTCTGTCTCTCACCTGGATCATTCCCATTGGCAAGTAAATATGTGCTTTCGTCTTTTTTTGTTTGTTTGTTTGTTTGTTTTTGAGATAGGATCTTGCTCTGTTGCCCAGGCTGGAGTGCAGTGGCATGATCACGGCTCATCACTGCAGCCTCAACCTCCCAAGCTCAAATGATCTTCCTGCCTCAGCCTCCCAAGTAGCTGGGACTACAGGCATGCCCCACCATGCCTGGTTAATTTTTGCATTTTTTGTAGAGTTGAGGTCTCACTATGTTGTCCAGGCTGGTCTCGGACTCCTGGGCTCAAGGGATCCTCCTGCCTCGGCCTCCAAATGTGTTGGGATTATAGGCGTGAGCCACCATGCCTGGCTGCTTTCATCTTTTAATGAAAGTTTCCCTCAAGCCACATATTTTTCCATTTTTGTTCTGTAAATATCTCTTCACAATCGGACTTCTCACAAGAGTGGTCTACGTATGCGCTTTTCCCTCCCTCACTTTATTAGCTCATTCCATCTGGTTTCTGCCTCCACTGTGCCTCCAAACCTGCCAGACAGATAGTCTATTTCTTCATAAGCTTAGTGTCTGTCTCTCATTAGAAGATAAGCTTTGTGAGGGCAGGAACCTATCTGTTTGGCTCATTATTTATATTTTCAGTACCCAGCACAGTACTGATATAAAGTAGACGTTCAACAAGTATTTGTGGTATTATCAAATGAATTAGCCCTATCTTTTTCAAAAGCATTGTTAGGTTTTGGTATCAGGGTAATGCTGGCCTCATAAATGAGTTGGAAAGTGTTTCCTCCTCTTCTATTTTCCTTTCTTTTTTTTGAGACGGAGTCTCGCTCTGTCGCCCAGACTGGAGTGCAGTGGCACGACCTCGGCTCACTGCAACCTCCTCTTCCCAGGTTCAAGCAATTATCCTGCCTCAGCCTCCTGAGTAGCTGGGATTACAGGCGCATGCCACCACACCCAGCTAATTTTTTTGTATTTTTAGTAGAGATGGGGTTTCACCATGTTGGCCAGGCTGGTCTTTAACTCTTGATCTCAAGATCCGACCTCAGCCTCCCAAAGTGCTAGGATTACAGGCGTGAGCCATGGTGCCCAGCCACCCTCTTTTATCTTCCAAAAGAGATAGTGGAGAATTGGTATTATTTCTTAAATAACTATTTAAATAACATTTAAATAATTCAAATATTTAAATAACTATTTAAATATATCAATATTTAAAATTATACTATTTTCTATTTAGAATATTTTAAAATTATTAAAGTAAATTGTTTAAAAATTTAAAAAATTCCTTAAATATTTGGTAGAATTTAACAGTGAAACCATCTGGTCCTGAAGTTTTCATTGTTGGGGGATTTTAAATTACATATTCAATTTCCTTAGGAGGTATAGGACTATTCAGGTTATCTATTTTTTCTTAAGTGAGTTTTGGCAGTCTGAATCTTTCAAAGAATTGGTCTATTTCACCTAAGTTATTGAATTTATGGGCAACTTTATGCCCATAAATTCAATTACTTAGGGGTCTATAGCCAGGCGCAGTGACTCACGCCTGTAATCCCAGCACTTTCGGAGGCCAAGGGGGACGGATCACGCGGTCAGGAGATCAAGACCATCCTGGCTAACCTGGTGAAACCCCGTCTCCACTAAAAATACAAAAAATTAGCTGGACGTGATGGTGGGCGCCTGTAGTCCCAGCTACTCGGGAGGCTGAGGCAGGAGAATGGTGTGAACCTGGGAGGCGGAGCTTGCAGTGAGCCGAGATGGTGCCACTGCACTCCAGCCTGGGTGACAGAGCAAGACTCCGTCTCAAAAAAAATAAATAAATAAAAAATAAAAAATAACTTAGGGGTCTGTAGTGATGTCCCTCTTTCATCCCTGATACTGATAATCTGTGCCATCTTTCTTTTTATTCTGTTAGTCTGGCTAGAGGTTTATCAATTTCACTGATTTTTTTTCAAAGAACCAGCTTTTGGTTTCATTGCTTTTTTTCAACTGTTTTCTATTTCATGGATTTCTGCTCCTCTCTTTATTTCCTTCTGCTTGCTTTAGGCTCTCCAAAGACCTTAAAGGATATCTGTTTTATTTATTATAGCACCCCACAGATTTACTGATATTCCCATTTTATAGATGAGGAAGCTAAGGATCAGAAAGTGGTTAAGTAACTTGCCCAATGTCCCAAACTACTAAATGGTGGAGCCAGAACTCAAACCCAGGACTGTCTGACTGCAGAGTCTGTGCTTCTAACTACTGAGTGACATTGCCTCCTAGCCACATAACTCCCAGGCCAGGTCCTTCTACTACAGCAGATGCCTCACCAAACACTGCCAAGGTAAGCAATTTCTCAGCTTACCTTGGGCACTCGGTACCTCCTGCCTTCCCTCCCAGGGACCATCAACTTTCCCCATGGTCCAACTGCCATTCCCTCAATTCCCTTGAACAAAAACCAAAGTGGGCTGCCTTGTACAGGGATCAAGCCTTCAGAATTGCCTTCATACGTACCTTGGACTTGGCTGAACTACAGGTGGTAGAATCTGTTGGTGAAAGACAGAAAAAAAAATGAAAGTTGCATCAGGAAAAAAGAAAGCTGAGTCTTATGCACACAATTCCCTCTCCTCAAAGGCTTCAGAAACCAGGGAATTCTGAAACATGAGATCTCCCCAGGCCCTAGGAGTATGATGGACATCTGATGTCCATCTATGGGAGAGGGATGGAGGAGAAAATGATGTTAACTGCCACTTCCTCTAGAGGCAGGAAGTGACATCAGGCTGCCAGCCACTGGCCCCTCATTTACCGATGGCTAAGGGCAAGGGGGCATTGTCTTTGAGCCTGGTTCCTCTCCCCTTCCCCGCCCGTCCCTGTTACTCTGAAGCACTGGAGAGAAAATGCCAAATATCAGGTGCAGTCCATGGAAACCACCACAGTGAAACACAGCAAATCACAGATGCTCTGGAGAAATGGAGACCACACAGTGCACAGAGAGGTGGGTGCCCTACATCCACCCCCGAGCACACAACAGAGAAGAGGGACCACATGAATAATGGATAAAAGGGCAAAAATGAAGTGGGTGGGACGCAGGAGGTGGAGTGGGCTGGTGATTAGAGCCTTGATAGGTTCCACCTCCGGACCTGGGGTCACCCTGCCTCATGGGCAGGGTCCCCAGTTATCACCCAGTTATGAAGGAGACCAAAAGCATGATTTCTATGGGACTTGGGTCCCACTCCCTTAATATCACTGGGGTGGAGAAGGAACCAGAAACACGTCCTGGTGGGTCCCCTCCAAGGCTAAAGAAGGAGCAGGTTGGTCCAAGGGCCTCCTGGGGTCCCACAGGGTAGTGGGCAGGTGCGGTTAATCCACACTCTCTGGCAGGCAAGTTAGACGCCCCCCTCTCCGGACCCCTCCCCCTGCACAAGGTGAGAAAAGCAAGATGGGCGACCACACACGACACACAGGGCGCGGGGGGCGGCGGGTGATTAGAAGAGACATGGGGTCCCTCTCTGCCGTCCCACCCCCATGTCTTCTGGCCCCTCCTGAGCCTGCCTCTGGTGACTAGGGAGCTCCTGTGTGCCTCTGTCAGAGACGAACAGAAATGCTAAAACTAAAGGGAGGGACAACCATGGCGGGGGGAGGAGTCAGTGGCTGCAGCCACAAAGGGAGTGGCCCTCATCTGTCTCTGAGCATGTAAATCATCTGTCCTCTGCCATGAGAGGGCCACAGGCCCTGCAAACAGGACTTAGGGCCCCGGTTTCTTAAGCAGGAAGAGGCGGCCCATTGGGGTGACTGAGGCAGGAGTTAGAGATAAAGAGAAGCTTCTGGGCGTGGCATCGCTGGTCTCCAGAGAGTGTCGGTCCCCAGCCTGGATGACTAGCAGTGGTGAGACTCGGCAAAGAGAGGCCGCAGGGTCTGTGGCACTGCAGGAGGGCAGCAATTCGATGCCCAGGTGTCCAGGCAACGGGGAGGGCCCTGGGCCCAGTGAGTGCCTCCTTCCTCCTGAGAAGGGGCTTTAGAATGGGAGGGGCATGGACTGCTGGGGTAAGTGGATAACAGGCAGGGGTAACTGGCATGTCAGCGTGGGGTCCTCACAGTCCGGGACATTCTGCCTGCCGCTGTGCCCACCCAGCCTTCTTATAATCACCCGCCACTGTTAGTGACCGAGGCCGCGACACCGCACTGTACCCTTTAAATCTCCAACAGGTCCGCTGGAGGAGGGGAGGGGGAGGAGAAGAGAAGGGGGTGGGAGGAGAGCACGGGGAGAAGAGGAGGGAGAGGCGGGGGTGCAAGGAGAAAAGGAAGAAAAATTAAAAAGAGGAACATGCCCAGAAGGACACAGCCAGCCCATGAGAAATTAAAGGCTGAGGAAAGAAACCAGTGAGAGAGGGCGAACAAAGCTCCGACCCTGCCCGGGGCGGGGCAGCTGCGCAGACAGGAGGTGGGCACGGGGCAAGCTGGACTTCCCTAGGGAGGGAGAAGGCCCCCAACAGCCCCATCTCCATGGTGGCCGGCAGGGGAGGGCCCCGCTGGGGTGGCACAGGGAAGCTGGGCATCTGGCCAGGCACCTGGGACCCTCAGGAATGCAGTGTCCAACCTCCCGCCTCCCCACTCCCAGGCCCCTGCGCTCACCTGACCCCGGGTCGCCAGGGGGCACTGTCCTGCCAATGTTGGGCAGGAGGTACTCAATGTTGGGCACTGCCTGAGGCTCCTTGTCGCCCACAGGGGTCTGCGAACAGGAGGAGGGGTCAGCTGGCATGCCCTCAGATGCTGGGCTGCCAACCCCCCAGAGGGGGGTGCCCTGATGACAGAGCCCATGTCTCCTCCATCAGACCGGGCTCACTGGGGCAGGGACCGTCTCCCTCATCAGCCGGGCGCTCTTGAGGATGATTCCTACATGTCCCCTATTAGACAGTTTTGTGCCTTCCTCAACACCTGGGAACCGCGAAGGCCAGAGCGGCCCCTTCAGCTAGGGGCAGGAGCTGTGTCTCCCGCACCAGACTGGAACTCCTCCAACCTAAGTCCTTCTCAGTAGCCTGGAGGGCAGGAGCTGCCTTTACTCCTGAACTGGGTTCCCTCTGAGCAAGGCCTATATCTCCCCCATTTCGACTGGGGATTCCTGAAGGCAAGCTTTGTGCTTCTCTATCAGACTAGGGGCTCCTGAGGAGAGGGTCTGTGTTTCCTCCACCAGACTTGAGGGAAGCCTCAAGGACAGACACCTTCCCCGGCTTAAGTCCCGCTGCCTGCCCCACCCCCAAGGACTGGGGCTCACCCCAGACCAGCCCCCATGCCAGCCCAGCCCGCGGCATCACTTACTCTCTCTCCCTTGTCCTCTTCGTCACTGAAGAACCAGTCTGACTGCAGAGAAGACAAAAGGAAGGGATGAAATCAGCATGGGAAAGAAGAGTCTCTTCCACCTGCTCATTCCAGAGGACCCGCTCAGGCGGCAAGGGGCGCCTCTCTCTCAACAAACCCCAGGCTGGCGGGGCTGCAAAAGAGGGCTCAGAGGGAGCTTGACGGACCCTAAAACCTGACTCCACAGACTATGAAAAACCCTGGGGGAGAGAAAAGGTGGGACCCCAGTGTGGGAGGAGACACGGCAGGGAGTGGGAGCATTCACCTCAGACAGGAGATAGGCTTAGGGAGAGCTTCGCTTTTACTTGCTTTTCTCTAAACACTGTCCTGGGCACACCCCTGTGGTATACTCCCCACAGCGAGCCGGGGGGCAGGGAGGCACCAGTGCCGTTAGTGTTGGCCAGGTCCATGGCTGTGACAGCCGAGTGTGCCCCACGCCACCTGCCACCCATGGGTGCCACACTGACAACAGGGGTGTCACGTACTCAGCCCAGAAAAGGAAATGACAGGAGAAAGGCGTTGGAGGTTTCCTGAGGGGCAGGAGGCGAGAGCTTTCTCATAAAGGCCAAACAAGAGAGAAAATAAAGACCCCCACAGTTTAATATATTTTGTAAAATTTGAGAATCTTGAAGATAAAATTCTAAGTTTTCTGAAAAAAAAAATCCAGATTGCTTATAAATGAACACGTATCACAGGTACTTGGAACTTTCAGCAGCAAAACACAAGAAGACAAGAAAGTAAGTTTTGACGTGTTGAAGGAACCTAGAATTTTATACCCTGCTAAACTCTCATTTAAATCTGAGTGTAAAATAAAGCTATTCTTTTTTTTTTTTTTCCAACAGAATCTCACTCTGTCACCCAGGCTGGAGTGCAGTGGTGCAATCTTGGCTCACTGCAACCTCTGCCTCCTGTGTTCAAGTGATTCTCTGGCTTCAGCCTCCCAAGTAGCTGGGATTACAGGTGCACGCCATCACGCCTGGATAATTTTTGTATTTTTAGTAGAGATGGGGTTTCGTCATGTTGGCCAGACTGGTCTCAACTCCTGACCTCAAGTGATCCGCCCACCTCCACCTCCCAAAGTGCTGGGATTACAGGCATACCACAGATTGTTTTAATCACCCCTTAAGTGAACCTCCTGCTCTCTGGAGCCACCACACCTGGCCTTGAAATAAAGCTATCCTGAGACATCAGAAAATTTACTACACAAAGACTCTCTTAACTGAATACTTGAGCAAGTAAAGAGATGACCTTCGGCAAGCTCCAAGAAATAACTAAGGCACTTTTGGCTTTTATTGTATTTATGTATTTATTTTTGAGATAGGGTCTCTCGCTGTTATCCAGGTTGGAATGCTGTGGCCTGATCCTAGCTCACTGTACCCTTGAACTCCTGGGCTCAAGAGATTCTCCCACCTCAGCCTCCTGAATAGCTGGGACTACAGGCATGTGCCACCTTGCACAGCTAATTAAAAAAAAAAAAATTGTAGATTTTGGGATTACAAGCATGAGCCACTGCACCCTACCACTTTTGGCTTTTAGATGTGGTGGAAGGAAGACACAGAAACTGATAAGCATTAGAAATTGATAGTGACAGGCCCGGTGCAGTGACTCACATCTGTAATCCCAGCACTTTGGGAGGCTGAGGCGGGCGGATCACCTGAGGTCAGGAGTTTGAGACCAACCTGGCCAATATGGTGAAACCCCATCTCTACTAAAAATATAAAAATTAGCTGGGCATGGTTGTGCGCACCTGTAATCCCAGCTACTCAGGAGGGTGAGGTGGGGGAATTGCTTGAACCCGGGAGGCAGAGGTTGCAGTGAGCTGAGGTCGCACCACTGTACTCCAGCCTGGACAACAAGAGTGAAACTCCATCTCAAAAAAAATAAATGAATAAAAATTAAGGCAATTACCCTTTACCCCCCTCAACACCTATGAAAGAAGAGGAACAGGCAATTTATAATCTCATTATGTAGACTTAAAACACACAAAGAATATTATATATATTTAAGGGTAGCCATGCATTTACAATAAGTGGAAGGTGTCCTGGAAGGACACATATTAGCCTATTAAGAGTGGGCACCTAGGGGAATGAAGAGGGGAAACAAGGGGACTTGCCTGAGCATACGCCATGAGCCTCAGTTATTATCGCTCATGATCTGACATGTGATTAACTCAAACAGCACAGGAAGGCCAGAAGGGAAAGAAGAAAGAGATAGAAGAGAAGACAGCAAAGGAAGATAAGAAAAATGCAAGCTCTGGCCGGGCACAGTGGCTCACACCTATAGTCCCAGCACTTTGGGAGGCTGAGGCAGGTGCATCAGCTGAGGTCAGGAGTTCAAGACCAGCCTGGCCAACAGGGTGAAACCCCAGCTCTACT
This sequence comes from Homo sapiens, assembly GCF_000001405.40. Taxonomy (NCBI): domain Eukaryota; kingdom Metazoa; phylum Chordata; class Mammalia; order Primates; family Hominidae; genus Homo; species Homo sapiens. The sequence continues at coordinate 38,495,412 of NC_000017.11, read as the reverse complement.
AAAAATACAAAAATTAGCCCGGCATGGTGGCATGCACCCATAATCCCAGCTACTTGGGGGTGCTGAGGTGGGAGGATCACTTGAGCCCAGGAGCTGGAGGCTGCAGTGAGTGGAGACCGCGCCGTTGCACTCCAGCCTGGGCGACAGAGTGAGACTCTGTCTCAAAAAAAAAAAAAAAAAAAAAGAAAAAGAAAAATGGAAGCTCTGGAGTCAGTCATCTTGGTTCAAGTTCACCTTAGCCAAGTTACTTTCCCTCTGTAAGTCTATTTACTTATCTCTAAAATGGGCATGATGTGAGTACCTCCTTCTAGGCCTGAGGAGGATTGAGATGAAATACTGTATGGAAAACGTCGAGTGCAGCACATTGTTAATGTATAATAGATGTCAGCTACTGCTATTCAAAAGTGTGGCTTCCAGAGACAGGCTGACCAGGGGAAGCCTGAGGATCGGCCCAAAGAAGCCAGCCGTTAATGCAGGTTGGAAGGTGCCCAGAAGTACTCTGCAAGCCACAGCGTCTACAGGAAGCGCCCGGGTGGCCACGGCTCTCAAGAGGAATCCACACTAGTTCCTGCCACCCTGTTTCTGCACGTGCTGTTCTTTCCGCCTGGGATGCCCTTTCTCCCTGCTCTGCCTGGCTAAGTTCTCATCATGGTCCTCTAAGGCAGTTCAAGAACTCCATGACTACGACCCCAGCCCTGCACCCAGGGCCGGGGTGGGTCCTTCTGTGGGGCTTCCTTGGGCATAGCCCAGAGCACAAAGAGACGCAGCTCTTACTTTGATAAACATTATTAAAAGAATAAATGAATGAGAAGCATCATTTTTTTAATGGATTTTTGTGTGTGTGTGTGTGTGTCAGGGTCTCACTCTGTCACCCAGGCTGGAGTGCAGTTTCGCAATCTCGGCTCACTGCAGCCTCCCACCTCAGCCCCCCAAGTAGTTGAGACCACAGACACGCACCACCACACCCGCTGGCAATATTCCTTCTGAGCAGGCTCCCATTCACCTCCGTGTTCCCAGCACGGGGATCTGTCTCTGGCGTGGAATAATGACCACGACGAAGAGGATGACAGTCCGTTCTCACACGACACTTAGGACCTGCCAGGCACCGCCGCGAGTGCTTTAGCAGACATTCACAACGATGTGAGGTAAACAGTATTGTCATCTCTGCTTTACAGGTGTGGAGACTGAGGCACAGCAGGTAAGGAACTTGTCCAAGGCCACACAGCACATAGGAGCAGGCTGGCCCCAGAGCCACTGCCGTCAATCCCCCCACCCCAGTGGGCACTTGGCAATGTCTGGAGACATTTTCGATTGTGACAACTAGAGTGATATTCCCAGCATCCAGCAGGTAGAAGCCAGCGATGCTGCTAAATGTCCTGTAACACACAGAACAGCCTCCCACAAGAAAGACTTATCTGGACCCCAGCGCTCACTAGTGCTGAGGCTGAGAAACATTAGGTATCGCTGCCTTTGCTGAGTGAGTCCCTGAGCAAATGCCCTGGGTGATCTTTGTTTGGGTTCCATTTGACTTCGTAAACATAGGTAGGGGCTCCTGGCAACTTGCCCGCTGCAAGATCAGACACCCAGGTTTGCTCTCCTCTCTGCTCTGCCATTATCTTGCTGCGTGGCCCTGGGCAAGTCGCTGTTCCTCTTTACCCCTCAGTTGCCACGCTCTTTCCGACCTGAAGACTGGTCTGGGTACCCCAAGTGACAGCAGCACTGCCCTGGCTATGGAGCCTCCAGGCTAGACAGAGCTGGCACGCTTGGGTGGGCAGGCTTTCAGGGCTTGCAGAGTGGGTGGCTCATTCCCTCGACAATCATCCAGGGCTGGTTACGTTCAGATGCCAAGGAGGCAGAGAAGGGAAGGACACTAGCTCAGTTAGCTCTCGGGAATGAATCTCTGAGTAGAAAAGCCCAGCCTGGCTGGGCGTGATGGCTCACACCTGTAATCCCAGCACTTTGGGAGGCCGAGATGGGAGGATCGCTTGAGTCCAGGAGTTCAAGACTAGCCCTGGCAACATAGTAAGACCTCATCTCTACAAAAGAATACAAAAATTAGCCAGGTGGTGTGGTGGTGGCATCTCTAGTCCCAGCTACTCAGGAGGCTGAGATGGCAGGATCGCCTGAGCCTGGAAGTGGGCCGTATCTGCCCACTGCACTCCAGTGTGGGCGACAGACTGAGACTCTATCAAAAAAAAAACAAAAAAACAAAAAAAAAGCGAAAAGAGAGAGAGAGAAAGAGAAAGAAAACCCAGCCTGACGTAACCTCAATTAGCAATTTACTCAGTCATTTATACTCCACAAACACTGAGTAGCCACTGTGTGCCAGTAGTGTCAGTGCTAAATGAGACAAACTCCACCTTCTCCACCCTGCCCAGAGCAGGGACTCCCCCTTGGGGCTTTGGCCTCCTTCCTCCCTGAAGGCTGCAGTTCCTGACACCTCAGCTGACCTCAGACCTTGGGCTTCCAGGGACTTCTCCAGGAGCACAGGGCCAGACACCCATTCTTCCCTGCTGCTGCCCCCAAAACACACCCTCACGGGAGGTTCCGGGGCTCCCTGGTGCCCTGGAGAGCTAAGCTTTCCCAAGGCCTCATCAGGATCCCCGACGCTGCAGGGCAGCCCTGGCCTCCCAGACAGCTCTGGAGTGGTGTTCCCAGTGTCCGGATGCAGCAGGCTGTGATCTTCCCTCCTGTGGCTCGGAGCCCTGAGCATGCAGTGAAGGAGGGAGATGGGCAAGCAAGGCTGTTAACATGGCTCAGCTGCTCACCACCTCGCCTCCTTACCCTGGCCCCCTCCCTCCGTCCCAAGCCAGCTCAAGGAGGGACCCAGGAGTCTGGCCTTTGGGTTGATAGCAGGAGGAAAGCACAGGCTTTGGTTAGTCAGATCTGGCTTGAAATCTTGGGCTGCCACTTATTAGCTGTGTGACCATGAGCAAGTTGCTTTGCCTCTCTGAGCCTGTTTCCTCCTCTGTAAAATGGGGGTGATAGGGCCCAGCTTTCCTTCCCTAAAGTGTCTAGGGGGCTTGGGACTGAGGCTTCCCTTCCTCTGACCAGCTGCCAGTCTTATTTCCCCTGGCAGGAGGGGCTCTGTTCTCATCCTTTGTGGGCTGTAACAAGAATTGGAAATGGAAAATCTACGATTCATAATGATATCCGTGTGCACACCAGAAGGCGGCAGTGCTGCCTTAGGGTTGGGCTCTCGAAAACCAAGGCCTTCTGCGCCCTCTGCTGGCCACTCTGGGTTCTCCTCCGCCCATGCACAGTAACAAGAACCTACAGGACCAGGGCTGTTGGCATCCAGGAAGCCATGAGAAGGGAGGTGGCCAGCCCAGTACATGCCAAGCACTGGTGCAGGATCCTGCCTCAGGCCAAGGCCCTGTGCCCTGCCCCATCCACCCCTTGTTACCAGGAACATCACCACTATCTCCCCAAAACCTCAGTGGGGCCAGCAGGGAAAGTCACTAGAGCCGGGGCCTCCTGATATCAGGCCAGACCTTGGCCCCCGTCTGCTCGTGTCTGCCAGGACACCTCTCCAGGGGCCAACTTCTGAAGCTGCCCCTTCCGCCCTCCACCAGTAGCACCTTCCCTGCCCTTCCTCCTCTTCTACCTTTCCCAGGCATCTCGGAAGCTCGGGGGCCTCTTGACTCTCCTGCTGGGGACACAACATCCCAGGGCAGCAGGGATTCCAGGATCCATTCCTGCCTTGCCTTGAAATGCAGCCCATGGCTTTGGAGGAGTATATACCACCCTAGCAGCATGCTCTAAAGCTGCCGAGCCCTTCCTGGGGCACACTCCGCCAGGCGGAGCAAGAGCGAGGGGCTCAGAGGAACATGGCCTGGGCCCCAGGGGCTGCCGGGCGCCCCCCGGAACAGGGGCTTACGTGCTGGATCAGTGTCTCCACGATCTTGTAGCGGTCAGGCATGTGGGTCACCATGTCTGTCATGTTGTCCTCAGACGTCCTCACCAGTGTCGGCCCAAAGACCAGGGCCAGGTTCCGGGGTTCCATCTGGGCAGCAGGGAAAGCAGGTCACTGTCAACATCCTGACCTCAGTCCTCCCTCACTCTGGCACCTGAGGCCTCTGTCCCCAACTACATCCTCACCAGTCCCCAGCTTAGAGGGTGGACACCCCCTTGTATGGGCATGGAGATGCTTGATGAGTAGAGCACAGACCAGATTTCAGCCCCTTTCATCCCCAGGCCCAGCAGCCATGAGCAGTGCCCAACCTGCACACCTATACAAGGCAGCCCTGAGTGGTCAGTGCCAGCAGTGGGAGACCCTGCAGTAGGAAACATGTTGGAGGTCCCAGGGGTTATTTTAGGCCTGGGAAATAATCCGATCACTTCCAGGTGCCTGTAATCCCAGCTACTCGGGAGGCTGAGGCAGGAGCATCGCTTGAACCCGGGAGGCGAAGGTTGCAGTAAGCCGAGATCGTGCCAAGGCACTGCAGCCTGAGCGGCAGAGTGAGACTTCGTCTCAAAACAAACAAACAAACAAACAAAACACAAAAAATCCTATCACTCCCCTCATTTTCCCCACTGCAGAACCAGAAGGCATAAGGGGTTTGATGAGGAAAATGCAATGCGAGGGACTTGAGCTAAGTCGGAGGATGGCAATGCATCGGATACGGGGGGCCGGGGTTCCCTGCCTCTGGAAAGCCCTCAGAAACTCAGGAGATGGCTCTCTGGGGGAAAGCACTGACCAGCATGTAGGAGCGGGGTGGGGACGGAGCAGTCATAGGAGGAGGGCGTGCCTAGAGGGGCCTGAGTTACTGGACCTGCTGGAGCTCAGTGCGTGCTGAGGGCCCTCACACAGTAAGTCCGTGCTTGCCTCCCCCAGACTCCATGCGGGACTCCTACCCACCTTGTTTTTCTCAGAGTGGTCAGCGATGGTCTTGAGATGGCCCACAAGGAATTTGAGCGTTTCATAGTAGTGTCCTGGGAGATCCCGGATCTGAGCAGGAGAGAGGAGGGGCATGGGGACAGGCTGTAAGGGCCTGCCCCTGTCCCCCGTCATCACCATGCCCCAAAGATCTCCCACTACCATGCCTCAGGGAGTCTGGAACCTATCCTCTAACCCCCCGTTCTCTTGTATGGACGGGGAAACTGAGGCCCTGAGTGGAGCGGGGCTTCTCCAAGGCCACAGGGGTCGTGGGCAGCACCGGACTCCCTGCCTCCTGGGACAGAGGTGCTCAGGCAGCTGCCCCACCTCGTGTCTGACAGCACCTCTCTCTCCTTACCAGCTTCCGCAGCGTCCTCATTCGCTCCCGCGCGTCCTCAATGCGGTTGGCCTCGATGAAGTCGTTGTATTTGTCTAGAACACAGCGGAGACTCTTTAGAGAGGTGGGGGCAGCGCCTTCCCCTGTTCTCCCGGCCAAGGGCCCTGCTGGGAGGGCTGTGTTTTGAACTCCTCCAGTTCGGGGGCTCCAGCGTGGGCGACAGCCTCTTGTGTATGTGAACACACCCACCACAGCTGCACTCACCACAGCTGCACTCACCACAGCTACACTCGGGTGTGCACCTGACCTGGGGTAGCCCAGCTGTGTTCATTTGGGAGGCAATACCATCTGAGCTGCATGCTGATCCCAGAAAAGGGGTCCCTGCCCCCGTCTCCAGGACATGGACACCAAGGTTCAGCAGGTCAGAAGAGAAGGGCACCTGGAGAGGAGGAGGGGCTTCAGACAGCCTCCACCAAGGATTACCCCAACTCCCTTCAGAACAAGTCCATGGGGACCTTTAAAAAATGGAACATGATAAGCCTATTCTGAAATTCATCTGGATGAGCTAACGCACAAAGACAGCCAGGAATAGTTTTTAAAGAAAGAGTAACGCGGGAGGATCTGCCCTACCAGGGACTGAAACATCCCGAATGGATGGCACAACTGAAGCCGGCTGGCACGGCAGAAAAGGCAGAGCAATGTTAAGGCTAGAAAGGGGGGAAGCGGGCCATATGGATATTTATTATATGATAAAGGCAGCACTTCCAATCGGGGGGAAGGATGGGGGCCTCAACAGATGTCCCCGGGACAAATGGCTACCATCGGGGGCGGGGGGATCATTTCTAGCTCACAATACACAAATGCAATCACACGGCAGAGCCAACTGTGAAAATTATAAAAGCACTGGGGAAAAAGTAAGAAAATATTTTTATAATCCTAAGGCCATCCTAAACATGAGATGCAGAATCCATGAAGAAAAGATGAACAGCTTTGGTCACATTTTAAACAATTGTTTTCGGCCAGGCACAGTGGCTCACATCTGTAATCCCAGCACTTTGGAAGGCTGAGGCGCATCAGCTGATCACTTGAGATCAGGAGTTCAAGACCAGCCTGGCCAATGTGGCAAAACCTCATCTTTACTAAAAATATAAAAATTAACTGGGCATGGTGGTAGGCGCCTGTAATCCCAGCTACTTGGGAGGCTGAGACAGGAGAATGGCTTGAACCCGGGAGGCGGAGGTTGCAGTGAGCCGAGATCGTAACACTGCACTCCAGCCTGGATGACAGGGTGAGACTCAGTCTCAAGAAAATAAATAAAATTAAATAAAAATAAAATTAAAAATTGTTAGGCAGGGCGCGGTGGCTCACGCCTGTAATCCCAGCACTTTGGGAGGCCAAGGAGGGTGAATCACCTGAGGTCAGGAGTTCAAGACCAGCCTGGCCAACGTGGTGAAACCCCGTCTCTACCAAAAATACAAAAATTAGCTGGGCATGATGGTGGGCACCTGTAATCCCAGCTGTTCGGGAGACTGAGGCAGGAGAATCGCTTGAACCCAGGAGGCAGAGGTTGCAGTGAGCCAAGATCACACCATTGCACTCCAGCTTGGGCGACAAGAGTGAAACTCTGTCTCAAAAAACAAAACAAAACAACAACAACAAAAAATTTGTTTTCAGTTTCTATACTGCAAAGTGAAAGGCAAATGGCAGGCCAAAGCAAATATTTGCAAAAACTAACAAAGGGTTAATAGCTGTAAAACACAAAGAGCTTTTCTCCCGCAAATCAACATAAGAAAAAGATAAACAACGCAACAGAAAAATGGGCACATGGTCTGATCGAGCAATTACAGAGAAAATAGAAACAGCCAATATGCTAATGAAAAAAGATTTAATCTCCCTAGTAATGAGGGCAATGAAAATAAAAACAATAATGAGATACCATTTCCCTTATCTGATTAGCAAAAGTTTAAAATGTTAATAATATTTAATGCTGTCTGGGTGAGGTGGCTCAAGCCTAAAATCCCAGCACTTTGAAAGGCCGAGGCGCGATGATCACTTTAGACCAGGAGTTGAAGACCAGTCTGAGCAATGTAGTGAGACCCTGCCTCTACCAAAAAAAATTTTTTTTTAATTAGCTGGGTGTGGTGGCACAAACCTGTAGTCCCAACTACTCAGGAGGCTGAGATGGGAGGATCACTTGAGCCCAGGAGGTTGAGGCTGCAGTGAGCCATGATTGCGCCACTGCATTCCAGTCTGGGCAACAGAGCAAGATTCTGTGTCAAATAATAGTATTTTTATTTTTATTTTATTGTATTATTTATTTATTTATTTATTTTGAGATGGAGTCTTGCTCTGTCACCCAGGCTGAAGTGCAGTGGTGCGATCTTGGCTCACTGCAACCTCTGCCTCCTGGGATCAAGCAATTCTCCTGTCTCGGCCTCCCTAGCAGCTGGGACTACAGGCACCCGCCACCACATCCAGCTAATTTTTGTATTTTTAGTAGAGACGGGGTTTCACCACAGTCAGGCTGGTCTTGAACTCCTGACCTCAGGTGATCCACCCGCCTCAGCCTTCCAAAGTGCTGGGATCACAGGCATAAGCCACCATGCCTGGCCTTCAAGTAACAATAATAGTTATAATATCCAATGCTGTTGGGGATGTGGAGAGACAGACTCCTACATTTTAGTGGGAGTCTAAACCAGGGCCTCTTTCTCAGAGTGCAATTGACACTGGTCTCAGAAAGGTTCACCGGGACTTTGACCCAGCAATTCTACATCTAAGAATCTCCTTAGAGAGCACAGATCCAGGCGTGCAAGGACTTATTCAAGGAAAGCCATTGCAACAGGTTGTGTAATAGCAAACATTTGAAGACAACCTAAATATCCATCAATAGAGGAGTACTTAAAGAAATTGTAGTCTATTCAAACCATGAAATTCTATGTGGCTGATTTAAAAGAAGAATGAGGTAGAGCTCTCTGCACTGACACGAATGAATCTCAGAATTACAACTCTGCTTTTGTTAAAAACAACTCAACCAGCGGTGTGCTGGAGCCCGCTCACACCAGCTCCTGAGAGCGACTGTGTGCCTCTCTTCCCAATTCCATGTTGGTGACATCATGTTGGTGGCTTGAAATAAACCATGGTAGGAGTATTTACGCCATGGAAGCTGGAAAACGCTAGGCATTAGGGCTTTTTTCCCCCAGAGACAGATGTTAAACATCTGCCAGCACACCCCTGAACCCACCCAAATCCAAACCCCACGCAGGCACGTGTGTATCTCTGCCATGCATATAAGAGGGCCAGGAGAGAAACACAACAGATTGTGAATAAGCAGTTCAGCAAACGGCCAAAGCCCGTCGGTGCCCGACGCCTGGGGTGGAATCCTGGCTCTGCCATTTACAACCTGTGCGACCTTGGGCAAGGCATTAAACTTCTCTGAGCCTTGGTTTCCTAATCTGTAGAGGGAAGACAATAGCACCTTCCTCATGGAGTTGCTGTAGGGAGTTGTGCTTGGCACACTCTAATGCTCAGAAAGTGTTAGCCACAACCTCCCGTGAAAGGGAGCAGGACATTCACAGGGTCCTGTGCTGTTTTCTTCATTCACATCTGTACAATCTATGTTTTTTAAATAAGCTTTTGTGTTAAAAAAAAAAAAAAAAAAAAGCCAGCGTGGTGGCTCATGCCTGTAATCCCAGCATTTTGTGAGGCTGGGGCAGGCAGGAGGATTGATTGAGCCCAGGAGTGCAACACCAGTCTGAGCAACATAGTGAGAAACTCCCCCCATCTCTGAAAAAAAACTTTTAAATTAGCTGGGTGTGGTGGTGTTCACCTGCTGTCTCAGCTACTCAGGAGGCTGAGGTGGGAGGATCGCTTGAGCCCAGTAGCTTGAGGCTGCAATGAGCCGTGATTGCGCCACTGCACTCCAGCCTGGGCAACAGAGCAAGACTGTCTCAAAAAAAAAAAAAAAGAGTAAAACCAACAAACCAAATGCAAAAGTAGTGGTCAGGGTGAGGCACGGACTGGTGTCCCCTCCCCGCCCCACTTCCACCTCCTACTCACCATCAGTGAAAAGAGGCTCGGGCAGCTTTCGGAAGAAGGACTTGAGCAGGCTGCTGATCACATTGAGGTCTTGCCAGCGCTGGGGGAGGGGTCAGATGTCAGGCACAGGCAGGCCCAGCCCGATGCCCATGCCTCCACGATCATTCACCCCAGAGCCCAATCAAGCCCACCAGGCCCTCCCTGGGACCTACTTAGACCAAGCTCTCTACTCATCAGGATGGTGGCAGCAGAACTGAGTCCCCAGAGAGGTCCTGTGCCCACACTCACACTTGGCCCCAGCCCCTCCCTGCTCCTGCCAGTGCGTGGGCTCCAACACCTCCCCATGCACAGAAAGTCCCAGGCACTGTGGGGAGACAGTGAGTGGCAGCTGCTGCCTCCACTGGGCACAGTTTAAGCATCCGTGACACAGCAGTCATTCGTGCCGGCTCCTTCCTGTCTCAGGTCCTCTGCATGTGCTGGTTTCCTCAACCAGAACTTTCCTCCCCGCCTCCACACAACTGGCTCCTCATCCCCGCCTAAAAGTCGCTCTTCAAAGAGGCCTTCTCTGACCCTCATAGCTAAAGCAGCCACCTTCACCACTGCCCTGTCACCTGCACCCCAGCCCTGACTTTGTTTCCTTCCTGGCGCTTAACCCAATTTGTCATTATTTTCTGCTTTTGTTTCCGTGTTCATGCCTGTCTCCCTGCAGGACTGTAAGCTCCAGGAGGAGACAGGATCCCGTCTGTCTCATTTCCCACTGTGCTCCTATCACCTAGCAAGGACAGTTAACCTGGTACTTACATGGCCCTAAATCAGTAGTTCTAACAGAAGGAGGCAATTTTGTCCCCCAAACTCCCACTCCACCCACAGAGGACATTTGACAATGTCTGGAGCCATTTTGATTTTCCCAACTGGGAGGTGCCACTTGCATCTAGTGGATCGAGGCCAGGGATGATGTCAAATTCCCTCCAGTGCACAGGACAACCCCACACAACAAATAATTGTTCTTCCCAAAATGTCCACTGAGATTGAGAAACCCTACTCTAAAATAAATGGTTGTCGAGTACAAGAACTAACGGCCGGGTCGTTGTCCCTTCTGTCCTCCAGGGGGCACCATCACCCCACATTGCAACCAAGTTGGGCACAGCCGCCTCGCTGGGAATGGCTCAGAATAACTCAGGCCCAGAAAGCGACCTAATACCCCCAACAAAGAGACACAGTACAGCAGTACACACACTCATTACAATGGATCCACAGCTTAATGCCAGACAATCCCATAAACAATACACTCCCCACAGGCTCACCAGGGGTTAGATTCATCCCCCACTACACTTACTCCCAGCACGACCCACAACAAATGACACAATGATATCCAAGACAAAACAACACACCCAATATACCTCGTATGCCCCCAGCTGGCCCTGGCTTGGACCAGCTGCCTGCCAGCATGGCCCCCTCATCTCACACACACCCAGTGCGGCTCCTGCCCACCCGACTCCGTTACCTCCTGGCCCTCAGGTGTGAGCTCCTCTCATCTCCCAGCTGCCAAACCCAATGCCCTGGCCAGTGCTTCCTGGTTCCTCCAGAGTGAAGTGTCTGCCCTCACCCCAGCCTCACTGGCGGCCCTCTCCTTCTGTCCCACTCAGAGCGTGGCCCCTGCTGTTCTGCGGCCCACCCTTGGTCATCCCATGCCTCAGCTGCAGCAGGACCCATGCCACTCTCTAGTCCAGGCTCAATATAGCGCCTGTTTATGCCCTCACCCCATGCAAGGGACTTTCCACACCCCAAATCCAATGGAGCCACTCCCTGAGACGGCCCCTCCCTTCCGCCTCTCCTCACGCTGCCCCACTCCCTGGTTTCTGCCAAGGGAAGATACCACCAGCCCCAGCTCAAACATGCGGCTCTTCCTCGCCCCTCCTTCCTCCCTCTCATGCAGACAACTCTTAGGGTTGCTCCCATCCTCCCCCTTCCCCTGAGACCACCAAGTCCTCCCGACACTTAGCGCTTCCATAGATCAGTGACTTCTCCCCAGACCCCTGCCCTCCGCATTCGTATCCAATGGACATGAGCAGGAGCATTACTGTTTCTTGAACTTTGTTCTCACGATGCCTCCCCAGCTTAAGAACCATCAGAAGCTCCCTACTGTCCATCAGATCAAGGTCGAAGTCTTCAGTGAAGCCATCAAATGCCTTCTCTGTCCCCCTGGGGCCTCACCCTCCCCACCTCCAAGCCCAGGAGGTAGATCCACTCTCTGTCCTAACCCTCAAGCCCTCCCCGGCCCTTGCTGGGGTTTTGGAAAATGCCATCGTCTCACACCCCGAAAGGCTTCCCGTCCACCTGCCCCCTCCTATTCATTCCTCCAATACTCAAACCCTCCAGCCACCACCTGCTCCAGCCTGAGCACCCTCTCCTTCCTCATCACAGTGTGGTCCCTGATGAGAGATCATCTTTTTCTCTTGTCCACAATTTCACACACACTTGTCTCAGCTCCTCATTCTCCAAGGACAGGAAGACTTGTGTATTCCATGAGCCTTCACGTGTGTGATTCGTGGGACATCACTGCCCACGTTCACGGTTTTCCAAAATATCTTTTTTATCAGAGCCCCTTTGGGCAAATAAAATTGTACATGAAAACCCAGTACAACAGACAGGGCAAAGCAGGGTTGCTCTAGCAAGGACAGGGGGTCCTGACCTGCCCCTGGCCTCCCAAGGCCCCTCTGGGGAACCCTAGGACTCTGGGGAACACCCTTTGAGAATCGCCGGCCTTGCTGGAAACACTTAAGTGTGATTGCAGATCCCTTCACAGGCTGGTCTCATCTCGCCTGATCAGCCACTTCTCTTTCCATGTTGCAGCCACCCAAATTGCTGGCCATTCTAGAAAACATCATATATTCCCCTTTTTCTAAGCCGGCGGTTTGTAAACCATGGTCTGTAGGCAATATCTAGCCACAGCCTGCTTTTGGATGGCCCTTGAGCTAAGTATGGTTTTTACGTTGTTAAAGGATTAGGAAGAGAAGGAGGAGGAAGAGAAGGGGGGAACGCAACAGAGCAAACTACAGCAGAAAATATTTACCCTCTGCCTTCTACAGAGAAAGCTGGTTGACTCCTGGCACACTTTCCGCGTCTACACCATTGAGCAGGCCATTCTGCTGCCTGGAATGCCCTCACCTGGCTTTCACCGGCCTTTGGTGAACTCTACTCATCCTAAACACTCGGACAAAACTGCCATCTGTGAGCCTCTGCCTCAGAGCTCCCCAGGCCATGACTGCATTTACTTGGTCAGCTTCAGCCTGGGGTGATGCCCATCCCCGGGCTGGCCAGCGGGGGCAGGTCCCATCTTGCCCATCTTGGTGTTCTGGACCAATGCCGGGCATGTCATAGGGCACAATGCATGCAACACAATAGACCACAGAACTCTCCAAGCGGAGCACCACCCACACACCATCTCAGCCCCTCTTCCACAGACCCCCCAGCTTCACCCACCTCATCCTGCAGGTTGATGTCACCAGGCCCGCGGTTGAGCTGCTCCTGTAGGCTGGACACCACTGCATTGTTGCCGGGCACTCGGTAAATGCCTGTGGACTCCAGCCCTCGTGCCTCCACAATGCGACAGCATGCAGCCACGATTAAGGGGACGCGCTGGGGACACATGGGAGGGGTGTTAGGGGGGACAGGGGCCAGAGGAGCTGGGGAGGCCAAGAAGGGGACAATGCAAGGCCCAGAGCTGCTGCCAGGAACCCTTGGGGGGAACAAAAGGCCCTTGCTGCCTCCAGTCTGGGAGCTAAAAATGACACCAAAGCCTCGCCATGGTCTGAGAAGGAGCCGGGCTCAGCCTCAGCCCTGCTGCTCCCTCCCTGGGAGGCCCGGGGCAGGCGGGGGCCTTCCCCTCTCTGGGCTGTTTTCCCAGCTGTGTTTGTACAATGAGGTGGAGAGCTGGTTCCATGTCCCTTGCTGCTCTGACCCTCTGTGCCTCGGTCTCCCCCTGCTGGGCCTGCTCTGGCGTGTGGCAGAGACTCACCTGGTTCTCCGTGGCTGGCTGGCACTCCTCCAGCCTGACCCCAAACGCCCTCGGAGCGGCCTTCTTATTTTTCTTGATGATGTTGATGCCCCAGGGGGTTTTGGGGGCTGCAGCACTGTCATCTGAAGTGGGGGAGACAGAGCCAGAGTGAGCTGGGGTATCCAGGAGGGTCACACACATTCACTGCCACATTCACACATTTGGACGTATGGGGATTCCATCAGAGAAGAAACCAGATGCCCAGGGCTGATGGGACATTGTATGGCAAGAGAGAAGGCCTGAAGGGGAGGATGCTTACCCCAAAGGAGAGGCCCAGAGCAATGCAAGGACTTCCGTGTGGCTCGTGGGCCAAAACTACAAGGCGGAAGCCATAGAACTTTGTTTCTTTAGAGATAGAGTCTCTGTCGCTCAGGCTGTAGTGCAGTGGTATGATCATAGCTCAATGCAGCCTCAAATTCCTGGGCTCAAGCAATCTTCCCTCCCCAGCCTCCCGAGTGGCTGGGACTATAAGCTCATACCACCACACCTGGCTAATTAAAAAAAATTTTTTTTGCCAAGCACAGTGGCTTATGCTTGTAATCCCAGCACTTTGGGAAGCTGAGGCCGGCAGGACCACATGAGGCCAGGAGTTCGAGACCAGCTGGCCAACATGGCAAAACCCTGTCTCTACTAAACATACAAAAATTAGCCGGGCGTGGGCCGGGCGCGGTGGCTTACGCCTGTAATCCCAGCACTATGGGAGGCCGAGGCGGGCGGATCACGAGGTCAGGAGATCGAGACCATCCTGGCTAACACGGTGAAACCCTGTCTCTGCTAAAAATACAAAAAAATTAGCCAGGCGTGGTGGTGGGCGCCTGTAGTCCCAGCTACTCGGGAGGCTGAGGCAGGAGAATGGCGTGAACCCAGGAGGCGGAGCTTGCAGTGAGCCGACATCACACCACTGCACTCCAGCCTGGGCAACAGAGCGAGACTCCGTCTCAAAAAAAAATAAAAAAAAAAAATTAGCCGGGCGTGGTGGCACATGCCTGTAATCCCAGTTACTAGCGGGGCTGAGGCACAAGAATCGCTTGAACCTAAGAGGTGGAGGTTGCAATGAGCTGAGATCACTCCAGCCTGAGTGACAGAATGAGACTCTGTCTCTAAATAAATAAATAATATATAAAAAAAATATTTTGTAGGGATAGGACCTTTCTATGTTACCCAGGCTGGTCTCAAACTCCTGGCCTCAAGCAATCCTCCAGCCTCAGCCTCCCAAAATGATGCTGGGATTATAGGTGTCAGCCACCATGTCTGCTGGCCCAAGGGAACAACTTTCTTTCTTTTTTTTTTTTTTTTTTTTTGAGACAGGGTCTCACTCTGTCACCCAGGCTGGAGTGCAGTGGTGTGATCTCGGCTCACTGCAACCTCCACCTCCCAGGCTCAAGTGATTCTCGTGTCTCAGCCTCCCAAGTAGTTGGGATTACAGGCGCACACCACCACGCCCGGGTACTTTTATTGTATTTTTTTTTTTGAGATGGAGTCTCGCTCTGTCACCCAGGCTAGAGTGCAGTGGCGCGATCTTGGCTCAATGCAAGCTCCGCCTCCCAGGTTCATGCCATTCTCCTGCCTCAGCCTCCTGAGTAGCTGGGACTACAGGTGCCTGCCACCACACCCGGCTAATTTTTTGTATTTTTTAGTAGAGACGGGGTTTCACCGTGTTAGCCAGGATGGTCTCGATCTCCTGACCTCGTGATCCGCCCACCTCGGCCTCCCAAAGTGCTGGGATTACAGGCGTGAGCCATCGCGCCCGGCCTTTTGTATTTTTAGTAGAGTTGGGGTTTCACCATGTTGGTCAGGCTGGTCTTGAACTCCTGACCTCAGGTGATCTGCCCTGCCTTGGCCTCCCAAAGTGCTGGGATTACACGTGTGAGCCACCTTGCCCAGCCAGGTAAGAACTTTCTAACAGCCAAAGGTGAGTGAAATGGGAAAGGTTGCTCTTGGAAAGGGTGGGCCTCTCATCCCTGCAGAGACACCAGCAAAGATTAGAGGACCACCCAGCAGGGATGTCAGGGACGGGAATCAGGCTCCAGGCCCTTCCACCCCGAGACCCTGAGAGCCCCTAGACCCTCACAGGCATGCACACGCAGACAGACATACCGGTAGCCCTGGCACACAGTCAGGCACACATGAGCAGACACAGCCCAACACACACACGCGTGCCCTCCCCTCCCCATGCCCCCTGCCCCCACACACCACCCTGTCTCAGTGGCCACCTTCCTACCCTTGCTCCCTGCGGGCAGGTCCTGAGTCCTGAGGCCACGTGCCGCACTCTGCTTGAGGAACTCAGACTTGAGGCCCCCCAGGCCGCGAGAGCCTTTGGGGGAGGAATCAGCTTTGGGCCCAGAGCTATGGCTGTGTAGGAAAAAGGGGGAGAGGAGAGGTCTTCATTTGGGGTGGCCAAGCAGGCCACCCACCCTGGCCTCCCGCCCCTCGGGACCTCCCCTCCACCCTGAGGCAATGCCTCCATGCCTAACTGCAGCCTGGAGACCCTGGATACCCCTTCCCCCAGCAGAGGGCAGCCCTGGAGGTGGGCCAGGAAGACATCCTTTGCCTTCAGCCCCCTACCACCCCCACAGAGGAGACTGCTCCACGAGGGCTGGGCCTCACCTCACTTTGCGATAATCGTTAAGCTTCTTGCTGATCAGAGCTTGGTTGGCACAGCCGGGGTCCTGAAGCAGGAGAGGAGAGAGCGGATCATGTCAGTGCCCACAGCCAGCCCACCCCAGGGCTCATCCCTAGCCCTGCTTCCCCTCTTGTCCACCTGCCAGGTGGACAGCCCAGACCCTGGAGTGAGAAAGACCAGGCCTGGACTCCCCAGCACCCTCTCACCAGCTGAGGCCTTGGGGAAGCCTCTTAGCCTCTCTGAGCCTCAGTCTCCTCGGTAATAAACATGGGGGGCTAACAGGGAAGGCTCAGGGCCGGGTGCAGAATCATGCAGCACTCGCCACCGTCCTGGCAGACACTGAGCAGGCATGGAGGAGGTGCCCCAGGAGGGACTGCTACTGCCATAGTGATGGTGACTTGGGATCCCCTGACTAAGCCTTGTTGGGGACAGCCAAGAGAGGCCCCCAGAGGAGGAGGCCCAAATTCCAGGTGCCTTCCTCCCTGCAGTGGGGAAAGCTGTTCCCGGGAGAGCAGAGCCTGGTCAGTAAGAGGATGTGACCTCAGCAAGAGGCCATGCACTAGCACCCCCTCCCACGGCCACAGCAGGCCCAGGCCCACTGCCCTCTTGGCAGAGACCCCAGGCCTGGGACGCCCACATGACTTTGTGTGGGTGTCTCAAGGCACTTCTGTGTAGGTTCCTGGCCAAAGAAGTAAACAGGGAGGAATCCCTACCTAGGCCCCTGGAGTGTAGCTATGGCTGACCACAATGGGCACCATTAAAAAAAATTCTTCGGCTGGGCACAGTAGCTCACACCTGTAATCCCAGCACTTTGGGAGGCTGAGGCGGGAGGATCACGAGGTCAGGAGATCAAGACCATCCTGGCTAACACAGTGAAACCCCATCTCTACTAAAAAAAAATTAGCCGGGCATGGTGGCATGCGCCTATAGTCCCAGCTACTCGGGAGGCTAAGGCAGGAGAATCACTTGAACCTGGGAGGCGGAGGTTGCAGTGAGCTGAGATCGCGCCACTGCACTCCAGCCTGGGCAACAGAGCGAGACTCTGCCTCAAAAAAAAAAAAAAATTATCCCAAAATCCCTGCCGAGGCCCTTGGCTCCACCCCTGCCCACCTGTGGCCAAAGGCCAAGCCTCTCGGCCTCCTCACAAGGTCAATGTGCTCATCCTTCTGCAGACAGGCCAGCCCAGTGCAGTTCTGGTGCGGGGACACTCATGCCCTAACACACTCCATAGGAGGCCCCTGCCTTCCTCGCCTGCTGAGAAAAGCTGAGACTGGCCTGGAGCTGACCACTCCACACCGGAGCCTGCTCAAGGCGATCCTAACACAGTCACAATCATCCCTGTCATCATTAGGGTCAGGATGGTGACTGCCGGTCCCCGCACCTGAGGACGCCAGGTCCCCCGTGAGCCCTGCCTGTGCACCCTCCTCACCCCGAAACCTTGGGGGACACAATCACGAGGTGCACTCCTGTCAGCCCCCCTTTCTAGCAGAGGGAAGTGAGGCTCAGAGCGGGCATCCCAGGTCCACAGCCGGTGAGAGGCCACCCCGCCCGCCCTCTGTGGCTGCCGGGCTGGCCGGGCCCTCACCTCGCCCTCGGCCCTGCTGTTCTCCCGGATCGCTCTGATCCAGCCCAGCATGTCATCCCGGTCCTCAGCCTGAAAGAGATATTCACAGAAGTCAGCGGTGGTCAGCCGGAACACGTGCCTCCTCTTGGTCTCGCTGTAGGAGATGTCCACGAGGCAGGAGCCGATGCAGACGGGCGCCGCCTCGTCCTCACCTGCGCCGGCCGCCGCAGCCCCCGCCGCCGCCGGCCCGGGCTCCCGCCGCTCCTTGCTCAGCGAGAGCGAGCGCGCCCGCAGCGCGGCGTACACCCGCTTCCACTGGCGCAGGCCGCTGCCCGCTTTCTGCAGGGAGACACGGGGTTGGGGGAGACAGGAATGGTGAGAGGCCAGTTTTGCCCACTGCTCTCAGAGTAGCAGACAGAGGACAGCCAGGGGATGGACCCCACGCTGCCTACCAGGAGCCCCCTGCTCCACCCGGCTAGACCTGGGCAGCCTCCTGCCCACAGCCCACCAATGCCTTCTCAGCCCCTTGCCTGCCTAGACACCCCTACCCATCATCCTAAAGCCCCCCAGCAGACCCCAACCCTCTCCCCCTCTAAACACCAGCATCAACACTCACCGAGCGGTGGCAATGCTCAGACACCCAGCATGGCCCTCCATACATGAAATCCTGGGGATGCCATTCCCAGCCCACGCCCCTCCCCAGGCTGCCCCTCATCCCAGCAAACCTGCTCAGAAGCCGTCCGCACTCTTAGAGGGTTGTTCTCCCCACTTTCCTGCCGCCCACCCAAGACTCCACTTGCCCAGAAGCTCCTTCTCAGGGACACCCAGAACCGCCATGTGGCCAAAGCCAGTGGCTGCTTCTCCCCAACTTGCCTTAACCCCTCAGCGGCATCTGACACAGCCAGCCCCTCCTTCCCTCTCCAGACCCTATCTCGGCACCTGAGACCCCACGTTCCCAGCTTTCTTCCTAATGCCACTGGCTCCTTCCTAGTCTTCTCTACTTGCCCTCCCCCACCCTCTACACCTGTAGTTAAACAGCCAGGAGACTAGTCCCCACGGGACATTTGTGTGGAGGGAGCTGGAGGGTGTGCTATGGCATCTGAGGGATGCGGCTAAACATTGCACAATGCACAGGACAGCCTCCCCCAACAAGGAATTATCTGGCCCAAAATGTCAGCAGAGCTGAGGGTAAGAGACCCCGCCCTAAAGGAGGCGGAGCTCCAGAACTTTGTCCTGACTCTCCTCTCCTCTCCTCTCCCTGCACACCTCCCTCAAGGATGTCACCTCTGCCGTGCCTTTAAACTAGGTCCATCTGCTGATGGCCATTCCCAAGCCCAGCGTCTCTCCCAGCCACAGCCCGGCACCCCCACCCTGCTCAGTGGCTTCATTTGCAGGTCCCATGGGCACTTTGCACAATACTTGCCAGGCCATGTGATTTCTTACCATCAAACCCCTTCTCCACTCTCCACCCCCATCTTTTCCAGCCCAGTCAATCCATCCAGTTGCCCAGAAACCTGGGAGCTGCCCTTGACTCCTCCCTTTTCCTCGCCCTTGACATCCCATCCATCAGGAAGTCACAACTATTCTGCCTCCAAAACATCCCGTCTCTGTCTTTCCTGCCACCACCCGGTCCACGCCATCAACGCCTCTTGCTTAGAGGATGCACAGACCTTCCCAGTCTCTACTCTCGCTCCTGCAACCATTCTCCAGCAGCAGCTGCAGCGATCATGTTAGAATGAAAAGGAGATCACATCTCTCCCCTGCTCAGCATCCTCTCAAGGGATCCCATCGCCCTCAGAATCAAATCTAAGGTCTCCTGTGGTCTGTCCCTGCCTTTCTCCAAATTCATCTTCACACCTTTCTCACTATGTCAAGCCAGGGGGCCCTTGCAGGTGAGCGAGCCAAGCCTTTCCTTTCTCAGGGCCTCTCCGCTTGCTGTTCCTTTTGCCTAAGCCCCCTCCCTCACTTCTATATGTGGCTGCTTCCTTCTTCCCCTTCAGATCTGAGCTCCAGCATCACCAACGTCACCTCCTCAGTGAGGCCTTCTCTGGCCATATTTTTCCCTCAATGCAGCTCCCGCTTCTGATCAGCTTGATCCTTTCCAAGAACTTACTGCAGCCTCAGGCTGTCCTGGGGACAGGGAGCTTGTCCGTCCTCTCATTTCCATATCCCAGGGCCTACAGCAGCAGCATGCAAGGGCTCATCAATATTTGTTGAATAAATGAATTAATGATCCTTGGAGCACCCTGAGGGCAGGAGCTCCATCTCCCATCAGACCAAGAGCTCCTCTCTGCTGGCTGGTGGCTCCACATCCAGCACAGGCCTCAGCTCTCCGAACAAACCAGACAAAGAGACCCCGTGGCTGGCAGATGGGCACAGCCCACATCTGGCCTCCCATCGTGTGGATCCTGAGCTGTGAGCCCTGCTCATCACAGAACTGCTGGATGGGGACAGGGACATTCAGAGCAGGAGACAGCAGAGCCCTCCAGGGAGAATTTTAATGTGACAGTGAGGTGGTGACAAGGGCACCTCTCTGAGGCTAAACCAGAGGCATAACCTAGGACAAGTCAACCGCACTCCCAGGCCTCAGTGTCTCCGGCTGGTAAATGAGTGAGAGAGTTGGTCACCAAGGCTGCATGCAGCTCCCATGCTGGGGCTGAGGCTGCGGGGACAAGTCACTGTCCCTTTCCCTCCTCTGCCTGACAGTCCGTGTCTCTGAAAGAGGCTGGGGCTGGGAGGGAGCACAGAGAGGGTGCCCACGGCCTGGGTGGACCAAGGGCCTGAGGCTGACTTGAAGACTCTCCTCTAACGTCCAGGCCACGGCACCAAGAGAACAAGTGATATCGGGTTTTGGCCAGCAAGGGAGTGGAGGCCTGGTCCTCCAGAACTGGCCAGTGAGCAGGAAGGGGACAGCTCCTGTCCCTGAACTGGGCTCAGGGCCCCCAGGAGCTGAGGGTCAGGCTCCCCGGCAGGGGGAGCCAGCCACCCTCACAAGGACCCTTCATGTGGCTCACACGTTAGACTGGAAGGGCTGGCCCACACGTGGCTCTCCTCGCACAGTGCACATGGCTGGTCCCTCCTTGCCTCATGGCTCCCACCCCATGGGTCACTGCCAACTTGCTGGCTCTTTTTGGTCTCTGTCAGCCTCCCCGGCCCCCCCACTTCTCTCAAGGCTCAGCCGGGTCTCTTGCCTTCTTCCTTCAAGCCCCTGCACAGAGGCACAGGTAACTCGTCGGTGCTGACAGACAAAGGCCATCCCCAGGTGGGCCTCCCTCTAGTGCCACGCCCTCAGAGCCTCTGTCCCCAGGACACCTCCACTGGGGTCTGTCCCAGGGCCCTCAGACTCACATAGCCCCAGTGGAGCCACTTGGCTTCCTCTCCCCAAACCTGTTCCTCCAGTATGCCATGGCCCAGGGAGGGTCCCACCACCCACCACCCTCCCTCAGCCCAAGCCAGGAATCCAGGAACCTTATCGCCTCCTCCTCCTTCCATACCTCCCAGCAGCCGGCAAGCCCTGGCCCTCCTTCCCCTGGAATCTCTCTCTAAAGTGTCTGCTCCACCCGGCCTCACACCACTGCCTTGGGTCAGGGCCCCCAGCCTCACTCACCTGGACAAGGGCAATGGGATTGGCTCCTCCTGTCACAGACATAACCCCAGTCTCCTGCCATCCCCAGCCCACATTTAAAACCCTGGACAGAGCTGGGCACGGTGGCTCACGCCTGTAATCCAAGCACTTTGGGAGGCCAAGGCAGGCAGCTCACTTGAGGTCAGGAGTTCAAGACCAGCCTGGCCAACATAGTGAAACCCAGTCTCTACTAAAACTACAAAAATTAGCTGGGTGTGGTAGCAGGCGCCTGTAGTCCTAGCTACTCAGGAGGCTGAGGCTCAAGAATTGCTTGAACCTGGGGGGCGGAGGTTGCAGTGAGCTGAGATCGTACCACTGTACTCCAGCCTGGGCAACAGAGTGAAACTCCGTCTCAAAAATAGATAAAATAAAATAAAATAATAAAACCCTGGACAGGCTCTTCCTGGGTATCAAGGCCCCACACTCTGGGCAGGCACCCAATTCCCCAGCTCATCTTCCACCTCTCGCCCTGGCTCCCAGCACCCCTCTCCCCAGGACCCTCTAAGGAGACATCTTCCCTGTCAGGCCCCTCCACTGTCTCCCAGTTTTGTGGCTTCTCACCCTTTCGTGTCTCAGCCTCTGGATACCTCCCTACCCACGCCCACCCGCCCCCGCACCCCGGCATCACGGCAGTCTGTGCACTGGGAACCATGACGCCACATGCGTTCTCTCTGCTCAACAGGAGCGACAGGAGCCCCAGGAGGGCAGGGCTGCCCTGGCTCCCTTACCACTAACTCCCCAGAACCTCCACGGAGGCTCCCGAGCAGGGCGGCCTTAGTCATTCTCCACAGAGGAGCGCCAGTCCCGCCTCGACTTCACCCTCACTTAATCCACAGCAGCCCTTGGGGTAGGATAACATTGTTCCCATCGTACAGATCAGAAAGTGAGGCTCAGGGAAGGTAAGTGGGGTGCCCAAAGCCACGTGCTTGATATGTGGCCGGATAGGAACTCAAAGTCTGTCTGCTTCAAAGCTTATGTTCTTTCCAGGGACCCCCAAGACCCCAGAAGGCAGGGTAGAAAATTCAAATAGCAGTAAGCGGGCTGGGCACGGTGGCTCACGCCTGTAATCCCAGCACTTTGGGAGGCCGAGGCAGACACATAATTTGAGGTCAGGAGTTCGAGACCAGCCTGACCAACATGGTGAAACTCCGTCTCTACTAAAAAAATACAAAAAAAAAAAAAAAAAAAATTAGCCGGGTTTGGTGGTGAGTGCCTGTAGTCCCAGCTACCCAGGAGGCTGAGGCTGGAGAATTGCTTGAACCCAGGAGGTGGAGGTTGTAGTGAGCCGAGATCGCGCCACTGCACTCCAGCCTGGGCAACAGAGCGAGACTCCGTCTCAAAAAAAGAAAACAAATAGCAGTAAGCAGAAGTACAGCAGCTTCAAGTGCCGGGCACTGGGTAAACCCTTTACTTAGATCATCTCATTTAATCCTTAGCAATAGGCTTATGAGCTAGGGATTACTGTTAGCTCCATTTACAGGAGAGGACACTGAGTCATGGCCAGGTGAGTCACCCAGGCTCTCAGAGCAATGGGTGATGCAGTCAAGAGTCAAACCCGGGTTCATCCTAATCGCCAGGAGGGAAGGCAGTGGTCTCTCCTCCCACTTCTCCAGCCCACAGCGCAGCCTGGGGCCAGGATTTGCACCCCATGGATCCAGGGGCCCTGCCCTTCTCCTCTCAGAGTCCTGCTGGTTCCCTCCCAGGCCCTCCCCAACTACTCCCCGAAGCCCCCTTCGCCTCTCATCTGGATCTCCACGGTGGCTCCTAATTGGTCTTCTTGCCTCCAGCATGGCCCCTCCCTAACTCACTCCCAGGGAGCCAAATGAATATTTTAAAGCTGTAACTCCCT
Organism: Homo sapiens; assembly: GCF_000001405.40. Lineage (NCBI taxonomy): Eukaryota > Metazoa > Chordata > Mammalia > Primates > Hominidae > Homo > Homo sapiens. The sequence goes on along the minus strand of NC_000017.11, from coordinate 38,472,443 downwards.
TGGCAAGAGCCCCCGAGAGCTTTTGGTTGCCCTTAGGATGAACACTAAGCCCTTTGCTGGCTTGCCTGCGTCTTCTTGGGCCTTAGCTCTCCTACGGAAATCACCCCGGCCTTGCTCCTTGTTTTCCATGAGCCCCAGCGGCCATCTTCAGGATGGCCTGTCAAGCCAGGGCCCGTGTGGGATGGTTTTGCCAGAATATTCCAAGCACGACTCGATCAGATCCATCCCACAGCAAAATCCACCTCTCTTGTTAACTTCTTTTACATAAGTTCTTTAAATCCCCCTGCCAGGAAGTTCTTCCTAGCATCTAACCTCCATCCTTCATGCAACAACCTACACTGGTTCTCTCTGGCTCCAGAGGCTGTCAGGGTAGGCCTAGGAGAGGCTGGAGGGTTCTGCTGGAGCCAGCTTCCACCTCATTCCTCCACCCATCTTACCTTCCCCTTCTTGGTGAGAATCTGCTTATAATACAACCAGCCTTCTCTCCTGATATCGCTGAAGGTCGCATCTGAGAGGTCAGAGGTTGAGTGTCGCTTAGAAGGAGCGTCAGCATCTTCAGAGGTGCCCCAGCTATCCAAGGACTGCAGGGAGACAACAGAGGACAATTTAGGGTGGCTCCCACAATGCCAGCATCTCAGGAACCCCATGGACCACTTGTGGCCGCACAGGCCTGATATATGTCTGTGCTACACCCCGATGTGCTGTGCGACCTCATGGGCATTGCTTGTCCTCTCTGGACCACTTGTGTTGAGGTCATGAGACGTACATAAAGGAGAAGCCAGAAAGGAGGAAAGGCTACGACCTGTCAGCAGACCACACGCCTCACCACACTACAGGAGCCAATTCGGAGCCTCCCATAACTTTATAGACTTAGAAGAATCAAGGAAATGGAGGAAGTGATCGTGTCAACGAGGAGTTAAATAAACAGGGGAAGTGGGAACATCAACAAAGGCTGAGTGAGTGGAGCAGGTAGTCATGTCCACGAGGAGTTAAACAGAGGAAGTGACAGTCTCAACAGGACTCCAGCCAGAGGGCGCAAGTCAAGGGAGAGTTAAGTAAGCAGAAAAAGTGATAAGAAATAAGCTAGGTGCCAATATCACCAGGGTGTTCAACCAACCAATGAGACAGAGCGCTTGACATCAAGATGGCTTTTCCAGTCCATCTATAATCAAAAACAGCCAGGGAAAGGTGGGGCGGGCACGCTGGCTCATGCCTGTAATCCCAGCACTTTGGGAAGCTGAGACAGGTGGATCACTTGAGGTCAGGAGTTCAAGATCAGCCTGGCCAACATGGTGAAACCCCATCTCTACTAAAAACACAAAAATTAGCCAGGTGTGGTGGCGCATGCCTGTAATCCCAGCTACTCAGGAGGCTGAGGCACGAGAATCGGTTGAACCCAGGAGGTGGAGGTTGCAGTGAGCTGAGATCGTGCCACTGCACTCCAGCCTGGGCAATAGAGTGAGACTCCATCTCAAAAAAAAAAAAAGAAAGAAAAATCATGCATGAAAAATATATGTATGATTTTAAAAACAAAAATATGTCCAGGTGCGATGGCTTATGCCTGTAATCCCAGCATTTTGGGAGACCGAAGCAAGAAAATCATTTGAGGCCAGGTGCGGTGGCTCACGCCTGTAATCCCAACACTTTGGGAGGCCGAGGTGGGTGGATCACCTGACGTCAGGAGTTCGAGACCAGTCTGGCCAACATGGTGAAACCCAGTCTCTATTAAAAATACAAAAATTACCCAGGCGTGGTGGCACACGCCTGTAATCCCAGCTGCTCGGGAGGCTGAGGCAGGAGAATAGCTTGAACCCAGGAGGTGGAGGTTGCAGTGAGCCAAGATCATGCCACTGCACTCCAGACTGGGCAATGGAGTGAGACTCTGTCTCAAAACAAACAAACAGCCAGGGCTATCACAGGCCTGATCCTGCCTCCCCAGGTCCTGAGGCTGGGAACTCTACCTGTCCACCAGTCTCAACCCTGTGTCCCGGCCACACCTTTCCAGTGTCCACCCCGACCCCATCCCATGAAGACAAGACGCGATGCAAATACTGACTGAGGGTAGTGAAGGAAACAAATGAAGCCCCAAATATAAGTTCAGGGAGCTTCTATTCTAGCTGGGGAGCCAGGCAGGGAGGAAGGGAAACACCAATTGTGCATGAGGCGTGCTGAGGAGGAAAACATAGAGTAGCGAAGGGAGGCGTGAAATGTCAGGAGCGGAGGCTGGAATTTCAGGGAAGACCTAAAAAGCCGCGAAGACAGGGGAGAAGTGAGTCATGTGGCTATGGGGGATGGGTCTGGAAAGAGGCAGTCCAGACGAGGGCCCATGGGCGGGGCTGCATGGTGTCATTCAGGGATGTCGGGGCCCACAGCAGAGGGCGGGTCCCGCGGTGGACACGAGGGTGAGGGGTGCAGGGAGGAGGAGGAAGGCAGGAGCTGGAGCAGGAACCCCCATGCCGAGGCTGTGGCCCCACCTCCCTGACACCCTCTCTCCCCACACCCTCGCTCCTGCGCACGCACACACACTTGCAGCTCTCACCCCGTCGGTGAAGAAGCTCCGGAGCATCCGCAGGCTGGGTATGCGGTTTGGCAGGCGCCTGGAAAGCGAGGGTCGAGGGTGAGGGATGTGGGCAGCAAAGCTGGGACCTCACTATCTCGTCACCCACCAAACCCCAAGCCCAGAAGCCTTCCAGCGGGGGAGGCACACTGTCCCATGCATAGAGGACCCCCAGGGCCAAGAGCCCTGCCCCAGAGCAGCTGGCCACGGTGGCTGTGGCCACCCCACCCCGTGTCCGGACAGGGCCTCACCGCAGAACCCGGCCCTCGTCGCGGAAGGTGTTGAGTCCATCATCGCAGGACTTGGAGCGCTCCGTGGTGATGGCCAGCAGGTAGGAGGAGCGGCGGCCAGCCTTGATGCTGCCTGCAAAGCCGCCCACATCGGGCCTCAGGGTCAGCGGGGCAGCAGGTCAGGGGCTTCCCAGAGCCCTCCCTTCTGGGCAGGGGCAGGAGGTGACTCTCCCAAGGGGCCGCAGGAGAAGCGGAAACCAGAGGAAGAGGCCAGACATCAAGCAGCAGGCCCAACAGAGACCCCTGGGACTGGGCAGCGAGGGAGAGGGTGGGGCTGGGGGTGTGGGGAGTGCTCACTGCAGTCCTGCGAGTAATGGCGTCCGAGGGTGAAAGTGAAGGTCGGGGAAGATGGGCTGGTGCCCAGGACAGGGGCTGAGTTCATGGCACTGGAGACCACAGCAGAGGCAGGGACGTGCTTGGCTTGGAGGTCAATGCTGGGGCTGGTGGGCTCATCTATGCATGTGGAAGGAGAAAGGTGTGAAGGCAGCAGACAGCGGAGCCTGCCTGCCTCCACCCTAGCCTTGCCAGCCCCCGTGCCACTCGCCTCCAGGCTCAGACACATCCCAAAGGGTCCTGCTGGCAACATGCCCACTGTCAAGCATGACTGGCCCACTGTCCAGACTGTGGCCATGGAATCCTTACCCTCAGGAGTGGGGCTGAGCCACCCTCCTTAGACCGGGCTCCAGAGGACAGAGCCAATATTCCCCCATCAGACTGGGAGCCTGCTGAGGGCAGGGACGGTGTCTCCCTCATCAGACTGAGGGCACTCAGAGAGAATGAATTATGTCTCCCCTCTCAGACCAAGAGCCTCCTGAGGGCAGGGGCAGTGTCTTCCCCATCAGACTGAGAGCTTCCTAAGGGCAAAAGCTCCCCCATCAGCTGGGGCTCCTCAAGGGCAGAGATGACATCTCCCCCTCAAACAGACTGTGCTGTGGAAGAAGAGACTGCCTCTCCCGGCCACAGCCTAGAGCCTTCCTTACTAGCAGAAGGGGCTGTGTCTCTGCTCCACCGAAGGCTGGCTGGGGGAGCCAGGGCTGTGTCTTCCCCCTGCCCCAGGCCTCCTCCCTCTCACTGTCTGGTAGGGTGAGCTCATCTCCCATCTACCACCATCCCTCTCCATTACCCTGCATCTTGCTCTTTCTCCCCAGCCCCGTCTATCCTGCTCCCTCTTGGACACCTCATATTCAACAGTCCTGAACTTTGTCCCCCTCTCACTCCCAACACGGGGGTGAGGCACCACCCCCAAGCCCGGCCAGAAACCTGGGCATCACCCAGCCACTCTACTCTCTTGCCTCTCCCTCTCCTGCATCCAGTCGAAGGCAAGGCAAGCCTTAGAGGGTTCCCTCTGCTCTCAAAAGCCAACCCCAGTGACTAATGAGACCCTTGGGCCTGAAAGGGTCCTCACAACCTGGAAGGGGGTCCTGCCTCTCTCCCTTCAGGGTCTTTGCATATTCTATTCCCTCTCCTTGAATATTCTTCCCCTGATAAACTCCTTCTCATCCTTCAAGTCTTAGCCCAAATGTTCTTTCTCCAAGATTCTCACCATAGCCCTTCTCTGAGCCCGTCTCCTCAAGCTCCCTGTCCCACGACACGCCCATCCCAATGGATTGTCCCTGCATGTCCAACACCCTCTGCTGGGCCATCCAGTCCAGGAGAGCATGGAGCCATGCACAGGGCCTGACACAAATATCTGTTGAGTCGATGGAGGGATGGAGGGTGGATGGAAAGGACAAAGAGGGAAAGATACAAAGGGAAGATGGAAGGAAGAATGGGAGAATGGAAGGAAGAGTCAAAGGAAAGAAAGATGGATGAATGGGTGGAAGAAAGGATGGAACAAATGAATGAACAAAAGAAGGAGGGAGAGAGGAAGGAAAGAAGGAAGAATAGATGGATGGATAGATGGATGAATGGATGGAACAAATGAATGAACAAAGGAGGGAGAGAGGAAGGAAAGAAGGAAGGAAGAACAGATGATGGATGGATGGATGGATGGGGAGAGGGAAAAAAGAAAGAGTGCGTGGAAAGATGCTGAAAGGATAAATGAATGAGAGGTAGGATGGAAGAAAGGATGACAGAGAACAGAAAGAAAGATGGAAGAACAGATGGATGGATGGATGAACAGATGAATGAATTGACAGAGAAACAAGATGATCCCACCAGCACCCAGCCGAATTCTGCCCATGGCAGACAGGCAGATGGGGTACAGCAGGACACAGACAGCCGACAGCTAAGTCCCCCAGGACAGCCACATGTACCATCACTCACCAATAAAGGGGATGGAAGCCAGAGAGTCTTCGGTGGTGGCCAAAGGGGCCACCTTCCTGCCCAGGCGTTCCCCTCGCCCACTGGCCTCTGGCTCTGGGGACTCGTCACCAAATCCAAGGTTCATCTGTCTTGCGGGGGTCAGCTGAACCTTGCGGCCCGTCGGGGGCTTCTGCCTCAGGACCACCTCATCGCCGCGATCCTCCGCAGGAGGCTCCAGGGCCCGGGTGCTGGGTTCCGGCCGTACAACCCTGGGTGGCTCGGAGGCCTCTGGTGGGAATGACGCAGGGGACTGGGCCAGGTTGAAGGTAGGCAGCCCCCCAAAGGGTGAGTCCCGGAAGGAGAGCGCATGGAGGAGGCCGGTCCGGCGCTGGAATGATGGGCTGTAGCTCCGGTAGCCGATGTACCCGAGGTCATCCAGGCCCTGCAGGCCAGACGGGGGTGGGGCCTGGGGCCCTGGCAGGTCCCGAGTTGGGCAGGCGGGGGTGCGGGCAGACGAACGCTGGGAAGCCCAGCCACACCGCTCAAAGCGGGGTGACACCAGTGCCCCTGGCCCCAGTGCCTCGGCAGAACGGGTGGCCCGGCTCAAGTAGTCATCTGAGCGAGCTCGGTGCCAGCCCTCCTGGCCCAGCTGGCTCAAAGCATCCTGGGAGGTGGAGCAGGGCCACGGGCGGGGGGCAGCCACCTCCTCCAACCGGTCCTGGGAGGCGCTGCGGGCCCGGGGGGCCATGGCTGGGCACCGTCTCTCCCCCGCCCGGCGGGGTACCTGGTTTGACAGCCAGTGTGACAAGGCCTGCTGGCACTCCAGTCTGCTGGGGGGCACCCGGCTGCCAGGCTCTGGGAAGGCACGGGGCGTCCGGGGCTCCGAGGAGAGGTGGGGGAAGGCACCAGGGCTGGGGCGGGGCTGGCTCATCCCCAAGGAAGAGTTGTCCAGGTGGGCACGGGCAGCAGGTGGCACACGGAGCCCCGGGTCACTCCAGGCAGCAGGACTCCGGGGGTCACTGGGCAGTGCTGAGGTGGGCTCAGGCACCATAGTGGCCCTGGTGGAGGCCCGGGCAGGAGGGGCGTAGGTCTTGCGGGGGTAGCAGATCGGGGGTGGCTCTGGGATGCTGCGGGCCTCTCCAGAATACGGCTCGTTCCCTTTCAGGTAGGCATCCTGGGAGTAGGCCTGGCCAGAGACACAGAGACAGGTAAGCAGGGCCAGACAAGTCCCACAGGGTAGGGGAACGGCAGCCCGAGGAGGTCAAGGAGCCCAGGAGGGAAATGAAGGGAGAGGACCAAGCGGTGGGGGGAACGAGGGAGAGGCATAAGTGGGTGGGGGTGGAAGGGCAGGTCCAGGGAGAGAACAAAGAAGAAGCAAGAAGCCTTTGAGACGCAGGCAAACTCCAGCAAAAGTGGGATTTCGCTAAGACTGTGACAAGGACTGCCCTAGCCACAAACATTCCAGCATCTGTTTCCTGGGGTCCTCCCCCAGTCCTGGCCTCCACCGCCTGCCTGCCCCCTTATGTCCACCAATGCCCAAAGCTCCTCGGGTGGAGCCGGAAAACCCCACCGAGACCAGTCAAGGTGGCAGATGAGAGAAGAAAGCCGGCTAGGGGTGTGTCTGGGTGGGGCAGAGGCTGGCAGAGCCCAGCTGTCCCTCCATCCCCGGGAATGGGGAGCTGGCTCCTGAGCCACAGGGGTGAGAAGGAGTTTGCCCACCTCCTGCCAGGCTTGAAGGAGGGGACTTGAGCCACCTTCTGCCACCCCTGGGCCTGGAATTTGGCACTGGGAGCTGAGGCTGACGCTGCATTGCTAAGGAGTGACAGGGCCAGCGCCCAGGCCCAGCCAAAAAAGGAGTCAGCTCCCAGGGACAGCGGCCTTGTGGCCTGGGCCCAGCCTGGCCCCTGCTGAGCTGCCCAGGAGCCTAACTCAAGGCAAAGAACCAAAGGGTGGGAGGGTGAAACCAAACACACACACACACCACACTACAAGGAGACACTGGAAGATACACACCCAGAGACACACACACACACAGTAGAACACAATGAAACACACACAAATAACTACACCTCCAGTCCCAGGCACAAACATCATGTGATGAGGACAAGCTAAACCACACCCCCGCACACTCAGCCCCCTCCAGCTGGCACAGGGCCGGCACACACATACCTCTCCCTCCTGCCATCCCGCCGTCTCCCCAGGCTCCCGGCATCATCACGGCGGCGGCAGCATCCCAGCCCGCCTCCGCCCACCCCCAGCTCCGGCTAACCCCGCCACTGACCACTGTGTTGCCCTGGCCAGGGCCTCCGGTCCCCCTCCGTCTGCCCTCCCTGCGGCTCCCCCTCACCCCCACCCGACTCTCTCTCGGCTGGCTGGCGGGAGGAGGAGGGAGGAGAGGATGGGTGTGGAGGGGCCTCGCCGCGTCGGTGGTGGCGTCAGCAGCTGCCGAGGCCCGATTGGCCTCCAGCCTTGGCTTCCAACCACAGGAATGCCTGGGCCCCACCCTCCGGCTGGCAGAGATGCGGGGGCCAGTGGAGGCCCCCAGATGCTGTCATCTGGCGCTGCCAGCCCACCCCAGCCTGGGCAGCAGAACTTGAGGCTACTGCCCTTCCCACTCCTTGCCCCTGCCAACTGGAGAGAGTGGGGGACACCCTAGGGTCCCACCCTGTCACTGCCCCATAGCTGGCCTCGCCTCAGCCTGGGGGAGCTGTACAGGCAGGGCCTTGAGACTTGGGGTAAGCAGTCCACCTCAGATCCCCCCCTCCTTCCTCCCTCTCCCCAGGAAGAGCAAGGGGACAATCGAGGTCAGGGGTGGAGGTTTCCAGAAGGGCATCATGCCAGGCATGGCACTGTGATTACAGTGATTAGGAGAGTGCGTCCAAGGCAGAAGCCAGCACAGCGGCTCCCAGGGCCTCCCCAGGGACAGTGACCTCAGGGGCAAGTAAGCCGCCATCTGGCTGGGACCCATGAGACCAGGGAGGTGGGCACTGGGCAAAGCGGACCGCCGGGGCTCCAGGCACAAAGAGGCAGTGTGTGAGTGTGAGTGTGTGTGTGTGTGTGTGGAAGGGTATGCTTGGGAGTGCAGGGCCTGCTTCGTGCAGTGTCTGGGCCACGCTCTCTGTGTGGCAGGCTGGATGCTGTCTTCTAGGTATGCTGAGGTGTCGAATGTATAAATTTGGAGTCCTGTGACACGGGTGGGCGCACGTGCTGAGATGGGCAGGAGGATGCCGCGGTGTTTGCGAGCATACATGTTGTGATAGTGCGGCGTGGGTGTGTAGTTGTGGAGGTCCGAGTGTGCAAGGTACTATGCTGTTTGTACTGCAGGGAGCCAAGGGGCTGGTGAGTGTGTCGTGTTTTAATGTTTGTGGGTGTGTGTTGTGGTGCACTTCGCTGTATGAGGGTGAACTGTGGCAGTGGGTGCTTGTGTGGTTGTCTGTATTGCGGCACGTGCCTGGTGCTGCATGTGTGTTGTGGTGTGCTTCGTGCTATACAGAGGGTGGGACTGTGGGGCTGTGCTGTGTGGCTGTGTACTGCTCGGGTACTGTGTGGTGCACATGACGGTGGGTGGGGTGCAGTGTGCTGAGCAGTGTTCGATGTGTGCTCGGTGCCTGTGTGGACACACCCACCAGAGACACCCTCACTCAGGGCCAGACAGGGAGGGGGTGCAGGGAAGAGGCATCTCTCCTAGGAGCTGACAAGAACGTGCCAGGCTGGCAGAGCCTGCTGGGCCACCCTCCTTCCAGATACCCTGGCAGGAATCCTGCCTGCCAAGGCCAGGTCTCCCGCTCCCCCAGCACAGAGCAGCTCCGAATGAAGCAACAACCAGCCCCAGCCCAGGGAGGGGCCTGGCATCCCCAACTGGGCAATGTCGGCCTGTGCCCTCCAAACACTTCCTTCTCTGCCTCCCAGGGGAGCCGGTGCTGCCCCAGGGCTCAGGGGTCTCCTCTCAGGCCACAGGGGCTGGACTCACCAGCTGGAGGATGTCCTCGTCCTTGGGCATGATAGACAGCTCCAGAGTGTCATCACTACAGAGACAGGCAGAACGTCAGGCTGGGTCAAGGAACAGGGTCCAGGAGGAAGGGATCCTGGTCTCCAGGGCATCCCCAGGGCAAAGGGGAGGGGAGATAATATGGGACGAGGGGTCAGGGACACTCACCTATTCTGGATCAGAGCTATGACCTGAGAGTAGGTCTTCCCAATGACGCTTTCCCCATTCACCTTTACCAGCCGGTCTCCTGGGGACAAGGAGCGCATGAGTGGTGACCAAAGGGCATCAAAGGCCCCATCTGAGAACCCCTGTACCAGGCATGGCTAACACTGTGGGGACAGGAGCCTCCCCAACACCTGGATCTGAGAATAAAATCCTAGCCAGAAGGTAGAAAGTAGAGCCCAGGTAACTGGGCCAGCTCACCTGTGCGAAGCCCCGCCCTATGGGCAGGGCCGTCTTCCTTCACATTCTTGACAAAGATGGTGTCCATGGGCTCCAGGCGGTACCGGGGGGAGGGTCCTAGTGGGCATCAGCCAGGTTAGCTGGGGGTGGCTGGGGAAGGTCACACCCATGCACAGCTACACACACAGGGGACACACACTCAGAGAATGATTGCACTCGTCCGGTCACAAACATGCACAGGCTCAAACATCCACGAGGACACTGGACAGGTCCATGGAGGCACAGAACCCAACAGGAGGACACAGACCTGGGAGAAAGAAAACCTATGGGGACATACAAAGAGTCACTCCGTAAACACCTCCTGTGTCCTCTTCATGTGCTAAAAACTACACTAAAAAGGATGAACAGGCCAGGCATGGTAGCTCACGCCTGTAATCCCAGTACTTTGGGAGGCCAAGGCGGGTGGATCACTTGAGGTCAGGAGTTCGAGACCAGCCTGGCCAATATGGTGAATCTCTGTCTCTACTAAAAATACAAAAATTAGCTGTGTGTGGTGGCACGCATGCCTGTAATCCCAGCTACTCAGGAGGCTGAGGCAGGAGAAACACTTGAACCTGGGAGGCAGAGGTTGTGGTAAGCCGGGATTGTGCCACTGCACTCCAGCCTGGGTGACAAAGTAAGACACTGTCTCAAAAAAAAAAAAAAAAAAAAAAAAGGCCGGGTGCGGTGGTTCACGCCTGTAATCCCAGCACTTTGGGAGGCCGAGACAGATCATGAGGTCAGGAGTTCAAGACCAGCCTGGCCAACATGGTGAAACCCTGTCTCTACTAAAAAATAAAAAAATTAGCCGGGCGCGGTGGCGGGCACCTGTAATCCCAGCTACTCAGGAGGCTGAGGCAGAAGAATTGCTTGAACCCGGGAGGTGGAGGTTGCAGTGAGCCCGGATAGCACCACTGCACTCCAGCCTGGGTGACAGAGCAAGACTCCATCTCAAAAGAAAAAAAAAGGATGAACAAGCACAGCCCTTGTCCTTCCAGAGCTCCCTGTCCAGTGGGGGAGGCAGATTCTCACACACACATGTGCAGCACACACAAGTCACGAGACAGAGGAAAGGGCGCCATACAAGAGGCCATAACAGTTCTGAAGACATGTGGCAGAGTCAGACGCCCTCCTCACAGGGATGCCCACTCCCGCAGACCCAGCAAGACACCTAATACTCACATCCCCCACCTCCTCCCTTCCCCAGGCTCAAGGGACTCCAAGCAGAGGTCCGAGGCCCCTAGGGTGGGCACAAATCGCATTGCACCCCAACAAAGTTTCTCTGCTCCTAAGTGCTGCTAACTCTAAGCTAACAGAGAAATGGGCCGCTCTAGGTCAGCGGGCTCCTCCCTCATCACGGCCTCTGGATGGGGATGCAGGAGTGTCCTATGGCTGCCCAGCGAAAGCCCCAGTGGCAGAGCAGGAAGGCTGCCAGAGAAGGCACTCTGCCTTGAATAACCTGGGGGCCTGGGTGTCCACCAGGGGCCTCTGGGGAGCAAGAGCCACAGCAAGGGGAGTCAGGCTCACATCATATGAGAGAAAGACCTTGGGGGATCCCTGACTTCCACCAGGACTCCACTGTCTCCGCCTCCAAGGACAGCCTTTGCTCAGCGCTCCCACCACCAGCCCCCAGGCCCTGCAGCCCTGCCCTGCCTTGTTCTAGGCTGGGAGCAGCTTGAGGGCAGGGGCCAGGTGGCAGACACCCATCTGCGCCCCAGAGTGCCGCCCACAGTGTGCCGAGCTCAGCAAACTTCTGTGGAGGAAATGCCCAAGGGAGACAAATGTGCGAAAAGAAAGGGGGAGGACAGAGAGAGTGAGGAGGAGGTGCCCAGAGGGGGCCAGACCAGGGGCACAGACAGGAGCAAAGGCAGGAACAGGAGTCAAGGGAGGGGGGCACAGAAAAGGACAGGCAGTCTTAGGGGAGGACAGGGAGAGACAGGAGCTGGAAGAGGAGTCCCGTGCAGGTCCAGCGCCCGCCAGTCCTCCCTTACCTCCTCCACGGCCTCCATTCTCTTCCTCCTGCAGGGAACAGAGGAGTGGGTGTGGGCGTCAGTCCAGCCCTCAGCAGCCAGGGGTGGCCCAGCTCCAGTGGGCAGGGCCCCTTCAGGTTCCCGCCACCCCTTATCTCCTCCCAAGTAGCCCAGCAGGGGAGGGTGCGGGAGGGGTGTCCGAGGGGCACCAAGTCCGAGGCCAAGTTCCCCAGTGACATGTGCTCCCATCGCCTCAACACCCTAACCATCAGGGAACCCGCAATCCAACAAGTGACCCAAGACCCCTTCCCTGGGGGAGCTCCCAGCCCAACGAGGGAGGCATCACACAGGCTCACACACACAGAAGACGCGGGCAGTCACAGATAGGCACGTGACAAGCGCAAACTACAGCTATCAGCTCCAGGGAATACCAAGGGGAGGACTGATTAGAGTCCTCCTGGGGAGGGGACTCAAAAGACATCTGAGGGTGGCGGGTAGAAGGCACTGTGGACAAGGGAGGCGGGGTGTGCAGACGCTGGCTGGCAGGGATAAGCGCTCACAGCACACCAGGGGCTGAATCGCTGAGTTAAAGGAGAAAGTCAACAACAGCAAGTGACAATACTCAGGCTAAAGCACTCAGGCTTACAGGACAGAAAGAGGGAGCCAATGGAAGTTCTTCTGTGAGAGAGAGTGGAGGTGAAAATGAGAGTTAGGGGAGAGGATTCTGGCACCTGGGTGCAGGGTGTCAAGGGGACCCACTGGGAGGCCTCTGGGATCACCTGGTAGGTGATGGCACTAGACTTTGTGGGGGAATGAGGAAGGAGGGCATGGAGGTCAGAGGAACAGGCTAAGTCAGCTGGATGTGGCATTTTAGAGCTGGATCAGACCTTCAGCGTCATCTCTTCTAACCCTCTCCACACATGTACCCATTGTATAGCTCGCAGGGTATGGTGTGTTCAAGGCCACTCAGAGACTCAGTGGCAGAGCCAGGGCTGGAACCCAGGCCTCTGTGGCACCCCAATGAGGACAGGGTGGGTCACAGGAAAGCTGCTGGGCCCTTCTGGGGAGCAAGCACTCTGCCCCCGTCCTCCTGTGTGGGGTGCACTCCGGCTGATGCAAGCTGACAGCACTGCGAGAGAGTGGCAGAGGCAGACAGATGCATTTGGACGGCTGAGCTCCCTGCAGGCTGCCAGGTGGCAGCATGAAGGACGGGAGAACACAGCCTCCTCCTGCCTCCAGGCCAAAGGCCCCTCCCAGCCCTGGGCAGGTTCTGGAAAGGAGAGGCAGCCTGTCCCTGGCTTGCCTGGCCCTAGGTCTTCCAGCCCTAGACTCTATGCTGTCACGCTTCAGCAGGGTCTCCTGAGAGAAGATGCTGGGGGCAGCAGGAGGGGCATTCTGGGGAAAGAGTGAAGGAAGTACTGGGGGTTCCGGAGAACTAAGGGGCTGGTGTCCTTGGGCATGAAGTAGGGGTCTGTGCCCCCTCCACACTCCATCAGCCCCCACTTATGTTCTTCAGCACAGCTGTAGCCAATGAGAACAGTTATGCAGGAGCCCCAGAGCTTCCGGCATGCATGTGAGAGCTGCACAGTTACATGTACACATGACATGTATTTGCAGACACTATATGCACACAGAGAGATACACACATGCATGTCCATGGCCAGCACGCGATGCACACAGAGAGACATGTGAGCACACGAACACAGACAGTGAAGTCCCCTGTTTGGTTCTCTGATAGGTGGGACCAAGGGGGAGTCCCCCAATAGCTGTACAGGCAGATCCCGGTCCTAGGGAAAGTGGATAGAGGGGTTCATTCACTGCAAAATCAGTGTCTCCTCCCTGCTGGAAAAGAAGTGGTGATGGGAGCAGAGCCCTAGTCGGGGGCTTTGGTTGCTCCCTGGGGCCCCTTCTGTCTTCTTCCCACACTTCTGCTTCGCTGTCAGGGACCCCTCCCCCTAGCTCACAGCCTTGGATTGGGGTCAGGACCCCTGGTTCCTGGACTCAGAGAACACAACGTTTACATTAGGGCAGGAGGGACTCTGAGGGGTCAAGTTGATAAATGTCCTCAGGTTCCAGCAGGAGAAATGGAGCCCAGAGATGGGGAGGCAGCCCCAAATTCACAATGAGTGAGGAGTTGTCCCAGGACCGGAACTCTGGGCTCCTGTGTCCCAGCCTGGGTCTGTTTCCAGCGCACTGAGCTGTGGCCAGCAGGGGCCAGGGGCGTGCTGGGAGGGCTCCCACAGGTGGGCTAGGCCCCTGAGAGCTCACGCTGGAGAGGGGAGGAGCAACCCCAGCTCAGAAGCAGCCGGTAGATCAGGGGTCCCAGGAACTCCCAGACAACTGTTCACCTGCCAGAGACAAGCGTCTGGGGGTGTGAGGTGAGCATCCTGGCTGCCCACCTGCAAGGTCCTTGCCCTGCACCAGCCACCCCTCCCTGTCTCCTGAGAAGCCCCAGGCCACAGTGATTCAAGTGTTTGTCCACGGTCACACAGTACAAATAACCCAGCCAAGGCTGGCACTGCCTCCCTGCAGTCCTCCTCCCCAGGCCACAGCAGAAGGGAGTCAGGCCGGACCCCAGGAAGGACTGCCTCTCTGAGAGGGTGAAAGGACCATGAAGGGGACTGGCACAAAAGAGTCTCCCTCCCTCATGAAAGCTTCCCCAGACCAGGGCAGCGGCGAGCCGGGCATACCTTCAGGCTGCAGTGCACGGCCGACTCGGGTGGGTACACGATGAAGTGGCGCAGAGTGAAGCCAAAGCCGTCCTGGGGACTTTTGTACAGCAGCAGCGTCCTCGGCCCCTGCCAGGGGAAGGGGCGCCTAGGAGAGCACCCATCTCTTGGGCCCAGTGGCAGCTGTGGGAGACAGAGAGGCCAGGCTGAGCGCCCGTGTGGCTGACACTTCTGGCTGTTTGCACCACCTCCTGCAGCCCACAGGACCGGAGGGGCACCAGAAGGGGTCTTTCGCCCTAGGGTTGCCAGGCATCCTCCCTGCCCATGACCTCCTCCTCACCCCTTCCTTACTCTCCCACCTTCATCAGCCCAATAGCTTTTTCCTTCTTTCCTTTCCCCTCAGTCCCCTCATAATGTCTTTGCCCTTGGGAAAATAACTCACTGAAGCAAGTTCATTCAGTTCAGTTCAGCTGAGTTCAGCAAATGTTCACTGAGCACCTACTATGTGCAGGACCCTGGATACAGCCTTCCTGCCCAGGAAGTGCCTGTCGTTGTCTTAGCTCATGCACAATCTCACACACACACATGCACACATATATGCACTCCCAGATAGACACATACTTATGCAGACACAGCCCCAGCCACATACACTCATGTAGACGGAACATACCACAAACATACAGACAAGCATGTGCAAATATGCAGACACACAGATACACACACACAAATGAGTACACATGTGCACACTTTTGTAGACACATAGATATGCACAGAGTTGCACAGAATCAAAGTCCTGCACACACAATGCACATACAGACGCATGCGCATGCATCACAGACATGCAGATACACACATGCACAGCAGACCGGCACACACGCATCCTTCAAGAACAGCAGCAGGAACACAGGGGGAACCAAGAAACAAGAGGGAGCGGACTGGACATCAGACACCTGAAGGGACTTCCTGAGGCTCCAGAGCCCAGCCCAGAGGCCTGGCTGGTTCACCAGAAAGGCTTGGGGTGGCTGGGCGCGGTGGCTCACACCTGTAATCCCAGCACTTTGGGAGGCCAAGGCGGGTGGAGACCAGCCTTTGCCAACATGGTAAAATCCTGTCTCTACCTGTAATCCCAGCACTTTGGGAGACCAAGGCGAGTTCGAGACCAGCCTGGCCAACATGGTGAAACCCTGTCTCTACCAAAAATACAAAAATTAGCCGGGCATGGTGGCTGGCGCCTGTAATCCCAGCTACTCAAGAGGCTGAGGCAGGAGAATCGCTTGAACCCAGGAGGGAGAAGTTGCAGTGAACTGAGAGCGCACCATTGCACTCCAGCCTAGTGACAGAGCGAGACTTCGTCTCAAAAAAAAAAAAGGCTGGAGGTTTCAGAGACACTAAAGCCTCCTGTCAGACCTCCCAAAATTCTCAGGATTCTCCAAGATGATGTGGCAGAGGGTATCTGAAGACAAGAGTTTGGAGGGGGCACACAGGTCTGTTTCTGGGGCAAGAAGAAAAACAGTGCCTGAGACAGGGCTCCCTTTGGGACACAGAGAGGGAAGGTGGGTGACAGGAGGGTGTCAGATAGAGGGTGCTCACGGAGCCCAACTGGGGAAGATGGGAGCCACGGAGAAGCTGCCTGGCTTTGAAAAGCCAAGAGGACCCCTAGAGGACTCTTAAATCCATAACATCATGTGGCCTAACCTCTATGTTGCCCCTAGTCCAAGCCCCTCAGAGGGCAAAAAGCCCTCACCACCAACACTCCTTACTCCCCTCAACTCCTCCTCGGCACCAGGCAGGAAGCATCAGCTGACAGGAGAAAGGCTGAGGGGCTGGGTGTGGAGGAAGAAGCTCATCAGTTCTGGAGTGAGGAGCTCCCGCTTCACTAGCAACATCCCCTTTTGTCCCCTTCTCGTAGCTGGAGAAAGCTCAAATGTCCTGATGCCAATAAGTTCATTCATGGACCATCCACCCTCCTGTCCACACACCCAGTGGAGGGAGACAGCTGCCCTCTGCTAAGGATTTCCGCATGGGGGAGAGCCTGGCTGCTGTCGAGCAGGTCTGGGGAAGAGGCTAGATCCTCCCATCTCAGAAGATTAAAGAAAAATGTGACAGAGACAATAGGCTATAGGCTTGCTTCATACAGCCCCAGGGGACAGAGCCAGGTGGAATATACAAGAGGCTGAGTGGAGCTCCAGGCAAGGGAGACAGACCGTTCTAGACTGTTCTACTCCTATACGGTCTGGAAAACTACCCAGATGAGGCTATGAGTGCCCCCTACCAGACAGGGGCCACGTAAAAGCTGGAAGACCCCCAGTCCAGGAGGTCTCAGCAGGGGTTTTGACATCAGGGGTAGTCCAGCATCTTCCACCTGTAGCTTTAGCCCAGTCTCTCCCACGGTGCCCTGCACCCCCATGGGGGCCTGGGGAGCCCAGAGGAGAAAATTCTCTGGGAATTCTGCTGAGGTCTGAAATCCCCCGGATTTCCCATCTCTGCTGACCTGGCAAGGAACTGATCAGGGAGCGAAAAGGGTCTGGGGGTCCCCTCACCAACTGCCCTCTCCTACCAGAAGCCCCTGCTCCTCCCCAGTGTGGGCTGCCCCCTGCCTGTCCCCCACCCAGGCTCAGAGCTGAGGCTGTTTGCAGGGCCCATTGTTTTGCTGCTGTCCTGGATTAAGGTTCAAGCCACCAGCTGCCCCAGTGACGAGAAGTGGCTGGGACAGGTCCCCGCACGCCCCCCGCCCCTCCCCCAGCACACATCCTGCCTGGAGCTGCCAGCTGCCTGGGGGGGCTGCTCCCTGGGAGGGCCTGCATGGAATCCAGGGTAGGAGGCATGCCTTCCTCTCCGGGTCCCCTCCTCACCAAGCACTACCAGCATTCCCTCCCTTATCTCTACCTCTCCCTTTCCTCTGTTCCTTCCTTCCAGTCCCCTTCCTCCCACCTCTTCCAACTAGGCTCTTGAGAATGTCAGCTACCACACAGCCACAGCTACCACACACCTGCTTGAAGAGGAGACACCAGGACACCCATCAAAAGCCAGAGCTGGCATCTCCCCTGTGGGAAGTTCTTCCTTGTTTAACCTCAATCCTTCATGCTATAATACATGCATGTTTCCTCTCCTCCCCTGTGACCTGGGACAGAACTGAGTCTTGTTCTCATCTTGAGGTGGGGGAAGTGATAGGTGCAAAAACCACAGAAGGAGCCATTGATAACAACTAGAAAGGTGCACAGCTCACACACACAGCTCTGCCTCTCTGACTTAGGCACAGAGACAAGGGGACTGAGAGGGAGTTGCTCAGGGGACACAGGGACATTGCTGATTAAATTCTCCTGGCCTGGATCTATTTCCAAACACTCCCACCCTCATGTCAGGAAAGAAAGAGACGTCCAAAAATACCAGCTGATGGTGACAGCAGGGCAGACGGCCTTAGGCCACAAATTAGGCAGAGGTGGACACGTGGTGGGTTGGCAGCACCAGAAACTAGAACCCAGGAGCCCTGCTCCTCCCCCCGGGAGCATAAAGAGGTCATTGCAGGGAGCACAGTGTTCAGGCCGGGCATGGCGCCCACTGTGACTCACACCCTACCAGCCTGGTCCATCCCGGACATCAGAAACACGGCAGTCCCCCAGCCCAGCCCTGTCAGCCCTGAGAGCACTCACTACCTGCAGGGGCCCGTCTGCCACTCAGCCTCCTCTGCCCACTAGGAAACCCTCGTGTGCCGTGTCCAGGTCCCCTACCAGGGGTGGGGTGGGTCGTGGGCCCTGCTCCATTCAGTGGTGCCTCTGCCTGCCTCGGAACTCGGGGTCCCTGCCCACCCATACCCTCTGGGATTCCTAGAAGCCCCAGCGTCTCTTCAAACGCTCTGGTCCCTTCCATCCTTCCACTGCCTGGAAACCGAGAGGGCTGAGCCCCGTGGAGGCCTCGACCCAGACTGGGGGTTGTCATCCCAGAAGCCCTGGCAGAGCTCCAAGCCACAAATCCTGCCACCCTCAGCCCCATCTCTCAAGTGCCTCACTCACTCCCCGTTCCAGGGGCATCAGTCCTGGAATGCAGGGCGCACACAGCTCAAAGGCCGCAGGGAGTTGGTGACCCAGTCCCACTCAGACCCCGACAAGGCCTGCCCCGGCCCCGGCCCCGGCCCCGCGGCTCTCACCCTGGCCCGGCGCGGCCCGGGCGCGCGGCGGTCGCTGTGGCTGAGGCAGGGCAGCCAGAGGCAGCGCGGTTCCGGGGCGCTGCAGTCCACGCCGACGGCGCGCTCCCAGCGCCAGCCCCCGGCCCCCGCGCGCTCCACGCGCCACACGGCGCTGCCCACCAGCTCCGCGGCCGGCGGGGGCTCCCGGGCCCGGCCACTGCCCCGGCCCCAGTACGCCCCAGGCCGGGCTTCCGGAGACGCGCGCGCCGCGCGGGGGCCCGGGGCCGCTGCTAGGCGCCCGGCAGACGGCGTCCTCGACCCCCCGGGCGGCCGGCGGGCCCCGGGGGTCCCCGCCCGCCCCCCGGAGCCGCGGGCCCGGGGCCCGGGGGCCCCGAAGGGACGGACGGCCCGCGCGGACGGCGGCAGGACGGCTGGATTGGCTCCGCGCCTCCTGCGCCTCCCGGCTGAAGGCGCCCGAGCCCCGACACGCCCGCGAGTCTCGCAGGGCTGACGCCTCCCCCTCCGGGGCGGCCCCTGTCCGCGGCCGCCCAGATCTCACACTCACACCCCACACGCCAGGGCACTACACAGTCCCCCGCACGACCACACCCTCGCACCCTCACACGCAGACGGCAGCCCTGGACCCAGACACGCACTCTCCCCCGGCCCGCACACCTTGCACCCTTCCAGCGCGCGCGCGCACACACACACACACACACACACACACACACACACACACGCACGCATACGCGCGCGCATCAGCCCCATCCACCCAGAGAAACAGCCACACATGCTCCAGGTGTCCCTCACTCTGCTGCACACCCTACCCACTCTGTACAGACCCGCACCACACACATCCACCTGCCCACACACACTCACCCTATGTGGACATACCCCAGAAACACACTATCCCCCCCACACACACAGGACACTCTTCCACATCGTATACACACACCTCAGACATCCGCCCAAGTGTATACGGTCCACATACTCAGAGAGATGCATGTGCAAGCACACCAGACCCACATTTACCCACCCACGCACTCCACACATACCCCACAGGGACCCCCACAACATGGCAGATGCCACGCACACACTGCACAGCTCAGGCACTCCAGGCATGGATGCCACAGCCCCTCGAGTGCTACACACACTGCCCTGCACAGAGTGACAGCCACACACTCTTAAGCGCAGATGGAGTCCCCAACACCCCTGTGGGAACCACCCTCCTTCCCAGGACTCCCTACCCATTAGCTCTACCTAGAGGGTCACTACAAGCTGACAATCATTCAAAGCTGCCCCCTCTCCCACCCCCTGGCATGTGAGCCAGATGGGAAGCGCCATGTTGTGCTAGCCCCTGCCCTGCTCGCCTTCCTGGCTCTTGCTCTTCCCAGGCCCCATCCGGATGGGGCTAGCAGAGGCCTTGGCTAGTGGATGTGTAATCACCATCACCATTTCTAGCCCACTTGACTGTTCACCAACAATATCACCACAGCCACTTACTGTGGCCCGGGGCCATTTCTATGGCCTCATTTGTAGAGAAGGAAACTGAGGTCCAAGAGGACCCAGCTTGTTATGGCAGCACCGGGACTCCAACCCCAGGGCCTCTCATCCCAACTTCTATCCTACACCAAAATCCTAGCCAGCAGCCAGGAAAGCGGGGCAGCTCCAGCCCAACCCCACTCCTGAATCTAGGAGGAGTCCAGGAGGAAGCGTCATAAGGGTTGGACCTTTTTGAGGCAGCTACCAGAAGGGAGCACCAAGCAGATGCAGCTCCCCTTCCCTCCCATTCCACCATCCACTGTCCCCAGCAAGAACCTGCGGGAGGGTGGCCCAATGGGGAGGTAGGAAATCCAGCAAGGGGGTTGGGGGGGAGATGGAGGGACAGAGATGGGGAGGGGCCTGGGGGCAGAGGGAGGGGAAGGCAGCAGACAACAAAGTGTCAGAAGGTGGAGAAGCAAAGGGACGGGAAGGGAGCCTAGGGGACGGAGGTGGGAGGGGAGGGGGAAGGGAGCAGAGCGGACCACGAGGGAGGTCGGGATCAAGGGAGGGAGGAGGAAGAGAGAGGAAGGGTGAGGGTGAGGCGTGTGGGGGCGGCTGCCTGTGTCAGCCAGGGAGCTGGTTTTGTTCTCCTGTTTCCTGTTTGCTGGGCTCCCCCTCCGTGCAAGAGCTGGACCCCCCACCCCCACCCTGGCGGAAGCCAGATGGGAAGAGTGAGGCTGCCACGAGCTGAGTCAGGAGAGCTTAGGGGGAGAGCGGGAAAGGACTGCAGCCGGGGAGA
Source organism: Homo sapiens (assembly GCF_000001405.40). Classification (NCBI taxonomy): domain Eukaryota; kingdom Metazoa; phylum Chordata; class Mammalia; order Primates; family Hominidae; genus Homo; species Homo sapiens. Next base: position 38,451,880 of record NC_000017.11, on the reverse strand, counting down.
GCAGGACGCGCCATCTCCATTGGCACCCTCTCCCGCCCCACTTCCATCGCTAGAAAACTAAGGATTCGGTGTTGGGACCACTCCTGCCCTGACCTGCCCTGTGACTCCGTCATACTCTCCAAAGGCCAGACCCTCCTAGACCAGCTGGAACCACCATCAAGATGTCCCCAGCCATGTCAGACTCTGGGGCCCCAGGCGGAGGGCAACCAGATGTCTTCAGCTCCAAGTCTGGCCTCTCCTCCCAGCAAGCAGCCAGTAAGTCCTTTCAGGTGCCTAACTTGCATTCCTCTTGCTGCTAGTCCAGTCCCTGGTTCTAAGGAAATGGAATGACTCTCCCCTCTCATCCCCCATGGAGCCTCTGATGGCCAACAGGTGCTGCTGTGTGCCCAGATCAAGAATCCACCTCTGCGGAATTCAAAACCGCTGAGGGTTCTGGGACAGCAGGGAGGAGAGAGGTGGAGACGCAACATGGGTTTTCTGTGTTCAGACTGCAGAGACCTTGGAAAGGATCAACCATATACAATGTCCATTTCCTGCCCTCTAACCTGGCAGGGGAGCAAGGCCCAGCCAAGGAGGTAACAGATTCCTCCAACACAAACCACACCTTCCTTCCCCACCCCCACCACCTCCACACCCAGCTGCCTCTGTGGGGACTTCAGGGGGAGAGTGCACACAGTGGGGCCTCAAAGGTTATGTAGCTTGAATAAATGATCCTCCAGGCCTGGGGAGCCTCTCCGCTCCCTCCCCCATTTCCTCTGGGAAAGGAATGTGGGGTGGGCCCCAGAGGGTGGTGGCGGAGGGGGCCCAGGGCTGGGAAATACCAGGCGTAGCTGAGATTCTATTCCAAGCCTTCCTGCCTAGCATGAGTCCTCCCCCCACGCCCTGCCCAGCTTCCTCCCCCTGCATCAGAAATTACCCTGCTGAGCTGCCCCTTCCATCCCCCTCTAGTTTGACCAGCTTGCAAAATCCATTCAACCTCATCTTCCTGAGGGTCCCTGGGGAGGGGCTTGAAGGCTGCATCCCCAAAGGGAGGGCATCCAGTCTTCCCTCCTTCCAAGAGATCATTGTCTTTTACCATTTGAAAGCACTTTCACTTGTTCTCATTTGACACCCTAAGAATCAGATAACCAGAGATTTTTTTGATACCCGTTTTTCAGTTACAGAAACTGAGGCTTGGCCAGGCGTGGTGGCTCACACCTGCAATCTCAGCACTGGGAGGCCAAGGTGGGCAGATCGCTTGAGCCCAGGAGTTTGAGACCAGCCCGAGGAACATGGCGAAACCCCATCTCTACAAAAAATACAGAAATTAGCCAAGTGTGGTGGCACGTGTCTGTAGTTTCAGCTACTCAGGAGGCTTAGGTGGGAGGATCACCTGAGCCTGGGAGGTAGAGGTTGCAATGAGCAGAGATTGCTCTCCAGCCAGGGAGACAGAGTGAGACCCTGTCCCAAAATAAATAAATAAATAAGAATAAAATTTAAAAAAGAAACTGAGGCTCAAAGAGAACAAGTGACTAGTTCAAGGACTCATTTTCACTAAGCTGGGACCAGATCCCAGGGTTCTAACCGCTTACCAGATCCTTTTCCATTACCCTCTTGTTTAACCACATCTTGAGTACCTGCTGTGGGCCAGGAGCTGAGATACTTTGGAGAGTCTTTCAGGAATATTGTCCCAGCTCCTGAAACCTTTAGGGATCCCCAAGTTCTAGACTCTGGCCAAAGCCGGCTGCCTTCACCCCCACCAAGGGAGACCCCCACAAACCAAGGGAGCCCTGCTCTCAGGTGCACAGGGCCTCTTCTCTCTGGGAGGTGACAGTTTTTTGAGGGTGGGGCCAGACACCTCCCAGGCTATCCCTCACAGGAGAGGATGGTCTGGACTGGAGGAGTAGAAGCAAGTAGGCACTGGGGAAGGGGAGGAGAGCGTCCTGAGTCCCAAGGGTCAGAGATAGGAGCAAGAAGGAAACTGACGTGTTGCAGGGCGTGTGGTTAAGGAAGTGAGAGAGGGGCTCAGGGTCGATTCTGCCTGCTTTTCCTTCCTCCAGCTTGCTCAGCACTCTTCCCAGAATGTGGGCCCCAAACTGCCAGGTGACAAACAATGCCCCCACCCCAAGAGAGTCATCCAGCATGTTTGAAGCTCCATCTGGTCCTGTACACCAGTTGCACACCACCAAACGCAGACCCATGACCACTCCACAACCTCGCACACAGACAGGGCAAATCCCACCACAGATCCGTGCATCCCAGGCATGCAGGCAATGCGATACTGACACATGCCCGCCCCGCCCACGCCTGGGCCTCTGAACCCTGCTCCAGTCTCCTCAGTCAAGGGCGGCGGCCCCCTCAGGCCTCTTCCACCCTTTTGCCCCATTCAGATGCCTGGTTCCCAGCATTGCTTGGGTAGAGACTCCCGCCTGACAAGCCCCAGCAGGCCAAGTTGATGAGCCGGCCAAGCAAGCCTGTGTCTCCGCAGCGCCCTCCATGTACACATAACCCCCATCACCGGGAACCTGGGCACCCCGCACTGGCACTATGTCTGGCCCACGGGTAGGGGATGGTTCCCAGGGTCTCCCCAGACCCAGTGCTCTTCCCCTGTAGGGCCACTCTTGCCCAGGGTTAGGATGGACTGTGCTCCCTCTCCCTCAAACTAGGCCAGAGCCACGGAAGCCTGGGAAGGGAGATGAGGAAGCACTTGTCACTCCAGACATCCCACCACCATCAGGGAGGTGGGCTGAGATAATGCCAAATGCACAAAATCCTCAAAATCTGTCTGGGCATGATGATTCATGCCTATAATCCCAGCACTCTGGGAGGCCAAGGCAGGAGGATCGCTTGAGCCCAGAAGTTCAAGACCAGCCTGGGCAACACAGCGAAACCCCGTCTCTACAAAAAATATAAAAATTAGCCAGGTGTGGTAGTGCATGCCTGTGGTCTCAACTACTCAGGAGGCTGAGGTGGGGAGGATCACCTGAACCCAGGGAGGTCAAGGCTGCAGTGTGAGACCCGGTCTCAAAAAAAAAAAAAAAAAGGCTGGGCAACTTGGCAAGACCCCATCTCTACAAAAAATTTAAAAATTAATCGGGGATGGTGGCGTGCACCTCTGGTCCCAGCTATTCAGGAGGCTAAGGTGGGAAGATCACTTGAGCCCAGGAAGTCAAGGGTGCAGTGAGCTGTGTTCGCGCCACTGCACTCCAGCCTGGGTGACGGACCAAGACCCTGTCTCAAAAAAAAAAAAAAAAAAAAAACTCCCCAAGTTCTTTCAGTGGCAGCACAGCTCAGGGGCTGACACACGGGATCTGGAGTCCTCTGGAGGCTGAGTCAGAGCCCTATCTCTACCACTTTCTAGATATGAGACTTTGGGTGAGTTACTTAACCTCTTTAAGCCTTGGTTCCTCATCAATAAAATGGTAATGACATGTATTTCCACCTCAAAGGTTGTTGGGAGGATTAAGTAAATTAAAGAAAGTCTTAGCACAGGCTCAGAGCACATAGTAGGGATTTAATAAATGCAGGCTGTTTCGACGGCTTTTTGGATAGTCATCACAGTCACACTGACATTCAGACATGCAGACACTCAGCCATGGATACACAAAGACACGGTGACACATGTGGACGCTCATAGACCCAGGCAAGCTCATCCTTCCCGGCATCACCCCCACCTCCCACTGCCAGCCTCAGGTTCCTACAGGCTCTTGACGTGCCCCAGTTCCTCCCAAGCAGGGAGGATTCAGTAGGATCTCCCACTTCCTTGGCTGAACTTTGGCAAGCCCAGAGCACTACCTTATGGGCCCTCTGGGAGTAGGGAAGGGGTGGGCAACATGAGACCCCAGGATGGGGCCTCTCCCAGCAGGCAAGGAGCATGGCAAAGGTGCCAGGCTGGCAGGGTCTCCAGTGCCAGAGGAGGGCCAGTTCCTCCCTCAGGGACAACAGAGGAAGGGGAAACTAAAGAGGAGCCTCTTTCCTCTTGGTGGGAAATGAGCACTTACAGAAAAGGGTGCGTCTAGCCAGCCACAAAGTAAACACCAGGGCCATTGCCCAGGCAACAGCAGGCTGGCATTGGGACAGGGCTTACCACAACCCCTCCGTACCCCTGATTTACCCACTCAGCAGCCCTTGGCTGTCTCTGGGGTCTCCATTCTGGTCTCTAGGCCTGTCTGCAGACTCCTCAAAGGGAAGAAGCTATGCCTCCTCCATCAGACTGTGTGCTCCTTGAAAACAAGGGATTTTTGCCCCACATCAGTCTAGGGTCTCCCAAAAGGCATGGCCTGTGTCTTTCCCCTCAGATTGGAGGATGCCCAAGGGCCTGGCCTGAGTCTCCCCCTTAGACTGAGAGCTCCCTAAGGACAATGGCTGCTGGGTTTTCAGAATGGATTTGCCCTCCTAGAGAGCTTTGTGCATAGCGGGCTCTCAAAAATTATTTCTTTTTTTTTTTTTTTTTTTTTTTTTTTTCAGACGGAGTCTCTGTTGCCCAGGCTGGAGTGAAGTGGCGAGATCTCGGCTCACTGCAACCTCCACCTCCTGTGTTCAAGTGATTCTCCTGCCTCAGCCTCCCGAGTAGCTGGGATTACAGGCACGTGCCACCACGCCCGGCTAAATTTTGTATTTTCAGTGGAGATGGGGTTTCACCATGTTGGCCAGGCTAATCTCGAACTCCTGACCTCAAATGATCCACCCGCCTCGGCCTCCCGAAGTGCTGGGATTACAGGCATGAGCCACCATGCCCAGCTCAAAAATTATTTCTTAATGGTGAGGATGTGGAGAAATTGGATTGCTGTGGGAATGTAAAATGGTGTGTCTGTGGCCAGGCACAGTGGCTCATACCTGTAATCCCAGTGTTTGGGAGGCCAGGAGTGCAAGACCAGCCTGGGAAACATATAGAGACCCCATCTTTATAAAAAATGCAAAATTGGCCAAACGTGATGGCACACACTTGTAGTCCCAGCTACTTGGGAGGCTGAGGTGGGAGGATCCCTTGAACCCAGGAGTTGGAGGCTGCAGTGAGCTATGATGCTATGATCACACTACTGCTCTTCAGCCTGGGCCACAGAGGAAGACTCCCTCTCTAAAAAAGCAATAAAAAATAAATAAATAAAATGGTGGAGTTGCTATGGAAATCAGTATGGCAGTTTCTCAAAAAATTAAACATGGACAGGAGGCTAAGGCAGGAGAATCGCTTGAACCAGGGAGGCGGAGGTTGCAGTGAGCCAAGAGCGCGCCGTTGCACTCCAGCCTGGGCAACAAAAGTGAAACTCCGTCTCAAAAAAAAAAAAAAAAAAATTAAACACAGAATTACCATATGATCCAGTAATTCCACTTCTGGGTATATATCCACAACAACTGAAAGCAGGGATTAGAAGAAATGTTTGTACACCCATGTTTGTAGCAGTGTTATTCACAACAGCCAAGAAATGGAAGCAACCCAAGTGTCCATCTACGGATGAATGGACAAATAAAATGAGGTATATCTATACAATGAAATTGTCTGTATTATTGTATTACATATAATACATACATGATATGAATAATAATAATTGTATTATTTAGCCTTTTAAAATAAGTGAAGGCCAGGCGGGGTGGCTTACACCTGTAATCCCAGCACTTTGGGAGGCTGAGGTGGGAGGATTACTTGAACCCAGGAGTTCTAGACCAGCCCGGGCAACATGGTGAAACAACATCTCTACCAAAAAAAAAAAAAAAAAAAAAAATTAGCCAGGTGTGGTGGCACATACATGTAGTCCCAGCTGCTTGGGAGGCTAAGGTGGGAGGATGGCTTGAGCACAGGAGATGGAGGTTACAATGAGCTGAAATCGCGCCACTACACCTCAGCCTAGGGGAGCCAGACCTTGTCTCAAAAAAAAAAAAAAAAGAAAGATATTTGACACATGCTACAATGTGGATGAACCTTGAAGACATTATGCTAAGTGAAAGGATTAATATTGGCTGGGCTTGGTGGCTCACATCTGTAATCCCAGCACCTGTATTCCCAGCACTTTGGGAGGCTGAGGTGGGAGAATCACTTGAGGTCAGGAGTCCAGGGCCAGCCTGGACGACACGGTGAAACCCTGTCTCTACAAAAAATAAAAAAATAGCAGAGCGTGGTAGCATGCACCTATAATCCCAGCTCCTCAGGAAGCTGAGATGGGAGGATCCCTTGAGCCCAGGGCGTCAAGGCTGCAGTGAGCCGTGATCACACCACTGCACTCCAGCCTGGGTGACAAAGCAAGACCCTGTCTCAAAAAAAAAAAAAGGAATGAATGAATAAATATTATATTATTCCACTTACGGTGATAGTGGAATATCACCACTTATGGTGATAACACAATAATATGGATGTACTTAATGCCACTTTACAGTTAAAAATGGTTAAAATTATAAATTTTGTTTTATATATATATATTTTTTCAGATGGAGTTTCGCTCTTGTTGCTCAGGCTGGAGTGTGGAGTGCAATGGCGTGCTCTCAGCTCACTGCAACCTCTGCCTCCCCGGTTCAAGCGATTCTCCTGCCTCAGCCTCCTGAGTAGCTGGGACTACAGATGCGAGCCACCATGCCCAGCTATCTTTTTTTTTTTTTTTTTTTTTTTAAGTAGAGACAGGGTTTCACTGTGTTAGCCAGGATGGTCTCGATCTCCTGATCTCGTGATCTGCCCACCTCGGCTTCCCAAAGTGCTGGGATTACAGGCGTGAGCCACAGCACCCGGCCGTATTATATATTTTGTGATTTTTTTAAAAAGGCCAAGTCAGAAATCAAACACACACACAAAATAAAAGGCCAGGCACGGTGGCTCAGGCCTGTAATCCCAGCACTTTGGAAGGCCGAGGCAGTTGGATCACCTGAGGTCAGGAGTTTGAGACCAGCCTTGCCAACATGGTGAAACCCCATCTCTACTAAAAATACAAAAATTAGCTGGGCGTGATGTCAGGTGCCTGTAATCCCAGCTACTCTGGAGGCTGAGGTAGGAGAATTGCTTGAACCCAGGAGGTGGAGGTTGCAGTGAGCCGAGATCACGCCATTGCACTCCAGCCTGGACGGCAAGAGCAAAACTCTGTCTCAAAAAAAAAAAAAATGTTGAAAGATGAAACAAATGAACAGGTCTCTCCTTGGTGCCCAGGAGAAGTCTCTGCCCACAGAGGTTGCCCAGGAGCTGGGCACCTCCTGCCTGGAAGACCTTTCCCTGCCGTCCCTTCTCCACTGCACCTCCTCAGAGTCTCTACTGTCATCTTTGGAGCCCTAGAGGTCCCCGCACAGGGGGATCGCCCAGCCTGAACCTGGCACGCATCAGGTCCTTGGCGTTGATGGGGGCCTGCCATCCACAGAGGCTGCCATCCCCAGTCATGCACAAACTCTTCCAAGGCTGCCGGCAGGAACTTGGAAGAGTTTTCTTGGCAGAAACCTGGCTCAGTGTGGGGGCCCTCAAACCCACCAAGCACACACATGCCCATTCCAACGCGCCACACGCTCACACCCACCTGTAACATACACACAAGGGTGTGCCCACAGAGACACCGCCGCGTCCTCTCAGGCACTCCTGGAAATGAGCCCGCACAATGAAGGGTGCACATCTCGGCTGCCTGGCAGGCAGGTCCCGTGGCCAGCAGAGCCCCCTGCTGGCCCAGCGCTGGCATGCCTCGTCTCCTTGACAACCCAGAGCGAGCAGAAGGGTCCTCATTCCCTCAACCTCGCTCCCCAGGCCCCTCAGCTCCAACCTGCCCTGGGATCTTCCCCTCCCCATCTCCTACAAAGGAGAAGAATCTCCTGCAGAAGGACAGAGCAACTGTGGAATCTCGGGGTCTCCCTTTGGTCAAGGAGAGAGGCCAGAGCCCCTTTTCAGACTAGACTGGAGCAGTCATTCCTAGAGGCAGGGGAATGCCTGCAATGACTCTTCTCTAAGGTCAGCAGATCCATCCCCTGGTCTCACGCTGGACAGTGCATTTCAGAGGAGACTAGGGGAAAGCTCTAGGTGTGACTCCGCCTGCCCCCCGCCCCCCAGGAGTGCTTCCTGTTGTCTGACAGCCTGGGCAGAGGTAACAGGTGCACACACTGGTTTCCTTCAGGCAAGAGCTGGGTCCCAGTCAAGCTAAGACCATGTCCCCTCCCAGGGCAGGTCTCAGCAGATTCCGAAAGTCTCCCGGGGGCACATGGGGCTCCCTTCAGGGAGAGGCTGTCAGCCCCACCCCTGAAACCACCCACCCCCTCACCCCAGCCCTGCCCATCCCTCCCGGTTACCCCTGCCTTCCCCTTCACACATGTGGCCCTGCCTATGAACTGAACCACTCCCTAATCCAGTCTGTGATGCCCAGAGGCAGCTGGACAGGTGGCAGGGACAGTGGCTCTGCAGGGACAAACAGCCTCCCCTGGGTCACTACCATGAGGGAGCCCCCTGGGCTGGGCTCTCTGGTCAGAAGAAGACAGATGGCATCATCCTCACTCCAGATCCTCCTCCCGCCTCCCCCTGCCAGTTTGCCTGGCCCCACATTTGGGGACAGGATAACAGCCACACAGTCAAGAATACTTGCTGAGTGCTTACTATGCCCCAGGCAGCTGCTGTTAGATGCGCTAACTCATTTAACCAACCTCTGGAAATGAAGGTAGCACCCAGCACCCACCACCTGCAACTCCTGGCTCTCCACCGGGTTGGGTGCTAGGCAGGGAATGCTGGGTGACCTGCAGGGGCACCGAGGCTTGGGGACAGGGAGGATGGTGAGAAAGTGACCACTGTCCTGGCATCAAGAAGGCTAACACAGAGAAAAGGCCACACTTGCCATTGGTACTGGCCCTGGCCCTTTTCTGGCTGTGTGACCTCAAGATCATCACTCAAGGTCACTCAAGTTTCCTTATTTCTTCAGCTATAAAATAAAGACAGAGATAGCAGCCTGAAAAAGTTGCTGAGAACCAAGAATCAGGTATTATGGCCCCAGCGCTCCATCCCCCCATCGGAGTAGACTCTGCTTCCTAGATGTCTCTGGAGTCTGCTCACTTCATTACACCATTGCCCTGCTCCAAGCGGCAGTCACCTCTCTGGCATCTGACAGTCCAGATTGATTATTTTAATATTATGACCACCAGGCCCTGTGGGACGCGCCTTGGCCCCCACACTCACCACACCCTCTTCCTCTGTGCTCTGGCCACCCTGGCCTCCTTCCACCTCCTGTGAGGACCAGGCACCCTTCCAGCCTCGGGTCCTTTGCACATGCTGTTTCTGGAATGCAACCCATGCCCTGATTCACTCCTACCCACCCTGTTGCTCTTAACAAAAATGTCACTTCCCCAGGCACACCTCCTCTGGCCCCAGACCAGGTCAGTTACCTGTGCACCCTCTTGTCAGTGTCTACTTATTTATGAGCTTATTTTGACCAACATCTCCCCACAGGGCTGTAGGTCCTGGAAGGCAAGGACCATGTCTGCTTTGCTGGTGGTCAAATCCCTGGTTCCTGGCCCAGGGTGGGTGCTCTGCACACTGTTTCTAAATGTTGGAGAATGAATGAGCCTTTCCTCAGAGAGTTAGAGGTAACCAGAACCCTGTCCCCAGGAGGGGTCTGGCAGAGGCAGGGGCTTTTTATATCCCCACCCCTTCCTCAGAGGGAACCAGATCCAGAAGTCGGGGGTGCTGGAATAAGGAAGAAAGGGGGGCCGGGCATGGTGGCTCATGCCTGTAATCACAGAACTTGGGGAGACAGAGGCAGGAGGATCCCTTGAGCCCAGGAGTTTGAGACCAGCCTGGTCAACATAGTAAGACCCCATCTCCACAAAAATAATAGTAAAAATTAGCCAGGTGCCGTGGGGCACGCCTGTAGTCCCAGCTACTTGGGAGGCTGAGGTGGGAGGATTGCTTGAGCCAAGAGTTCAAGGCTGCAGTGAGCCATGGTTGTGCCACTGTACTCCAGCCTGGGCGACAGAGCCAGATCCAGGCTCAAAAAAAAGGAGTGGGGGAGAAAGGGGTGGGGAAAAAGGGGGGAGCTGCTTCAATCCTCTTTGCATCTCTGTGCCCTCACCCCAGCTGGCCACACTCCAGCCACGAGCCCTCCTCGTGGGTTCTGCAACGTGCCAAGCCCTTGTCCTGAGACTCAGAGCCTGCTCCCCACATCCAAGTTCCCCTCTCCCTGGACTATAATACAGTGCCTGCCTGCCCCCTCCCCGTCCCCTTCTTCCCTTGACTCAACCCTTACCCTCCAGGTCTCAGCTTGACTTTCTGAAACGCTTGTTTAACTTAGCAAGCTAAGGAATCTGCCATGGTGCCACAGCTAATGTCAGCTCAGGATTGAAGCTGTGGGCAGAGCCCAGACTCTCGGCCACCTCATTATACGCCTCATCACTACTGGTTTCTCCCTCCAGTCCCCGCCCTCTCTGGGGCCTCAGTTTCCTTATGTGGGCTCTTCCATGATGAGGGACTTGGACATCTGTAGATTTCAGGAAGATTGGTTGAGAGGAAGAAGGTGGGGGAAGAGGTTAAGGGAGGAGGGGAAGGGGGAAAGAGAGAAGAGAGGAGGGAGGGGAGGACAACAGAGGGGTGGCTGCCTTGGGCCAGCCAGACATGAGAAACGCCAAGTATGTGAAGTACGCCAGCCCTGAGCTATGAATAGTGCGCCAGGCTGGCAGCCCAGGTGGGCCTTTCTGCCCCTCCCACGGGAGCTCTGCACAGGGGGCCTGAAATGGGGAATGGGGCATGGGCTGGGGAAGCACACTTGGGGACAGAGCAAGGGGTGTTGTCATGCAAGTGAGATGCAAATACACAGCAGCAGGCAGGTCTGATTGGTGGATCCCTGTGGGGCTGGGAGCATAGGCCGAATGGTCACTCAGCAAAAGGCAGTGCCCAACCTGCAGCACAACCCAGGGCCTCTGCCCACCTGCGCTGTGGCCACTGCAGCTGCATTTCCCAGGCTTGGAGGTTCCTTCTGGTCACCCGTGGCCAAAATCCCACTGACGCTGTGCAGCCTCTGGAGGCCTCTAAAGGTCGTGGTAAGGCTCTGCCTGCCCTGGACACCATCTCTGACCACCCCAGCACCAGGTCAGCCTCTCCTTGGAGCTCACAGGTCTGACAGACAGCTGGGCACCTGGAAATTACGACATCCCCAGTCCCGGCCTCTAGATCCCTCTCCTCATCAGTGATCCCGGTGGGACACACACTGGGCTTAGAGGCTGGAGGCCCAGTCCACGGCCCCTGTCCGGCCACTTGTGTGCCCCCAAAGAAAGCAGTCACCTTCAGAGCCGGTTCCTCTTTCTTTCATTCTAGGACTGTTCACTGGGTGCCACCAAGGGCCTGGCACCGGGCTAGGGGGGCCAGTGACACAAGGGAAGACGAGTCAGAGGCCAGGTTTCAGGTCCCAACTGCATGACCTTGGTCAAGTCCTTTCCCTCTCCAAGCCTCAGTCTCCTCAGCTGTAAACTGGGTCCTGGAGAGGACTCAGCATTGAGTGCCTGGCATGTAGAAGTTGCTCAACAAATCAGTCCCGTAGTCTGAGGATTTTCAAAAACTAACAAAAGCAGTCCCTGGTTTTATAAAACCAAAGACATAGACATGCAACAAATAAAGGTGCTGTAGGGCATAGTGTTTAAAAGTTCCTAAGCAGAGCCTGGGCATAGTGCCTCATGCCTGTAATCCCAGCACTTTGGGAGGCCGAGTTCGGAGGATCACTTGAAGCCAGGAGTTAGACACCAGCTTGGCCAACATGGTGAAACCTTGTCTCTACCAAAAATACAAAAATTAGCCAGATGCAGTGGTGCGTGCCTATAGTTCCAGCTACTCGGGAGGCTGAGGCAGGAGAATCGCTTGAACCCAGGAGGAGGTTGCAGTGAGCAGAGATCACGCCATTGCACTCCAGCCTGGGTGACAGAGCAAGACTGTCTAAAAAAAAAAGTTCCGACTGGGCTCGGTAGCTCAAGCCTGTAATCCCAGCACTCTAGGAGGCCGAGGCAGGCCGATCACCTAAGGTCAGGAGTTAGACCAGCCTGGTCAACACGATGAGACCCCATCTCTACTAAAAATACAAAAATTAGCCGGGCAGGAGAATCGCTTGAACCTGTGAGTTGGAGGTTGAAGTGAGCCAAGATCGCGCCACCGCACTCCAGCCTGGGTGACAGAGCAAGACTTGGTCTCAAAAAAAAAAAAAAAGTTCCTAAGCAGGATTCAGAGGAAGCTGGATTGAATCCTGACTCAGGCCCACTTCCTAGCTGTATGTCACTGGACAAATTACTAACCTCCCTAAGCTTCTGTTTCCACAGTTATTAAATAGAGATAATCCATCGCCCATGGGATTGTTGTGCAGATTAAAGAGACGGTGTGTGTAAAGTGCTCAGCACAGCAGTGTCTGGCCCTGAGGCCCGCAATACAAGTTTGCTATAACCAATACTCCCATTGTTATTATTATTGGTGGGCAATGCAGTGTCAAGTGCTATGGGAACACTCAATTCATCAGTCAGCAGCGTTCACTCAACAGGGCCTGGCCTAGAAGCTGGATATAGAGCAGTGAACAAGACAAAGTCCCTACCCTCACGGGGCACAAGGTCTAGCGCACAGAGGAGGAAGTCGCCATATATTTGAGTGGTGGAGGGAGGCTTTACGGAAGATATTTGAACTGGGCATTGAAAGAGGAATAGGAGTTGGAGAAATGGAAAAGGCAGAGAAGGCCCTTCTAGACAAGGGAAAGAGACGGTACAGCAAGTTTCTGGAAAGGGGAAGAGGGTGACATACTCCCACTCTTTTTTTTTTTTTTAGACAGAGTCTCACTCTTGTCACCCAGGCTGGAGTGCTATGGTGCGATCTCGGCTCACTGCAACCTCCACCTCCCGGGTTCAAGTGATTCTCCTGCCTCAGCCTCCCAAGTAGCTGGGATTTACAGGTGCCCGCCACTACACCCAGCTAATTTTTGTATTTTTATGTATGTATGTATCTATTTATTTATTTTGAGATGGAGTTTCGCTCTATTTGCCCAGGCTGGAGTGCAAAGGTGCAATCTAGGCTCACCACAACCTCTGCCTCCCAGGTTCAAGCGATTCTCCTGCCTCAGCCTTCCTGAGTAGCTGGGATTACAGGTATGTGCCACCACTCCCAGCTAATTTTGTATTTTTAGTAGAGACGGGGTTTCTCCATGTTGGTCAGGCTGGTCTCAAACTCCCGACCTCAGATGATCCGCCCACCTCAGCCTCCCAAAGTGCTGGGATTACAGGTGTGAGCCACCACGCCCAGCCAACATACTCCACTCTTATCCTACCCTTCCAACTGTACCTCCAGTTTCAGCTCCCATCTCCTTTCACCTGGTCTGCTGCCTCCACTGCCCGAGACCCTTGTGTGGCTCCAAAGTAGCTATGGGAGCAAGTTCCTCAGTATGGCATGAGGGATACGACCTGATGGGGGAGGGAAGGGGCGGGATCTGGTCTCATTGGCCTTGCCAACCTGACCTCCTCCCTCTATTCTGGGCCTTGTATTCATCAATCCCTTAAGAGGCCAAGCTGGTTCATGCCTCCTTGCCTGTGCTAATGCTTGGTCCCTCTGCCTGGCACACCCTTCTCTCCCTTCTCCTCCATCCCTTTCTTGCCCCAACAAACATCTTTTTTTTTTTTTTTTTTTTGAGACGGAGTCTCACTCTGTCACCAGGCTGGAGTGTGCAGTGGCATGATCTTGGCTCGCTGCAACTTCCACCTCCCAGGTTCAAGTGATTCTCCTGCCTCAGCCCCCCAAGTAGCTGGGACTAAAGGCGCATGCCACCACGCCCAGCTAATTTTTGTATTTTTAGTAGAGATGGGGTTTCACCATGTTGGCCAGGACGGTCTCGATCTCTTGCCCTCGTGATTTGCCCACCTTGGCCCCCAAAAGTGCTGGGATGACAGGCGTGAGCCACCGTGCCTGGCCCTAGCAAACATCTTTCAAGCTTTGGCAAGCCTCATCTCCCCACAGTGAAGCCTTCTTCCCCTGAGAGCTGGACCATCTTTGGAGGAGGCAGGGGCTCAGCCATGTTTATTGACAGAACCCTGGGGTCCCCCACGCCACTCACGAGCAAATCCAGACTCCACACTGAATCACAGAAGACACAGAGAAGCAGAACTTAATCTACATCTCTCTGCACCCACCACCCATTACATCTGCCCTCCCCCCCCTTCGTTATGCCAACCTTTGCTTGGATTTCAGGGCTCAGCTGTGGAAAAGAGGGTCTAACTTCCCTGGGTGAGGGGTGTCCTCCCAGGCTCCTTGTTGTCAGAGAATACAGCAGTCACCACAATGACAGACCTAGGATTCTGAAAGACCCAGCTTTAATATTTTTTGGGGGGGGTAGGGGTGGGTAGGGTCTTGCTCTGTTGTCCAGGCTGGAGTGCAGCAGTGCAATCATAGCTCACTGTAGCCTCAAACTCCTGAGTCCAAGCAATATTCCCAGCTCAGCCTCCCGAGTAGCTGGGACTACAGGTGTGCACCACCACACCTGGCTAATTTTTTAGAGACAGGGTCTTGCTATGTTGCCCATGTTGGTCTCAAATTGATCTTTGGTTCATGCCTGTAATCCCAATACTTTGGGAGACCAAGGCAGGAGGATCACTTGAGCTCAGGAGTTCAAGACCAGCCTAGGCAATATAGGGAGACCCCCATCGCTACAAAAAAATTAGCCAAGCATGGTGGTGTGTGCCTGATTGTGCCACTGCACTCCAGCCTGGGTGACAGAGCAAAACCCTCTCTCAAAAAAAAAAAAAAATCCTGGCGTCAAGCAATCCTCCTGTCGAAGCTTCCCAAGTCTCTGGGATTACAGATGTGAGCCACCATGCCTGGCCCAGCTTGAAATTTGATGCTTGGTGACCTTGAGTGAAGTTATTTGCCCACTCCAGGTCTCAGTCGTTGCATCTGTAATTATACACCCCCTTTATGACGGCACTTGAAAATCGATCAAAAAGGATTTCACTATAGAATCCTCAGGTTAATGATAGATTTGGAAACAGATGAGAGAAAGGAGATTAATCATATCACCAACTGGTTTTTAACCAATCCCTGTGGCAATTCTACCCAGCTTCCGGCTTCCAGTTTTAAACTCCCGTTATCGCCTTTGTGACCACACTCACTTTCCAACGATTACCATGGTGAAGACATTGGCTTGTGTAGGCTGCAGGTCCATCACCCCAGTCAGACTGGGCCGTTTTTACATTAATATTTTTGGCAGGGGGCCCCTGAGGGGTGTTCTGGACTGATCGATGGGCTGGATGCAAATCTTAGAACTCATGGTTCTACAGTCTTTGTGGAGACTTTTTGTCTGGCTTTTGGGCGGTAGGAAAAGCAGACAAGGAGGCCCTTGAGAGCAGGGTTGTTTCTCATTCATCCAGGTCCCAAGAGAGAGCCTGGAACGCAGAGCACGAGCAACCAGTGATCACCACTGACAGTGGGTTCGATTCGGCTCCAGCCCACTGGCGGACTTTCCCAAGCCCTGGGCCTCCCATGCTGGGATCAGGGCCTTCTCCTGCCCCCGGCTGAAATTACGGAGAGGGCAGGAGGGGCACTCTCCTCAGCGTTTTTTTTGGGGGGGTAGGGGTAGCTGAGGGGAATATCCTCAGCATCCCCAGACCACATCCCGTCTCTCAGATAAGGCTTTCCCTAGCACTGGGGGTACCTAGGCCTCTGGGCCACTGGAGAAGAAAAAGCTCCCAGTGGGGAAGGAAGAGGGGCTGTTTCTCCCTCATGTTGGCAACCCCAGCCTGGTTGTGTGGTCCCCATTTTCTGCCTCCTACCCTCTCCTCTTGCAAACATCCCCCCGAC
Organism: Homo sapiens; assembly: GCF_000001405.40. Lineage (NCBI taxonomy): Eukaryota > Metazoa > Chordata > Mammalia > Primates > Hominidae > Homo > Homo sapiens. The sequence goes on along the minus strand of NC_000017.11, from coordinate 38,436,159 downwards.
CATCTCCTGGGCTCTGGACCCAACCTCAGCTGTCCCCCTCGCCTTCCTTGAAACGTCTAGGTGCTGTGTGGGAGGGGCACAGTGCCAAGGCTTCATTAGAGCTAATGAAGCTCAGCTCTGTGATGCCAGTGCAAGATAACAGTGCGCAGACAGCCTCCATTGCAGCCTGGGGCCTCCGCCCCCTCCTCCACCTCTCTTGGGGAGGAGCCCAGGGCCACACCTCCAGAAGAGGAAAGGGAGATTTATAAGAATCTTCCCAGGCCAGGCACGGTGGCTCACGCCTGTAATCCCAACACTTTGGAAGGCTGAGGCGGGCGGATCACCTGAGGTCAGGAGTTTGAGACCAGCCTGACCAACATGGTGAACGCCCATCTCTACTAAAAATACAAAAAAATTAGCCGGGCATGGTAGAGGGCGCCTGTAATCCCAACTACTCGGGAGGCAGAGGCAGGAGAATCTCTTGAACCCGGGAGAGGTTGCAGTGAGCCGAGATCGCGCCATTGCACCCCAGCCTGGGTGACAAAGCGAGACTCTGTCTCGAAAACAACAACAACAAAAAATTTTCCCCAGTACAGAGACTGCCGTGAGGCCAAGGAGAGATCGGGTTCCAGGGCAAGAAGTACAAACAGCATCAGATTCGGGGGCAAGGTTCTCCCTTGGGCTGCCAAAGGCTCCCCTGTGCATTGCTCAGTCCAAAAGCCTGGGGTGCCCCTTTCTACTTGGACCTTGGGAACTCACCAGCAGGAACCACTCCTTCCTCTCCCTCTTTTCATGGAATCACCGCAGGTCAGAGCTGAAGGGACTCTGGGCACTTCTCTACAACCCTCTTATGACAACTCAACAACCTGAGGCCCCTTCCTCCTCCCACTTGGCATCCATCCTCTCAAGCAATCCTCCTGTCTCAGCCTCCCGAGTAGCTGAGACTACAGGTGTGAGCCACCATAGTCCCTACAGTTCCAACCACACAGGGCTGGCTTCCTTCCACTCTTGCTGGTCCCTTCCTCTCTGCTCTATCCCCTTGGCCTGTCCCTTCTCTAGGCCTCAGTTTCCCCATGAGGCAAATGGAGAGACAGGGAAGGAGGGTGGCCTCTGATATTCCTCCAGCTGAAGCAAAGGAAGATGTCCCCTCTCTGGGTAGCTTTCCTCCTCCTTCTGTCCCTTTTCAGGAACAATACAGAGTTCCTCCACCTTGAGCATAAGGGAGACTCTATGCGGGAGGTGGGGGTGTCCCCTCCAGCCTCTCCTTCCAGCCTTCGGGGGCTCTCAGAAGCAGGAAAAGCTCTGGATTGCCCAGGTCCCCACCTCTCCCTCCTCCCAAGAGCTCTGAGTCTGGCGTCCACACCCGATTCTTTCCAAGCTCTCACACTTTTGGGGAAATTAAAAAGGAAGAAGCAGCTGTTGATACAGGAGCACAGAGCCAGACAGAAGTCAGATAGGAGACAGAAACACTCTCGGGCCAGAATGAACTCGGCCCCTGCCTAGGTGCACCCCCACTTGGGGCTAAGGCCCCTTGCGTGGTTGTCCTCCCACATGGCTCCCACGCGGTCTCCCAGCCCACCACATTCCTCCGGCCCACACACCTCCGACCAACCTCCACACCCCAAGAGGCCAAGGCCGGGTCTGTTTCTATCCCTCAGGCCTCGGCCCTTGGGTCTCAGTCATCCCCACGCCCCGCCCCATGCTGTCTCTCCTCCCAGGGATTCAGGCCGAGCTTTGAAAGGGTCACTTCAAAGAGGACCTGCCTTCCGAGGGCCTAGCCAGACCCAGGGCCAGCTCCTCGGCCAGATTCCCAGCGGTTGGGGACAAAGGCCCCACTGTTCCCCGACCCCCGGACGCCCCCAAATGCACTGGGCATAAGAAGTCTTTCTTTCCCCAGTTCCGCTCCTTACGGGCCCGGGCTCCTTGCCACCGGGAGTAGCCCTGGCTCCTCCTCCAGGAGAAGCTGGGGGGTTGGCGGGACAGGGAATTACTAGTTTCCCCACTGCCACCACCATACACCCAAACCCCTTGGGCACCCAGGATGATGACAAAATCCAGCCAGGCGCGGTGGCTCACGCTTGTAATCCCAGCACTTCGGGAGGCCAAGGCAAGTGGATCACCTGAGGTCAGGAGTTCGAGACCAGCCTGGCCAACATGCCAGCCAACATGCCGAAACCTTGTCTCTAAAAAAATAAAAAAAATTAGCCAGGTGTAGTGGCACACCTGTAATCCCAGCAGCCCAGGAGACTGAGGCACGAGGATGATGACGCAACCCCGGGGCCAACCTCAGGACCAGTGGCCCAGGCTCCTCTCTGTCCCTCGGCCACCAAGCCCTTCCTGGGCCTAGAATACAATCCCACATTTTCCCACCTATCAGAACCATACCCACCCTTGCAGGCCTCCTCCAGGCAGCCTCTCAGGACTACCTATCCTCTGGGGAGCCTCACAGTCCAAACCATAGCAGCCAACCCCTGATGTTCCCAGAGGCTGGGGACATCTCTGCCTGCTCTCCTCAATGCCCCACAGTAGGAAGTAGGATTCACCTGCTCCTCTAATTTCCTATCATATAGTGCTGATCCCAAGGCAGGGCCCTTAAAGTTTCCTGTGCCAAGCCTTTGCTGAATTCTCTCTAGTGCACATCATTCTCCAGCCTGTGCTTGCCCAGACCTCACTGCACCTCCAGTGATGGGGGCCTCATTACCTCCAGAGGCAGGTCACTTTCTCTTTAGATTGCTCTGACCATAAAGGTCAGTACTTTTTACTGAGGCAAAAGTGCATTGTTCTCATTTCTATCCATTGATTTTTTTTAATAATAGTTGCTACCAATAATTGAGATTACTAAATCTCAGCCACTTTACCAATACTACCTCATTTAGCCCTCTCTGTAATTTTGAGGGATTATTTCAGGGATAAGAAAACCAGCCAGGTGTGGTGGCTCACACCTGTAATCCCCGCACTTTGGGAGGCCAAAGTGGGAGGATCACTTGAGTCCAGGAATTTTGAGACCAGCCTGGGCAACATGGCAAAACCCTGTCTCTATAAAAAATACAAAATGGAAAAATTAGCTGGGCATGGTGGCATGCACCTGTAGTCTCAACTACTCAGGAGGCTGAGGAGGGAGGCTCACTTGATCCCAGGAGTTCAAGGCTGCAGTGTACCAAGCTCACACCACTGCACTTCAGCCTGAGCAACAGAACAAGACCCTGCCTCAAAAGAATAAAAGAAAGCCGAGGCTAAAACAATGAAGTAACTTGTCCAAGGGCACACAGTGAACAAGGAGTACATCTAAAATTTGGACCTCAGCAGGCTGAAGGCAGGCAGAGCTTTTTTGTTTCGTTTGGTTTGGTTTTTTGAGACAGGGTCTCATTATGTTGCCCAGGCTGGAGTGCAGTGGTGCAATCACAGCTCACTGCAGACTCGAACCCCCCAGCTCAAGTGATTTTCCCACTTCCACCACCCGAGTAGCTGGGACTACATGCCCAGCTAATTTTTTTTTTTTTTAAGACTACATTTTGCTCTTGTCACTCAGACTAGAATGCAATGGCGTGATCTTGGCTCATTGCAATCTCCCTCTCCCAGGTTCAAGCGATTCTCCTGCCTCAGGCTCCCAAGTAGCTGGGACTACAGGTGTGTGTCACTTCACCCAGCTAATTTTGTAATTTTAGTAGGGACAGTGTTTCACCATGTTGGCCAGGCTGGTCTCAAACTCCTGACCTCAGGTGATCCACCCGCCTTGGCCTCCCAAAGTGCTGGGATTACAGGTGTCAGCCACTGCTCCTGGCCCCAGCTAATTTTTAAAATTTTTCTGTAGGTATTGGGTCTCCTTGTGTCACCCAGGCTGGTCTCAAACTCCTGAGTCCAAGTGATCCTCCTACCTTGGCCTCCCAAAGTGCTGGGATTACAGGTGTGAGCCACTGTACCCGGCCTGTGTCAGTTTCTTAATCTGTCAAGTGGGGTGATGGTAATATACCAACATAGTGGTAAGCACTATGGAAGAAGTTGCTATTATCATTTTTCTCGGCCTCAAATAACTCCTACCTGGTAGGGTAGACGGATATGAGATGGAACATCACAGTGTCAGGGGTAGAGCTGGGCATGGGGCGCCCTGGGGGGCCACAGGCGGGGCTGTTCCCTGGTTTGTACTTCACAAACATTTATGGAGAACTGCTCTGTGCCAGGCTCTGTGCTGGCCACTGGGGACACAGAGATGAACAGGATACATTGTCCACTCATCCCTGCAGCTCCCTGCCCTCCCCTCTCCCTCTTGGAGCCCAGTCCATGAACCCTGCACTGAGGGGGGCCACGAAGGACAGAACCAACCACAGAGGGAAAGGCATGGCCTGGGAGCTGGGAGTCAGAAGATGGGTCCTTGTCTGCCGAGGCTGAGGGACCTTGGGCACTCCCCAGTCTGTTTCCCCACTGTAGCGTAACAGAGTTGGACACGATCACCCCTTTGGTCCTCACCCACTCTGACAGGTGGTAAATACACCCCAACCCAAAAGGGCTTTAAAATCTCCCCAAAGTCCAGCCCCAAGGCCATCTCAGCCTGATGTCCCACTGAGGCAATGGGGGAGGAGACACCCACCTGGCACAGATTGGTACTGCCCTGCTGACAAACTGGCACAATTTCACAAGAAACAGGGGGGCCTGGATCTGAAGGCGGGTTGTTTGAAGCGGGTGGAGGGTGCTAGGGGAAAGGCAGCACCAGCTCCCACAGGCCCTATTCATGTCTCTCTCCCGAGATGGTGAGAGCAGGATCATTAAAACCAGGCTTTGTCCAAATCCCTGACCAAGCCAATATCTTACCTTTGAACCCCTGCAGCCAACAGAGCAGGGCTTCATGCCCCTTTGGAAGGAAAACACCAGTGAACCGAGCCCTGGCCCAGTGCTATGGGCTAGCATGGGGCAGGGTGGGAAAGATTGGAGGAGTAAAGAAATAGAACAAAAGACAAGCAACTAAGCTGCAATCCAGCCAGAAGCTGACCTTGATCTTGGGCTGTGTAGAAAATGGACACGGATTTGGGGTGGGAGTGACAGCGGGACATAGCAGGTCCTGAGAAGCCAGATAGTGAGGGTGAGAGCCAGACTCTAGAGCCAGACTGCCACATTCCTACCCTGGCTCCACAGTGCACTGGGGGTGTGATTTGGGCTGCAATATTGGCTATGCCTCAGTGTCCTCAACTGTAAAATGGGGATAATAATGGTATCTACCTCTTAGTGGTATTGTGAGGATCAAATGAGGTAGTTTTTATAAATACTGGCCAGGAGTTTTTGCTGTCTGTGTATTAACTATGAGCTATACTGTGAAAGCAACTCCCCTTTCTTAAAAACACATTTTTTGTTTCCAGGCACCAGTGCTCATTTGAATATATTTGCTGGAATATTTGATATCTCCAATGACCATCTCCAGGTTTCTACATTGGAATCCAACTTCACAAGAATCCACTTGACCCACTATACTGGAGGAAACTTCCCTGCATGGCTAGCCTGGGATGCTGTGGGTCACAAGCCCCTCCCTAGAAGTTCTCCTGAGTATCTAACTGCAGTCCCTCACACTGTAACTTCTTCCATGCTGCTGCTTTGTAGTCTCTCTTTTAACCTTACACATCAAGAAGTCCTTCTGAGTATCCCTGCAATGTAGGATGAAGCAATCCACTACCCACTCCTGCACTGCTCTGCTCAGAACCAGCACCCTCCCTCACCCCCACTCCCATCCATGCCAAGAATGCTGCACTTCTTCCCCGTGAGCCAGGGTCAGCCCGAGGAGAGGGGCACAAGCACAGGGCCTCTTCCCCCCACCCAGTCCTTCTCTGCTTGGGCTGGGATCCACACAAGCCTGACCTATTCCCGTAGTCAGACACCTTCCTAACAGCTTTCCTCCCCAAGCTTCATCTTGTGCCCTGACTACCCTCAAGTGTCCTGGGTTCTTGCCTGGGCACTGTCACTACATAGGCTCAGACCCTCTCTGTGAAATGGGACACCAACACCTACCCTGCCCACTCCCATTCTTCCTGTTTATTATTATTGAGGCCTTTGAATCCAGCACTGAATGTAGAGGATTTACTGCTCCCATGGTTCCCAAGAAGAGGTCAGGTCCTCAGATGCAGGATCTTGGAATTCCCAGCCACCTTGGGGTGGACCCAACCACACTGTGGGCAAGTGGAAGAAGCCGCTGGGGCCGGGGGCCTTTGGGCTGCCTTTGGAGGCGAAATGACTGGTTATATAATCGAGATTCAAATCGCATGCCAAGGAGCACATGGCAGTGAGAGCTGTCACTTTGGGGAATGGGGTCTGTTGCCCTGGCAGAGGGGAGAACCACATGGGATCAAAAGCCACTCACCCCCAGCTAGGCCGCAGGGTTGGGGTGGAGACAGAGAGGGGTGCAGGGGATAGAGATGAAGTATGTGTTGCTGGTGGGGGATTGAATCCAAGGGACTCATGCTTGGATTCATGACCTCCACCCCCACCCCCCGTCCATCCTGAATTTCAAGTTCATAATTAGGAAACACACTTTGGCTGAAGGGAGTCGGGGAGAGATGCAGATTGAGGGAGAACTGAACACACATCCAGCAACCAAGGAACACACCAGTCTCCAAAAGAGTTGCAAGCACCAGATCCCACCTTCAACACTGCCGGGAAAGCTGGGGAGGAGGGTCCCCAAGTCTTTCAGCCCTGTCTAAAGAGGAACAGGCCTCAGCCCTGGCCTTGACCTCAACCTGGACCCCGGGGAATTTCTTTTCCGAGCTCAGGGAAACTGTTGGCCTGACAGTGTTCAACCCTTCAACTTAGGAGCAGGGAGGCCTGCTGGGGGGCTCCTGCAGGGCGGGCAGCCAGGCTCAGAGGTAAGGGAATGGCCCTGATGGGGGGATGGGGCTGGGAGGCCCCTGCTGGCCCCTCCCCAGCCTCAGCAGCTGGCAGATGAAAGAACCCAGGCAGAGCAGCCCAGCGCTGAGTAATGCCCCTGGCACCCCGCGCTCTGACCCACCCACAGCCGGTCGGAGAGGGCAGAGGGGAGGGCAGCCTCGCCGGCAGAGCCCGGGGTCCTGGGCCTGTGTCTAGAACTTCCCCAGGATCCAGGAGGGCGGCGGAACCGCGCCTGGCAACCCGTCCCGCAGTCCGACCCGGCAGGGGGCGAGTGTGGCGCGGGGAGGGGGTGTCCGGACGCCTTAGTGGAGGACGTCCCGCTCCGGGAACCCCCTCCCCCACCCCCTCTCCCTCCAGCTGTGCCGGGGCCTCGCCAACGGAAAACGAAAACTCGGGCAGAGGAAACGGCGGCAGGCGCCCCGCCTGAAAAACCCGAACAAAAGCCGCGGGCCTCCCGCCCCCGCTGCCCAGCCGCTGGGGGCCTGGCACCGCCACCTGGGTCTGTGCCCCCTGTCCTGACAGCCCCGTGCCCGTCCCGACCCCTTGCCTGCTTCCGTCCTTCCCACCCCTCTACCCCGGACAGCTCTTGCTCGGGCCCCCTCCCGGGCCTGCCACCAGCTGAATCTCCCCGCAGCGGTGCCCGCGGTGCCCGCGCCCACCGTGCGCCCCAGGCTGTGCAGGGCGAGCGGGGTCGCAGCGACCCTGGCTTGGCAGCCCGCTCCCCAGCAGCTACCGGCCCCGCCCACTTCCCTGGCCCAGCACCCTCACCTGTGGGGGCCGGGGCTCCGGGCGGGGCGGGATCCCGACCAGGCAGAAGGCGACTCCATTCATCGGGTGGCAGCGGCGGCTCTGCGGCCGGGGCACGGCTGGGGGCGCCGGCAGGGACCCGGGAGGGGCGGGGCCGGGGGCGGGGCCGAGCGCGGTGTGGGGGGGCCCCCCCCGGGGTCCGCCCCCTCGCCCCTCCCCCTTCCCACCACCCACCCCGCGCTCCCTTCTGGGTGCCCCGGCGGCCTCGCTCAAGGGCCACAGACCTGCAACCGGGCTGAGGCAGAGGCGAGCGCTGCCTGAGAGCTGGACGTCAGAGCCCAGCCTGGCGAAGAGAGGCGGTCTCCAGGAGACGCTTGCCCGGCCTCTAAGGGACCGGCCCAGATAGAGGGCCATCCAGGCCCAGGAAAGAGGACAAGGGCACCGAACCCAGAACTAGCACGGGGATAGGGAGGGAGGGAGAGGGAAGCAAAGAGAAACAGCCAGCCAGAGATGGTCAGAAACAGAGATCCAGAGACCCAGAAAGCATGAGAAAGGCAGAGACAAGATAGAGACAGCGCAGAGAGAGGCAGAGAAAGTCAGAAACAAAGATGAGGAGACCCAGGATCAGAAAGGGGGGAAGACAGAAAAAGGCTTAGAGGCCCCCTTCCCTTTAGAGACCCCTAGACATTGAGACACAAGGGAAGATTTAGTGCAGGGGGTGGGGAGACGGGGTGCCCCTCAGTGTAGGGTAAGCCCCTCCCAGCCAGAGTCTCAGCCCAGGATCCCAGAGAGGAGGGGGAGTCGAGCATAGAAGAGAGGCTGGCAGGTGCCCCAGCCCTTCGGACCCCCACCCAGCCAGTCCTGGGGCTCAGGCCATGGGGCCAGCCCACAGTCCTGCTCTGCAGTGAACAGCAGTGACAGCAGAGGCTCCCAATCACCAGCACCCCACAGCCACCCTTCCTGGCTTCACTCTGAGCTGGGCCTAAAGAGATGCCCTGGTCCTGAGCCAGCTTCTTTCCTTGTCCCCCAGAAGGACCCCCTCCAGCCCATCCCCTGACAGTCCAGGGAGGGACAGTCCTTCTGTCTTTCTTTTCCTTTTTTTTTTTTCGGCAGGGTCTCACTCTGTCACCCATGCTGGAGTACAGTGGCACAATCTAGGCTCACTGAAACCTCTGCCCCCAGGTTCAAGTGATCCTCCCACCTCAGCCTCCCCAGGTAGCTGGGACTACAGGCCCATGCCACACCGCCCACCTAACTTTTGTACTTTGGTAGAGATGAGGTTTCACCAGGATGGCCAGGCTGGTCTCAAACTCCTGACCTCAAGTGATATTCGCCTGCCTCAGCCTCCCAAAGTGCTGGGATTATAGGCGTGAGCCACCATGCCTGGCCTTGTCCTTCATTATTAGAAAATAGCTAGAAAATTCTTTCTACTATCTAACTCCCATTCTTCCTGCTTCTTACTTCCTCCAGCTTATGCTTACCTCTTTCCCATGACTTTTTCAGTTTAAGGGGCTTCCATATTCCTTTTCCCAGATTATGTAGAAAAGAAGGCGGAGGATAAAATAGGACTTGGAGAGAGGAGGCAGTGAAAGCGGGAAGGCCAGCTCTGCCTGCTGGAGTCACCACCTTCCTTGGGCAAGGAGACCCCTGAGAGCCGAGCAGCCCCAAGACCTCCACCCCTTTAACCTTGATCAGGGTTGGGAACTCAGGTCTTAGAGGGGTTGGGGTGCCCCAGACAACAATTAGGCCATCCCTACTCCTGTGAACCTGAGGAATGAGATACTGACTGGGGTTTAGCTCATATGCTTTATTTAATGTATTTTAAATCCCCTGGCAGTCAAGAGAAAGGGATTCTGTTTCATAATAATGGAGGGGCAGTTAAATGACTCCTCTCCCTTCCTCATCCCTTTTTATCAAGGTCATGTGCAGCCAGAATTAGCCTCCACTTCTGGAAAGTCCTTCCTGCTGTCTAACTGTAATCTGTCATACTGCCTGGATTTTTTTTTTTTTTTTTTTTTTGAGATGGAGTTTCACTCTTTTTGCCCAGGCTGGAGTGCAATGGTGCCATCTTGGCTCACTGCAACCTCTGCTTCCCAGATTCAAGCTATTCTTCTGCCTCAGCCTCCCAAGTAGCTGGGATTACAGGCGCCTACCACCACACCTGGCTAATTTTTTAATTTTTTGTATTTTTAGTAGAGACAGGGTTTCATCATGTTGGCCAGGATGGTCTCGATCTCTTGACCTCGTAATCCACCCTCCTCGGCCTCCTAAAGTGCTGGGATTACAGGCATGAGCCACCGCGCCTGGCCTACTGCTTGGATTTTCTTGCTTAACTTTCCACCAGGTCCCTGTTCCTGTCTCTTTCTGCCCTGTAGCTCCAGTGGTCCAATGCTTGTTGCCACCTTGGCTCAGAGGTCCTTTCCTCCCAGGATAAAGGGTTGTCTCTGTGAGGGAGAAAGGTTGGCATCTGAAATCAGACTGAACTGAGGCCATGGGGGAGGAGGGAGGGTGGTGGCCGTGGGGTGCCCCTGGCTCACTTTTTCCAGAGCCTGATGCCCTCAGACCCCGCAGGAGGGGGTGAGAGGAAATGAGCTCACACTGACCGGCAGGCGAATTCCTCCCTCCACAATGCACTGCACAGCCTCCCCCACCCGCTCCCACTTCCCAGAAAGTGCGGCTCTCTCCCCACCCTGCCGCCCTTCCCACCTCTTCCTGCACCTTGACCTGCACCCCCACCCTGTCCCAGCCCACCTCATCTATCTTCTTTAGCTGCTCTTCCTCCTCACCTTCCTCTCCATCCGGGCTCCCCTTCCTCTCTCGACACTCTGGGTCTCACTCCATGCATCCTGCCATCCGCCCCAGCACCCACTGTATTCCTGTACCCTATTTTTTTGGGGTTTGGAGCCATAGAGCCCAACATGGGGAGAGTCTCCCTGGTTGAGGACCCTCCTCATACTCCCCCTCTTTCCAAACTCCTTCCCCAGCCCAATCACCATCCTTCATTCACAAGGTCTACTATGTGAGGGGGTAGAGGAGAGGAGGGGGTGGGGTAGGTTGGCCCTGGGAATACAGAGGTGAGGCCTAGATCCTTCCCTTGAGGGGCCTGGGTCTCCTCCAGTTGTGACTCTATAAAGAACTCCCAGCACAGGAGCACATTCGGCTGGAGAAGCAGAGGAGGCTTCCCCAGGAGGTGCCTTGAGCTTCTTGGGCTTCCTGGATGGGGCAGGGGAGAGTGGGAATAGGGAAAAAGGCACTCCAGGGAGAGTGATGCTCAGGGCGAACCAGGGAGGCAGGAGAGAGAGCAGGCTCCGGCATCGGCATCGTGGCTGGAGCCAAGTGGAGGGTGCCTATGGGCAGGAAGCATGGAGGGATGAGGAAGGAAACACAGGCGGGGGTGTGACGCTGGAGGGGCTGCCCAGAGGCGCTTCCGTGCTAGCCTGGTTTGGGGCAGGGAGCTGAAGCAGCGATGTGCCATGGCCACCGTGGCACATAACGGGAACAGGAATGGAGGGCGGCAAGCAAAGTGATTCTAGGAGAAAGGTACCAAAGCAAGGGGCAGGGGCAACAAACAACAGAGGCTCTGGGATTTGGTGAGCAGGAGGAAGGAAATGGAAGAGTGCAGGGCAAGGCCAAGGCCTGGAATATCAGGTTGTCTAGGGTGTTCACAGAGAGAGGGGACAAGCCAGGCACGAAGTCCTTTGTATGTGAGATCCCAGTTAAGCCTCACAAAGGCCTGTGAAATAGATCTCAATCCTCATTCTATGGATAAGGAAAATGAGGCCCAGAGAACTCAAGTATCTTACCCAAGGCCACACAGGATTTGAACCCAGGCATTTGGGCTCCAGGGTCTATACACTTAACCCGCAGGCTGTGAGGCTGGTGGAATGGTGACAGGCTGCTTAAACCGTGGGTCCATCTTCTGAAAGAGAGGCTTGAGCTAGAGACTCTGGTAGTCCCTGAGACCAGGGGTGTGGTTCAGATTCTCCAGGGAGAGTGAAGAGTGAGAGGAACCCTGGCTTGGGGGTAGGCAGAGAAGGAGGAGGCAACAAGGACTGGGAGGAAGCAGGCAGCCAGAGAAGGTGGCACTGTGTGGGGCAGAGACAACAGCCTCGGGGGCCAGTGGGTGTGGGGGTCAGACTGTGCAGGGAGGAGGGGCCCCAGGGAGGAGGGAGTCGAATCTGCCCACTGAGCATTAACAGGAAGGGACAGGCGACAGGCAGGCAGCACAGGTGGGTGTGGACAAGGCAGGTGTCTGTTTGGGTGGGGAAGACTTCAGCAGGCTGTTGGGTTGAGGAGCAGGTGCCAAGGAGAGACAGCCGGAGGGGACGCAAGGAGGGCGTGATGAGCGGACTGGAGGAAAAGTATCTGGAGGGTGGGGCTCCAGAGGAGGAACCCAGGTTTATGATGTCCTCAAAGGAGCCCTGAATCAAGAATCTGAAGACCTGGGTTCAAATTCGTGCTGCACCCTCCCTGCGCCCCAGCCCCCAGTAGCTGTATGACTTTTGAGAACAAGTATATTCTCAGAACCTCAGTTTCACCCTCTGTAAGATGAAAACGATAAGGCCTTCTCGGCCTGCCTCTGATTTGAGGCTCACATTTGACAAAGAATCTGAAAAACTCTGTGAGCTGAAAAGGAAAAACCATAATGTATGAAAGGTGGGTTATGGGGCACGGGCACCTACACCTGGCCCCAGCTCAGGCCCTTCCACCAAAGGAGAAAGAGCATCCCCTGGTGGAGAAGGATGGCAGGGCAGGACTAAAGGGGACAGCGGTTCTTGCACTTTTATGGCTTCAGCCCCCAGGTCCTCTACTTGTCCCCCACAGGCAACACCCCCACCACAGTTTGTATCTCCAAAGCGAGAGGGGCCCCATTTAATCAAGTCAAAAGACATTTATTGGCCAGGCGCGGTGGCTCACATCTGTAATCCCAGCACTCTGGGAGGCTGAGGAGGGCAGATCACTTGAGGTCAGGAGTTCGAGACCAGCCTGGCCAACATGGTGAAATCCCATCTCTACTAAAAATACAAAAACTTAGCCAGGCGTGGTGGTGTGCGCCTGTAATCCCAGCTACTCAGGAGGCTGAGGCAGGAGAATTGCTTGAACTGGGGAGATGGAGGTTACACTGAGCTGCGATCATGCCACTGCACTCTTGCCTGGGCGATAGAATGAGACTCTGTTTCAAAAAAAAAAACAAAAAGCAAAACAAAAAATTAGCCAGGCATGGTGGCACGTGCCTGTAGTCTCAGCTACTTGGGAGGCTGAAGCAGGAGAATCGCTTGAACCCAGGAGTCAGAGGCTGCAGTGAGTCGAGATCATGCCGCGGCACTCCAGCCTGGGTGACAGAGCAGAACATCGTCTCAAAAAAAAAAAAAAATTATTGAGCACCTAGTACATGCAAACTGCTGTGTTGGGTGGTAGGGAGGGAACCGTCCCCATATTCCACGGAGGGCAACAAACACAGCAAAGGGTGCCTGGGATGGTGCTGAGATTGTGGTGCAAGCACAGTGTTGAGCAAAACAAGAAGGAGCCTCCAGTGACTAGGGGAGGAAGAAGGGGTCTTGGGAGGCAGGCAGGGTTTGTCCTAGACCTCAAAGCCCTCTACTAGCAAACGTCAGAGAAAGGAGGGAGAGGGTGGGGCACAGGCGCTGGCCACAGCCCCAGACATCCCATAGAGTGAACCTCACTGACCATATTTAATGATGGAGGGTGGGGCAATGGTCCACTCAAGATGATGCCAGTTCCCACTCATCCCTGGTGTCAGGTCTCCCAGGAATCCTGTGAGAAGAATCCCACCTGAACACCCCTTGGGGAGGGAGGCTGAAGACCCATGGCCAGGCTGGGGCCAAAGAGCTCTGGTAATCTGCCAAGCAGCTGGGGCCTACGCAGAAAACCTCTGGACAGCTGGCTACGGCGGGAGCGAGAGGCTGCATCTTGTCTGAGCTGGCAGCAGGGTAAGCTGGCAGCAGGGTAAGCAAGCCACACCCAGCGAGGCCCCATGTCAGGTCAGGAGGTGGCCGACAGAAAATCCACCCCTGCCACTCTGAACTGGCCATCTTTAGGGAAACTACGTTTGGGAAACCCAGCCCAGCAGGCTTTTCACTGTGTGACACCCTGTCAGGGAAGGCCGGTGGCACGGACCCTGTGTATGAGTGAGTGTGCGCGAGGCTCAAAGATGCCTTACAAAAACCATGCCGTCACTCAGCAGGGGCTTGCAAACACCAAGACGGAGAGGAAAGGAATTAAAATACGTTGAGCACCCACTATGTGCCAAGCTCTTTATAAACATTATTTCATTTAGTCCCCATGACAACACTGTAAGGTGGGTATTATTAGCCCCGCTATGTAAATGAGGAAACAGACACAGAGAGGCTAAGTAGCTTGTCCAAGATCTCCCAGCTAGGATTCAGGATTCTAGCCGAAGTCTGATGTTGCTCTTTCTATCGAATGATCCCTCTGGGAGGGGTCAGGCCAGGGAGTTCATTCCAGCTCAGGATGCTAAATTCTACAGTTCTACATAGGGCTTTTCAATTCTTCCTGCTTCTGTTCCAGGCTCCCAGCCCCTGCCCAGCCCCACCTGGTCCCCACACATCACTGCACATGGGACCCATCCTCCTCCCTGTCTCCATTTTGCCCTTCTGGAAGGGAAGAAGGAGAGGAGCAAAGAGGAAAGAAGGGGAACATAGAGGAAGGGAAGAGAGAGGAAGCAAAGGGGAAGGGATTAGAGAGGAGGCTCCCACCTCCCCGTCGAAGCTCTGGAAATCCCCCTGCAGCTGCTCCCCTCTCCTCTGTCTGGCCCTGAGCCAGCCCTGGGTGGGAGTGTTGGGAGTCAGATGAGGAGAAAAGAGGGGCGGGACTGACCACAGTGGGGCAAGCCCCTCAGTCCTGGCACTCACCCCACCCAGCAGTTCCAGCCCCCGTGAGAGATTCCAGGCATGCTCCCCTTTAAGGAAGCCCTCCATGCCAAAATCCACACATACCAAACAGACACATCGGCGGCTCACGCACTATAAAAGGATTCTTTGCTTTACAAGAGGGCTCAGCACATGGGAAACTTAAAATAGGAGCTTCCCCTGGTGCAATGAAAGAAGCTCTGATTTCAGACGCACTCCATACACACCACGCTTCCGGTGCATCCAGAAAGCCGGGCGTTAACCACATCAGCCTAGGCACCTCGGAGAGTGTGCCGATCATCAGAGTCCATGTCTGTGGGGAGGGACCTCACAGTCCAGGGGACAGGCTGAGCTGCTGTGCTTGGCAGAGGTGTCCTAGGACATCCAGAAAGGACCAAGAAGCCACCACTTGGCATAGCTGGCAGAGATTTCACAGCAGCCCAGACAGGATGAATGTCCAAGGCTTCCCAATGATTCTGTAATGGAGCCAAGGGCAGAAGCCCAATGTCCTGACTCCCCTTGATGTTTCTCCTCCCAGGGGAGGGTACAGGGGAGCAGGCTGTGGTCTGTCCTCTGGGAAAGGGGAAGCGGCTGATCCCCAGAACAGTTACGGAGGGCTGATGAAGGCCAATGATGGGCAGATGGGCTACTTGGAGGAACAACTCAGGCTGAGCTGCAGGCCCAGTGAGATGCATTTAGGATTCTCTAGACAGGAAGCAGTAGTGGCCCCTAGCCCTGCCCCTCTTTTAAAAAAAAATCCAGGTGAAATTCACGTAACGTAAAATTAGCCATTTTACAGTGAGCAATTCAGTGGCATTTACTACTCTTCCCTCCCTCCCCGCCCTACCACTATTTTTGTGTTCAGTCAGTAATGACAATAGCAGCCAGGCCTGCTGCTCTGGGGAGCTGCCATTGGCCATTTAAATTAATGCCCAAGATGCCAAACAGGCCTGGAAACTGGACCAGCCACAGCCCCGCCCCAGACTCACACCCAGCCCAGGGAGGATGCCCAGAGCACTTTATGCCTCCCAGTGCCCCTCTCCAACCCCCCAGAACTTAGGGTCACCCCTTCCACGGACTCCACCTCCCCCGACTCCTCACCCTCCACTCCTCCTCACCCCTCTCCTCACCACCATCACAGGCCACCCACAAGCCCTCTGCCAGAGTGATAGGGGGCCTGTGCTCAGCCTGGAGGGGAGGGTCTCAGAGCCAGGGCCCCCAGCCACTGCTTTAGGCAGAACAGCCCCAAAGAACTTGGGCCAGGAAAAGAAGGGAGTTAGGGCGGCTGAGCACTGAAAGGTGTGTCCCAAATAGAAAACCTATCCCGCCTCTCCAGACCCCACCTGAGACCTCACCCCAAGTGGGGGTTGGGAAGGGAGTAAGGCAACCCCTGGAGCAGCCCCCTCGCTCTGCCCCCCATCAGGCTGCTGGCTTCTCTTAGATCAGGGGGCTGCAAGTCAGGATACAGCCCCTTGCTCACTGAAGGGGACTGGTCCAGCCTGTCTGGGATTTGCTGAGCTCCGTGCAGGGAATGAGAACTCTGACCAGAGGGGGTCTTCATCCCCGCCCACTGAGCCCAGCCCACACTCAGTGTATTCTGATGGAGCCTGTGTGAAAGGAAGGCAGCACCCCCCTCCCAAAACCTGGCTGGGGCTGCAGCTCTGCCTTTGGGGTGCATTTGGAGAAAGCCTCTTAGCCCACCCCATCTTTTCACTGACATGAAATGGTGGCAGCAGCTGCTGCAGCTGCTGTGACTGGGAAAGGAGGGGAGCCGGGCTGGAAGAAACCCCTTGATGTGTAGGGGGAGGGGACCGGCGTATCTTGAGGTCCCACCAGGAGGGACTGGGGGTCAACGAACCAGTAGTCATATGGCACAGAGCCCACCCACTCCTTCATTCTGCAGAGTCTGTAGCCTCCTTGGGCCTGGGTTCAGGGAGCAGGGGCTGTACCCTTACCAAGTGGGGATGGGGGTTTCTCCGTGTGGGTGATCTCTTTCTGGAAAGGGGGTGGGGAGAGAGGTGCCCTCTGCACACGCCTTCCTAGGTGTCAGTGATAAGGGAGTACTCGTGTGTGTGTGTGTGTGTGTGTGTGTGTGTGTGAGCTCTGTGTCACATCAGTCCCATCCCTCCCCCAGAGCCCCCGCTCCGCCCGGAGCTCCAATGCCCCAACCCCTCCCTCGGTGGCGGCCCTCGGCGCTCGGCGCGCCCACCTCGCCGGGTCACAACGCCCGCAGCTCTCTCTCCCCTCTCGGCCGCGCACCCACGCCCGGCGCCCGCTCACCTGCTCCATGCTGGGCCCTGCTATGCCGTCCTCGCCGCGCCGGCCCCGGGGGGCGCAGGGGGAGGCGGCCCCTCCATGCGCCCTGTCCGGGCAGCTGCACCCGGCGACCGCCAAGCGCAAGTAGCGGCTGGTGTCAGCGCTCGAGCCCCCTCCCCGCACCGCCCCGCCCCGCCGGCCCCGCCCCTCCGCCCGCCCCCTCCCCTCCTCACCCCGCCCGGCCCGTGGCAGCACCGCGCACCGGCGAGCACACGCGCTCACAGGCAACCGCACAATCGCACGCACGCACGTGGGGGCACACACACTCGAACACACACACAACGCGCACCCGACCCTCGCACATCCCTGGCTAGCCCGCTCCGGCACCCCCTGTTCTGCCCGTCCTGGGGGCGCTGCTAGGGGAGAGGAGACCCCTGCAAGCGAAGCCGCTTTCCTCATTCCTGAGGCTCATCGGAGTCGGAAGGACCCTACTCTCATGCTACAGGGGCCAGAGAGTGGCTTGCCAGCGGTCTCACCGCACCTTGGCAACAGAGCTGATCCCAGTTGATCCCAGACCAACTGCCTCCCAAGCTGACGACCCGCTGCAGGGGGTGACTGACAGCAGGCCAGAGACACCCAGAGCACTGGGACTCAGGGAGACACTGTGCCACCCCCACCTCGAGATCGCTGTGGGAACAGGGAGCTGTTGCCGACGTCCAGCCTATAGTTGAAGGTGTTCTGAGGCCCTTGGCTGGGTGTGGGAAAAAGAGATGGGGATTCCTGTTGCCCACCCAGTGAGCCATGTTCCTGGCACTTGCCAAGCAGGAGGAGGGGGCTGATCTGTTTATCCACTCCCAGAGAAGGGGGATCTGAACCCCCAGATACTACTGGAGAACATAATGTGTGGGCAGCGGGGCCGCCCACTCTGGTGAAGACCAAGGAGATGGCAAAAAGACACCTTCGCTCTCTGACACCCTCCATCAGGTGTGGCTCCTGACCACCCACTGCCCTCTGTTCTGCATCTGACAGGGCAGGACAAACTGAGAGGGGCATCACATAAATGGTCATGTGAGAGGTGGGCACGCTGCCCTGGGCAGGGGTACGCAATCCCCAGTGGACAAGGGTGGAAATTAACCTGCCCCGAGGTGGGCGGTGGGGTGGAGGCATTGGTTTACAGGCACTGGCTGCCCACACCCCCTGGGCCAATGCCCAGGCTGGCATGAAGGTGGCTTCACCACTTCTCACTGAGCCCTGGCCTCTTTGTTAGGCACCAGAGGATGAGGGAGAGGGGGTGGGAAGCTGAGATGGGGAGAGTTAAGATCCTCAGTGGCTCAGACAAAGGGGGCTTTATAGGCTGGGTGTGGGGGGCATGTTGGGGGCAGGGAGACAGGAATGTGGGCCAGGGAGGCCCTGAGCTCCGGGCAGCCCATTTTGGGGCTGAAGTTGGACTCCCCCAGCCTCCCATGCTGTGGCCCTGCAGGGTATTTGCTGCTTTGCTCCTGGGACTACAGCCAGGAGTACCCGGAGCCCTCATCCTTGGCCTCCCCTGGTGGCAATCTGGTGGGCACTGCCCACGCACTCCCAGTTTTCCCTGACCAGCTGGCTGCCGCCTCTCTTGGCTTCCCCGCCAGTGCCCTCCCAGCGGCCTTGTGGCTCCTGTCTGCTACTCAAGGACCCTGCTGGCTGCCTGGGGAGGGAGGGACAGACTTGGGTGGGGTCACAAGGCTATGAGGTCAATGGGGCCCTTTGTCCCTTCAGACGGAGTCTGTCTTGAGCTAAAGAGACTGGAGACAGAGAAGAGTGTCAGCCAGCAAGCCTGCCCCTCGCCCTGAGCCGCACTCTCCCGGGCTGTGGTGTAGCAGGGCCCTGGCTGTGGAAGCCAGGCTCCATTCTCTCCAGTTGGTTTCCCTCAGGTTCTCTTTCAGTGCTGAGGAAGTGAGAACAAGAAGGTGGTGGCGGCGGTAGCCACCCATGCTGGGCCTTCAAATAGCTGTTGCTTGGCCAGGCCTAGGGTCTGGTGTTGGGCTTTGCAAGATCAGGGACTGTCTGTCCTCAGAGATGCTAATCTGGCTCTCAGGAGTAAACTCCTACTAGCCAAAGTCATGGTGGCTAGATTGCTAAACCCAATGCTATCTTATCAACACACCTTGAACACTGCAGGAAGATTCACAAGCAGAGTTCCTGAATAAGGAAGGGATAGTACCACCCACAGTCTCTGTGCCAGCCTGCAGGGTCCACAAGTGCAGTCCCCCAGTCCTCCCTCCTCCCTGGCAGGCTGGATCCCCCAGTGCTTCTCTTCTTCTACATCCCACAGGGACCAGAACCTTCAGCAACAATGTTGCCTCAGAGGTACAGCAGTGTGGAGAGGGGCAGGGCTCATTTGATATGAGCCCAGGCTGGAGTGCAGTGGTGCAATCACCACTTACTGCTGCCTCCACCTCCCAGGCTCAAATGATCCTCCCACCTCAGCCTGAGCAGCAGGGACTACAAGTGCATGCCACCATGCCTGGCTAATTTTTTATTTTTTTAGAGACGGGGTCTCAGTATGTAGCCCAGGCTTCCATGGATATTTGTTATTTATTCTATCTCTTTGATAAAGTTAAAATAAGATACTTATCTCTTGATGAGTGTCTTGGCCAAAAACAATCTTTTAGGGGTTTAAAAAAAATGTTCCGGGTGGGTCAGCATCGAATTTTCCAACCATCTCTTCCAGAGGCTTCAAGAGGGAGGCAGACCAGGACTCACCTCCCAGACCTGCCATTTAATATTCGCGCAGTCTTGGGCAAGTGTTCTGACCTCTCTGCCCTGCAGCTCCCTTATCTGTAAACCAGACATGCTAACCGCACCACCTCACAGAGCTGTTGAAAGATGACATGAGAATGTGAGTCTAAAATGCTCGGTCTACTGGTGGGCACAGAAGTGATCAATAAAAGTTAAGCACCGGCAGGGTGTGGTGGCTCACGCCTGTAATCCCAGCACTTTGGGAGGCCGAGGCTAGCGGATCACCTGAGGCCAGGAGTTCGAGACTAGCCTGGCCAACAAGGTGAAACCCCGTCTCCACCAAAATTACAAAAAATTAGCTGGGCGTGATGGCACATGCCTATAATCCCAGCTACTAGGGAGGCTGAGGCAGGAGAAATTCTTGAACCTGGGAGGCGGAGGTTGCAGTGAGCCGAGATTGTGCCACTGCAGTCCAGCCTGGGTGACAGAGCGAGACTCCATCTCACAAAAAAAAAAAAAAAAAAAAAAGTTAAGTGCCTTCTACAAAGGGCTGAATTAATTCATTTTATGTTGATTATTATTAGTTTTAGTTCAGCAGGTGACGATTTCTGACCTTGTCCCCAAATTCTAGGAGGCTATACCCTGGCTACAACCGGGTGTTCCCTTTGCGGGTGGCACCTGCTTTCAGCCAGTTGGGGGCTAGAGGTGAAGAATGGCGGTTTCCAGCCTGGTGCTCATCCCTGCCCCCCAGTCTACTTCCTTCCACCTCGGTAGCCTCCAGGGCTCCCTGGGGAACAGGGAGAAGGTAGAAAGGGAGCTAAGAGCCACGGGTAAGGCAGACAACTCCCGGGGTGCCATGGGCCTAGGAAGGGAGGAAGGAGGGGGATTACCCAGGAGGGAGTGGAAGGAGATGAGAGGGAAGGAGGGGGGCGGCGGGTGGCAGGCCCCACTCCTGCACCTGCTGCTCTGAGAACAAAGCCAAGAATGATGCAATCCTGGCCTGGTGCAGCTGAGGCTGCAGGGCCCCGAGAGAGAAGTGGGTGTCAGGGGCGGGGAGGGCAGTGGGCAGCAGGGCAGGACGCCTGACCTTGATTCACAGCCAACGTGTGGCCCCTTCATGAGGACCCTCAGCCTCCTCCTGAAGCCCCTCACCCAGGGCCAGACCCCTCCCCAGTAGTCACAGCCACCTAATAGGCAGGAGTAGGGCATGATGCAACCAGGCCATCACTCCAGGCAGCCTCCTCAGAGGGAGGGGCATGAGGAGAGGCCCCATCCGGCTCTCAGGCCTCGGGCGGCCGGTCTCTGTCCGCACCCTCTCCATACTGGAGACAAAAAGGCAAAGTCCTCCGAGAAGGTGAGATGGGAAGGTTCAGGAGAGCCCTAACCCGGACCCTGCACAAAATAGTGCCTATTTATAGAATTAACTAGAACCCGCAGCAGACACGGACATGGTCCCGGGCCCCAGTCTCTCCCATGAGCAGCCATCAAGCAAGCGGGGGCGGGGTGCATGAACGTGGCATCCACCGTCCCCAGGTGTCCGCCTCGGCCCCCCAACTCTGCCCCGGAGCCAGGAGAACAAAGGCTTCTCGCTCTCCCTCCACCTGGAGGAGGGGGTCGTGTCCCACACACCAGGGCCAGGTGAGGGATGCCTCATGGGCCAGGGTCCCTGAAAGGGCAGGGCGTTTAATGGGCTAACAGAAGAGGACTGGAGACACCGTGTTTAGGAATATTTAAGTGCGGCCTCACCCCACCACCACCGAGGGGACCTGAGGGAACAGCAGGGTGGCTTAGCCCTGAGGAGCCACTAGGTGGCAGGAGAAGCCCAATGACTCACCCAGCTCTGCCCGCGGCCACCAGCAGCCTCCGGGCCCTTCCCCACCTGGAAGCTCCCTCCTCTCTTTTTCCCTACAGCCCGCTCCTCTGCGGCCTCCGGTAAGAGGAGCTTTTCATTCTTCCTCTGCCTTTGGCAAAAAGAATCTCAATCCTAGTTTTCAAAATACTGCTAACAGGGCCGGGCACAGTGGCTCACGCCTGTAATCCCAGCACTTTGGGAGGCCGAGGTGGGAGGATGGCTTGAGCCCAGAAGTTTGAAGTTGTAGTGAGCTACAATAGCGCTGTTGCACTCCAGCCTGGGTGATGGGCGAGACTCTTTCCCTCTCCCAGCAAAAAAAAAAAAAAAAAAAAAAAAAAAGCCCGCTAATAATAATGATCATGGGGCCAGGAACGGTGGCTCACGCCTGTAATCCCAGCACTTTGGAAGGTTGAGGCAGACGGATCACCTGAGGTCAGGAGTTCGAGACCAGCCTGGCCAACATGGTGAAACCTAGTCTCTACGAAAAATACAAAAATTAGCCAGGCGTGGTGGCAGACGCCTATAATCCCAGCTACTCAGGAGACTGAGGCAGGAGAATTGAACCCAGGAGGCAGAGGTTGCAGTGAGCTGAGATCTTGCCACTGCAATCCAGCCGGGGTGACAGAGAGATACCCTGTCTCAAAAATAATAATAATAATAATAATGATCATAATCAGTGCCGAGAGAGAGAGAGAGAGAGATGACACACATTTGAGACAGAGTCTCGCTGTGTTGCCCAGGCTGGAGTGCAATGGCACCATCACCATTCACTGTAGCCTGGACCTTCCAGGCTCAAGCGATCCTCTCACCTCAGCCTCCTGAGTAGCTGAAACTACAGGCGCACGCCACCATGCCCAGCTAATTTTTTACTGTTTATGAAGACAGGGTCTTGCTATGTCGCGCAGGCTTTTGTGGATATTTATTAAGTGCTCAAGATGTACCAGGCATTTTACACACATGTCTCATTTACTCACACATGAGGTAGGAAATAAAACTCAGGAGGAAACAGACCAAAAAAGCATAAAGTGCCCAAGATCACAAAACGAGCAGGCAGTAGAGCCGGGACTCAAACTTGGGTCAGCAAATCCTGGGCCAGGCCCTCCCCAGGAGTCTTAACAGGCAGGCAGGAGCATGGGAGGAAGCGAAGAGCCCGTGGATGCCCCTGAGATGTCTCATCTGCTATCCTCACCACCGCTCTCCCCCACAACCCCTTGAGATTCTAGGAGGGTGTCTTAGTCTTGGGAGTGAGATGTGAAAATGTTGTCTAAGTGATTCAAGCTCACAAAGCCTCTGCCCTGGCTGAGAACCACGGCACCATCCCCGAAGCCTCTCCGCCAGACTCCACAATGCATTCTGCGGTCTCCCCCACCAGCATTTGCTGAAAACAGTTCCCACATAAACTCCCATTCCAATATGGGAGCTCCCCGGTCCAGGCCCAAAGGTGATTCCAGCCTAGAAGACCTTTCCCCACTGCCACCTCCCTCCTGGCCTGGCTCTGCCTCTGACCTGCTCCATGGTTTTTGGCAAACATTCACAGGTATCCCTTCATGTGCTCGGCTGGGGGATGGGGGTCATCCCAGAAGATGAGCAAGACACAGAGCCCGCTCTCCACATGCAGTCGGCGTTTAACATGTCCAGAGCCGTATGGGATCCCAGTCAAAGACATATCTGCCCCGTATCCAGACAGGTTTTTCTTTGTTTTGAGACAGAGTTTTGCTCTGTCACCCAGGCTGGAGTGCAGTAGCTCAATCACAGCTCCCTGCAGCCTTGATCACCTGGGCTCAATCAATCCTCCTGCCTCAGTCTCTTAAATTGGTTGGGACTACAGGCACATGTCACCATGCCCAGCTAATTTTTTATTTTTTTTTCTTAGAGATGGGGTCTTGCCGGCCGGGCGCGGTGGCTCACGCCTGTAATCCCAGCACTTTGGGAGGCCGAGGTGGGTGGATCACGAGGTCAGGAGATCAAGACCATCCTGGCCAACATGGTGAAACCCCGTCTGTACTAAAAAAAAATACAAAAAATTAGCCAGGCGTGGTTGTGGGCATCTGTAGTCCTAGCTACTCGGGAGGCTGAGGCAGGAGAATGGCATGAACCCGGGAGGTGGAGCTTGCAGTGAGCCGACATCACGCCACTGCCCTCCAGCCTGGGTGACAGAGCGAGACTCCATCTCAAAAAAAAAAAAAAAAAAGAGATGGGGTCTTGCCATATTGCCTAGTCTGGTCTTGAGCTTCTGGGCTCAAGCAATGCTCCTGACTCTCTATTTTTTTTTTTTTTTTTGAGACCGAGTCTCCCTCTGTCACCCAGGCTGGAGTGCAGTGGCACGATCTCGGCTCACTGCAACCTCCGCCTCCCAGATTCAAGTGATTCTTCTGCCTCAGCCTCCTGATTAGCTGGGATTACAGGTGCCCACCACCACGCCCAGCTAATTTTTATATTTTTAGTAGAGATGGGGTTTCACCATGTTGGCCAGGCTGGTCTCAAACTCCTGACCTCAGGTGATCCACCTGCCTCTGCCTCCCAAAGAGCTGGGATTACAGGCATGAGCCACCATGCCTTCCCCATACTCCTGACTCTTAAAGTGCCGGGATTATAGGCGTGGGCTACTGCGCCGGACCCATATATCAGGTTTTTCAATACCAGGGCATGGGGAAGAAGAGGCACCAAGAGATGACACCCACTGCATAGTGAAACATCTTGACTTTATCGGTCTCACACACAGGACAGCTGTTGCCAAAGACCTTCCTACCCATTTCCAAACCTTCTCAATGTCCCCCAAGCTCAGCCATTACCATTTCCTCTTACTTTTCTCTCCCAGTATAAATCCAGCTAGCCTCTCCCGTTCTCCCATCATCCCTGGATCTGCAGAATAAGGGCCCAGAAATAAAATCAAGTTTCTCAGCAGTGCAGGGGCCAGGAAGCCAGGCCTTGACACCCACCCCCCACCCTGACCCTGATGAGATGAGAAACCTGGGATGTAAGCCTAGGATGTGAGAAGGGGGCCTGGGTTGAGCTCTCTTTAAATGCAGGGTTTCTGTTAAGTGATAACTCAGCAGGGAGTAGCAGGTGGCTCAGTGCAGTCTCTGGCCACTGGACAAAGCCAGCTGACCCTAGATCAGTGGCGTCTTCCATCCAAGAGCAGCGACAGCTCTGTCATCCTCTATGATGTCAAGAGGAAGCAGTCCACATCCCACCTCTGGAACATCTTGGGTTACCGCTGTATACTTCTGTCTTTCTTTCTCTTTCTTTCCCTCCCTCCCTCCCTCCCTTTCCTTCCTTCCTTCCTTCCTCTCTCTCTCCTCTCTCTCTTTTTACTTTTCTTTTTCTTTTTGGTCAGAGTCTCACTCTGTTGCCCAGGCTGGAGTGCAGTGTCACGATCTCAGCTCACTGCAACCTCCGCCTCCCGGGTTCAAGTGATCCTCTCCTGCCTCATCCTCCACACACAGGCATGTGCCACGATGCCCATCTAATTTTTTGTATTTTTTAGTAAAGACGAGGTTTCACCATGTTGACCAGGCTGGTCTCAAACTCCTGACCTCAGGTGATCCACCCACCTAGGCCTCCCAAAGTGCTGGAATTACAGGCGTGAGCCACCGCATCCACCTTGTATCACACCTTTCACACTCCTACTCCAACCATGAAAATTTCAGTCTCTTGAGAAAGTTTTGCAGAAGACTGACATTTGGGGCCGGGCACTGTGGCTCATGCCTGTAATCATAGCACTCTGAGA
Organism: Homo sapiens; assembly: GCF_000001405.40. Classification (NCBI taxonomy): domain Eukaryota; kingdom Metazoa; phylum Chordata; class Mammalia; order Primates; family Hominidae; genus Homo; species Homo sapiens. Next base: position 38,411,120 of record NC_000017.11, on the reverse strand, counting down.
GGCTGAGGCAGGTGGATCACTTGAGGCCAGGAGCTAGAGACCAGCCTGGCCAACATGACAAAACCCAGTCTCTACTAAAAAATACAAAAATTAGCCGAGTATGGTGGCGCATGCCTGTAATCCCAGCTACTTTGGAGGCTGAGGCATGAGAATCACTTGAACCGGGGAGGCGGAGGTTGTAGTAAACTGAGATCGCGCCACTGCACTGCAGCCTGGGTGATAAAGCGAGACTCCATCTCAAAAAAAAAAAAAAAAAAAAAGAAGAAGAAGAAAAAGACTGGCATTTGGTGACTAAAAATCCCCACCTCTAAACAATCCAGTTGTCCAGTGTGAAAGGTGGAGATCCAGGTTCAAGGACTGGCTAACTAGAGGGGAGGGAATATTAGCAACATTCGTGGGAAGGGGGCTGATCTCATCTCCTCAACTTACCACCACCTTGGCACGGCCATTTAACTGTGCCAGGCCCTGGAAGTGGGGAGAGAGATGAATAGGACACTGTCCCTCGCAGAGGTCACAGTCGGAACAAGCAGGCAGAGATAGATGAACAAATGTCATAAGAGAGGAAAGAGCCATTTGTTTGTGGCTAGTGACAATTCCAATTCCACAGAGTGACCCTGGGGCAGGGCCCTGAAGAATGAGTTCAGCAGGTAAAGAGGGTGACAGGTAAGGGTCCTCCAGGCACAGGGTGAACCATGAGGGAAGGCAGAGTGGCAGGAGGGATGCCATGATTACAGGCTTCAGGTCACACATGTGACCAGACTGAAGCCTACGTGTCAGGGAAGGAAAAACAGCATTGGAAGGCAGGTTGATGGTCAAGATTTCAATGGGGATTTCTCTTGGTTGAAAGACATCAAAGACTGTAAACTAAAGAAATGACACCATTGGGCATGGTGGCTCATGCCTGAAATCTCAGCACTTTAGAGGCCAAGGTGGAGGATGCTTGAGCCCAGGAGTTCCAGACCAGCCTGGGCAACATAGTGAGACACTTGTCTCTACAAAAAGATTAATTAGCCAGGCATGTTGGCTTGTATCTTAGTCCCAGCTACTCAGAAGCCTGAGGTGGGAGGATTGCTTGAATCTGGGAGGTTAAGGCTGCAGTGAGCCAAGATTGAGCCACTGTACTCCAACCTGGGCAACACAGTGAGATCTTATAGAAGGACATTTTTTTTTTTTTTTGAGACAGAGTCTCACTCTTTCGCCCAGGCTGGAGTGCAGTGGCGCGATCTCTGCTCACTGCAAGCTCCGCCTCCCGGGTTCACGCCATTCTCCTGCCTCAGCCTCCCAAATAGCTGGGATTACAGGTGCCCGCCACCACGCCCGGCTAATTTTTTGTATTTTCAGTAGAGGCGGGGTTTCACCGTGTTAGCCAGGATGGTCTCGATCTCCTCCTGACCTCGTGATCCGCCTGCCTCGGCCTCCCAAAGTGCTGGGATTACAGGCGTGAGCCACCGCGCCCGGCCAGAAGGACATTTTGAAGGACTAGAGAGGAGAAACAGAAGCAGGAAGACCAGTTGAAATTGTCCAGGTTCACGAAGGAGAATGCCTAATGAGGACATGGCAATAGACGGATGGTGAAATCATAGCTTCAATGGGGATGTGTGCAGCAGAGGAAGCTGCAAAATTCCTCTCAAAAACCCCTTGCGGAGGGGCTCCATTAGGGATCAGCTAGTGCCTCTCCTGAGCTGGAGTCAACTCTTGTGCCTTTGGCTGAGCACCAGTGAAAACAGTTGGTCTTCAGAATCCACGTAGTACAAATATGCACTGGAATCCTTATACGCGAGATGCTCACACTATGAGAGGCTGGAGGGAACCAAGAGACATAAAACTTACTGTTCCCATCTCACCTTCAATCGGGGGGGCACACAATGGAATGAATGAGGAATCTCCGGCACTATTACTTGCCAAGTGCTTATCATTGAATTCAAGTAAGTATGTGCGTGAGAAGACTCCATTGCAGTGGTTTGATGGAACAGCCTTTGTGATGAGGAGATGAAGCAGGTAGTTTCAGGTTTGGAGGTGAAGACAGTGGGAAGGGGTTTTATTTGGGGCCCATTGTTTCCAAAAGAATGCTAGGCTGGGCACAGTGGCTCATGCCTATAATCTCAGTGCTTTGAGAGGCCAAGGAGGGAAAATTGCCTGAGGCCAGGAATTCAAGGCTGGAGTGAGCTATGATCGTGACACTGCCCTTCAGCCTGGGCATCATAGCGAGACTCTTTCTCTACCAAAATTTAAAAAAAAAGTTTTTAAGTTAGCCAGACGTAGTGGCACATGCAGCCCACCTACTCAGGCGGCTGAGGCGGGAAGTCAATGCAACTGGTCACCCAAGAGCTCTGATGGAGCTGCACAAGGAGATGAGTGTTGTTTTTGTGACTGCTAACACAACATCCATTCTGCAGCTGATGGATCAAGGAGTAATTTCGACTTTCAAGTCTTATTTATTTTTCGGAGATGGAGTCTCTCTCTCTCTGTTGCCCAGGCTGGAGTGCAATGGTGTGATCTCGGCTCCCTGCAACCTCCGCCTCCTGGGTTCAAGTGATTCTCATGCTTCAGCCTCCCAAGTAGCTGGAATTACCAGCATGCATCACCACACCCGGCTTATTTTTGTATTTTTAGTACAGATGGGGTTTCATCATGTTGCCCAGGCTGGTCTTGAACTCCTGACCTCAGGTGATCCACCCACCTCGGCCTCCCAAAATGCTGGGATTACAGGCATGAGCCACCGCGCCCAGCCCCAGCTTTTTTTTTTTTTTTTTTTTTTTGAGGCGGAGTCTTGCTCTGTTTCCTAGGCTGGAGTGCAGTGGTGGTGTGATCCTGGCTCACTGCAACAGCCTCCTGAGTAGCTGGGATTACAGGTGTGTGCCACCACACCCAGATAATTTTTGCATTTTTAGTAGAGACGGGGTTTCACCATGTTGCCCAGGCTGGTCTTGAACTCCTGACCTCAGGTGACCCGCCCACCTTGGCCTCCCAAAGTGCTGGGATCACAGGCGTGAGACACTCCACCTGGCCCTCAAGTTTTACTATTTAAGAAATACAATCATGCCAGGCGCGGAGGCTCATGCCTGTAATCCCAACACTTTGGGAGACCAAGGCGGGCAGATCACGAGGTCAGGAGATGGAGACCATCCTGGCTAACACGGTGAAACGCCGTCTCTACTAAAAATACAAAAAATTATCCGGGCGTGGTGGCAGGCTCCTGTAGTCCCAGCTACTCAGGAGGCTGAGGCAGCAGAATCGCTTGAACCGGGGAGGCGGAGGTTGCAATGAACCGAGATCACACCACTGCACTCCAGCCTGGGTGACAGAGTCTCACTCTGTCTCCAAAAAAAAAAAAAAAAAAAAAAAAAAGGGAAATACATTCATAAGGCTGTAGCTGCCATAGTGATTCCTCTGATGGATCTGGGCAATGCAAATTAAAAACCTTTTGGAAAGGACTTGCCATTTTAGATGCCATTAAGAATATTCGTGTCACGCACGGTGGCTCACAATTGTAATCCCAGCATTTTGCGAGGCTAAGGCGGGTGGATCGCCTGAGATCAGGAGTTCAAGACCAGCCTGGCCAACATGGTGAAACCAGGTCTGTACTAAAAATACAAAAATTAGCCAGGCATGGTGATGCACACCTGAAATCCCAGCTACTCGGGAGGCTGAGGCAGGAGAATCGCTTGAACCCAGGAGGCGCAGGTTGCAGTGAGCCGAGATCATGCCATTGCACTCCAGCCTGGGTGACAGAGTGAGACTCCATTTCCAAAAAACAAAGATCATTCATGATTCATGGGAGGAGGTCACAGTATCAACATGAACAGGAGTTTGAAAGAAGTTAATTCCACGAAAATGGAAGTTAATTCCACGAAGAAGTTAATTCCCCTATGAGGGGGTTCAAGACTTCAGTGGAGGAAGTAACTGCAGATGTGGTGGTAATAGCATAACTAGAATTAGAAGTGGAGCCTTGAAGATGTGACTGAATTGCTACAATTTTATGATAAAACTTAAACAGATGGGAGTTGCTTTTTTTTAAGGGACAAGACTGGGTCTTGCTTTGCTGCCCAGGCTGGCCTTAAACTCCTAGGCTCAAGGGATCCTCCTGCCTTGGCCTCCTGAGTAGCTGGGGCTACAGGTGCGTACCATCACACCTGTCTGGAGTTACTGCTTATGGATGAGCAAAGAAAGTAGTCTCTTAAGATAGAATCTACTCCTGGTGAAGATGCCGTGAACTTTGTTGAAATGACAACAAAGGACTGAGAATGTTACATGAACCTAGTTGATGAAGCAGTAGCAGGATTTGAGAGGGCTGACTCCAATTTCGAAAGGAGTTCTACTGTGTGGAAATGCTATCAAACAGCATCACATGCTACAGAGAAATCTTTTTTGAAAATAAGAGTCAAATCAATGCAGCAAACCTTATTGGTGATCTTAAGAAATTGCCACAGTAGGCCAGGCGCGGTGGCTCACGCCTGTAATCCCAGCACTTTTGGAGGCGGAGGCGGGCAGATCACGAGGTCAGGAGATTGAGACCATCCTGGCTAACACAGTGAAACCCTGTCTCTACTAAAAATACAAAAAAATTAGCTGGGCGTGGTGGTGGGCGCCTGTAGTCCCAGCTACTCGGGAGGCTGAGGCAGAAGAATGACGTGAACCTGGGAGGCGGAGCTTGCAGTGAGCCGAGATCGCACCACTGCACTCCAGCCTGAGCGACAGAGCAAGACTCCGTCTCAAAAAAAAAGAACAAGAAATTGCCGCAGCCACCCCAACCTTCAGCAACTGCCACTCTAACCCATCAGGAGCCATCAACATCGTGGTAAGATGCTTCATAAGTGAAAAGATTACAATTTGCTGAAGGCCCAGATGATCGTGTTTTTTAGCAATAAAGTATTTTTAAATTATGCACATTATTTTTTAAGATTACACACTTACAACAGCATAGTGTAAACATAACTTTTATATGCACTGGGAAACCAAAAAATTTGTGCAACTTGCTTTATTGTGATGTTCACTTTATTGCGGTTGTCTGGAATGGAACCCACAAAATCCCCGGGATATGCCGATACACACGTTGTCAACCAGAGGAACAACTTAGTCCCTTTCTCTCCGAAGAGCACAGCTTAAGCAATAGTAGGCTAGAAAGGCAGCAGGAGGGCTATGGGTTGAACTTAGGAAAAACCTTGGTGCCAGCCACAGGGAATACTAGGAATGACTGCTATGGTAAATATGAACTCTCCTTAGGTAGAGCCCCACGCCAATGCTCACCAAGACAAAAAGGCCACGGGCACTCAGCCCCAGAAAGCTCTCGGGAATGCTCCTACACTTCCTAGGGAAGGAGAAGGTAGCTCTGAGCAGTGGCCATCAGCCTCAGGGATTTTTCAGCACCTCTAATTCTGACAAGCCTAGTGCTGGGTGCACTCTGCTTGGCTGACATCACAGGGATCACCCATTCCCCAGGGCTGGGTCATCAGATCCTATTGGGGCATGTCAGGAGTCACATGAGATGGGAGAGGGAGTGAAAAACACCAAACCAAAGAACATGAAATAATTTCTAAACATTTTTATTTCAAATCTCTTTTCACCCCTCCCCAAAAAGACATGGGTAGGTACAGCAATCATAAAAAGGAGATACAAACACAAGAGTCAAATGTCTCTCGCACTGACACTTACAAAAAACTGGGAATTGTACATGGGGTTTCCAAACAGGACCTGCAGCAGCTACTAACGTCCCTTTACGAGAGTCAAACATGCCTATTAATACAGTATATACAGACACCCCATTCTGGAACTAATCTACAGGGACATCCCTAACCCCACCCCCTCTATCCCCAGAAAAATACCAAAACACACCCAAAGTGCATTTGTTTTGTTTATATCAAAACCTCTTTCCCTTTCCCCATCCCACCCTCAGACCCCTCCCACCCCATTTAAGATTGGCCTGCAAGTCTATTTTAACCATTTAGTATTTTTTTATAGTTTATGAAAATAAATTATACAGCAACTATTTTAATAAATTAAGCACAAAAGGAAGGGTAAAAGAGGAAAACTAAATGGGAAGACAAAAGCCAGGCCACGCTTTGGCTTGGAGGAGGGCAGAGGGGGGGCTAACGGAGACAGAAGTGGTTGCAAGGGGTGGCTCCCTTTCTGGTGAAAAATTGGCAACCACCCCGAGCCCAGAATGACACCCCTCTTCATCGAGTTTCTTAAAAACAACCAAAAACGTACAGCAGTGGCTATGCCACAGGCAGCACCAGTGTGGGCATTCCAACAGCCAGCTACCCAAAGTGGCACCTGGACCCTACCTGTCCCTTGGACAGGTTCTGGGCCTAAGAGTGAGGGACAGGTCCCCGCCCAAGGGAGCACCAGAGATGGAGGAGTGAGAGCAGGCTTCTGCTCCACCTGAGCTGGTTAGGGAGCTCAGGACGAAACTCTGAGCGGGGCAGTGTGGTATGTGATGATCCCAGAGTCTGAGGAAGAGTGTCCTAAGTTCCTCACACTCTATCTCCAGGAGGAACTACGATCGCAGTCCAGCTGCAACCAAACATGCATGTCTTCCCGCCGTGGCTGGCTGCTTTCTGTCTGCCCCTCCAGGCCTCTTGGTGTTGCAGAGGAGGGGGTAGGAGAGGGAAAGGGAACGGTTCCAGGTCACCTCTAAACCCTCTAGAAATGAAATGGGAATGAAGCAGGTCACAAACTCAGCATGCAGGGCTGGCTTCCCGGGAGGTAGATGGGAGTGGGACGGGATAGCAGGTGTGGAGAGGACAGGAAGGGAAACAGGAAGAAACTGAGCGACACCTGCCAGGAAGGTCAAGAAGCAATGAAAAGGACAAAGACAATATGAAATCTGCATGAAAAGACAGGTCCTTTTCTGGCAGATTAGAGAATCAACATTTTCAGTACAACTCATAACGCTACTTTCCTAACTGCAGTACCCGAGTCCCCAGCGCCTGTCTCTATGATCCAACCCCCATTTCACTGCTCCCAAGACTTTGCTCTCCATTTTATCAAGGCCTCCAATCATTTTGTGCTGAGTGTGAAGGCTCCAATGTGAAAGCAGGGTCTACCACAGGGACGTGCAGACTTGACCTTTGTGACCCAATCATTTTATAGCTATCGCAGCATAGGAGGGGGGCACACTTTTCTTTCTTTTTTTTTTCTTTTTCTTTTTTTAATAAAAAAGGTTTTACTCCCCAGGAGCAAATAAATCATTTTGAACTACTGATAAACACTGCTGCAGTGAAAAGAAAGATGGCTACATGTATGCAATAGCACAAATTCAGTGGAAGAACAGCTGTGTTGACGATTAGAGATAAAAATCACTTATCCATTCCCTCCTTTCCCACAAACCAAACCGAGGATTCCCATAGGGAAAATGTCTAACTCAATAGCTCCTCCCTTACATGACAGGGGGTGTGTCATTCTCTTAACAGTGGAAAACAAATGCCAGGTCTCCGCCCAGTGGAGATGCTCTTAACACCCTAACTGGTAGCAAGACTTCTGCAAATGAGGACACACACACACACACACATGCATGCATATGCACACACACAGACTCAGACCTCCTTCCAGCAGCCATAGAGCTTTATCCCAGTGTCTTGTCCACTAACTTTAGGGCTCCAAAGCTAAGGGAGCGAGGCAGCAGGGAAGGGAAAGATCTAACTGAAGGAAAAAGCTCCTCCTCGCCCCAGTTTCTGCAGGGAGCAGAGGGCTTCAAGCAGGCCATGCTTTCCTGGGGGCCCTGGGGTGAGGGCTGACACGGCTGGATTCCAGGGCACTTCTGGTTCTACTCCCACCTCTCACCCCTAGACCTAGGAACTATAATTACCCCCACTCCCTAATTCTTCCTGGATGTCTGTTACAGGGGTGTCTGCAGCTATCTCCACACCATCCCCAACCTCAAGGGGGGCTTACATCATTAGCCCAAGTGAAATGTAGGGAAGGGGAAGGAGCAGGAGCCATGCAGGAGTTTCCTTTGGCCACACCTTTCTCCTCAGGGAGGTGGCGCCACCTCCATGGCTCAGGTTCCAAGATGTAACATTCACTTGGCCTAGGCACAGGCAGGTGACCAGGCAAAGGTCAGCACCAATGGTCCCAAAGAGCCGGTTGCCACCCACTTACCTAGTGCCCACACCAAAACCCCCGCCCGCCTACTCCTGTGCTACCAACATAGCACACGAATTTCAAGTAACAGCAAGTTGTAGCAGTAGTTGTCACTGGCTCACAGCAGCTCACTCTCAACCTGAGGAAGGTTACAGTAGATCAGTCATAAACAGGTGAGGGTTATGCAGGCACTGAGGCCACTGATATCACCCACCCACAACTTAGGAATCAACAGTGGGTCCCTAGATGTAAGCCTTTTCCAATTTGTGACTTGAAAATACAACCAGAAAGAAATTATTTATTTTTTTTGAGATGGAGTCTCACTCTGTCGTCTAGGCTAGAGGGCAGTGGCGCAATCTCGGCTCAGTGCAACCTCCGCCTCCTGGGTTCAAGCAATTCTCCTGTCTCAGCCTCCCAAGTAGCTGGGACTACAGGCGCATGCCACCATGCCCAGCTAATTTTTGTATTTTAGTAGAGATAGGGTTTCACTGTTTGGCCAAGCTGGTCTTGAACTCCCGACCTCATGATCCACCCACCTCAGCCTCCCAAAGTGCTGGGATTACAGGCGTGAGCCACCGCGCCCAGACCTAGAAAGGAATACATTTAAATGAGCTCTGCACAGCACTGGCGAAGGAGGGACGGGCCTGGTCAGGGAGGTGAAGGGCAGGTGCTGCCACACCTGCTCCTCTGCTCCATTTACTCTCTGACCAGGCTGTATCCCAGAGAGCTGGCCCAGCCCCATGCCTCCCCCTCATCTTCCCCTAACTGCTCTGTGCAAGGCCACCCATGCAGGCACCAAACACCCACACCTGACGAAGACTGTCTCCTCTTGCGCTGCTGTTTTGCAGCCCACTCCACAGAGAAAGGACTAGGCTGCGGCCAGGGCTGGGACCAGTGCACTGACACAGACACAGTTCAACACGACACTCCCCAGGAGGAGAAAGGTGGGTGGTGAGGTTGGGTCACACCTCCTCAGTTGGTTTGTTTTGTACCTGAATGTATGAGTTCTCCAGAAGAAACCCCAGTAACACAGGGGGTGCAGAGGCTCTGCCTCCCTCACATGGCCTGAGCTGACCATAGTGAGGCCCTGGCAATGGGCAGGAGCCTTGCTGACTCCTTTGGGCTTTGGGCTCCACCTCACCATCATAACCCCTTGGCACTCAGGTCTGCCTGGTGGCTGGGAAGCTTCCATCTAGAAAACCGCACTGGAAAGGATTCTTTAACCATGTTGCTCTAACAGGGCTGTGCACTGTTCAGTACATGCCATGCAGATTTCTGCTTCCTTGCTTTTGCTCATGTGTTTTTCATCTCACTGTCTGTCCTGCCATTGACTACAACCCAAAGCCTCAGAGGCACAGAACTTTCCCAGACCATCTGGTCTACCCTGATCTTATCTACTATAAACGTCTTTAGATAGTCCTTGATTTTCTGCTTGATGTGCAGCAGTCACCTAAAAGCTCCCTTAGGCCACATATTACGTCTTTTACCTTTTTTGTTTTCTACAATATCTAGCGCAAAGCCAGGCACACACACACTAAAAAATAATATTAAAATTATGGGTGGTTGAAAAGGAACAAAAAAAAGAAAGATCCCAGGCTGTATATCAGCCACCCAAGGATCTCAACAGATTCCAACTTCAGGCTCTATATTGGGGTGGCACTTCCTGCAAGATGGCGAGTTATATTACTTGTACTCTCACGAGGCAACACTCACATGCTAAGCCAATTTCTGGGATCACAATCTTGCTTAGTTGATAATACTACCATGGAAGCCAAGGAAAGAAGAGGTACCACATGACAAATCAGAGGTGGGCTGTGTTTATGGTGCACAGCTCATCTTGTGGGCCACCCTTCCACAGTCAGGTAATGGTGCAAGTTTCCTCCCTGTTCAGCTACAAGGAGGAAGACTGGTCACTCCACGTGGGACTAAGGAAGAAGGCAATGCTCCCAGATGAGGCAGTCCTATAAATTACCAGGACACTGGGGCCCCACCCAAACCATCAGGAAGCCACAAACCTGACATTAGTATCTGTCTTGTGACACGAGGCAACTATAAGCATGGGGAACCCAGAAAGAGAGTCCCATGGAACACACGCAAAGGAGTCATGAAGACCCAACAGCTCCACTGTTACATCTCAATAGCAAACCTCTCCCCAGAGCAGCTCTATAAGAAAGCAAACTCACAATGTCATATGAATTGGCCATGGCCAGCTGCAGAAACCATTAAAGACCATTGGAGTTTTTCTCCCCGCTCCTCCTGAAAGCAGGGACAGGCAGCTCTCAAATCGGCATCTGGCAGACTTTCCAGTGAGTGGAGACCAGCAGGATCTGATCCGGAAATGTCTGGGTTGCTAGAATGAACACAAGAAAATACAGAAGCCCTTGCTACCTCCCATCCCAGAAGTGGGATGGCAGTGATAAACCTAAAAACGTGAGATGCGATGCTCTCCTCTGACCTAAGGAAATCCCGTGAGGGCTGCGTTCTGAGAGCTTCCTCTAGGAAGAGCACAACTGTGGGAGCTGTATTTCTCACCTTCCTCCACATTCCCCCTCACAAGCTGACAGGCACATGGAAGTAACACTCACTCCTAAGTCATGAGTACAGTTTGCCATGAAGAACCTGGAAACATGCTCCATTAAATTCAGCAGCCCATGACTGGCTCTGAACCGCCCAGGTGATGGGAAACACGATTGCCATGACAGCTGGCAGAAGCAATAGGGATGCTGTTACCATGATCAGAGTGACATGTACAGTTATCTCAAGGGGCAATGGGTTGAGAGCAGAGGAAGAACGGGGTTAACTTCAGGTCATGGAACTTAAGGAATTAAGTAAATCACAACTAGTACAGCTTCCATGAGAGGTGTTTCTGAACTCAGGTTCCTAAACCTTAAAAAAGGATGCAGGAGTCACTACTTCTCCCAGCTAAGGCCAATTGGCTAGGTTTTGCCCAATATTCTTTTCGAGACCACCCACCCTCCTTTCTCTCCTGCTCCTACAACAGCTGCCCATGGCAACAAGAGGCAGATTCCCCCTTCCTCAGGAACTCCCAGTCCTTTGCAAACCTCAAGCCCCTCCTCCCATCTTCCAGGCCCACAGCACAGACTCTAACTCTGCCTTTGGCACCAGCTGAATGGCCGTCCCCTGTTCCCTCCTCCCACCCCTTCTTTGGACCTGCTCACCCTTCGCACCACTTTCAATCCAACGGGCACAAACCCCAACTGCCTTCAAGGTGAGTTTTCCATACCAAGTAATATAAATATCAAAAACAAAACTTCTGAAAAAGAAACAGTGTTGAGACTTCTTCCAGTTTTCCAAGGAGCCCCTCCAGTCCTAAGATGCCCAGGGGTGGGTGTGAGGTGGAGCCCCACGCAGAGTACGGTCATGTGCTTCTTCCAAGCCCCAGGGCTGCGTGGGGAACCAAAGTCTCTGCACAGAGAATCCCAACCTTCCTGTTCCCTCACTTTTCCTCTTCTTTTCATGGTAGCTTAATTTGGTTCTTCAAAGCTGGAGCTTGGCAACCAAATGCCTAGGTAGAAAAGGAAAAAAAATTAAAACAGTTCAACAGAATAGAACCAAAATGGAGTGAAATAACAGCCAGCCACTGGAGGTGGAGCAGCACACCTCAAAAGGAGAACGGAGCCTGGAGAGCTGAACGCTTCCATGAGGGCCACATGTGACTAGGGATGCAGCAGTGGCCTTTGTCAGGGGGACCTGAGCAGCCTATGACTTGGATGACAAAACAAGGTCCTGAAATAACTAATAAATACATCCTACCACATTGCATAAATTCTCTCTTTCCCTTTCCCTTACCCCTTCATTTCCTACCCATTTTTTCCCTGAGGCTCAATTGCTCTAGGGACTGAAAAGGGAAGTAAGCCCCTGGAGTAACCCCTTTTGAACCTGGCAAGAAAGAGCTCTATATTTCTTTCTTTCTTTTTTTTTTTTTTTTTTGAGACGGAGTCTCGCTCTGTCACCCAGGCTGGAGTGCAAAGGCATGATCTTGGCTCACTGCAATCTCCACTTCCTGGGTTCAAGATTCTCCTGTCTCAGCCTCCCAAGTAGCTGGGATTACAGGCATGCGCCACCATGCCTGGCTAATTTTGTATTTTTAGTAGAGACAGGGTTTCACCATGTTGGCCAGGCTGGTCTCAAACTCCTGACCTCGTGATGAGCCCGCCTTGGCCTCCCAAACTGCTGGGATTACAGACGTGAACCATCACACCTGGCCAGAGAGCTCTGTATTTCTGCAGCTTCTGTCAACTGGACAGGGTTGACACAGAAACACAAAGGCCACTGTTGCTTCCACCTTCCGACTTGAGACAGGCACTGTTCTAGCCATTACTCTATAGTCTGACTCCAAACCCCCTGGCATGAAATTCCCCAGGTAACAGCACACATAGACCAAGCAGGCCATTCAGAACTCCCAAATTAAAATCAGCCTGAACAACAAGAAGTCATAAAGGCCAAATTTCATACCCTAAAGACCTTTCCCAATGGGGCACAGTGGCTCATGCCTGTAATCCCAGAACTTTGGGAGGCCAAGGTGGGTGGATCACTTGAGTGAGGTCAGGAGTTTGAGACCCAACTGACAAACGTGGTGAAACCCAGTCTACTAAAAATACAAAATTAGCCAGGCGTGGTGGTGCACACCTGTAATCCCAGCCTCCCACTGGGAGGCTGAGGTGGGAGAATTGCTTGAACCCGGGAGATGGAGGTTGCAGTGAGCCAAGATCACGCCATTGCACTCCAGCCCGGGCAACAAGAGCGAAACTCCATCTCAAAAAAAAAAAAAAAAAAGACCTTTCCCTTGGGAAGTGTTACTTCCTCCCTTTCCAGGGCTCCTAGGGTCTACACCAGGAGCAAGTTCAGCATTACGCTTACTCTTTGTCACAGGCATCAATACTGATGTCACAGCAAAAAGGGATCCTGGGAGTTCAGTTCAAACCTTCGCCAATATATGACTGCCCCCAACACTCAAGACAAATGGCTACCCACTGGCCTGTTCCTGATCATGCCACGTCCTTCCCAGCTGAGGCAGGGCCTTTATACCTCTAGGTCCCCTTGCCCAGAATGCTCTGCTCCAAGGCACTCCCATGGCTGGCTCCTTGATATTTGGGTATCGGCTGAAATGGCACCTCCTCACAAGTCTCTCCCTGACCATCTAAACTTGAGGAGTATCCCACCACTAATCACTAAACTTTACCCAGTTTTACTTTCCTCACAACACTGTACAGTCACCTGAAATTAGCCCATTCATTTATGTTCATGTTTGCTGCCTGTCTTTCCTTAGGAGAAGGGAAGCTGAGTGAAAACAGGGCCTTTGCTTTGCTCAGCACTCTATTCTCAATTCATACTGGGTGCCAAATAAACACAAATATACAGCTATCTGCTGAATGGAAGCTCTTGAGGAAAACCATCCCAGTTTTGGACCTCTCTGTTAAAAAGGTTCTTGTAAAGTTGGACTGAAATCTAGTTCCTTGTAACTTACATTCATTTTGGTCCTTATCCATGTCTCTTTTTGCTGTGACATGGGAGGGCCTTGGGGCAGAGCATTCTGGGCAAGGGGACCTAGAGGTATAAAGGCCCTGCCTCAACTGGGAAAGGTGTGGCATGATCAGGAACAGGCCGGCAGGGAGCCACTTGTCTTGAGTGTTGGGAGCAGTCATGCACTGGCAAAGGTTTGAACTGAACTCTCAGGATCTCTTTTTGCTGTGACATCAGGATTGTTGCCTGTGGCAAAGAATAAGCGTAATGCTGAACTTGCTCCCCACTGGAACCACAGAGAGGAGGTTAATCACTCTCTTCCTTAGGAAAACCCATCAAATGCATCTTTCAGCTATCCCTCCCTAAAACCTCCGTGCTCTGGGTTAATCACATTTCTTTCTAGGCCATTTATTCCCATATGATGAAGTTTGAGCTCTCCAATGCCACAAGGCCTTTCTCTGAACATGCTCCCTGTTTATATGGGTTCTTCTACAGCACTGCACCCACAGACGTGGTCCTCTAACTGAATGGCCTAATTACTCTTCAAGGGTAGTCAGGTAGGTGGACCTCCCTAGTGCTCTACCTCTCACCCTAATCTCAACTGCAAAGCCATCATGCAGAGAAATCCACCTAGACACAAGACATTAGATATTTAGTCATTTCCAAAGGCATACAATTTGCATATAATTGAAGACATGATGAGACTGTACATCTACTCCAGGATCCACACCAGAAGAAAGCAGTCACTGCACACTGGCAGTCAATCTTGCTTGTCACCACCACCACCAAAGTCATGGCTCCCTGGCAATTGTGTTCCCTACTCAGGAACTTGGCCCCACAATGTTCACTTTAGTGCAATTTAAAAGACTAATTGGAATTCATCTGCACAAACCAGTATTGCAAGATGTTTTATGGGAAAATAAATGGGTAGAACTGTGTAATGATGGGAGAAGAGCCTCGTAGATAAATGAATTCCTTAGTTTCAACAATTTACTTTGTAATGGCCCAAATGGAACGCTAAATAGAAGAGTGGGCTGTTTTTCCTCATCCCCATATTCCAAGCTGTGGGACATGGTGGAGTCTCACTGAAGTGCATGCCTGTTGCAATTAAAGGCATGTTTGCATTCTCTTTGATGAAGTTTCCTTTCCCTTTAGCTTCCTGCTTTATATGCCATTTGTGCAGTATCAGGGAGATCAGCCCAAGTCTGTATGAGAGGAGGCTGCACTCTTCTTCTTATTTTTTTCAATTACCCTCTCCTTGCCAGAGGCCGCACTCTTAGCTACACTTGGGTGTCCCCCTCCTTGCTCACATTCAGTGATTAGCTTGCACGTTTCCTGGCAATCTACTTTCTTGTCTTTCTCGTCTGTCTGCTTTTCTCCCAAATGGGGTGTGTGCCCCTTGAGGACTCCACGGTCAGATCTTGTCATTCTATGGGCAAATGCCTGGATCGGGGCTATCCATGTTGGGAGTTGTGGGGAGGGGGCCCAAGGCTCAATGCATGATGATGACTGCCCAGGAAGAAATGTGGCTGGGCAGTGAGGCAGAGAGCTCATACCCTTGGTGGTGACCAGCAGGGAGCCCCTCGCTACGTGGAGGGTTCCACCTCTTGCTTCTGTTTGGAAATGAGCTGCGCTTCCTTTAGAGACAGGTATACCTCTTCCTGAGGATCATAGTAGTAGAACTTTCGGATATAAGAGATCAGAGGTCTGTGAAAAACAAATGACGGATATACACAAAAGGTTTTTATACAAAATATAAAAGAAGTAACTCCTTTGTTCAACTCTTCTTCACTCCCTACATGGTTGAGACCTAACACAATCCCCATTTTCTCAGTTATTATAGTTCTGTCTTCCTTACTCTTACCACTTCTACTCTATTCTTCCTAGAGACTGCAGAAGGAAGGCTGACACACACACCTTCCTCCCTCTGGCTGCAATATGACAGTTCTAGAGTTAGGTGCTAAGACACAGGAAATGTGTAAGAATGACATCTGCAAATATTTTATGCCAGACTCTGCCTGTGAAGGTAGCTTGCAGGCCTCACTGACATTGTTACCTCCCCACAACCCCCTTACTCATTCCTGTCCCAAACCTGACAACCCCATTGTACTTAGGCAGTGGGAGATCTGGGATGTGATCTATCCTGACGAGCTGTCGTATCCGGAATCTGCAAAGGTGCTGGAGGGATTTGACATTGCTGAATCGGGACACTGGATAGAGCAGCTGGACAGGAGTTGGTGGCAGTCCTTCAAGAAAGAAAACAAAGGAAAGTATTCAGAGGAAACAATGGAGCTAACTACCATTTCTTGTATGAAGAGAACCTAGGGAGGGGAAATGGGACTTCTTTATGGTTCATATATGTATTCTGTGCAAAAGCCCCTCCACAAAGTGCTGTTGATTTCCATTTCCAGAAGCACCACCACCACATTCACAATTAAGGAAATCCATTCTCTGCCAAAGGCCTCCCTAGCATCACTTTTTTGTGTGTCTTTTGTTTTGTTTTTTGAGACAGGGTCTCGTTCTGTCACCCAGGCTGGAGTGCAGTGGCCCAGTCTCAGCTCACTGCAGCCTTGACCTCCCAGACTCAAGCAATCCTCCCGCCTCAGCCTCCTGAGTAGCTGGGACCACAGATGCATGCCATCGTACCCAGATAATTTTTGTATTTTTAGTAGAGACGGGGTTTCCCCATGTTGCCCAGGCTAGTCTCGAACTCCTGGGCTCAAGCAATCCACTCGCCTCAGCCTCCCAAAGTGCTAGGATTACAGGCGTGAGCCACTGTGCCTGGCTCCTAGCATCACTCATAACAGCTGAGAGTCCTGCTCCTCGGAGTAGCCCAATTATGCCAAACTAGAGACACTGCTTGGACCCAAGTGGCCAATCCCAGGCCTGAGGCTCTCGGGAAGGCCAAGAATCAAAAGTATCCCTGCTGGGAATGGGAGATACTTGTTGGGCACATCTAGCAGTATCCTGAAGGTGAGGACCCAGAAAAGCCGTTCAGAGGAGTCCCCACCAAATTCCAATTGGTTCAGCAGAGGCTGGTTCAGCAGAGAGGCTGGTTCAGCAGGGAGGCTGGTAAGTAGAAGGTAACAGCTAGGATCAAAGTTAACAAGCCTATTATTCCTGCCATTATTTCAAGCCAGGATAATCAGGTTTAGCTACCTTTTATACCCAACCCCCATAACCCCCAGTTCCTGCTTCTGAAATTTTAGGCCAGGAGACCAAAAAAAGATGATGCTTTTAAAAGAACAACTACAATCGCTTGGGCAAGCTAGGATTAGTACCGCTCAGTGCAAACCCGCCTGCTGATTGATGCCAAATAGACTCAATGGGAGTACCACACCCTTATGTATTAGCAGGCTCTGTGCTGGGGAATCCCACCCCAAAAAGGGCCCCACGCCACAGCATGGAGACATCCAGAATGGCAGGAACACTGGGATTCAAGGGAACTAAGAATATTTTGCTTTCAATAAACAAAGGGGCTATGGAAGGTAAACAAGATTCTTTGAGAAAATCTGAGTTGCAAAACCTGTCAAAGAATTCTCAGCCATTGTCATATCAAAAGACATTCTATAGACACAACTGATTGGAAAATAAAATATCTACTATTATTGGGGTTTAAGTTCAAATAGTTTTTTTGTTTGTTTGTTTGTTTTTTGAGGCGGAGTCTTGCTCTGTCGCCCAGGCTGGGGTGCAGTGGCGCGATCTCGGCTCACTACAAGCTCTGCCTCCCGGGTTCATGCCATTCTCCTGCCTCAGCCTCCCGAGTAGCTGGGATTACAGGCACCCACCACCACGCCGGGCTAATTTTTTGTATTTTCAGTAGGGACGGGGTTTCACTGTGTTAACCAGGATGGTCTTGATCTCCTGACCTTGTGATCCGCCCACCTCAGCCTCCCAAAGTGTTTGTTTGTTTTTTTAAGACAGAGTCTTGCTCTTGTCACCCAGGCTGGAGTGCAGTGGCGCGATTTTGACTCACTGCAAGCTCCAACTCCTAGGTTCAAGCGATTCTCCTGCCTTAGCCTCTCGAGTAGCTGGGATTACAGGCGCCCGCCACCACACCCAGCTAATATTTGTATTTTTAGTAGAGACGGGGTTTCACCATGTTGGCTAGTCTAGTTTCGAACTCCTGACCTCAGGTGATCCACCTGCCTCAGCCTCCCAAAGTGCTGGGATTATAGGCATGAGCCACCATGCCCGGCCCAGATAGTTTTAAAATTTTATTTGAAGGCATGAAAACAAAACAAATGAAAGCATGTACACCGCATCCCAAGGCCTTTCCATGATCACTGACAACATACTTTCCAGGGGAAAAAAAAAATCAAAATACATTATTTTATTGTTACTGAACAAGTTAAGCTCATCTTAAAAACATTTAACTCAGGCTGGGTGCAGTGGCACACGCCTATAATCCTAGTACTTTGGGAGACCAAGGAGATAAGATCACTTGAGGCCAGGAACTCGAGGCTACAGTGAGCCAAGATTGTGCCGCTGCACTCCAGCCTAGGTGACAAAGTATGACCCTGTCTCTAAAAAAAAAACAAAAATAATAATGATAACTTATTTAGTCTTTAAAACTATACTTTGAGGCAAACACCACCATCCCCATTTCACATATAAAGAAACTGAGGCCCACTGAGCTTAGAGAACTTGCTGTGGCATGGAGCCACTAAAGCCGGCCTGCCTTGAACACCTGCCCTAAGGAAGAATTATCGGTAGCTCTGCCATAGCCGAGGAACCTCTCAGCAGGGTTCTCCAGGAGGGTCTCTAGAGTGCCTGCACCTCTGCCCATCTAACAGGGAGGTTGTCCAGGACAGTCACAGCACTCTGGTTCATGACCAGCCTCTCCTAGTCCCCTCCCTGGCACTCCCACCCCTTCAAAACTAAGTCTTGTATTTTGAAGCCCTACTTCTCTCCTCTACCCACATGGCTGGTCCTCTCCATTAAAAGAAAAGAAAAAGAACTCACACGTGAATTTCTCACCTGAATATATTTAACTCAAGTGGTTTTAAGAAATAATTTTGGGTTCAAATGCCTCTTTGAATTTGTCCTGTCCCTCACTGGTATTTATATATTCTTTAGTAAATTAAACTGTGGCAAACAGAAAGCTTTGGGGGATTGGCTGTAATACTGGTAAACTCAACATGATGTTTCAGAGATAAAAGTAATTTATACATCTAATAATTTATTCCCAAAGATAACACTGTGCTTAAAGAGATCAGGATAATATGCAACATACAATTATCTGATTGTTTGCCTACTTGAATTTTAATGACCACATATACTTGCCTATTTAATTGTATTACTTTTAGCCTTTAGGTTTACAAATAGCAATTTGAAACCTGTTAATTTTCTGATATTCCCTGGTATTAATCTGACCATTTACTGTTTGCCCACAAACGCCAACAAACAATTAGAACTCTCACATTTAGAGCATGCTAACAGAAGCAGTTAAAAATGTGAAGAATCCAGGATAAGACCCAACTGGGACTAAAAGAGTAAGGGTGAAGTCGAACATTAATCGTCAGTAACTTTCTTCCAGTCCTCATGCCAGAGGTCCTGGGCACAAACCTAGTTTCTAGCCATGCACTATTTTTCGTTTCTCCCAACAAAGACCATGTTAGGGGTAAGAAATCTCTTCCAGGTATAAACACCCAAATACCCATGTCTTTCTGCCACACCAAAGGTTTTTCTGACCCCTGAAGACAGAATCAGATAAGGAATCACATCTGTTTCACATTCCAGATCTCATTTTCTTAACAGTGTAAGTAAAAAGAGAATAAACTAGGGAGTCTAGTTGACTTATATGTAATCCTCCAAGAAGAAAAAAACAAGCACAAGGTCAAAAGTAAAAGAAGGCCCAGTGCGGTGGCTCACGCCTGTAATCCCAGCACCTTGGGAGGCTGAGGTGGGAGGACTGCTTGAGCCCAGGAGTTCAAGATTGGCCTGGGCAACATAGGGAGGGAGACCTTACCTCTACAAAAATTAAAATTAAAAAAATTAGCCAGGCATTGTGGTGCACAACAGTGGTCCCAGCTACTCAGGAGGCTTAAGTGGGAGGACTGCTTAAGCCCAGAAGGCTGAGGCTGCAGTGAGCTATGATTGTACCACTGCACTCCAGCCTGAGTGATAGGGTAAGACCCTGTCTAAAAAAAAGATATTCAGCTAACAGTGAAGCACTGTTTTTTAATATCCCACTCCTTTCTTCAGCTTGAAACAGCTTAAGAAAAACTAAACAATAGTTTAGCTTAGTGGGAGCAGGGGTGAGAGGGCAGAAGATTCACTTTTCCTTATATTCCCTTGCGCACTATTTGACCTTTTTACCACATACATGTTATTTCACAATTTAAAAAGAAATACATAATAGAACTAATAAATGAGTTATGCAAGTTTACAGGATATAACATGAATGTGCAAAAAGCAATTAAATTTCTATACTCTAGCTATAAACAATCCAAAAATAATTAAAATTAAGAAAACAATTTACAATAGGATCAAAAACAAATACTAAAAAATAAATTTAACAAAAGAAATACAAAACTTATATTATGAAAAAATATGGGCCAGGCACAGTGGCTCATACCTATAATCCCAGCACTTTGGGAGGCTGAGGCAAGGTGGATGGCTTGAGCCAAAGGGTTAGAAACCAGCCTGGGCAATGCGGTGAGACCCCATCTCTACTAAAAATATAAAGATCAGCTGGGCATGGTTGTGTGTGCCTATAGTCCCAGCTACACAGGAGGCTGAAGTGCAGGACACACTGGGCCAGGGAGGTGGAGGTTGTAGTTAGTGAGCCAGGCACCACTGCACTCCAGACTGGGTGACAGTGGGACAAAAAAAAAAAAAAAGACAGAAAGAAAGAGAAGGAAGGAAGGAAGGAAGGAAGGAAGGAAGGAAGGAAGGAAGGAAGGAAGGAAAACGAACAAAAGAAAAAATATAAAACATTGTTCAAAGAGTTTTTAAAAAGACCTAAATAAGCAGAAAGACAGCCTATGTCCATGGATCAGAAGACATAATATTGTTGACATGCCAATATTCCCTCCCCAAATTGATGTACTGACTCAACTCCACACTCTTGCCAACATGGGGGTATTAAAATCTCAGTAGGCTTCTTTGCAGAAATTGACAATCTGATCCTAAAATTCATATGGAAATGCAAGAGACCCAAAATAGTCAAAACCAACTTGAAAAACAACAAAGTTGGAGACTCACACTTTTCCATCTCAAAAAGTACTACAAAACTATAGGAATCAAGACAGTAATGGCATAAGGATGGACATACAACTCAATGGAATAGAACTGAGTCCGGAAATTAACCTTCACAGTTACAATCAACTGATTTCAACAAAGATGCCAAGACAATTCAATGGGGAAAGAGTATCTTTTCAACAAATGGCGCTAGAACAACTGAATATTCACATGAAAAAGAATAAAGTTGGACTCCTTTCTCATGCCATACACAAAAATTCAAGGCTGGGTACGGTGGCTCACACCTGTAATCCCAGAACTTTGAGAGGCTGAGGTGGGAGGATCACTTAAGGCCAGGAGGCGGAGGTTGCAGTGAGCCACGATCGTGCCACTGCACTCCAGCCTCGGTGACAGAGAGAGACTCTGTCTCTCTCTCTCTCACTCTCTCTCTCTCTCTCTCTCTATATGTGTATATATATATATGTACATATATATATATATGTACACACATACACACCAAACAAAAAAATTAAAAAACAAAAATTAACTCAAAACGGATAGTAGACCTAATGTAAAAGCTAAAAGTTTAAGTCTCCTAGAAGAAAATATAGGCATTAAGCTCCATCACCTTTGGTTAGGCAAACTTTTCTAAATATAACAAGCAAAAAAAAAAAAAAAAGTTGGAATAGGAACTCATCAAAATCCTTCATGCTTCAAAGAATACCATCAAGAAAGTAAAAAGACAACCCACAGAATGGGAGAAAATATTTGTAATTTATATCTGACAAGGGACTTGTATCCAGAATATATAAAGAACTTTATTTTTTGAGATAAAATAAAAGCTGGAGTGCAGTGGCGTGATCTCGGTTCACTGCAACCTCCACCTCCTGGACTCAAGCAATCCTCCCATCTCAGTCTTCCAAGTAGCTAGGACTACAGACATGCACCACCACACTGGGCTAATTTTTAAATTTTTTGTAGAGACAGTGTCTCCCTGTATTGCCCAGGCAGGTCTTGAGCTCCTGGGCTCAAGCAATCCTCCTGCCCTGGCCTCCCTAAGTACTGGGCTTATAGGCACCATACCCAGCCTGTAAAGAACTCATAACTCAATAAGAAGACAAATAGCTCAATTATAAAATGAGCAAAGGTTGTGAATAGAGATACAATAGCCAATAAGCAGATGAAAAGATGTTAACATCATTAGTCATTAGGGAAATGCAAATCAAAACCACAATGAGCTACCACTTCATACTCACTAGGATGGCTATATTCAAAAAGATGGACAATAACAAAATCTTGGGTGCAATTGTTTTGGGAGTCTGGCATGGGGTTAAATATGGGATTACCATATGACCCAGCAATTTCACGCCTAGGAATATATCCAAGAGAATTGAAAAGATATTCACATAAACAGCTGTACATGAATGTTCAAAGAAGCATTATTTATTTCATAATAGCCAAAAACTGGAAACAACCTAAAGAATGGAGAAACAAAATGTGGTACATCCAGAGTGGAATGTTATTCAGTCATAAAAAAGAATGCTGTGCTGACAGATGCTACAACACTGGTGAACTTTGAAAACATTATGCTAAGTAAAAGAAACAAGACATAAAAATATTGTATGATTCCATTTATGTGAAATGTACCAAACAGTCAAATCCATAGAAACGGAAAACAGATTAGTGGTTGGTAGGGGCCAGGAAGTAGAGGGAATACGGAGTAACTGCTAATAGTCTGAGGTTTTCATTTTGGTGTGATGAAAACATTCTAAAATTGATTGTGGTGATTGTTGTACAACTCTGTGAATATACTAAAAACCACTGAATTGCACAGTATTTTTTTTTCTTGAGACACAGTCTTGTTCTGTCTTCACCCAGGATGAAGTACAGTGGTGTGATCTCAGCTTACTGCAACCTCTGCCTCCTGGGTTCAAGCAATTCTCCTGCCTCAGCCTCCTGAGTAGCTGGGACTACACGTGCTCACCACCGCTCCTAGCTAATTTTTGTATTTTTTTTTTTTATCAAGATGGGGTTTCATGCCATGTTGTCCAGGCTGGACTTGAACCCCTAGGCTCAAGTAATCTACCTTCTTTGGCCTTGAATCACACATTTTAAATGGGTGAATTTCATGTTATGTGAATTATATCTCAATAAAGCTGTTAGATAAAAGCAAGGAAGGAAGGGAGGGAGAGAGGGAAAAATACCCCGACATGAAGAGCCTTCTGCTGGTTAAAGGTGAGACAATACGAGCTTCAATAATTATAACTGTAATGAATTAAAAGCCATTAAGTGGGCCAGGCACGGTGGTTCACACCTATGCCTATAATCCTAGCACTTTGGGAGGCCAATGCAGTTGGATCACCTGAGGTCAGGAGTTCGAGACCAGCCTGGCCAACATGGCGAAATCCCGTCTCTACTAAAAATACAAAAAAATTAGCCAGGTGTAGTGGCACGTGCCTGTAATCCCAGCTACATGGGAGGCTGGGGCAGGAGAATCGCTTGAACCCGGGAGTCGGAGGTTGCAGTGAGCCAAGATCACGCCACTGCACTCTAGCCTGGGTGACAGAGTGAGACTCTGTCTCAAAAAAAAAAAAAAAGAAAGCCATTAAGTATGTTTAATTCCATGAATTTTATATGTATATAATATATAGTATATATATAATATGTATAATATAAATATATAAATATATAAAATATATAGTATAATATATACAATATATAGTGTATATAATATACAATATATTGTATATATAATATACAATATATTGTGTATATAATATATACAATATATTGTGTATATATATTATGTATTGTGTATATATATACTATATATTGTGTATATAATATATACAATATATTGTGTATATATATTATGTATTGTGTATATATATACTATATATTGTGTATATATGTATATATTTTTTTGAGACAGAGTCTCTCTGTCACCCAGGCTGGAGTGCAGTGGGGTGATCTCGGCTCACTGTAATCTCCACTTCCCAGGTTCAAGTGATTCTCCTGCCCCAGCCTCCCAAGTAGCTGGGATTACAGGTGCCCACCACCACGCCCGGCTATTTTTTTTGTATTTTTAGTAGAGGATGGGGTTTAGCTATGTTGGCCAGGCTGGTGTTTAACTCCTGACCTCAGGTGATCCAACTGCCTCGGCCTCCCAAAATGCTGGGATTACAGGCGTGAGTCACTGCACCTGGCTGAATTAATCATATATATATATATATATACATACATATATATATATATATATATATATATTTTTTTTTTTTTTTTTTTTTAAGATAAGAGTCTCGCTCTGTCGCCCAGGCTGAAATGCAGTGGCGCGATAGCTCACTGCAAGCTCTGCCTCCCGATTCACACCATTCTCCTGCCTCAGCTGCCCGAGTAGCTGGGACTATAGGTGCCCACCACCACGCCCAGCTAATTTTTTCTATTTTTTAGTAGAGACGGGGTTTCACCGTGTTAGCCAGGATGGTCTCAATCTCCTGACCTCATGATCCGCCCACCTCAGCCTCCCAAAGTGCTGGGATTACAGGCATGAGCCACTGTGCCCGGCCATTAATTATATTTTTCAAATGGTCACCTTCAAAGGATGATAGGGAACCAATTCGTTATCTTGAAAATTAGTAAATAAAGAAAAAGAGTCAAGCATTTATCCTGCTTTTTCTATATGAATTTGGTAAATAATAAATGAGGAGAAATGTCTCTATAAAACTATTCCATCTAATAAATAAAAAGTGATAAAATTAGAGTATCATCATTTTGCAACTCCCAATGAACAGCTGCTAAGATCACAAAAAGAGACACAACCAGACATCATGTGTTTCCTATGGGCATGCCAAATACTACCTATATAATCTTGCTAAAAGGATCAAGCCTCAGTTTTTTTGTTTGTTTCTGAGATACAGTCTCACTCTGTCACCCAGGCTGGAGTGCAGTGGCATGAACACAGCTCACTGTGGCCTTGACATCACAGACTCAAGCGATTACCCTGCCTCGGCCACCTGGCTAATTTTTTTTTTTTTTTTTTTTTTTTTGAGACACAGCCTCCCTCTTTTGCCCAGGCTGAAGTGCAGTGGCACAATCTTGGCTCATTGCAACCTCCGCCTCCTGGGTTCAGGCCATTCTCCTGCCTCAGCCTCCCAAGTAGCTGGGATTACAGGTCTGGGCCACCATGCCTGGCTAATTTTTATATTTTTAGTGAGACAGGGTTTCCCCATGTTGGTCAGGCTGGTCTCAAACTCTTGACCTCAGGTGAGCCACCTGCCTCGGCCTCCCAAAGTGCTGGGATTACAGGCCTGAGCCACCGCGCCTGGCCTCGGCTAGTTTTTAATTTATTTTTTTGGTAGAGACAGGGTCTTACCATGCTGCCCAGGCAGGTCTTGAACTCCTGGGTATAAGCGATCCTCCTGCCTCACCTCCCAAAGTGCTGGGATTTTAGGCATGAGCTACTATTATATGTTCAGTCAAGCCTGAGTTTGAATCAGACTCCTGCTAATTTGTAAGAAATACAGAAGACAGGACAACATGCTAAACTCCAACAAGAGTACGTAATTAGTAAAATCCAAGGAAATTTTCCAGGTCAAACAGCCCAATTATTCAATAAGTAAATCGTAAGGAAATGAAAGAAAAAGCCACAGATTAAGATATTTAAAAGACATGAAATTTTTTTCAAATGAGCAATATCAAACTATAGTGTTCAGGGATATACACTGGGGTGATAAAAGCATTCATGGAAAAATGAAAGGAAGTGATTATTATAAAGACAGGTGTAGAGATTAGTATGGGGCACACGGAAGGATTTCTGGAGTGGCTGGAAAAGTTTTGGTTCCTTTGCCTGAGTGGTGTTCACCTTATAATAATATTAAACCATGCATATGATTTTTGTGGTTTTCTATTTAAAAAAAAAAAAAAAGAAAGAAAAGAAATTCAGATGAAGTAATGCTGTCACGCTGCTCCCCCTCCCCAACGAATCCAAATTGGGTAAGCCTTTGAATTCAATTACCATTTTACAGGAAATTCAGAGTACAGAGGAACATATTAAACAACGTCATGGAGAAGCAATAGGTAAACTCCAAACATAACAATATTTTAAATATATAAATTGCAAGAAAAAAAGGGAAAAAGAAATGGAGGAAGAAAACTACAAATTAAAAAAGAAGTGCTGCTGGGCACGGTGGCTCACACCTGTAATCCCAGTACTTTGGGAGGCTGAGGCGGGTGGATCACGAGGTCAGCAGTTCAAGACCAACCTGACCAACATGATGAAACCCCGTCTCTACTAAAAATACAAAAAATTAGCTGGGCGTGGTGGCGGATGCCTGTAATCCCAGCAACTTGGGAGGCTGAGGCAGGAGAATTGCTCAAAACCGGAAGGCGGAGGTTGCAGTGAGCTGAGATTGCGCCACTGCACTCTAGCCTGGACAATAAGAGCAAAACTCCGTCAAAAAAAAAAAAAAAAAAAAAAAAGAGCTGGGTGCAGTGGCTCACGCCTGTAATCCCAGCACTTTGGGAGGCTGAGGCGGGTGGATCACAAAGTCAGGAGTTCAAGACAAGCCTGACCAACATGGTAAAACCCTGCCTCTACTAAAAATTAAAAAATTAGCCAGGTGTGGTGGTGTGTGCCTGTAATCCCAGCTACTCAGGAGGCTGAGGCAGGAGAATCACTTGAACCCGGGATGTGGATGGTGGCAGTGAGCCGAGATCGCACCACTGCACTCCAGCCTGGGTGACAGAGGGAGACTCCATCTCAAAGAAAAAAAAAAGAAGCTGGGCATGGTGGTTCACACCTGTAATCTCAACACTTTGGGAGGCTAAGAAGGGAAGATCACTTGAGCCCAGGAGTTCATGACCAGCCTGTGCAACATAGAAACACCTTGTCTCAACAAAAAAATTGAAAAATTAGCCGAGCATGGTGGCCCATGCCTGTAGTCCTAGCTACTTGGGAGGCTGAGGTGGGAGGATCACTTGAGCCTGGGAGGTCAAGGCATGATTGCACTACTGTACTCCAGCCTGAGTGACAGAGTGAGACCCTGTCTCAAAACAAAACAAAACAAAACAAAAGTATATTTAAACACTAAACACTAATATGCAATGAAGAAGTGGACAGGTATACAAACAGGGCAGGAGTGGCCATGGGCTGATGGTTGCTGGGGCTGGGTGATGGATACACAGGGTTTATTACACCATTCTGCACACCATACAAATAAACATAAAGCAGGTAATAAGCCAGGAATAAGTCTAGTTTGCAAATATCCTCAAGGGAGTCTTACGGTGTTGCTAAAGGGGGTCATGCAGCCAGAGCAAGGAGGGGAGCCCCATCAGTGGCATGACTCTGTACCTATAAAACAAGGACGAACCGCTTACTGGGGAGATGCTCAGAGACACTGGTCACAAATCCCCAGGAAAGGACTCCTGGCTTCTTTCACAAGCGTAAGTGAAATAACCTCTTCTGAGTATGTCTAATATCTCATCAGCAAATGTTTGAGTGTTCTAATATACAAAATAATATAGAGCAGGCTGGGCGCGGTGGCTCACCCCTGTAATCCCAGCACTTTGGGAGGCCGAGGCGGGTGGATCACCTAAGGTCAGGAGTTCGAGACCAGCCTGACCAATATGGTGAAACCCCGTCTCTAAAAAATACAAAAATTTAGCCGGGCGTGATGGTGGGCGCCTATAATCCCAGCTACTCAGGAGAATTGCTTGAACCCAGGAGGCAGAGGTTGCGATGAGCCGAGATTGCGCCACTGCACTCCAGCCTGGGCATAACAAAGTGAGACTTCATCTCAAAATAATATAGAGCTAAGGAAAGACAGTTCTTGCTCTGGATGACCTGGCAATCAGACAGGTAAGATAAAATAACGACAAAGGGCATCTCAAAGGATATCACAAGGATATCTGAGGGGCCACCCAGAGTATCATTCAACACATATTATCTTGGGTACCACCTTTATAGGGCCAGGAGAACACCAGAGATACCACCTTAAACACTTCCTATGCACCTACATCTTAGAGAGCACTGAGAAAAGTAACATCTGTTGAGTGCTTACTCTGTGTCAGGCATTGTCTTAAATATTTTACATGAGTTAACTCTTGCATTCCTCAAAACAACCCTATAAGTGAGGTACTATAATCATCCCCATTTTACTGTTGAGGAAACTGAGGCAAGAGAGGTTCAGTTCATGCCTAAGATCACAGAGCTAGTAACTGGCAGGACCTGGGGTAGCACTCGGTGCTCTGGATCCAGAACTTGTACTTTTTAACCCCTATGGTATATAACAATGTTTCCCAACTGGGGATGATTTTGGCCCCCAGGGACATATGGAGACATAATGTGATTGTCACAGCTTGGGGTGGGGGTGAGTGCTCCTGGCATCTAGTGGGCAAAAGCTAGGGCTTCCTCCAATACACGGGACAGACCCCACAACAAAAAACTGTCCAGCCTAAAATGTCAATAATGCAGAGCTGAGAAACCCTGGTAAACAGGGAAGACATGTCACTGAACAAGTAATTATAAACTTAACAAGGGTTACAAAAGAGGAAGTAACCAATTTCCTTAAAGAGCTGTCCAATTCCGCCAAGCGTGGTGGCTCACGCCTGTAATCTCAGCACTTTGGGAGGTTGAGGCAGGTGGACCATGAGGTCAAGAGTTTAAGGGCAGCCTGGCCAACATGGTGAAACCCCGTCTCTACTAAAAATACAAAAATTAGCTGGGCGTGGTGGCGGGCGCCTGTAATCCCAGCTACTCGGGAGGCTGAGGAAGGAGAATCGTTTGAACTCGGGAGGCGGAGGAGGTTGCAGTGAGCCGAGATCGTGCCATTGCACTCCAGCCTGGGTGACTGGGGTAGACTCCATCTTGAAACAAACAAACAAAAATGAGCTGTCCAATTCAAAGCATGATTTTTTTTTTTTTTTTTTTTTTTTGAGATAGGGTCTCGCTCTATTACTCAGGCTGGAGTGTGGTGGTGCAATCACAGCTCACTGCAGCCTTGACCTACCCGGCCTAAGAGATCCTCCTACCTCAGCCTCCCAAGCAGCTGGGACCAAAGGCACACACCATCACATGTGGCTAGGCTTTTTTGTTTTGTTTTGTTTTTGTAGAGATGAGGTCTCTCTACATTATCCAGGCTAGTTAGAACTCTTGGGCTCAAACAATCCTTCCACCTCTACCTCCCAAAGTGCTGGGATTACAGATGTGAGCCACCAAGCCTGATCAAAGCATGATTTTTTAAAGATATTTTTTTCTTCACGAACTTTACAGATGAAGATTCTCTCAATTAAAAAGGGTATGTTTGCTTTTAGCCTGGCTCTAATAGGATCAGAGGTTTTGTGTGACATCAGTCACACTCTCACTGCTGTCTGGTGTTAGGGGTTTAGTTTTTTTAGGTTTTTTTTTTTTTTTTTTTTTTTTTTTTGAGACAGAGTCTTTGGAGTGCAGTGGTATGACTTGGCTCACTGCAATCTCCAATTCTGGGGCTCAAGCAATTCTCATGCCTCAGCCTCCTAAATAGCTAGGACTACAGATGTGCACCACCATGCCCAACTAATTTTTTGTATTTTAGTAGAGATGGGGTTTCACCATATTGCCCAGGGTGGTCTTGAACTCCTGAGCTCAGGCAATCCGCCCACCTTGGCCTCCCAAAGTGCTGGGATTACAGGCGTGAGCCACTGCGCCAAGCCTGATACCAGTCTTAACACCCTCCTACTGCATCCAGCTCTGGGATCTGAGCCAGAAAAACCTGAGATCTCATCCTGGTTCTGCAACTCACTGGACCTCAGTTTCTTTTGCTTTTTCAAAAAGAAAAAAAATAAAAAGGAGACGGTACTATCCCCTCAAAGGGTAACACTTGGTTAAATGGAATAACACCTGGCTCCTTGTAGGTGTTCAGTTGTCATCATTCCAAAGTCTGAACACACAGCCTCCTTTCTGAATCGATCAAGTTAAAATCCCTGACGCAGACTGACAGAGCTCAACCTAAATGCTAATACCTACCTCTTCCTCACCCTAATAGTCTCCTCTAATAAAATCAAGCTTATATAATGCCTTCCCCTTTATAAGCAAAAGAGGGCAGCAAACAGTGGTAAAGGCTTTGTCTTCTTTGGCCCTATCCTTCAAAGAGAGGTCACTTAGGGTCGAGGGGCAATAGCTCTGCTTTGCCCTCTCAACTTGATTACAATTTTAAGTATACACAGATATTCAACTGGAGCATGTGCACCCTCCTGCCCCCAGTAAACATGGTTCTACCTTCTTTAGGTAGTTTCCACAAATGCCAGCAAACTTTCAATCTGATTACTACTACCTCTTCCAATAACAGACCGGTGGGAAATAAAGTCAAGGATTTGTAGTCAAGCCCAGGTTTGAATTCTGGCTTCAGCACTGATCAACCGAGTTACCTTTAGAGTAAGTAACTTAACTTTTGAGCTTCAGCCTCAGTTTCCTCACTGGCAAAATGAAGTCTCATGTATTATTTTATTTTTAAATTTATTTTATTTTTATTTTTTGGAGACAGAGTCTCCCTCTGTCACCCAGACTGAAGTGCAGTGGCTTAATCTTGGCTGACTGCAACCTCCACCTCCCAGGTTCAAGTGATTCTCCTGCCTCAGCCTCCCAGGTAGCTGGGACTACAGGTGCCCGCCACCATGCCTGGCTAATTTTTGTATTTTTAGTAGAGGTGTGGTTTCACCATGTTGGACACATCATTATCATTATTATTATTATTTTTTTTTTTTTGAGACAGAGTCTTGCTTGGGGGCCCAGGCTAGAGTGTAGTGGCACAATCTCAGCTCACTGCAACCTCAGCCTCCTGGGTTTTAAGCGATTCTCCTGCCTCAGCCTCCAGAGTAGCTAGGATTACAGGCGTGCACCACCACACCTGGCTAATTTTGTATTTTTAGTAGAGGCGAGGTTTCACCACGTTGGTCAGGCTGGTCTCAAACTCCTGACCTCAGGTGATCCACCCACCTCGGACTCCCAAAGTGATGGGATTACAGGCGTGAGCCACCGAGCCCAGCCATATTATTTTAATAGATTGATCTATATTACCTAACTTTGAGGTTGTTGTAAAAATGTCAATATATTTAAATAAAGAGCCTGGCCAAGTACCTGGCATCTAACAGGCACTCAATATTAATAGTTGCAAACACTACACACTCTAGCCCTTAATACAATGCTAAGAATCTTGGTTAAAATATCTGCAGACAGGGTACATTTGTACAATGAAATAAGCTGTATCTGAGGAGTCCAATATTCCACGAAGTTTTCTCAATATTCTACAAATAGAGTGATGTTCCAGAGTCCAGAATCTTCTTTGAGATTTCCCGGGCTTGTCCACAGGCAGAGCTGACTACCCTACTCTTGCTGGTTACCACCACATGCTTTATACTGACTTGAACATGTGCTCTGACCTTTGTCTTCCTTCCTGTCCCTTCTTTTAGACTATGACTTCTCTGAAGGCAGAAAGGTAGCTTATTTTTGATAATTAAGTTACAAAATAAATGTTTGTTAAATAAAAACCCCCCAAAAAGCCATAAACTTTAAAAACTGCTAAGCAGAGTCAACTCCTATAAGGAAGGAATCTAACTTTTCCCTTTAAGCAAGTCAACTGCACAAGACCCAACTGTGTTGACAGCACTGAGGCAAAACTAAATGAAGTGAGAATTAATACAGTTCACACCCTGTCATGCCTTATTCAAATCCCCAAGATTACAAGAAACATTCCTGTCACCTGGCTCAACCTGTTCCTAGTCTTCTGCCTGAGGCTCCCCTGAGCTCCTACAGTTTAGAGCAATTTCTAGGTGTTCTGTTCAAGAATCTTAATTTGATTCAATGGGAAAGCATGAAGTTCTCATTTTAAGTTGTTTCTTTTTTGTTGTTTTTGTTTTTTTGAAAGAGTCTGGCTCTGTCGCCCAGACTGGAGTGCAATGGCGCAATCTCAGCTCACTGCAACCTCCGCTTCCTAGGTTCAAGCAATTCTCCCGCCTCAGCCTCCTGAGTAGCTGGGATTACAAGGCACCTGCCACCACACCTGGCTAATTTTTGTATTCTTAGTACAGACAGGGTTTCACTATGTTGGCTAGGCTGTCTCGAACTCCTGACCTCAGGTGATCTGCCCGCCTCAGCCTCCCAAAGTGCTGGAATTACAGGTGTGAGCCACCAACCCCTGCCTTGTTTTTTTTTTTTTGTTTTTTTTTGTTTTTTTTTTTTGAGACAGGGTCTCGCTGTGTCACCCAGGCTGGAGTGCAGTGACGTAATCTTGGCTCATTGCAGCCTCTGCCTCCCAGGCTCAAGTGATCCTCCCACCTCAGCCTCCCAAGTAGCTGGGACTACAGACGCCTGGCATCACACCCGGCTAATTTTTGTGTATTTTGTAGAGACATGGTTTCACCATGTTGCCCAGCCTGGTCTTGAACTCCTGGACTTGAGCAATCTGCCTGTCTCAGCCTCCCAAAGTACTGGGATTATTACAGTGTGAGCCACCATGCCTGGCTTAAGTTGTTTGCATCTTACAAGTTCCTCATATTAATGTCCGTGTCATTTTGTCTTACCCAACACTATAAAGGCAGATTGCTCCAAACAATCCCCTCTTGCCCTCCACAGATTATACAGACACCTCCCTAACTTAGTGGGCAGGAAGACTATACAATCACATCAGCAAGGATAGCAACTGCCCAGTGCTCCCAAATGGAGAGAGGTCTTGTATTCATCAATGGTAGGGATGGCAAGATACAAAACAAAGTATTTACTATTCGGCAGCAAGTTTAGTACAACATGGGCAAACCCACAGCAGATACTTCCTAACAGAGTGCAATGTGCAACTGGATTTGGCCCTTACTTTTTCTTTTTTGGGGGAGACAGGGTTTTGCTCTATCACCCAGACTAGAGTGCAGTGGCATGATCACAGCTCACTGAAGCCTCGACCTCCTGGGCTCAAGTGATCCTCCCACCTCAGCCTCCCAACTAGCTGGAACTATAGGCATGTGCCACTATGCCTGGCTAATTTTTTATTTTTTTAAGAGATGGGGTCTCAAATTCCTGGGATCAAGCAATCCTCCCACCTCGGCCTCTCAAAGTGCTGGGATTACAGGCATGAGCCACCACGCCTAGCCATACTGAGCCCCACTGACGCTCGCCCCTGCCTTTCTGGTAAACATTCTCCTACCTTCCCCGTTCCTATGGGTAGGACCTGAGAGCTCTCATCTTTCTGCTTCACTTATAAATGTTGAGATGCCTAGATCAGGGATACCTCCAAATGTCAAATGTTCACATGATGCCTGGACATCAGAGGTGGAAGCAGTTTTCTCATTCACGTGGTTAGAGAAGCAAAGATTCCTCCTCAGTATGCTGAGAGATTAATGTACAAAGGCAGGGGATTAACCATGGGACTCTGTAAGAGGAGTGGTGGCTCCAACAGCCAGGGAAAAAAAGCTTAACCATGGCCTTTTGTGGGGATGGTGTTTTTTGACACTAAACTGGATCATACCCAACTTAAGTTAAATAATTAACAGAAGTACAGCCTTACCTGGAACCCTGGATCTTAAGAAATAGAGAAACTTTCCATTCTTGGAGTGCATAATGGCTCTCTTAATAAACTCTACAACAGATTGACAGCGGTCCTCAAACTTGGGATGACACCACAGGCTGAAGGTTCCTGCCATGGAAAATTAAGAAGTAAAAATTTTAAAACTTACTTCAGAAGACATGAGAGGCTGGTTTGAATATTTTAACTATGATTCTCACTTTTGGGAGGGCAGTTTGGGGGCAAGCTGGCTCAAAGGTCTCTGAAGCTACCTGTTCCTGCTTATCTCACAGTTAACTGTAAAAAGATGTTGCCTTTTGTAAGACATAAATTAGGTCTTACAAGGTTTTTGTTAAGTAAATACAAGCTAAGTACTCCTTATCCGAAATGCTTGAGACCAGAAGTGTTTCAGATTTTGGATTTTTTCATATTTTTGGAATATTTGCATTATACTTACCAGTTGAACATTACTAATCCAAAACTCTGAAATCCAAAGTGCTCCAATGAGCATTTCCTTTGAGCATCATGTCAGTGTGCAAAAAGTTTCAGATTTTTAAGCATTTTGGATTTCAGATTAGGGATACTCAACCTTTAATAATTTCAAATCAGAAAAAATGATATAAAATTGTTCACTGAGTATGAACATTAATCTTTAAATCACAGGCTTCCTCTCTCTATATAGATGTACTTATTATGTATATTAAGTATAGGTACAGTCATGCATTACTTAATGACAGAAATATGTTCAGAGAAATGCATCATTAGGCGAACATCAGAGTGTACTTATCCAAACCTAGATGGTGTAGCCTACTACATACCTAGGCTATGTGGTACAGCCTATTGCTGCTAGGCTACAGACCTGTATAGCATGTTACTGTGCTGAATACTGGAGGCAACTCTAAAGAATGGTAAGTATTCATGTACCTAAACACATTTAAACATAGAAAAACTACAGTAAAAATACAGTAATATAATCTTATGGGACGACTGTCATATATGTAGTCTATCATTGACCAAAATGTTGCTAAACAGTGTATGACTGTGTACACATATAAGCAGGTCTTTGAATAACATTTTGTTCAGTGTTGTTACCTTATAACTTTTTTTTTTTTTTGCGACAGGGTCTTGCTCTGGCACCCAGGCTGGAGTGTAGTGGCGTGATCTTGGCTCACTGCAACCTCCACTTGCTGGGTTCAAGTGATTCTCCCGCCTCAGACTCCTGAGTAGCTGGGATTACAGGCACCTGCCACCACGCCTGGCTAATTTTTGTATTTTTAGTAGAGACAGGGTTTCACCACGTTGGTCAGGCTAGCCTCGAACTCCTGACCTCAAGTGATCCACTCGCCTCGGCCTCCCTAAGTGCTGGGATTACAAACGTGAGCCACCATGCTTGTTTCCTTGTAACGTTGATAAGAAAAAAAAATTGATTTCCGGCCAGGACCACTGTCTGTGTGGAGTTTGCACATCTGCACAGGTTTTCTCTGGGTATGCTGGTTTCCTCCCATATCCCAGAGATGTGCGTGTAAGGTGAAATGGCATGCTAAGCTGTGCCAGTCTGAGTGTGGGTGTGTGGGTATATGCACCCCGATGGAATGGTGTTCTGTCCAGGGTTGTTCTGCCTTGCATCCTGAACTGCCAGGATAGGCTCCGGCCATTTGTGATCCTGAGCTGGAATACTTGGGTAAATGATTACCTAACTTATTTTCATTAATCTTTCTTACATGTGTGTATAGTTTACATATATTTCACTGTTTAATACTGGTCTTTATTTAGAAGTGTTTTGGTCTTTATTTAGAAGTTTGGTCTTTACTCCAGCCTGACCAACATGGAGAAATCCCGTCTCTATTAAAAATACAAAATTAGCCAAGCATGGTGGTACATGCCTGTAATCCCAGCTACTCGGGAGGCTGAGGCAGGAGAATTGCTTGAACCCAGGAGGTAGAGGTTGCGGTAAGCCGAGATCACACCATTGCACTCCAGCCTGGGCAATAAGAGCGAAACTTTGTCTCAAAAAAAAAAAAAATTGGTTTTGTTATACGTCATTTTGCTTAAAGTCAGTTTCCAAGAACCTATTAATGACCTTTAAGTGAGGAATGACCAATTTACATACATAAACTGACCCTTGAATAATGTGGGGGGGAGCATGAACCCTATCCCAATGGCCCAACATCCTCCTCAACCCCACCAAAATAAAAAATCCACATATAAAAATCCATTTGACTCCCCCAAAACTTTACTAACAACGTACTGTTGACTGAAAGCCTTACCAATAATATAAACAGTCGGTTAACATATATTTTGTATGTGATATGTATTATATACTGTATTCTTACAATTAAGCTAGAAAAAGGAATACTATTAAGAAAACACTATTAAGAAAATAAGAGAAAATATATTTACTATTCATTAAATGGAAGTGGATCATCATAAAGTGATCATAAAGTGGATCTTCATAAAGGTTTTCATCCTCATTGTTTTCAAACCAAATAGACTGAGGAGGAAGAGGAAGAGGAAGAGGGGGGTGTCTCAGGGGTGGCAGAGGTAGAAGAGGTAGAGAAGGTGGAAGGGGAAGTAGGAGAGGAAGGCACATGTGGTATAAATTTATGGAAATGTTATAATTTGTCTGACTTTTTTTGCTTTTTCTATTTTTAGAAACAGGGTCTCACTCTATCACCCAGGCTAGAGTGCAGTGGCATGATCACAGCTCACTGCATCCTTGAACTACTGGGTTTAAGTGATCCTCCTGCCCTAGCCTCCTGAATAGCTGAAGCTACCAGCCCAGGCTGGTCTTGAACTCCTGGCCTCAAGTGATCCTCCTGCCTTGGCCTCCCAAGTGCTGGGATTACAGGCTTGAGCCTCCACACTCAGGTTTGCTTTTTCATTTCTCTAAAAATGTTTCTATATGGTACCAATTCTTCTTCTACCATTTGCTTTGGTTTTAGTGCCCATATCATAGAAGGGTCCAAGTCTAAAATAACTCAAAAGCAGTCTCAAATAACCTCGACCCTTCTGCCAGATTGCCTGACATTAATGTTTTCTGGCACTGTTTCTTCTACGTCTTCTTCCTCGTCATCTGGCACTGACTCAGAAGAACTCATCTCCATCAAGTCACCTTCAGTTAATTCCTCTGATGTGGTATCTATGAGTTCTTGAATTTCTCTAAGATCCCTATCTTGAAATCCTTCACCCTTCACCTTCTTTTTTTGCCATATCTCTTTCATGATTTCCTTGATTGGCTCTGTCACAGATCCTATGAAGTCACATACAATTTCTGGACACAGTTTTCTTCAGCAGTAATTTATTGTTTTGGGCTTGATGGCTTTCACAACTTTTTCTTTTGAGACAGGGTCTCACTCTGTTGCCCAGGCTGGAGTGCAGTGGCATGATCACGGTTCACTGCAGCCTTGACCCTCCCGAGTACCTGGGACTACAGGTACGCATGACAGTGCCCAGCTAATTTTTGTATCTTTTGTGGAAATGTGGTTTCACCACGTTGCCCAGGCTGGTCTCTAACTTCCAGGTTCAAGTGATCTGCCCGCCTTGGCCTCCCAAAGTGCTGGGATTACAGGCATGAGCCACTGCACCTGGCCCACAATTTCTTCTATAACAACTATGGCATTTTTTTTGAGACAGAGTCTCACTCGGTCGCCCAGGCTGGAGTGCAGCGAAGCAATCTTGGCTCACTGTAACCTCCACCTCCCAAGTTGGAGCGATTCTCCTCCCTCAGCCTCCCAAGTAGCTGGGATCACAGGCGCGTGCCACCAGCCTGGCTAATTTTTGTATTTTTAGTAGAGACAGGGTTTCGCCATGTTGGCCAGGCTGGCCTCAAACTCCTGACCTCAGGTGATCCACCCACCTTGGCCTCTCAAAGTGCTGGGATTACAGGCGTGAGCCACTCCACCCGGTCAACTATGGCAACTTCAATGGAGGAATCTTTCCAGACATTCATGATGTTCTATCGGTGTCTTCTTCCACAGCACTTAAAATCCTTTGCATAGAGTACCAAGTGCAATGAGTGTTAAAGGTCCTTATGACCCACCTGATCTAAAGGCTGAATTAGCGACGTCGCGTCTGGGGGCAAGCAGACCACTTTGACACCTTCAGTGTTGAACTGATGGGGTTCTGGGTGGCCAGGGGCATTGACCAATATCAAAAGAGCTTTAAAGGCAATCCCTTACTGGCAAGGTACTTCCTTACTCCAGAGACAAAGCACTGATGAAACCAATCCAGAAAAAAAGGTTCTCATTGTGCATGCCTTCTTGCTGTACAACCAAAAGACTGTAGCTTCATAGATAAAGGTAGTCCTGATTATTAACCCAATTGCATTTGCACAAAACCAGAGAGTCAGCCTACCCCTTCCTGCCTTAAATTCTGGTTCTTACTTCTTTTCCTTACTAATAAATATCCTTTGTGGCATTTTCTTTTCCCCAGAATAGGGCACTTTCATCTTCATTAAAAACCTGTTCAGGCAGATATCCTTTCTCCTCAGTGATTTTCCCCATGGTGTCTGGGAACCTGTCTGCTGCCTCTTGGTCAGCAGAAGCTACGTCTTCTGTTATCTTGACATTTTTCAAGTCAAACTGTCCTAAAATTATCAAACCATCCATTGCCGGCATTAACTTCTCCAGCTCTAGTTTTTTCACTTTCCTCTTGCTTTAAGTTGTCATATAATGACTTTACTTTTATTAAATCATATTTATCTATAGGTATGCTTTTCTTTTCTTTTCTTTTTTTTTTTTGAGACAGAGTTCTGCTCTTGTTGCCCAGGCTGGAGTGCAATGGCACGATCTTGGCTCACCACAACCTCTGCCTCCCAGGTTCAATCGATTCTCCTGCCTCAGCCTCCTGAGTAGCTGGGATTATAGGCATGCGCCACCACACACGGCTAATTTTGTATTTTTAGTAGAGATGGGGTTTCTCCATGTTGGTCAGGCTGGTCTCGAACTCCCGACCTCATGTGATCCGCCCGCCTCGGCCTCCCAAAGTGCCGGGATTACAGGTGTGAGCCACCGCATCCAGCCTTTTTTCTTTTATTACAACAGTCCTTATGCTGAATTCACTTATCTTGAAATGGTGAACAACCACAGCTGTGGACCTCAAACTATGTACAAACTGAGCAATTTTTCTTGTAATGTTCTAACTTTTCTCTGCCTCTTAGGGGAACTTCCAGCAACACTAGTGGCACTAGTGGGTCCCATAGTATTACTCAAGGTTTACTGTATTGCACTAAACACAATGAAAACTATACAAGAACCATGAGAGATCAATTTTTACTGTGATACACAATTAGCTGGAGAGATAAACACTCACATGGTGATGACTAGCGTCACACAACATTTTAAGCGGATACTTGCAACACTTGAGCTCACCACAATAGTAACAGGGAGTTAGTTGGCTATGAAATATTACGGTAGTACACCCAGTATGTAACAGTTAATTTTATGCAGTTATGATTTAATACTGCACCTTTATATTTGTCTACATTTCTCTCAACAGTGAATGGTGCCATGTACGGTTTGTGTGCATAAGTTTTGATAAAGTTTTAACTTTTTATAACAGATTTGTATATATTTTATGGTAGCAAATGTTAAAATAGACTAGTATCCACATATATTTTATTCATTCATAACATACCTTTTTAATTCTTTTGATATTTCTAGGCTACAGTTTATCTGTAAGATTTTACAAATTGTCACAAATCTCCAAAAAATTTTCCAATATATTTACTTTTTAAAAT
Source organism: Homo sapiens (assembly GCF_000001405.40). Lineage (NCBI taxonomy): Eukaryota > Metazoa > Chordata > Mammalia > Primates > Hominidae > Homo > Homo sapiens. The sequence continues at coordinate 38,372,108 of NC_000017.11, read as the reverse complement.
CCATGTATAAGCAGACCTGCGCAGTTCAAACCCAGGTTGTTCAAGGGTCAACTATATATACTTCTTAGAGACCATATGGAATAGTCGAGGAAAGACAGGAACAGCAGTTTTGTGGGTCTCATTCATTCAAGTGCGTGTTGAGTGCAAAAAATAGAAATCTAAGTCTTTCCTTCTTTAACTTTAAAACCCCACGCCAACATATTACAAAGATCCCACCTCAAACTTTAAAATCCCAAATGGAAAAGGGAATCTGAACTCCTATGACTTAAAAAAATAAAACAAGAAAAAACTCAAAAAACTGAAGCACCAGATTCCAAAGGAATCACCCACAAAAAAAAAAAAAAAAAAAAAAAACACAAAAGGGCCAGGCACAGTGGCTCATACCTGTAATCCCAGCACTTTGGGAGGCAGAGGTGAGCAGGTCACTTGAGCTCAGGAGTTCAAGACCAACCTGGACAACACAGAAAAATACCCGTCCCGGCCGGGCATGGTGGTTCATGCCAGTAATCCCAACACTTTGGGAGGCTGAGGTGGGCAGATCCCCTGAGGTCAGGAGTTCGCCAGTAATCCCAACACTTTGGGAGGCTGAGGTGGGCAGATCCCCTGAGGTCAGGAGTTCAAGGCCAACCTGGCCAACATGGTGAAACCCCGTCTCTACTAAAAATACAAAAATTAGCTGGGCGTGGTGGCACGCGTCCAGGAACTACTCAGGAGGCTGAGGCAGGAGAATTGCCTGAACCCAAAAGGCAGAGCTTGCAGTGAGCTGAGATCGCGCCACTGCACTCCAGCCTGGGCAACAAAGCGAGACTCCGTCTCAAAAAAAAAAAAAAAGTTGGGCATGGAGGCACCCATCTGTAATCCCAGCTACTCAGGAGGCTGAGGCAGGAGAATCGCTTTAACTCAGGAGGTGGAGACTGCAGTGAGCCGAGATCGTGGCACTGCCCTCCAACCTGGGCACAGAGCCAGACCCTGTCTTTAAAAAACAAAACAAAACAAACAAACAAACACAAAAAAGGGATACTAATCAGTCAAGAGAACTGCAGATTTGAGTCTCTCTACCTACTCTTACAGTATCACTTAAAAAAGACAAAGACAAATGCTCCACTGCAAACTGGTAACGGAAAGGCCCGCAAGGTTTCCATTAAAAATTCCAGTTATAAGGCCGGGCGCCGTGGCTCATGCTTGTAATCCCAACACTTTGGGAGGCCGAGGCAGGCGGATCACAAGGTCAGGAGTTCGAGACAAGCTTGGCCAATATGGTGAAACCCCGTCTCTACTAAAAATACAAAAATTAGCTGGGCATGGTGGTGGGTGCCTATAGTCCCAGCAACTTGGGAGGCCAAGGCAGGAGAATAGCTCGAACCTGGAAGGCAGAGGTTGACACTGAGCTGAGATCGCGCCATTGCACTCTAGCCTGGGCGATGGAGCAAGACTCTGTCTCAAAAAAAAAAAAAAAATTCCGGTTATAGGCGAGGTACAGTGGCTTATATCTATAATCCCAGCACTTTGGGAGGCCAAGGCAGTAGAATTGCTCCAGTCCAGGAGTTCAAGACCAGCCTGGGCAACATAGTGAGACCCTGTCTCTACTAAAAAAATTTTTTTAAATTAGCTGGGCATGGTGATGCACACTAGTCCCACCTACTAGCAAGGCTGAGATAGGAGGATCACTTGAGCCTGGGAGGTTGAGGCTACGACGAGGCATGATCTCACCACTACACTCCAACCTGGGCAGCAGGGTGAGACCCCGTCTCAAAAAAAAGAAATTCTACTTATTCAAGGAAGCAAAGTCCCTTTAACAAAAAGTAACTGGTGGCCAGGTGAGGTGGCTCACGCGTGTCATCCCAGCACTTTGGGAAGCCGAGGCAGGCAGATCACGTGAGGCTAGGAGTTCGAGACCAGCCTGGCCAACGTGGCAAAACCCTGTCTCTACTAAAAATGCAAAAATTAGCTGGGCGTGGTGGTGCACACCTGTAATCCCAGCTACTTGGGAGGTTGAGTTACAAGAATTGCTTGAACCCGGCCAGGCATGGTGGCTCACGCCTGTAATCCCAGCACTTTGGGAGACCAAGGCGGGCGAATCACGAGGTCAGGAGTTCAAGACCAGCCTCACCAACATGGTGAAACCCTGTGTCTACTAAAAATACAAAAAAAATTAGCTGGGCATAGTGGCGGGCACCTGTAATACCAGCTACATGGGAGGCTGAGGCAGGAGAATTGCTTGAACCCAGGAAGCGGAGGTTGCAGTGAGCCAAGATCACACCACTGCACTCCAGCCTGGTGACAGAGCGAAACTCTGTCTCAAAAAAAAAAAAACAAACAAAAAAAGAATTGCTTGAACCAAGGAGGTGGAGGCTGCAATGAGCCGAGATCGTGCCACTGTACTCCAACCTGGGTGACAAAGTTAGACTCCAACTCAAAAAAAAAAAAAAAAAAAGTAATCGGAGAACTATTTGAAAGACCTCTTGTTCCTGGCATCTCACCTATCAAGAACTTAAAGGTCAAGTATTTATTTATAATTCCCAGGGCCTAGTCATTTGAACAGGTTTAACAAAATACTTCACTCTGAAATGCTCCGCTTCACATTTTGTTTTTTTCCTTGTGTGTTTTTGTTTTCACAAACAGCAGAACAGGAGGCAGTCCCCCTCACCTATCCCACCTAGTTATCTAATTCATTCCCAGGTCATTGGATTGAAGTTCCTTTCTCTTCGTGTTATCTCTAAGGTAGAAGTGGGTACAGAGGAAACCATGGACAAAGCTATGCTGACCTAAACAGCTACTTCCTGCCTCACAAGAGAACCCGATGCAGTGTGGGCTGAGTGGGGAAGATGCTGTGGGGCCTGAGAAGAGGCAGGACAGAGGCTCTTACCTCAGATGCAATGTCTCAGAGCATTCACTTAAGGTTGACCACCATGGTAAGACTGTGAGGGATGGGAAGCAAGTCCCTGAAACACACCAAAGTTCTCTATGCTTTTTCAATTTGTAGCATACACAGGTATTTTGACAAAGGATGTATTACCCAGCCTCAGAAACAATGACCATCACAAGTTTCTGGCCCAAGTTAGATACAGAATGTCTCGATACAAAGTCAATCCAGAGAGCTGTGTTTAACAAGTCGGCTTCTAGGCATGACTGGCACATGAAGTACCATCTGATCACAAAGGAAGAGGTACCACTAGGAGAATGGCAGATAGTCTAAAGCATGTTGATCCCACAAACTCTCAACATTTTAATGAATATTTCCTAAGAGACTACAACATTGACAAAAAGAGGAAATTATCACCATGCTGCCTGGGAGAAAGTGACTATCAGACAAAGAAATTCAGACACACCTGTAATCCAAGCCCTTTGGGAGGCCGAGGCGGGTGGATCACCTGAGGTCAGGAGTTTGAGACCAGCCTGGCCAACAGAATAAAACACTGTTTCTACTAAAAATACAAAAATTAGCCAGGCCTGGTGGCACATGCCTGTAATCCCAGCTACATAGGAGGCTGAGGCAGAAGAATCACTTGAACCCAGGAGGCGGAGGTTGCAGTGAGCTGAGATCGCACCACTGCACTCCAGCCTAGGCAACAGAGCGAGACTCTGTCTCAAAAAAAAAAAAAGAAAGAAATTCAGAACAGAACAGTTACAGGATCAACACTAAATTCACCCTCTTTGTATACGTGATTTAACAAAATATCTCTAGATGATAAGTTTAACTACAAACAAAGCTTGTGAGAATTTGCCTAATGGTCCTAGGTTCTTTCTTCCTTTTACCTAAAGAGTTTTACCGGCTCATTTCTCGGGAGCCTCTCCAACAGTTTTGTTCAGGCCCTCCTATTTAGGAAACAAGATGCTGCTGACAAGACTTTTAAATGGAACCCTTACTCTCCCTTCCCTACCCCCTCCATTTCTTCTAGTGACGGAAATCAGCGCTCATATCAATATTCAACTGAGTCTAAGATAATTTTTCCCCTATTTGTAGTTCCATTCCTATGAATCTCTTCCACAAAAAAGTCAGACAGCAAAGGTAGAGCAAATCAAGGGGGGAAGAAGCCTCTCTTACCAGTATCTCTTACCTCTGTAGTGCTCCATTCTAGTGTGGTGGGTGATACCCTGTGATCGGAAACTGAGGCTCAGGATGTAACGAGGATCAGAACTGTCTCGTACCAGGAAAGAACCATCTGGTTTCCCTTTCAGCTTCATCTCTGCATCTTCCCAATTCATTGGCCCCCAATACCAACCACACTATCAAAGACAAGAAGCAGTCCACTAGTTATCAGGACAGAGAAATGTCAAAGTTTTCAGTGCAATCTATCTTAACATGGGAGAACCCTCTGCATTCTCTCCAAAATATTTCAATAGGTAAAAGCCACTTACAAGTGTCTCAACCATTAGCAATGAACATCAGGCTCACTATACTTTTAGCCCTCCAAAGTAACAGAATAATAATTCTGGCCGTGAGCTGTGGCTCATGCCTGTAATCCCAACACTTTGGGAGGCTGAGGCGGGTGGATCACTTGAGGTCAGGAGTTCGAGACCAGCCTGGCCAACATGGTGAAAACCCATCTCTACTAAAAATACAAAAATTAGCTGGGTTTGGTGGCACATGCCTGTAATCCCAGCTATTCAGGAGGCTGAGGCAGAAGAATCGCTTGAACCCAGGAGGTGGAGGTTGCAGTGAGCTGGTATTGCGCCACTGTACTCCAGCCTGGGTTACACAGTGAGACTCTGTGTCAAAAAAACAAAAAACAAAAAACAAAATGGCTGGGCGCAGTGGTTCACACCTGTAATCCCAGCACTTTGGGAGGCCAAGGCAGGTGGCTCACCTGAGGTCAGGAGTTCAAGACCAGCCTGGCCAACATGGTGAAACCCCATTTCTACTAAAAATACAGTAATTAGCTGGGCATGGTGGTGGGCGCCTGTAATACCAGCTACTCAGGAGACTGAGGCAGGAGAATTGCTTGAACCCAGGAGGCGGAGTTTTCAGTAAGCCGAGATTGCGCCACTGCACTCCAGCCTGGGCAACAAGAGCGAAACTCAGTCTCAAAAACAAAACAAGACAACAACAACAACAAAAAACAAAGAATAATAATTCTACAATTTTGTTACCAAAGACCCTACCAAGAAAAGAAGAGGGAACTGGGTCAGTTAATCTATCAAAATCAGCTTAGACTATGTAAAACATTTCTCCAACAACCTTTATCATGTCCAAATTTTTTCCCCAAATTCAATTTTATTACATCTCATGGAACTAATAGCAGGAGCACACTGTTTTGTCACTGTAAATATGGAAGCAAGTAAACTATTCTTCCTCTGAAAACAATAAACAGGGGCTGGGTGTGGTGGCTTACGCCTATAATCCTAGAGCTTTGGGAGGCAGAGGCAAGAGGATCACGTTGAGCCCAGGAGTTCAAGACCAGCCTGGGAAACTGCAAGACCAGTCTCTACAAAAAATATAAATAAATTTTAGCTGGGCTTGGTCGTGCATGCCTGCAGTCCTAGCTACTCAGGAGGCTGAGGCAGAAGGATCCTTTGGCCCAGGAGTTTGAGCCTACAGTGAGCTATGATTATGCCACCACACCCTAGCCTGGGCAACAGAGCCAGACCCTGTCTCTAAAAATAAATAAACACATAAATAAAGGTGTGTCCGAATACAGAATTTAGCTAATGGGAGGAGAAGTGACCTGCCAGTCCTTAGGTACCACCTACCTTCTCCAACTCTCGAAGGCTGGCTGCAAAGCTGCTCGAGTCAGGCCGGTAGAGGGGACACTGGAGGTGCTGTGGGGGTTGGCTGTGCAGGGATTCAGCTGCTCGGATGGGAGCAATCCGGGGAAATGCATCTGCAGGGCAAGACAGTGGTGGTCACTTGTTTACCCTCACTGCTCCCAACCACAAATAGACCCTCCCCCAAAAACAGAGGATGCTAACTGAAGAGGGCAAGGCATTAGAAGCTAAGCTGGAAAGGGTAGAAGCCAAAGCAGTGGCAAAGAGCTGGATGGGCTGGAACAAAAAGCTGTGTGGGCTTGTGTAAGCTGTGAAGGATGGGTGGGGGCACTTGACCCCAAGAAAGGGGGAGGGGAGCTGCTCACTAACCTTACTAAGGTGACTACTTCAGGGGCTTCACCAGCCTAGAGCGATTCCAACTTCTCCCACCTCGAAGTGAAGTGCCGATAAGGCAGCCTTGGAAATAGTGACTCGCTTACTTGCCCAGGAAGAGTAATGATTTTGCCAGGCAAGTAGAAAAGAATGCTGATTTCATTCATTTTATTCCTTGGGTACTGTAAGCTGGCAAAGCAGGTATGGGCTGCTAAATGCTTGGTACTTATTTACAAGGCTGCAGTAAATACTAAAAGCTTAGAAAAACCATAGAATGCTGAAAACCACCAACATATTAAACCTCACTATCCTGAAATTAAGGCAGTTTCTTAAGTGATATCTACTCAAGGATTGCAAAACAGTCTCAGCAGCAAAGACTGATGAAAAATTCAGTAGTCTTTCATCCCTAACAAAAATCAGATTGACCTCCATAAAGAAAACGGGTTAGGAAAACCAGTTCTCCGCCTCATTTCTAAGGAGTCTGGTCCAGCCAAGGGGAAAAGATTTAAACTTTCTACTAAGCTGTTATTTCCATAAATAGATTTCTCCCATCCTTCTATGGTAGAAAGTATCACTTTGTACTCCCAACTCTTACAAGTCTTGCCTCTAAACTAAGCTAACCTGGGGCATGGGGTGGAGGAGGCGGAGGTAGGGGGAAAGACTGCAAGGAAGACCCCATCGGAGCCACAAGGACAGATGTAGGCAGCGTCCCACTGATATCATCTAGAAGAGAGAACAAAAGCAAGAGGTTCAGAAATGTGAGCACAGAATGAGCACGCTGAAGGCAGAGGAGAGGGAGAAGGACTATCAGGCTGCCCTCTGGGGCAGGATGGCCCAACCTTCACCCAGTCTTTTTGCACAGAGGGCAACAATCATCTTACTCTGTTTTGCTTTTGGAAAGCAGGGTAGTAAGGATATTCCTAATGCAGCCCAATAGCAGTGGGTTCAAGGCAAGATAAATGTAAACTGAATTAATATATGTATAGTAAGTATTACAGCATGCGGGTGAGACCCATTTAATTGCTTAGGGAGATGACGGGGTGCTGAGAAAGAGCTGGGAAATAATTGAGTCATCATCGGAAACCCAGAAGCGTGGTCGGCCCCCAGCAAAGAACAAGTCCCTGGAGCTCACCCTCCCACTAGGCAAGAAGGTGGAGAGGGGAAGAAACTATACCTAGGAGGCTGAGGCTTCTTCTCGGAGGAGGAGGGGGAGTTGGAGGGTGTGGAGAGGTCAGGCCCCGCTGAGAAATGTCCACATCCACAAGCGACACAGTTTCACCTGAGGGATTCATGGAGCAAGCAAGTTACAGAAGCGCCTTGCCCAAAGCTGATGCAGAAAGCAAAGGGAAGCAAAGGGCAAGCAGGCGAGGCTGGGGGTCTGCTGCTCTCAGAAAGCTCAAAACCTAATGCCCCCAGGGCTGAAATCACCCCAACACCAGGAAGTCAATTTTTAAATTCTATCATTCCTTTGCCCTGTTAAGGGTCAAGGATTCTTTAGGACAAAACCATGGGACTGACAGTGGAAAAACCATCTAATTCTGGTTCCGCCACTGACTTACAACGTACCCTCAAACAAGGGGTCTTCTTTATCCAATAGAACCCATACCATTTATTTTTTCAGAATTGTGTATCAATTTCTGCCTTAGGAAGCAAGCCAAGTGGCTTGTTATATGCCCAAACAGACATGGAAAGCAAGGGCCAGAAAACCTAAGAACTGTACGGTAAGCTGAATGCAGATAAAGTTCCCAATGTTAGTCCTAACTTCTTCCTAGAGGGCAGTCCATATCTTGATTTTCCAGAGTATTCACACATAAGAGAATCTACCTGAATAAGATATCTGTTCTTAACAGCTGAGGCTACAAAGGCTGAAAGTACAATTTATAGTCCTAAAAATTAACTACTTTCACAGTCAGACAAAAGTCAGGTAATCTAAGAGGCAGCTTCTCCATAGGAACTTGGTGGGAGGAGGCACATGGCCTCTCTTCTTCCCAGCATGTCATGCAGTTCTGTTCCCTGCCATATACAATACTCCTTGCCACCCAACTCTGTCTATTCCCTCTCCACTTGAGTCACGAGAGGATGAAAGGTATTTTATTAATATGAACACAAGCTGATAGCCAGGAATACGGTTATTTTGGCAGGCCTGATGCACAAGTCAGAACTCAGGATTTCTCTAATTTAGCCCTTACGGTGTTCCTTCCAACACCTTTTTTTTTAATTCAGGGCTGAATGAGCCCCTCAGCTAGTATTTTAAATGTTTCCCCGTTAAGAAAATGAGGTGACCAATATCTACCAAAGGAAACTGGGCTTTCAGAACCTAAATACACAGTTTTTTTACAAAGCTCTTGAATACTAATTAAGATAAACAGAAAAGCTCTTCTAAAAGTCATCAGTGAGACCAGGTGCAGTGGGTCACACCTGTAATTCCAACACTTTGGGAGGCCAAGGTAGGCGAATCACTTGCACTCAGGAGTTCAAGACCAGCCTGGGCAACACGTTAAGACCCCGTCTCTACAAAAATATAAAAATTATTCAGGTATGGTGGTGCATGCCTATAGTCCCAGCTATTCTGGAGGCTGAGGTGGGAGGATCGTTTGGGCCTAGGAGGTCGAGGCTGCAGTAAGCTGAGACTGCACCATTGCACTCCAGCCTGGGAGACAAAGTGAGGCCCTGTGTCAAAAATAAACAAAAGCCATCAGTGGAAGTTCTAGAAAGCTGGTACCAGACTCACCATACAGCTTGGTAACTGAAAGCCTGGCTGCCCAGAGCAATGCGATGGAGCCAGACAAGTGTATTTCCTGACAGGCCAGAGCAGTCTAGACTATTGGTAGAGCACTTAACATAAAGGACGTCATTCAAGAGGGCTGAGGCTGACCTGAACCTCAAACTACAAATGTAGGTGGTGTTCCTTTTTTTTTTTTGAGACAGAGGCTCAGTCGCTCAGGCTGGAGTGCAGTGGCAAAATCTCTGCTTACTGCAACCTCAGCCTCTCGGGTTCAAGCGATTCTCCTGCCTCGGCCTCCCGAGTAGCTGGACTACAGGCGTGCGGCACCATGCCCCAGCTAATTTTTTGTATTTTTAGTAGAGACGGGGTTTCACACCATGTTGGCCAGGCTGGTCTGAAACACCTGACCTCAGATGATCTGCTCACTTCAACCTCCCAAAGTGCTGGGATTATAGGCATGAGCCACCGTGACCGTGACCAAGCCATGTTCCTTACTTTAATGAGGAAACAACTATTAACTAGAAAGACATGGTATCGCAAGATAAGATTTTTTAATTCTGGGCTTGGGTAAGAACAGAGACCTCCTTCTCCACTACAGTAGATGCCTATACAGGTACCAATTCACTTGTTTTGACAGTTCACAGCAGTCTACCCAGCTGCAAGTCTCATTGGCCTGCTTAACATTTTCCTGGAAGCATCCATTCCCAAATCGTAAGTCTTCCAATCACCTTTTTGAGGGACATGATATCCAAAGGAGTTTGAGATTGGGATTTTTTTTAAAGGCTTCTCAGTCACAACCAATGAGAAGTACTCAGTTTCTGAGACATGGGCAAAGCCCCACTTTTCTCCAGCTTATTCATGCAGGAGCTTCACCTGTGACTGACATAACAGAAGGTCTCCCTCTCTGAAAAAGCTCCCTACGAAACGAGAAGGCAGTTACCCATCATCCAAAGGAGATTCTACAGCCTTCCTAGTTTAGCAACTGTGTTCCCTGCTGCAAGAGGGCAGACTTAAATTAGATACAATAAAGAAGTCTAACAGCTGCAGGAACTGCAAGCCCCTAAAAAGACAAGAGCTCATGTAATCCCCTTTGCCCAAAAAAGTCTTTAAAAATAGACCAGATAATCATGGATCATTTTTATGAGATAACCCATGAACTCCCTTGGAAGCAGAGACAGAAATTGTATGACTTCTAGAGAGTCTTTTATGCACTGTGAGCCCATAAATTTGTAATTCCTAGTTTTAATTTATATGTGATGACCCTGAACTAAGCACTGCATAACTGCTAGGGCCACCCAGGCCACCTAATTACCAACAAGCAGCCTTTACCTCCAACTATAAAGCATCCAAAGTCAAGAACACATTCCATACCATAAAAATAGCCTCACCCCAAACCCACTAAGCATGGAATGAAGGAAATAACTGCAGACACGCCTACAGCTCCCTGTGATGCATCTGTAAGTGTTTCCCAACAGGTCTCAGAACGCCCCTGTTTTCAGATGTCAGAAGAGAGAAAGATATTACCCTTACCTGTGAACAGGGGGCTGAAGGAGACCGGAGAAAAGGCACTTTGAGTTCTTGTCAACTTGGGTTTCCTAGGGAGTGAGAAAGCAGAGAGAGAATAGAGGGGAGAAATGAACACATATGCATTTAAGTCACCACAACACTCAGTTCCAGATGCACTGAGAAATAAAGCAAACCCTAGTCGTTGTCAGCAACACTCTTGTAATACAGCATAAAATAAAGGGGGAGAATGAAATAATTAAGGCAATTCCTTAAATAGATTTGGCTACAGAATTCACCAACCTACAAAGCAATGAGAAATCCCTTTGGAGCTCACCATACCCAGTACATTAAAAGAGTAAAACACCTTGAGTGGTAATTAGCAAGTCCATTTCAAGAGGAAGGAAGTCTGATGCAGAGCTAATTTCCATCTGGGAGCCAAGAAAAGGGCTCTTAACCTGGACAGGCACCAGCTCAGAGCAAAGTTTCCCTCTGGGCTTGCCTATAGGATAGGTCATCCCAAAGTGAACCAAGGAACAGATTCTGACCTGAGAATAGCACTGCAGGATGCATGTGCAGTCTTCAACCTTGAAGACCTCTGATTTCTGCACAATTGCCCCAAGGCATGGGTCAAAGCCATCAGCTACTAAGTGGGCCTCCTCAGATTAGGGGCTCTGCCTAGCATCCAAGAGGGCCCATTCGTCTCTCTGAGCTGCCACTCACACAGCCCTCCCCATGACTTCTTGATGCTGTTTCAGGGAACCAGTCTGAAAACCCAGATCTTTTGGTTAATATACCAAAGATAACTTCACTTCTTACCACACTTTCAAGTGGCTTTTCAGCAAGAAATGAAAGAAACTCAAAAGACTCCAACAAAGACATTACGGCCAGAAGTGTGTTAAACCAAAAAAACTCACCTCAGAATTACTGAACTTGTCGAGGTAATAGAAATATGTTATATGCTGGCCGGGTGCGGTGGCTCATGCCTGTAATCCCAGCACTTTGGGAGGCCAAGGCAGGCGGATCACAAGGTCAGGAGATCAAGACCATCCTGGCTAACACGGTGAAACCCTGTCTCTGCTAAAAATACAAAAAATTAGCCGGGTGTGGTGGCGGGTGCCTGTAGTCCCAGTTACTCGGGAGGCTGAGGCAGGAGAACGGCGTGAACCCAGGAGGCGGAGCTTGCAGTGAGCCAAGATCGCACTACTGCACTCCAGCCTGGGCGACAGAGCGAGACTCCGTCTCAAAATAAAGTAAAATAAAATAAAAAATAAAAATAAAAAAATAAAAAAAAAGAAATATGCCATATGCTGGCTGGGCACAGTGGCTCACTCCTGTAATCCCAACACTTTGGGAGGCCAAGGTGGGCAGATCACAAGGTCAGGAGCCCGAGACCAGCCTGGCAAACATGGTGAAACTCCATCTCTACTAAACAAAAATTAGCTGGGCATGGTGGCATGCACCTGTAATCCCAGCTACTCAGGAGGCTGAGGTAGGAGAATTTCCTGAGCCCGGGAGGTGAAGGTTGCAGTGAACCAAGATCACACCACTGCACTCCAGCCTGGGTGACAGAGTGAGACTCCATCCCCAAAAAAAAAAAAAGAAAAAGAAATATGTTACATGCTGATTATGGTAGAAGTTATGATGACTATATATAAATTTGTCAAAATTAATAGAGCTGGACACTTAAAAGGGTAAATTTTGCGGTATATAAATTATACCTCAGGCCCGGTGCGATGGCTCACACCTGTAATCCCAACACTTTGAGAGGCTGAGGTGGGCAGATTGCTTGAGCCCAGGAGTTCGTGACCAGCCTGGGCAACATGATGAAACCTCGTCTCTACAAAAAATATAAAAATTAGCTGGGCGTGGTGGTGCACACCTCTAGTCCCAGTTACTCAGGAGTGTGAGATGGGAGGGTCACCTGAACCTGGGAAGGTCAAGGCTGCAGTGAGCCATGATTGAGCCACTGCATTCCAGCCTGGGTGACAGAGACCTTGTCTCAAAAAAAAATTTTTTTTAATTAAAAATTTTTTTAAAAAAATAATATATATATATATATAACAGTAAAACAGACTTAAAGAAAATCCTACCGCAGAATTGAGTGCCTGTCTCCTAGCATTATAGCTGGCTCACCTTCCAAAAATACTCTTACCCAAAGGTCTAAATAGAACTTAAACTCTTTTCAACTATAAACTGCACCAATAGAGAGGGGCAAAAGCAAAGAAAATCCAAAATGAAATTCTATTTTAAATTATTTGACTTCAGAAGATATTTATGCATTTATGTTTTAACACTGATGTCTGAGCTTCTCAGAATTCACCTCAAACAAAATTCTAAAACCATACCATGAAGATCTTATTCAGAAAGAGCTGAAACCCTGGTCCGTCTTTCTCCTGACCTAGCTTTACATTCCCTTGGCAACCTCTTCCATACTTGAGGGTTCTGATGATCACGCTCACTATGAATATTCCACCCACAGCACCCACAGGAGAGGTGGCTACATAAAAATAAGATATGGCCACACAGTTTCTCCGCTCATAAAAGTGGCTCATGACTGCAGCTTAGTTCCAAAAATCCAGAGGAATGGAATGCAATGTTAATTCCACTGGACATGAACTTTAGGACTGCTGAAGAGCTTCCAAGCTGATTTTTATTTGATAACTTGTGGGTACAACATTAAACCCAGCAAGTAGAAACCTGAAGCACTGGCCTTTCAAAAGGTTCACACCTCAGCCATTTGGCCGTTTGCCTCTTTTCAAAGGAAGCTGCATTACTCTGCCATCTGCCCATGCTGGGGACGAGTCTCTTCAGTGCCAAGCACTGAAGAACGGCAGGACCCAAATGCACACATCTTGCGGAGGCCTTCTCACTTCAGCTCATCTTCTCCCCCACCCCCGGCATTTTGAAGAAGAAAAATCATAGTTTCTAGGATCTAGAAAAAGAAAAACATCTGAATCCAGGGAGAGCTGTTCGAGAGTGCCAGAATGGTTTTTCCTGGCAAATAAGGGGGCCTCATGGCTGGATGCTTGGAAAGGTAAAAGGTCTAAAGTCTAGGAGGCTAAAAGGCTACTAATAAATATGCATGCTTCTTTCTCTCTTTGGGGAGACAAGCCTAACTACAAACCCAAAGCAGTATCTGTCTCAAGGATCCTGAGAGCATTCTAATGGCAGTCATTCATGAAAAAACCAATCTAGATGACAATAAAAAAAAAAAAACAACAACAAAGCAAGATACTAATACATAAAATTGAGGATGGTGGTTACCTGGGGGAGGGGTAAGATGTAATTAGAAAGCAACACTCTTCAAAGGTACTGATAACATTCTATTTGTTAAGTTTAGTGATGGGTACCTACATTTGTATTTTATTATTATTCAAAGACATACACTTTATATATCCCCTTTTGTATACATGAACCATTTGGAATGATAAAAGGCCATTCTAAGCTGACACACTATATTTTGGAGAGCAATATGAATAAAGGAATTTCAGATAACATTTTAAACTAACCCTCTATACTACATTCCCATGTTATTTATTCTTCCCCAGATCACCTCAAAAAGCATTAGGGTGCAAAGTTATACCCCTCTAACTTTGCCAGTAGACCACTTTCATCTTAGCAGCAACAAAGACTGGAGGAGTAGGGTGGGAAAGAATAGCATTTGGTGGGCTGTGCTTCAGGTGACAGAAAAGGACAGGGCAGCAGGCCTTAGGCAAAGGTCTTTGAGGCCAGCAGTCCTTTGTGTCAGCTAAATTACTGCCTATGCTGTAGGTAACAAAAAAACAGGATGCCTCTGTCCATTTCTACCCTGCAAATTATTAACTGTACTGCAACAGATTTATGGGATAAAGGAGTTAAAAGCATTAGACTAGACAGAACAACAACACATAGATGTAACCATTGGCTGGTTTTCAAATTCCTTGAAACCTAAAATAAAAACAATGAAAGAATAATAACCTATCTTGCCCATAAATCTCCTGTACTGATGCCCTAAGATTTACACATGTCCTTTTCTAAAGTAACTTCCAAACTAGGATGTCCAAATACCAGATTTTATGGCTCCAATGTACCTCTGCCCCTGCTAAAGCACACGGTGCCAAGTCAGCCAGCCTGTGCCATTTCCAACACGTCATAAGCCAGTGTCTGTTCATGTGCTACAGGCACAAAAACCATGTGTTCATTTTTAGTTCCAATACACAGACATCTGTGCAGCAAGGTCAGATCCAAAACTCCATCATAAACCAACTAAAGAACCTATAGAGGGAACTTCCAGGGAAAAGCCAAGAGGCATGGTCCAAGGTCTAAAACCTTAGAAATGATGTTGGCAGAGAGAATGTTAAGGAGTGAGAAGCACTGCACAGGACTCAAATGGACAGAGATTTTTTTTTAAGCCCAGGAGTTCGTTCTAAAGGAGAGCTGCCAACCACAACCACTTCATGGAAAAAATAGTTAAAAAGATCAACAGTGTGTGGACCCAAAACCCAAACATAAAATCAGAACTTCCTCGCCACACCATAAAATCATTTTGCTCTCAGCATGTCATGCTATTACTCAAAAAGATCCCTTTAGACCTGAAGACCCAAGGATACAGTGAAAAAAGTTTCTCACGTCTGCCAGGCCTGTCCACGACAGCAGGGCCCCAAATGGATGCCAAAGCAGCCTGCCTCTCTTTCCAGAATTCTATATTTTGTTTTTTTCCCCCCCAAATAAATAGATAGGAAACCACTACAGAACCGTCCTCCATTTCTCCACCTCACTACCATGAAGACAGCCAGTAATAGCCTCATCTGTTAACTTGGTAAAAAACAAATCTTGAAAAGTGAACAAGGTACCTATTTCCAACCAAGTGTGTATTACGTGATGATTCAAAATGGTCAGATCAAATTAGATCTCTCACCAAATCCAAAGGAAGGCAATCAACTCAACATATGAGAAACAGACATGGGAACTCCACTGGTTTTCCTGAAATAGCAATGCTAGATTACACTGAGGACCACAGGCATCAAGCCCAGCTCTTTGAATTCCAACATATGTGTGTTATAAGCCCTAGCCCAGTTCCCCAGAACAGAAACCTGATTAGTTGCTGGGCCCATTTCTTTCTTTCTTTCTTTCTTTCTTTTTAAAGAGATGGAGTCAGCTGGGCGTGGTGGCTCACGCCTGTAATCCCAGCACTTTGGGAGACTGCGGTGGGCGGACTGCCTGAGCTCAGGAGTTCGAGACCAGCCTGGGCAACACAGTGAAACGCCGTCTCTACTAAAATACAAAAAATTAGCCAGGCGTGGTGGCGTGTACCTGTAGTCCCAGCTATTCGGGAGAATGGCTTGAACCTGGGAGGCGGAGGTTGTAGTGAGCCAAGATCGGGCCACTGCACTCCAGCATGGGCAACAGAGTGAGACTCCATCCCCCCGGCCCCAAAAAAAAGATGGAGTCTGGCTCTGTTGCCCAGGCTGGAATGCAGTGGCACATCATAGCTTACTGTGCCCTTGAACTTCCTGGGCACAAGTAATCCTCCTGCCTCTGCCTTCCAAGTATTGGGACTACAGGTGCACACTACCACACCCAACTGGTGGGCCCATTTCTTACCTCACTTAAAAACAGTTATCTAAGTTGGCCAGACTTGGTGGCTTATGACTGTAATCCCAGCACTTTGGGAGGCCAAGGCAGGCAGATCACCTGAGGTCAGGAGTTCGGGACCAACCTGGCAAACATGGCAAAACCCCAGCTCTACTAAAAATAAAAAATAAAAAAATGAGCCGGGTGTGGTGGTGGGCCCCTGTAATCCCAGCTACTGGGGAGGCTGAAGCAGAAGAATCGCTTGAACCCGGGAAGCAGAGGTTGCAGTAAGCCAAGATCGCACCACTGCACTCCAGCCTGGGCGACAGAGCAAGACTCCACCTCAAAACAAAAAACAAAACAAAAAGACTTCTCTAAGCTAACTCATACCACACTGAAGACAATATATCCAGGTAGGTCCACTTACCAGACTCAAAAGCAACTAAAAGGAAGTTTTGCTTAGTGCTAAAATGTGGGAATTGTTAAACCTTCTAAAATGATTGTAGGAAGGCAGATGTTGGGAATAGCAAAGGGAATTATGCCCAGAGGTTACTGCAAAAGCCCCAAATTATACAGCAAAGACTATAGAAGCCCATAATTAACTCCAATCAACAATGAGGACAAAGGCATATACCCTTTGGCAAAAGACTGAAATTTCTCACCATTTCCAGGTCCTACCAATCAAAACAAGAGAACAAGCTAAAAATCCAAACTCATCCTCCCACTATTGCGGACTTAGGAGGTGCAGATCCACAGAAATCACAACTACCCTGGCCAGACTCACCAAGTTTCTCACAGCTGCGAGGCTGCCAGCAAGACTGGCACATAGTAAGCTGTCGAAAAGCTCACAAGCAGCACCAAATCCTAAGCATTAAAAAATTTACCAGCTCAGTCCTATTACTTATCTTCTAAAAAGCACAAAATATTCCATCTAGATTTCTCTTCTCAACAATCTACTCTTATAAGGACAGGAACAAGACAGTCAACGCTCACCCATTTTACAGATGGGGGAAAAAGGGAAGCATGAAGGTGACAAATTTGGTCATCTCCTAGCTGATGTTGGAGTTTACACGGAATCTAGACTTTCACATTCTCTATACAGCATGCTGCCTCCAAACAGCAGTCAACCAAACGTTTATACACAAATAACTAGCTCTTCTCCAATTCATCAAAAAAAGCCCTTGGACCAAAAAATGTAATTCTCCAGTGCCCTGAACTAAGCTTCTTTGCAAAGCTACAGCCCAATTTGCTCTGCAGCAGAAATCTGTATTGTGCTTAGTGTGAGGGTTGGTGACAGAGCAGCCAATGACCATTAAATTCTGCTTCCAAAGGCAAAAAACCGTATAATGTCATATGCCTTTTCCTCTTCCTAATCTATTAGACGTAGCAGCTAATTTCACGCCACACCTCGTATTTGGCGTCTCTGGAATCTCAGACGAACTCCTGGTCAATATGGAACAAAGGCAAGACAAACCACAAGAAAATTAGCAATCTATCCTATGTCATTACCCATAGCTTTAATCCCGCCCTCCCCTGCATCTGATGAAAATTTCATCTGTGCTGGTAAGTGGAGCATCGAATACAGAGCCTACCACAAAAAAAGCTGTTTCAGCAGCCACCCACTTTTCAAGATCTGAACTCCCAGCATGAATTCACTGGGAGGCAAAGCAGAAACACTGGCCTACCTAAAGGGACAACACACTGATTTCTTTAGAAAGTTTGGATTTGGCCTCATCCCCAAGATAAGCCCATGGCACAGCTGTTCAGAAAGGGCAAGAAAGCCAAATCCACCCAACATTTTCTTGTTGGAGTACCCAAGTTCCCTTGAAAACAGAAGTCTATGGATGAGTGGTTCCCAGTTCAGGATCAACTGGGGAGCTTTTAAAAAGTTCAAACTCTTAGGCTTTTCAAAAAGCTCCCCAAGTGATCTTAGTTCACAGTAAGGTTATCAATTTATACCTGTTCTTTAGCTTTGGTTTATGGCTGCCAGTATGTCTCAAGAATCCATCACGTAAACCACAACAAAACCCATTCCAATCTTTCTGAGAACCCAAAGAAGTACAAACCACAATGGCAGTTACTACAAGGTAACTAATTTCACTGACACCAAAGTTGACAGCTTTGTAAACCAACGCTACAGATGTAACACTGGATGCCGAAGATCAGTCCACCCCTCAGAAATGCAGGAAAAAAACTCAACGTCTATGTTTGGAATTTTCATCAATCGGCCTAGAACTCATGTACCTGTCTCTACCTTGTCTATATCTTACTGGTACTTAGAATTCTCAAAAGGCTTTGAGAGAGCGCAAAGCTATTTTCTCGAGACAGGCTCTCACTCTGTCACGCAAGCTGGAGTGCAGTGGCACGATCACTATTCACTGCAACCTCCGCCTCCTGGGCTCAAGTGATCCTCCTGCCTCAGCCTCCCGAGTAGCTGGGACCACTCCCGCCTAATTTTTTGTATTTTTTTCGTAGAGATGGGGGCTAATTTTTTGTTTGTTTGTTTTGTAGAGATGGGGTTTCGCATGTTGCCCAGGCTGGTCTCAAACTCCTGAGCTCAGGTGATCCGCCCTCCTCGGCCTCCCAAAGTGCTGGGATTACAGGTGTGAGCCACTGTGCCCGGTCTGCTATTTTCTATTCTCAGAGACAGTGGTCAGCACCCAAGTTTGATATGCCAAGTTCATCTAAGGGAACAACCAGGAAAACAGTAAAACTTTGAATAGAGGTGTCCAATTGATTGCTGGCCTACAATTGCATTTGAAGATTCTCCTGTCATTTGCATGCATGAGTGTGAAGGGAGGTGCGGTGCTGGTACACAGAATAAGCAAGGCGGTCAAGGTGCAACACCAGCTTTTTGCCCCAAAGGCCAAACACTTCCAGCAATCTCCCTTCCAGGGACAATGGCACACAGCCGCCTTGGAAAAACTTAAAAAGCCATGCCAGGATGGGGATGGGAGGATGGTCTGAAACCATCTTCCAACAAGACAGATGCAAACCAGCTGAGAAGTGTCACGGAGTGTGCACTCTTTAAGAGTGAAAGCTGTTTCCACAATTAGCGCTGACCTTATGCGAGATGTTACCACCTTTGGTCCCAAGTCTCTGCCTCCTCCTGAAGACCCTATCTTAAGAACTGTCAGGATCGCGATAGCAATAGATAAAAAGGGAAACCAAACAAGAAAAGGAAGTTTGTCGGCCAGCCCCCGGCCGGTCTCACCTCCCCGCGTCCAGCTCCCGGCCCGCAGAGCCTCCCATGTCTGTCAGGCTCGCAGCTGAAGCAGCCAGCTCTCCAGAAGGCCTCTTGCCGGTCCCATCCCCACCGCCGGAGCCACCGTTGCAGCTCTTGGTGCGAAAGAGGCGACTGAGGCGGATTTTGAAGGAGCCCTTCCGAGAAGGACCCGCGAGTGGCCGGAGGGGCCCGGGAGGAGGCGGGGGCGGGGGAGGTTGCTGCTGCTGCTGCTGCTGCTGCTCCCCTCTACTCAGGCGCCCCAGAGGGACCAAGTCCTGCAGCGGGAAGGGCACCGGAGGTAATTCAGGGCCTGGGGGCTGCAGCAGAAGCCGGCCGCCCCCTCCTCCTCCGCGACCCGGGCTGCTGAGCTCCTCTTCCGAGCAGCTGTTAGTCTCCAGGCTCTCGGCCTCCGATTCCAAGCCCTCCAGGACCAGCAGCGCGTCGCTCGTTTCCGTGGGGTCCTCCCCGGCCTGCGGGGCGGCAGCAGGCGGCTGGGGCTGCGGAGGGGGCGGCTGAGGAGGACACGGACACGGGCAGCAACCCCCACCGACTGTCTTGACCCCCGGCCCCGCCGGCTGCCCGAGCCCCAGAGCCGCCAACTGCGCCTCTAGTCCAGCCGCCGGGCCCCAGGTCCGCTCGAGCGCCAAGCCCGGCGGCAGGGCCTTGGGGTCCAGGGCACAGCGGTGCCGGGGACACAGCAGTTCCGAGGGTCCCGGCTCCGGGGCCGCCTCCACGTCCTCCTCCTCCGGCGGCCGACCCACGTTGCGGAACACCATCAGCTGCGGCGGCCGGGAGCCCCGCGGGCCGGGCCGCGCGAGGAAGGGTGGCGGCGGGGGGCCATGGCCCGGGGGCGGTGGCGGAGGGCCTGGCTCGGGGGCCGCCTCTCCATAGCCAAGGAGGCGGCTCAGGACGCGGTACGAAGCGGCCGCCGCCGCCGCCTCGCCATCCCGGAGCTCGGCCTCCTGCATCGGGGAGAGGGAGGGAGGGCGGGCGGCTGGGAGCCGGGCTGGGGTGGGGACTAGGCCGGGCCCCGCCGGAGCCCCGCCCGCCGCGGCCCCCGGAGCGACAGCGCTAACGGCCGCCGCGGCCTCTGCCTCATAGAGGGGGGCGGGGGGCGCGCGGAGCCCAGCGCGAGCCCAGGCCGCGCTCCGCCACCGCCGAGCACCGCCCCCAAGCCGACGTCACTTCCGGAAGGGCTTAGCCACGCCACTTTCCCCAGGGCGTGCTCGCGCTGGCCTCCACGGCGAGTGACGCCGCGCGCGCCCCCGGCCCCTATTGGCGGTGAGCTGTCTGTTGGCTGGCGTTGGTCTCTTTTCCCGGTCCTTGCTTTTCACTTCCTGGGCGCCCAGGCCCAGGCCATCCCATTCGGTAGAGTGGAGAGGCCTTGGAAACCATGGTCTGGTCCTGGGAGCGCGCCGCTGGCCTTGGGAGCACATATGGTTCTGCCATCTACGCCGCTTGCGATGTGTGACCTTGGCTGAGTCATTTCATCATTAATCTGTATCTCCGTCCGCCTGGCACCCAGTGAATGTTTGTGGAATCAGTACATGAATCGTGTTCTAGACCCAGTGCTGTACTGATAAATGTGTAACAACCAGCTCTCTGGGGGGAGAACGGGAATGTATGCACATATATAGGTACAAAAATTTGTCGTTAAGTTTTACTGACATAAAGGATGTGTAGTTCACAATTTACAATTAATAGTAAATTGGCAAATTCCATATAACTCTTTCTCACAGAATGCTTTCATTGATTTTTGCCAAACTCTTATATGGGTAGCCAAACTGTGATTGCAGTTGACCTAGGAGTGTAATTGTAAAGGTGAATGTTGGTTGATAAAACTGAAAAAGACAAAACTTAATTGGATTGTCAATGATGGGAGCAACTTCTTTGCTGAGTCAGAAAACGGTTTCAAATACTGGAAGAATATTTACTCAATTTTTGTGCTATTCATAATGTAACGGCTACAGACAACACATTAAGTTTTTGCTGTTGTTGAGATGGAATCTTTCTCTATTGCCCAGGCTGGAGTGCAATGGCGCTATCTTGGCTCACTGCAACCTCTGCCTCCCGGGTTCAAGCAATTCTCCTGCCTCGCTCCAGGTAATTTTTTGTATTCTTAGTAGAGACAGGGTTTCACCATGTTGGCCAGGCCAGTTTTGAACTCCTGACCTCAGGTGATCCACCCGCCTTGGCCTCCCAAAATGCTGGGATTACAGGCGTGAGCCACCGCGCCCACGCCCGGCCTTCTTATCTTTACACAGGGATAAGGATTGCAATTTTGCTTGCTTGCAGGCATGTTGTGAGGATCAAATAAGATCAAGCTTTTTGTGTGGAGGAGGTGAGACTGGAGGCAGGGAGCCCATTGAAATAGTCCCAGTGGGAGATATTGAGAGATGCAAGGGAAAAGGAGGAAGGATCAGCTGCAGAACTCAGTGACTTCTAATACCTGAGGGTGCATTGAGGGGAAGAGGGTGGAGGGTTGAGTCCTGCAACCAGAGGGACCTTTTCAGAATGGAAATGTGTTCATAGCCTGTGATTAAAATTGTTCATGGCTTCCCATTGTTCTTAGGCTAATGTGTGATCTTGTGATCTGACCCCTGTGTGATCTAACCCCTGCCTCTCTAGCCACATCCCCTGCTAAGCTCCACCTTGTTCTCTGTTCCCTGCATTCCCATCAACCTTGCGGCAGGCTCCCATACATGTGGGCAAGAAAAGCTATTCCCTTTTCTTGCAAGACTTTTCTCTTTTTGCTTAGTAAACTCCTACTCATCCTTCAGATTGAACTCACTCCTCACTACCTTAGGGAAATCTCCCTGCCTGGGCCCTTCCTCCTCCCCAGGCTCTGAGATCATTCCTTTGTTGCACTTACTTGCGCAGGTGTAATTTGCAATCTGTCTGTGGGGTCAGTTGATTAAAAGCTGTCCTCCCTACAAAACTGTAAATTCTATGAGGGCAGAAGCCATGTTTGCTTTTTGCCCCTTGGGGACTCTCCAGTGCCAAGGACAGTGCCTGGAATTGTTGTTCAACCTTAAGCCCTGTAAGAGTCTCCTGAGACAAATTCTGCACAACAGAATTAATTATCTTTCCTCACACATAAAGAGACAAAGTAAACCTCAGTGAGTTATTTAGCTAAAGTCACTCAATTCAAAAGGATGCAGTGAAAATCAAAACCAGCTCTGACTCCAGATAGTTCATTCTCTTCCCCTGGCTGCCTCTCAGGTGTCACTCAGGTTTCTGAAGAAAAGAAGAGCGATTGAGAGGGGCATGTTTACCCACGTCTGTAATTCCAGCGCTTGGGGAGGCCAAGGCAGGTCTTGGATCACTTGAGGCCAGGAGTTTAAGGCCAGCCAGGGCAACATAGCAACACTCTGGCTCTACAACAAATGTTAAAATTAGCCAGGCATGGTGGTGTGCCCAGATGTGGTCTCAGCTACTCAGGAGGCTGAGGCAGGAGGATTGCTTGAGCCCAGGAGGTGGAGACTGCAGTGAGCTGTGATCACACCACTGCACTCTAGCCTGGGTGACAGAGCAAGACCGTGTCTCTATATAGATAAATGAATAAAAGAAGAGAAATTGCTATAGAATCACACAACACCTGAGGCCTAAGAAGACTACCCAAGATCCCCAGCTTTCTCTCTGAGAAACTCTCTGGCCTCAGAGCCCATTACAAGCTGATTACAGGCAAGGTCCCTGGCTCTTCATCGCCCTCTGCTGTCCAGCTGCTTTCCTGGCCGTGGGAGAAGAGGACTGTGTGGGTTATCTGGAGTATCTCTACTTGCACGGAGTGCACAGAGGTACAGAGGAACACACGCGAGCTCTTTCTAAGGCAGGGCAAGCCATGGGGTAGACTTTTCCCATTTCCATAATTGTCCATTTCCGTAGCCCAGATCCTGGAAAAAACATTGAAAGTTAAATTCCAAGCAAAGAGGGTGTATCTTTGCATTTGTAGGACTTGAATTTGTGTTGGGGGTTGTTTGTTTGTTTTGAGACAGCATTTCATTCTTTTGTGTTTTTGTTTGTTTGTTTTGTTTTGTTTTTTTAGACGGAATTTTGCTCTTGTTGCCCAGGCTGGAGTGCAATGGCGCTATCTTGGCTCACTGCAACCTCTGCCTGCCAGGTTCAAGCGATTCTCCTGCCTCAGCCTCCCAAGTAGCTGGGATTACAGGCATGCGCCACCACGCCTAGCTAATTTTGTATTTTTAGTAGAGACAGAGTTTCTCCATGTTGGTCAGGCTCATCTCGATCTCCCAACCTCATTGATCTGCCTGCCTCAGCCTCCCGAAGTGCTGGGATTACAGGCGTGAGCCACGGCGCCCGGCCTCAGAGTTTCATTCTTGTTTCCCAGGCTGGAGTGCATAGGTATGATCTCGGCTCACTGCAACCTCTGCCTCCTGCGTTCAAGCAATTCTCCTGCCTCAGCCTCCTGAGTAGCTGAGATTACCGGCGCATGCCACCAGGCCCAGCTAATTTTTTTGTTTTTAGTAGAGACAGGGTTCCGCCATGTTGGCCAGGCTGGTCTCAAACTCCTGACCTCAATTGATCCACCTGCCTCAGCTTCCCAAAGTGTTGGGATTACAGGTGTGAGCCACTGCGCCCTGCCAAATTTATGTTTATTGAGCTGATTTTATGTTTAAATATACCTCTTTCACTGAGCACTATAAAAGTGGTCCTCAGCCGAGCGTGGTGGCTCAAGCCTATAATCCCAGCACTTTGGGAGGCCAAGGTAGGCGGATCACTTTAGCCTGGGAGTTTGTGACCAGGTTGGGCAACAAAGAGACCCAATGTTGTGAGGATGTCGTGAGACCTCGTCTCTACAAAAAATAAAAAAAAAATAGTTGGGCGTGGTGGCGTGCACCTGTAATCCCAGCTACTCAGGAGGCTGAGGCAGGAGAATCACTTGAGCCCAGGGGTCAGAAGTGGAGTGAGCTGTGTTCATGCCACTGCACCCCTGCCTGGGTGACAGAGTGAGAGACCCTGTCTCAAAAAAGTAAAACAGAAAATAAGGTGGGCACAGTGGCTCACGCCTATAATCACAACACTTTGGGAGGTTGAAGTGGGCGGATCACTTGAGCCCAGGAGTTTGAGACCAGCCAGGGCAGTAAGGCAAAACCCCATCTCTATTCCCACCGCCAAAAAAAAAATATATATATATATATATATATTTACCTGGGCATGATGGCACGCACCTGTAGTCTCAGCTACTTGGGAGGCTGAGGTGGGAGGATCCATTAAGCAAGCCCTGGCGGTGGAGGCTGCAGTGAGCCGTGATTGTGCCACTGCACTTTAGTCTGGGTGATAGACACTCCAGCTTGGGTGACTGAGTGAAACCCTGTCTCAAAAAAAAAAAAAAAGGTCCCTACAGAGATAGAGTCCTAGTTTTAAAAACTTTTATGAAGGATGACTTAAAGAATTTAAGGTCTGGCACAGTGGCTCACACCTGTAATCCTCGCACTTTGGGAGACCAAGGTAGAAGGATCACTTGAGCCCAGGAGTTTGAGACCACCCTCGACAACATAGTGAGACCTCATCTCCACAATTTTTTTTTTGGGCGGGGGGACGTTGTCTCTCTCTGTTGCCCAGACTGGAGTGCAGTGGTGCGATCTCGGCTCACTGCAACCTCTGCCTCCTGGGTTCAAGTAGTTCTCTGCCTCAGCCTCCCGAGTAGCTGGGATTACAAGTGCCCAACACCATGCCTGGCTAATTCTTCTGTATTTTTTAGTAGAGGCCGGGTTTCACCATCTTGGCCAGGCTGATTTTTTTTTTTTTTTTTTTTGAGTCAGAGTCTCGCTGTGTCGCCCAGGCTGGAGTGCGGTGGCGCGATGTCGGCTCACTGCAAGCTCTGCCTCCCGGGTTCACGCCATTCTCCTGCCTCAGCCTCCTGAGTCGCTGGGACTACAGGCGCCTGCCACCATACCCGGCTAATTTTTTTGTATTTTTAGTAGAGATGAGATTTCACCGTGTTAGCCAGGATGGTCCCCATCTCCTGACCTCGTGATCCACCCACCTCGGCCTCCCAAAGTGCTGGGATTACAGGCGTGAGCCACTGCCCCTGGCCAGCCAGGCTGATCTTGAACTCCTGACCTCGTGATCCACCCACCTCGGCCTCCCAAAGTGCTGGGATTACAGGCGTGAGCCACCGTGCTCGGCCTTTTTTTTTTTTTTTTTTTTAATTAGCCAGGTGTGGTGGCACATGCCTGTAGTCCCAGCTACTCAGGAGGCTGAGGTGGGAGGCTCACTTGAGCCTGGGAGGCCGAGGCTGTAGGAAGCCATGATCTCACCACTGCACTCCAGGCTGGTGATAGAGCGAGACCCTGCCTCAAAACAAAAAAATGATAAAGAATCTAAAGAAGTTCTGAGATTCATTTGGTCATTCAACGGTGGGCTAGGTTTGGGGATGCAGTGATAAATGAGACAGACACAATCCCTGTCCCTCTGGACTTTGTGGTTGGTCTAGTTAGTCTTAATCATGCCACTTTCTGAATATATGAGCAAACGCAAATAATTAAACATCTCCGAACCCGTGTTTCATTTGTTAAAATGGGTCAGTAATAATCCCCCCTTGACATGGC
The DNA here is from genome assembly GCF_000001405.40 of Homo sapiens. Taxonomy (NCBI): domain Eukaryota; kingdom Metazoa; phylum Chordata; class Mammalia; order Primates; family Hominidae; genus Homo; species Homo sapiens. The sequence goes on along the minus strand of NC_000017.11, from coordinate 38,346,448 downwards.
TATTGTGGGGAATTAAATGAAAACTTACGTGTAAAGGTACTTAATAAATTCTACAGTGCTATACAAATGTTAGTTAATACATTTTTTCCCAAGAAGCTTTTCATGGTAATAACTTAATACATTTTTTCCCAAGAAGCTTTTCATGATAAGTTACTATTGTCTTCACCCAGTGTGTTTTGTTGACCCTCAACTAACAGTAACCAGTAATAAATACCAAGAAATTGAATAAGTCACTCAGAAAGGCCAAGGAAAGAGCTATGGATGTGCAATACAGGTTTCTGCTCCCAGCAATACCACTAACTGGCTGGGTGACCTTGTGAATGTCACTTTCCTTTCAGTGTTTTAGTTTCCTAATTTGTTAAAAAAAAAAAAAAAAAAAAAAGTCTGGGCTATGGGCCCTGCTAGTTTTGCCATCATAGAGATTCTCCTGGGGGCTTGTCCTCTAGCCCCGCTATCCCCACAGCCTGGGCACTCCCACTTAGGTTGCATAGCACAATTGTTCTTTGCAAGGCCGGGCACGGTGGCTCACGCCTGTAATCCCCGCACTTTGAGAGGTCAAGGCAGGCAGATCACCTGAGGTCAGGGTTTCAAGATCAGCCTAGCCAACATGGTGAAACACCATCTCTACCAAAAATACAAAAATTAGCCAGGCGTGGTGGCACACGCCTGTACTCCCAGCTACTTGGGAGGCTGAGGCAGGAGAATCACTTGAACCCGGGAGGCAGAGGTTTCAGTGAGCCGAGATTGTGCCACTGCACTCCAGCCTGGGCAACAGAACAAGACTCTGTCTAAAAAAAAAGAATTATTGTTTGCAGAGGTCAACTGGAAAGCAAGGGACATGTTTGGCAACCACCACCCATCCCTACCTACATACACTCAATGATCTTGGACATCAAAGGTTCCAGACATTGGGGGTTTGGAGGGGGTTTGAAGGGAAGAAGCCAAGAGACAGCCTGCGCCTGCGGGGCCAGATTGCCTGGTGAAGCAGGAAGCCCATCATCAAGGGAAAAGTGATGGGTGGGCAGGCAGGAGCTTTGTTCTGTGGCTTCCCCAAGAATCCATGCCCTTCCGGATCCAAGGAGGCCGGCTCAGACAGCACTGACTCAGGGCCCCCCAGTTACTGTGCCTAGCAGCAGGAAGGAGGTGAGGGGTAAGAAAAATGGGGAAAAGCGAGAGAGAGTAGCCACAGTTTTCATGAAGAAAAGGAGAAGGGGCCAGGTGCAGTGGCTCACACCTGTAATCCCAGCACTTTGGGAGGCTGAGGCAGGTAGACTACTTGTCAGGAGTTCGAGACCAGCCTGGCCAACATGGTGAAACCCCCGTCTCTACTAAAAAATTTAAAAAAAAAAATAAAATAAAATTTGCCGAGCATGGTGGCACATGCCTGTAGTCCCAGCTACTCAGGAAGCTGAAGCAGGAGAATCGCTTAAACCCAGGAGGCAGAGGTTGCAGTGAGCCGAGATCACGCTGGTGCAACTCCAGCTGGGTGGACAAAGAATCTATCTCAAAAAAAAAAAAAAAAAGAAGAAGGTAGAACTTAGGATGACAAAATGAAGGTGTAAGAAATGGAGGCAAAACTGTGTTCACTGTCTTCTCCTTGCCCACCTCTCTCCCGCCACCATTGCCACTGTGCTTGTCGACTTTGGTTCAGAAGGAGGCCTGGGTTGTAGGGACGGACACCTGGGTGGAGGCTGCGGCTCTGTCATAAACAACACTGTGGTTCTAGGGAAGTCCCTTGACGCCTCTGCTAGGAGGCTTTGTTATAGTCCCTGAGGCTGAGTAACGGTGATGGTGGTGGTTTGGATGGGCAATGTAGGGGAGTCAGAGCTCTGGATGTAAGTCTCTGAGTGAGCTGCTTTGTGACCTTGGGTGAGTCTCAGTGTCTGCATCTGTGAAATGGGGATAAGAACATTCACCATACATGGCTGTGGGGAAGACTCATTCAGATAAGGCACATGAAAAGCACCTTATAAGCTGCCTCAGTCTGTACAAAGACCAATTACGGTACTATTAGGCTGTCTTTCCTGCCCTCAACATCCCCATTCTCAAATCCCAGCTCAGCAGCACAGGGTCAGGGGGGTGCAGGCAGCCAGCGCAGACTGCCAGGAGATGCAGCTTGGCCCCTTAGTGTGCCTGTTGCAATTGCTGCCAGGAGCCTGAGTGGAGCAGAGGGGTGGAGAGAGGGGCACAAGCTCATCTGCGGTTGCTATGGTGCCCCATCCTGGATTTGCCCATCTCTCCTAATGGAGCAAAGGGCAGGCAGAGGGAGGGAGGGAGAAAGAGCACAACTGGTGCCTTCGTCTCCCCTTCCCTCCCATCTCTCTCCCTCGGGAGCAGATGTGGATGGGGGATGGAGGGAGCCTGAATACTGGATAGGAGGGGAGGAAAGAGTGGGGTGCTGGGATTAAGAGGTTTGAGATAGGGGGCCGCACTGAGACAGTAGGGGGCAGGGCCCTCATACCTACATCCAGAAGCCAGCTGGTGACGTTAGAGAGAAGAAAAAAGCAGGCGAGCTGGCACCAGCGTGAGAGGGAGACGGAGAGAGGAAGAAGGAACGCCAGCATAGGAGGCGTGGAGGCCGACAGCCCCCAGACTGCAGCCAGCCTCTGCCTGGGCTCTCCTGAGCCTGGACCCCAGGGTCCTGAGAGCTGCCCCAAGGATGGGCACCAGGGGAGCGGTCATGCCCCCTCCTATGTGGGGGCTGCTGGGCTGCTGTTTTGTCTGTGCCTGGGCTCTGGGGGGTCCACGGCCCATCCGCTCTCTGCCCCCTCTGTCTTCCCAAGTCAAGCCAGGATCTGTACCCATGCAGGTGCCCCTAGAGGGGGCCGAGGCCGCCCTCGCTTATCTCTACTCTGGAGATGCCCAGCAGCTATCACAGGTGAATTGCAGTGAGCGCTATGAAGCGCGTGGGGCAGGAGCCATGCCAGGGCTCCCCCCAAGCCTACAGGGGGCAGCGGGCACCCTTGCCCAGGCCGCCAATTTTCTCAACATGCTGCTGCAAGCCAACGACATCCGTGAGTCCAGTGTGGAGGAGGATGTGGAATGGTACCAGGCACTGGTCCGCAGCGTGGCCGAGGGGGACCCAAGAGTGTACAGGGCTTTGCTGACCTTTAACCCTCCACCAGGGGCCAGCCACCTACAGCTGGCCCTGCAGGCCACCCGGACTGGGGAGGAAACCATCCTGCAGGACTTGTCTGGGAACTGGGTGCAGGAGGAGAACCCTCCTGGGGACCTGGACACCCCTGCCCTGAAGAAGCGAGTGTTGACCAATGACCTAGGGAGCCTCGGCAGCCCCAAGTGGCCGCAGGCAGATGGATATGTGGGGGACACGCAGCAGGTGAGGCTGTCTCCTCCTTTCCTGGAATGCCAGGAGGGACGGCTCCGACCTGGATGGCTGATCACACTCTCTGCCACCTTCTATGGACTCAAGCCAGACCTCAGCCCAGAAGTCAGGTAAGTGGGTTTGTGCAGGATTTGATGCATGTGTGGGGATGTAGGGGAAGGAAGTACAGGTCCCCTCAGCTGTGCCTGGGCCATTTGGCACGAACATGTGCATGCCTGGGGGGCACACAGATGTGGGTATTTGTACTCAGCTGTGTGTACTTACAGTCGGCTCTGGGAATCTGCAACTATCTGTTAACACATACAGGTGTGAGTGTACATGTGTATAAATCAATCCATATTTATCTGGGTTTATGTGCTTGAGCACATGCAGGAATGTCTGTGAGCCTGTGCATATACAAATAGGTATACATATGTAGCATACATCTATATGCAGGTATACACATGTGTGTAGAGATATGTCAGTATAGCTGGGTGCAGTGGCTCACGCCTGTAATCCCAACACTTTGGGAGGCTGAGGCGGGTGGATCACCTGAGGTCAGGAGTTCAAGACCAGACTGACCAACATGGAGAAACCCCATCTCTACTAAAAATACAAAATTAGCTGGGTGTGGTAGCGAGTACCTGTAAACCCAGCTACTCAGGAGGCTGAGGCAGGAGAATCACTTGAACCTGAACCCCAGAGGCAGACGTTGCGGTGACCCGAGATCACGCCATTGCACTCCAGCCTGGGCAACAAGAGCAAAACTCTGTCTCAAAAAAAAAAAAAAAAGATGTGTCAGTATAGACAGGCAGAGGTCTTGGCCCCCAGGCCTGAGAAGGGAGTGCAAGAGGCAGGAGAGGTCTTGGTGTGGATGACAGTGACAATCTATGCACCAGGCTTGTTAGTGGAGAGCTGGGTGGGCACTCCAGGCGTTCAACCTACTGCTCTCTAGCAACTGAGAGCTGTAAAATGAGGCTTCCCCGGAGAAGGAAAACTTTTTTTTTTTCAAGACAGAGTCTCGCTCTGTCGCCCAGGCTATAGTGCAGTGGTGCAACCTCGGCTCACGGCAGCTGCAGCCTCCCAGGTACAGATGATTCTCCTGCCTCAGCCTCCTGAGTAGCTGGGATTACAGGTGCGCATCATCATACCTGGCTACTTTTTGTATTTTAGTAGAGATGGGGTTTCACTATGTTGGCCAGGCTGGTCTCGAACTCCTGACCTCAAGTGATCTGCCCGCCTCGGCCTCCCAAATTGCTGGGATTACAGGTGTGAGCCACCACACCCAGCGGAAGGAAAACTCTTGAGGGGGCTTGGAATCAATGCTCTTTCTGCCAAGGAGCTGGCTGAGTCCCCAGGGCCATCTTCTTAAACCAAGCAGGCCGCACTATCCTGCCTGTCCTGACGCAGAAGCTTGTGATTCTCCTCCAGTAAACTACCTCCTCCCTCAACCACAGGAAAGAAGGATTGAGGGTCCTATTGGGAAGGGAGCAGCGACTGAGCCTAGGACTGCAGGGCATTCAACAATCAACACTGCTTCTCCAGCTCTGTGTCCCCATTCATTGTTCCCAGCAGGGTTCTCCTCCTGCCAGCAGGCAGCCTGGCTCCTTGCCAGCTCAGCCCAGAGCAAAGGCTGGGGAACTGCTGGTCCAGGCAGTGCCAGGTCAGGGCTCCTCTATTTCATATCTCCTTTGCTGTGATCAATTCAGACCTGGCTTGGGCAGAGAGAGGAGATGGTTAATAGCTGAGCTGATCTCTGTGTGTGTGCGTGTGTACATGCATGAGGAAGTGTGAAAATCCTCTTCAGAGATCATCAGAGCCCTGACTCCTGCCATGTCTTGACATGCGCCCTGTCTCTCCTCCTTGACAGAAACCAGGAAATGATAGGATATCAAAAAGCTGAGGGGTGGAGAGAACAACCTAGTAGAAAGAAGACTGTTGTCCACAGAGACAGTGAACATTCATAATACTGGAGAAATGGAATACATGCATGCCCTTCGCACACACTGCAGGTGCTGGGCTAAAGTTTGCAAAGACTGCATTGTCCCCAGATCTAGTGCCTGTAGGGGCAGAAAAGTGTGATCCCTTTCCTCACTCATCATAAGGGTCACAATACTCCTATAACAAAAGACAGATTAACAAGAGAAAGGCATAACAAATTTATTTAATCAAAGTTTTTTGTTTGTTTGTTTGTTTGTGTGTTTGTTTTTGAGATGGACTCTTGCTCTGTCACTAGGCTGAAGTGTAGTGGCGCCATCTTGGCTCACTGCAACCTCCGCCTCCTGGGTTCAAGCGATTCTCCTGCCTCAGCCTCCTGAGTATCTGGGATTACAGGCATGAGCCACCATGCCCGGCTGATTTTTGTATTTTTAGTAGAGACAAGGTTTCTCCATGTTGGCCAGGCTGGTCTCGAACTCCTGGTCTCAGATTATGCACCTGCCTCGGCCTCCCAAAGTGCTGGGATTACAGGCATGAGCCACTGCACCCCGCCTATTTAGCCAAAGTTTTACATGACACAGGAGCCTTCAGAAATGAAGACCCAGTGGCAGAGGCTCAGTGGCTTACACATATAATCCCAGCACTTTGGGACGCCCAGGTGGGAGGATGGCTTGAGTCCAGGAGTTCAAGACCAGCCTGAACAATATAACCAAAGCTCGTCTCCACTAAAAATAATTTTTAAAAACTAGCCAGGCATGGTGGCATATGTTTGTAGTCCCAGCTACTTGGGAGGCTGAGGTGGGAGGATTGCTTGGGCCCAGGAGTTCAAGACCAGCCTGAGCAATATAGCCAGAACTTGTCTCCACTAAAAATAATTTTTAAAAACTAGCCAGGCATGGTGGCACATGCCTGTAGTCCCAGCTACTTTGGAGACTGAGGTGAGAGAATCACTTGAGCCAAAGAGGTGGAGGTGGCAGTGAGCTATGATCATGCCACTGCACTCCAGCCTGGGCAACAGAGCAAGACTGTGTGTCTAAGAAAAAAAAAGAAAGAATAGACTCAGGGAAAACTGTTCATTGTTATGCTTAGATTCCATGAAGCATGGTCAGCCCTGTAGAACTGTGATTGGACAAAAAAGTCTATGATCTAATGGTAGTAGACCAAATAGGGAAACTCAGCCAGGCCTCTGTTCAGCTTCCTCTTGGCCTGTCTATGTAGCATCCTTCCTCCCAGGTACAGGGCAGGATCCCTCTGGAATGAGGGTCATATGACCTACTTACTATCAGTCAAGGCAGGCCAGAGAATTTCTTTATGACCAGCTCCTACACAGAAAGGCAGGGGAAGATGAGAGTAATAGTTCTTGGTTTTATATCTTGCTCTGGGGGAGGGGGATTCTAGTTTCTATGACCTGCCTTGGGGAAGGGGAATTCTGGTTTCTAGAACTCACTTCAGCGGGGAGAAAGAGGGGCAGGAGACAAGAGAGAAGGAGAAGGTCGGAGAGACCTTACTTCTGAACCCTTCTAATCTCCTTTAGTTCAAAGTCCTCAGCATGCCAAAGTGCCATAATTCCGAGCATCATTTTCTGGGCCCCAACAACGCCCAGGGACACACGTCCACTTTGGCATCAATCACTGTGCCCCTAATTGCCAATTCACTGCCGTAGGGGGCAGGTGCAGATGGACGTAGATCTCCAGAGTGTGGACATCAATCAGTGTGCAAGTGGCCCAGGCTGGTACTCTAACACACACCTGTGTGATCTCAACAGCACCCAGGTAAGGATGAGGAGGATGGGGGGCGCTACTAGAGTCCTGCCTCCCTCCCCTTTTCCCATCACCGCCACCATGCAGCTCCCAGGAGCAGCAGACAAAGCTACCCCAGCATCTCAGGGCTTCAGGGGAGTTCCTAGTGATTGGCAGAGGTGAGATACCAGGCTTTTAAAAAGTCAGGTCACCTACAGCCTGCCCCCCCACCCCCTATTCCTCCTGCTCCTGCCCTCATTCCTTTGAAAGTTCAGTGTTCTTCCTGTCTGCTCTCCTTTCTGGTACTCAGTGCTCCAGGACCCCTCCCCAGGGTGACTTCCTGAGCCTCAGTTACTTATCTCCTTTCCTTCCCCCGGGAACACATTCTTCATGTAACACAGCTCTGGGCTCCTCTTGGCCCACAAAGGATGTTCCATTGGTCTGTCTACAAAAGGGTGTTCCATATTGCTGAAATAAATGGAATTGCTGGTTGGAGTATGGGAGGAATCTAACCAACCAAGGAGCTCGAAGAGGCCTGGGACCAGTGAATGTGATGGAACCTGGGCCAGATGCAGGTAGATTCAAAGCTACGGGTGCAGGTGACTCACAGTGATGGAGAGCACTGGCTGGAAATCATGCAAACCCAGTACTGGGAAACTGGGAGGCCAGTGAATTCACCCGCTCCATGGTTACAATCACTGCATGCTTGTTCCTGAGCTGAGCCAAAGCCAGGGCGAGCCCTGTGGCCTGCTGGGGCTGGTGGGCATATTGTTCTGTGTGCACAGGTGGTTCTACTGCTCTTCAGGGCACATGTGTCTGCAGCTAGAGGTGGAGGGATGGAAAAGGGCTCCCACCATCCAGTTCACTGTTTAACCCAGACACATTCACTTCTCTGGGTGCATGTTTGTCTAATTGTGCAGACTGTGTAGTCCAGTGGTCCAAGCAAGAGGGGAAGTTGGGCCACAGCTTCACAAGCACCACACACTAACCCTACTAAGTGAGGTCAGGGGCTCGATATAGAATCTTCCAAGGTTAACCCTTTCATTTGCGTCACTGATGTCTGTTCCCAGCCACTCCCCACAATAGATCTGACCTCATTTGTTCATATTCCCTGCCTGGCTCTGAGGTCTGCTCTGTCCCCTGCCGGGCAAACATCAATAGGAGGAGGTGGAATAAAGGCTGGCCTTGGCATCCCACCAGCCTGGCATTAGCCTGGCATTAAGGCTGGGAAAAACAGTCCTGTGCGAAAGCCAGATGGTCCCTGGTGAAGGAAGCTGCTCCTCCGTGGGGGGCCTTTCCAGTCCATTTGTGTGCCAAAGATGGAAGCTGATGGGGACCCTTTGAAGTAGGATGTAGGCACACAAGGTATGGCTGGGCTCAGAACTTTCCCTACTTCCATCTCCCCCAGTACCTTGCCCTAGCAAGAGCTGGCCACTAGGAAATGGGTCCTATGAGGCTCCTGTCACTGCCAGTCTGAACAAAAGGGTGATTTCTCCCTGTACTCTTTGCTTAGGGTCTCTTTGGGAAGAGAGGCAACAGCAGGGGTCAGGTAGGGTTTCCACAGAGGGAAGGCTTCCCAAGGACTAGAGAGGGCTTCTGGAGGGATTCCCTAGTGTGGACCCAAGTCCCATGGATAGGGAGGTAGATGGACCCTCCATCTCTCCCAGGAGGGAAAGCTCTTCCAGAGAAAGCCCCACATAAACACATACTGTGTTTGTTGTCCCCATAGTGTGTCCCCCTGGAGAGTCAGGGCTTTGTTCTTGGCCGCTACCTCTGCCGCTGCCGACCTGGATTCTACGGGGCAAGCCCCTCTGGGGGTATGTAAGTGTGGTGGGGGCCAGGCATGTGTTTTACATGAGAGGATGGTTGGGAGGGTACATCTGGGGAAGAAAGCCAGATTGGGGTGAGACACTGGGAGGGAACTTGTGGGGCAAGGGCAGAAGGTTGAGAGAGGCAGGAGAGGCAAGCAGGTTGCAGTGTGGGGGTGTCTACACCTTCTGAGTATGAGCCTGTAACATGCAAATATGATGCAAGTTGGCCTCTCAAGGAGCCCTAGCCTGGTGTCACCTCTTCCTGGTACTTTGCCCTCCCAAGGAAGCACCCATTCCCACTTGTCCCTGGAGCCCCAGATCACAGGAGAACAGGGAGAGGGCTGTGGTGACTATCAGGGAAAAGGCTGGGATGTCAGGATGCTCTAGCTGGGCCCCTCTCCCTGCACTCATCTTGTTCTTTATAGGGTTAGAGGAGAGTGACTTCCAGACTACCGGGCAATTCGGGTTCCCAGAAGGCAGATCTGGGAGACTGCTGCAGTGTCTGCCATGTCCTGAGGGCTGCACCAGCTGCATGGATGCCACACCGTGCCTGGTGGAAGAGGCCGCGGTGCTGCGGGCCGCTGTGCTGGCCTGCCAGGCCTGCTGCATGCTGGCCATCTTCCTGAGCATGCTGGTCTCCTACCGCTGCCGCCGGAACAAGGCAAGGAAGGCCCCACACCTCCTACACACATGTCCGACCCATCTCAACTGGAGGCCTGAGACTACCTAAGACCAGAATTTAGGAGAAATTGGTTCTAATCTTGATTCTAAATCTAACTCACTGTGTAGCATGATGCAAGTGATTTCTCCGCCTTGGACCTGCTTCCTCATCTGTAAAATAAGGGCATTGAACTTGATTCAATAAATGCTAGTTGAGTATCTACTCTAAGCAAAACACTGCCTAGGCTCAAATGGAAGTGATCTGGGCCTGCATGGAGTTCCCAGTTTAATGGAGGAAGCAGACATGTAAATAAAATGACAGCACAGTGAGATGGGGGCAAGGATGGAGGTGTCTGTCAGCTGCTGTGGGAGCTTACAGAAAGTCATCCTGCCTGAGATGGCATGGGAAAGACTTTCTGGATGTGACATGAGCCAGGCTTGAAGGTTAACTGGATACTTACTGGGCCAAGAAGGGGTACCCTATTCTAGACAAGGGAGCAGCCTGACCCAACGCTTGAGGAATGCATGAGATCCCTTCCAGCTCCAGCAGCCTCTGATTTGAGCCTAGGTCTGCAGCAAGGCCCTGAGCAAGACTGGGAGGAACACAGGGATGTGTGTGTGGGAATGATGTAAAACCTTGGCCTTAGCCATGTTTAGTGCCAGTGGAGTTGAGCCTGGGGTAACAAGGGACGTGGATGTGGGCAGAGAGGGCAGAGCCAGTGTTACAGGGTGAAGCCTTAGCTCAGGGTCACTGAGTGACCGTTCACATAGGCCTGAGAGCCTCTAGAACCATCGTCCAGACTCTGCTCACATGCCTCTCTCCTTGCTTCACAGAGGATCTGGGCATCTGGAGTGGTCCTGCTGGAAACTGTCCTTTTTGGATTCCTGCTGCTTTACTTTCCTGTGAGTCTGTGGCCACAGGCTGGCCCCACCTTCCAGCATCCCCCATAGCCAAAACCTGGCACCCTCCAAGCCCCAGAACCCTTCTCTGCCCTCTGGAAGGGATTCAGAGACCACAGATTTCCCCTACTCTTACCCACAAATGGCAAGCTGGTCTATGAGCTCTGGAGCCTCAGGCTTATTAGGAGCTCTGTGACTTGCAGTGTGATTTAGGGCAAGTTACCTAACTTCTTTGACACTTCAGCTGCTCCTCTGCAGAATGAAGGTGGTGATGGCTCTATTGCAGGGCTGTTGGGAGGATCCACAGTGTGCTTAGCATAGGCCTGGCCCACAGCAGAAGCATAGTAGAGAGCAGAGATTTTTGCCCCTTCCCACCAGGTCTTCATCCTATACTTCAAGCCCAGTGTATTCCGCTGCATCGCTCTTCGCTGGGTGCGGCTGCTGGGTTTTGCCATCGTCTACGGCACCATCATACTCAAGCTTTACAGGTACGGCCTGGGGCAGACTTTGCTCTCATGCTGCTCATCCCAGACCACCCCAGCTCACTCATGGAATGGTGTTTTTCAAAGCCAGACCCTTGCCAGCCCCACTCCCCTCTACCCCCAAGGCCAACCCCCATCACCATAGCCTTGTCTTCCATGTTACTTTGTGGGGGGGTAGCAAAAGGCAGCAAATCACAAAAAGGATGGAAGGACAAGTACCTGTGTGGAGGAGAGGGCAGCAATGGACAGAGACCAGGGCGCTGGCACCCTCTTCGTGATCCACCCAGGTCCCTGCCATCCACCCTGTGTATTCTAACCCTCGCAGAGTGCTGCAGCTGTTTCTGTCTCGAACGGCCCAGCGGAGTGCCCTTCTGAGCAGCGGGCGGCTGCTGCGGCACCTGGGGCTGCTCCTGCTACCTGTGCTGGGCTTCCTGGCTGTGTGGACCGTGGGCGCCCTGGAGCGAGGCATCCAGCACGCACCTCTGGTGATCCGAGGCCACACTCCCAGTGGCCGCCATTTCTACCTCTGTCACCACGACCGCTGGGACTACATCATGGTTGTGGGTGAGCTGCTTCTGCTGAGCCCAGCCTTACGCTGGTCCCTGCCTCTGTGCCTCCAGGGTTCCTCTTGTTCTGGTTCTCCTGACTTGTCCCCAGACCCCGAGCCCAGGCTCCCCCCAGCACATCTTTCAGAGAAAGGGGTGGGACAGCTGCTGAGGTGGTGCCGGCTCTCTCCCTCCCTGTCTCCCCACAGCTGAGCTGCTGCTGCTGTGCTGGGGCAGCTTCCTCTGCTACGCCACACGGGCTGTGCTCTCGGCCTTCCATGAGCCACGCTACATGGGCATCGCCCTGCACAATGAGCTACTGCTTTCCGCTGCCTTCCACACAGCCAGGTGAGGACGGACTCACCTCCCCACACCCCCTTCCACTCTAACAGTACTCCTCACCTCTCCCAGGTGAGGTGCCCCCATCCCATGCCATCCTGGCAACACTGCTACGCCTCAGCACGTTGACGAAGGCCCCCACTTCTGGCTCTCTCCCTACCCCCCAGATGCCCCTTCTGTACTCCATGCCTGGCCCAGGTGAGGAGGCCCCCAACACAGAAGAGGAGGAAGAGGACCTTCCTCCTAACTCCTCACCCCTCCCAAAGCACCTCTCCAGCACCCCAACATACCCCTTTCCACACATGCTCAGTCCTCCCTGCCTTCTCCCCTCACTCCTCAGCCATAAGAGCAGCAGGCTGCTGTTTGTCCATAACGACCAGACCCTGTGGTGGAGGCAGAGTTAACCCACAGAGTGGGCCTAAGAGTCTGGAGCACAGGTCTGTGCTATACACAGCCAAAGAAAGTGAGCTGGAGTATTCTGGGAGGGCGTCTTGGAGGTTGGGATTAACAGGATTGAAGTGGGACCTAAATCCTGGAGAGGGCAGGAGAGGGCAGAATGCCCCCTCGTCCTAAGCGTATCAGGGTTGGGGCTGAGGTGAAACGCCAGTGAGAAGGCAAAGCAGAAGAGGCAACTCCTGCCTGCAGTAATGACCTGCGCCCCTATCCCGCCCCAGGTTTGTGCTGGTTCCCTCTCTGCACCCGGACTGGACCCTCCTCCTCTTCTTCTTCCACACCCACAGCACAGTCACCACCACGCTGGCTCTGATCTTCATCCCTAAGGTGAGGCCCTCCCCTCCTGCCTGTGAGGTGGACCCCAGCCCCTCTGTCAGGGCCACTGTGGAGCGGTTGTCCCGCAGCGCCCTCTGCAGGCCAGGGTGAGGACGACAGAAGGTGCTGGGTGAGTGAGCACAGTGCCAGGGGCCCTAAGCTAGGAGCTGACTTGAGTGGGGACACTCTCTGCTTCCAGTTCCTGGGCAAGGGAAAGAAAACCCAGGGCTGGAGGGGCTCCCTCCTGCAGCTGGAAGGTTGGCACACTCTGAAAATCTACTCAGAAGCAGGTATACAGGGAGAGGTGGGAGAGCTGAAGGACCCGGCTAGGAATTGCAGGGTCAGGGGCTTAGAACCACCCTGCTGTCTGAGCTAGAGAAGGTCAGGGAGGATGAGGGGAGTAAAACTCTAAAGATCCCCAGAATTCCAAGTCAGAGAAGGGGGTGAAGCGTCACAAAGTAAGGACGCATTCCACAGGGCAGGTGAGTGCAGGAGTGGACAAGGAGCCAGGGCGAGTCTTTTTCCCACTCTTATGCACCCCTGCCAGTTCTGGAAGCTGGGGGCTCCTCCCCGGGAGGAGATGGTGGATGAGGTGTGTGAGGACGAGCTGGACCTGCAGCACTCAGGCTCCTACCTTGGCAGCAGCATCGCCTCAGCCTGGAGTGAGCACAGCCTGGACCCTGGAGACATTCGGGTATGTGCCACCCTCCCTGCCTCCTTTCAATGCTAGCTTTTAGGAACTGGGCAGAGGGAGGACTGGGCCCTGCCACCTGGGCTATGTGCCACTGCAAGTCCTCTTCCCTCCAAGACCTGCCCTCTCCCTTCTCCACTGGCCTAAACTGATTCCCCTGACTCTATTCAAAGGAGGCCACACACACCCAAGTGGGAAGACCCCAAAGCCCCAGAACCAGATCCCGGAGGCTCAGGCCATGTGGCAAGCTAGAGGCAGGGCCGAGAGTGGAGCCCTACTCCTTCGCATCCTCCACTCTCACTCAGCAGGGGCATCAGGTCGGGGGCAGTCTAAGAAACCCCTCAGCTGGCTGGGCACAGTGGTTCATGCCTGTAATCCCAGCATTTTGGGAGGCCAAGGCAGGCGGATCACTTGAGGCCAGGAGTTTGACCAGCCTGGCCAAATGGCGAAATCTCGTCTCTACTAGAAATACAAAAATTAGCCAGGCATGGTGGTACATGTCTGTGGTCCCAGCTACTCAGGAGGCTGAGGTGGGAGGAGGATCACTGGAGCCTGGTAAGTTGAGGTTGCAGTGAGCTGAGATCGCACCACTGCACTCCAGCCTGGGTGAAAGAGTAAGATTCTGACACACACACACAAAAAAGCCTCAGCCCCCAGCAAAGCAGGATGGTTGGTGCCTAGGGCACCTAGGGCCAGCCTAGGGCCAGCTGTGGGGCTGGGTAGTTCAGGCAGTGAGTAGCCACCAGGATCCCCTTTCCCTGGACCTGGCAGGTCTTAGAGGAAGTTCTTCCTGGGTCTACACTGGAAAAGCATGCTTATTCTCATTTCTGTGCTCAAGGGGATCATTATAGTCACCAGAACCCTAACAAGAGGCTCAGTGGGTAAGATACAAGGAGAGCTGATAATCTAAGCCCATTGTTTTATACAATCCAGAGTCTAGGAACCATCATGGGAAGCCATTCTGTCCACCCCCTCCACCTCTACTGGGGCCGTCTTCACACCTGACTTGTTTACAGGCCCACAAAGCAGAGTCCTCTGCATCTCCTGAGTCCTTCCTTGTTCCAGTGCCTCTGCCCGTTTCCCCCTTGTGTCCTCACCCTCTGAGCTCTGCCTGCCCTGCCTCCTGAGACCCCAATCCAGCTGAAGGGCCAGGGAGTATGGAGGGGCAGCTCCACCCCTGACCCTCCACTTTCTGGAACACAAGCCAATCTGCGGCCCCTATGCTGGATCTGGGGAGAAACCCAGAACAGAAGACTTCTAAAGCCCCGTTCCATCATTTACACCTGAACACTGCATATTTCAAACCCACTAGTCTCATCAATCTCATATAATGCTCTTAAGGAAGTTAACACTGGTCACCCAGGTAACATTGCTTTACAGAAGATCCAGAGGCTCAGAGGGAGGGGTCATGAAAACAGCCTCCAGGGACACAGCATATTGAGTGTCCCCAAGCTACTAACTTCCCACTAGACCACAATGCCCCAGAGAAGGGGGTACACATGAGTCCTCCGAGCTGACTGGATCTGGCTGGGACTCAGGTTGGCAACTGGTCTCACAGGAACAAAGAGGTGAATTACGAGAGTTTTAGAAGCAGGGAAGAGATACAGCTTGATGGAAAGAGATCCCTAAGGGAAAAAGGTCTAGGCAAGGGTGGAGGAACAGACAGCCAGGGGATGGAGAGAGCTCACCTGCAGCCCTGCTTTCCTCCCTGCTGCCCCACAGGACGAGCTGAAGAAGCTCTATGCCCAGCTAGAGGTCCACAAAACCAAGGAAATGGCCGCAAACAACCCCCACCTGCCCAAGAAGCGAGGCAGCTCATGCCAGGGACTGGGCCGCTCCTTCATGAGGTACCTGGCGGAATTCCCCGAGGCCCTGGCCAGGCAGCACTCCCGGGACTCAGGATCCCCAGGCCACGGCAGCCTGCCCGGCTCCTCCCGCCGCCGGCTCCTCAGCTCCAGCCTCCAGGAACCCGAGGGGACACCAGCTCTGCACAAGTCCCGCAGCACCTATGACCAGCGCAGGGAGCAGGACCCGCCTCTTCTTGACTCACTGCTGAGGAGGAAGCTGGCCAAGAAGGCCTCTCGAACAGAGAGCCGGGAGTCGGTGGAGGGGCCCCCTGCCCTGGGCTTCAGGTCAGCCAGCGCCCACAACCTGACGGTGGGAGAGAGGCTACCCAGAGCCCGGCCCGCCTCTCTGCAGAAGTCGCTCAGTGTGGCCAGCTCCAGGGAAAAGGCCTTGCTCATGGCCAGCCAGGCCTACCTGGAGGAGACCTACCGGCAAGCAAAGGAGCGGGAGGAGCGGAAGAAGGCCAAGGCAGCCATGGCCAGCCTGGTGCGGAGGCCATCAGCCAGGAGGCTGGAGCGGCCTCGAGGGGCCCCCCTGTCAGCTCCACCTTCCCCTGCCAAGAGCAGCAGCGTGGACAGCTCTCACACCTCTGGGAGGCTTCATGAGGAGGCTAGGAGAAGGCTGCCTCATCCACCCATCAGGCACCAGGTTTCTACCCCCATCTTGGCCCTGTCTGGGGGCCTGGGAGAGCCAAGGATGCTATCTCCCACCTCCACCTTGGCTCCAGCTCTGCTGCCAGCTCTAGCTCCAACCCCAGCCCCTGCCCTGGCACCAGTCCCAGTATCCCCACAAAGCCCCAACTTACTCACCTACATCTGCCCCTGGGAGAACGCAGAACTGCCAGCCAAGCAAGAAAATGTGCCCCAGGAAGGCCCCTCAGGGCCAGAGCGAGGCCACCACTCCCCTGCCCCAGCTCGAGCCAGGCTCTGGAGGGCCCTCTCTGTTGCAGTAGAGAAAAGCAGGGCTGGGGAGAATGAGATGGACGCAGAGGATGCACATCACCAGAGGGAAGCTAATGATGTGGACGAAGACAGGCCCAAGATCTTCCCTAAATCCCACAGCCTCAAGGCCCCTGTTCAGCAGGGTTCCATGCGCAGCCTGGGGCTGGCGATTAAAGCTCTGACCCGTTCTCGGAGCACCTACAGAGAGAAGGAGAGTGTGGAGGAGAGTCCCGAGGGGCAGAACAGCGGGACTGCGGGAGAGAGTATGGGGGCACCCTCCCGATCGCCCAGGCTAGGCCGGCCCAAGGCGGTGAGTAAGCAGGCCGCTCTTATCCCCTCCGATGACAAGGAGTCCCTCCAGAACCAACAGAACGCTCACACCAGCAGGATGCTCCAAGTCTGTCAACGGGAGGGCAGCAGGGAACAAGAAGACAGAGGCAGGAGGATGACCCAGGGTCTAGGGGAACGGAAAGCTGAGAGAGCAGGTAAAACAGGGCTTGCCATGCTGAGGCAAGTTTCCAGGGACAAAAACATCAAGCAATCAAAAGAAACCCCTGTCGGGTGGCAGGAACTGCCCAAAGCTGGCCTCCAGTCCCTGGGCAGCGCTGACCACAGGGTGGCAGAGGTATGCCCCTGGGAGGTCACTGAATCAGAAACGCGTCAGCCAGACAGTGGCAACAAGGCCGAAATCTGCCCCTGGGAGACGAGTGAAGGAGCCCCAGAGTCGAGGGCACTAAGACAAGACCCAGGTGACTCCCAAAAAAAGAGAGGGGAGGCCCGGGGAAAATCAGAGCCCATAGATGTGGTTCCCATGATGCGGAAAAAGCCAGAGAGGCTGGTGAGGGAGCAGGAAGCAGTGTGTCCCTGGGAGAGTGCCGATCGAGGAGGTCTGTCCCCTGGGTCAGCTCCTCAGGACCCTGGCAGAATCAGAGACAAATCTGAGGCGGGGGACAGTGTGGAGGCCAGGAAGGTGGAGAAGCCTGGGTGGGAAGCTGCTGGCCCAGAAGCTCATACCCCTGACATCACCAAGGCAGAGCCGTGTCCCTGGGAGGCAAGTGAAGGAGGCGAGGATGGGAAACCAGCCCAAGAGGCAGTGAAGGATCTCCCTCAGGAAAAGCAGAAAACCAGGAAAGCAACCTTTTGGAAAGAACAGAAACCGGGAGGAGACTTGGAGTCTCTTTGTCCATGGGAGAGTACAGATTTCCGGGGCCCCTCAGCAGTCTCAATTCAGGCCCCAGGAAGCTCAGAGTGTTCAGGGAGTTTGGGCAGTGGCATTGCTGAAGTGTGTCTGTGGGAGGCAGGAGATGCTCCTGCTATCCAGAAAGCAGAGATCTGTCCCTGGGAGCTGGATGATAACGTGATGGGGCAGGAAATGCTGAGTCTGGGGACAGGTAGAGAATCTCTTCAAGAAAAGGAAAAAGCCTCCAGAAAAGGAAGCTTTGGAGAGATGGGGGAACAAACTGTGAAAGCAGTGCAGAAATTAAGTCAACAGCAGGAGTCAGTTTGTCCCAGGGAGAGCACGGTCCCTGGGCACTCCAGCCCATGTCTAGACAATTCCTCATCCAAAGCTGGTAGCCAATTCCTATGCAATGGAGGAAGCAGAGCAACGCAGGTGTGTCCACAGGAAGATCTCAGGCCGGAGGCACAGGAAGCAACACCTGCCAAAACAGAAATCTGTCCCTGGGAGGTAAATGAAAGAACAAGAGAGGAATGGACATCAGCACAGGTGCCAAGAGGAGGAGAATCTCAAAAGGACAAGGAGAAAATGCCTGGAAAATCGGAAATCGAAGATGTCACAGCTTGGGAAAAGCCTGAGGGGCAGATCCAAAAGCAAGAAGCGGTCGGCCCCTGGGAGAGTGTGGACCCTGGCAGCTTCTCCCCACAACCACGTCCTCAAGACACAGAGAGACCCCAAACCCTTCTCCAGATGTCAGGCAGTGTGGGAAGCAAAGCTGCCGACATTTGCCCTTTGGATGTGGAGGAAAACTTGACTGCTGGGAAGGCAGAAATCTGTCCCTGGGAGGTGGGTGCTGGAGCAGGGGAGGAAAGGGCTTTGGGAGCTGAGGCCATTAGGAAATCTCCAAATGATACAGGCAAGGTTTCTGCAGATCTTGGACCCAGGGAGAGAGCTGTTACTGCTCCAGAGAAGCCACAGAAGCCAACCCCAGAGTGGGAGGTGGCTTGTCCCTGGGGGAGTGTGGGTCCAGGGGCCTGTTCTCAGCATCCAGGTACTCTAGATGCTGATGGACCAAAAGCTGGGTTCCAGGAACTGGATCATATGGGCTGCAGGCCAGGTGAAGTGTGTCCCTGGGAAGCACAGGAAGCTGCTACCAGTGAAAAAGCCAAGATCTGTCCCTGGGAGGTAAGTGAAGGAACTACTGGGAAGGGATTGGACCAAAAGGCAGGGAGTGAATCAGCAGAGCAGAGGGAGAAAGCTCTAGAAAAGGGGAGACTCACTTCCCTGGGAGAAGACGTATCAAAAGGGATGGCAAAACTGTGTCAACAACAGGAAACTATTTGTATTTGGGAGAACAAGGACTTGAGGGAATCCCCTGCTCAGGCCCCCAAGATCTCAGACTTGCCCAGCAGCATGAGTAGTGAAGTGGCAGAGGGACATTCCTTGGAAGCAACAGAGAAGGGGGACCTGAGACAAGACCCAAAGACAGGTTCCTTCCCAGAACACATAACCCAAGAAAAAGCTCCAGCTGCAGACACAGAAGAATTCACTACTGAAGATGGGGAAAAAACAAGCCATGAGCTACAATCCGTCTGTCCATGGGAGACCACTGCCCCAGCAGATTCCGTCTCTCACCTAGACAGACAGCGCCCTGACCAACCTAAAGCTAGCTCCCAGAGACTGGTCAGCACTGGGGGCAGGGCCGCTGACGTGTGCCCATGGGATGTTCCTGATGCAGGTGTGTATAAATCTGACAGCAGTGCCAAGGCTGAGACCTGTCCCTGGGAAGTGACTGAAAGAATCCCTGTCAAAGGGGTGTCAAGGCAGGATGGAAAAGGGGACTCTCAAGAAGAGAAAGGCAGAGCCCCAGAAAAATCAGAGCCAAAAGGTGTGCCAGTTCAGAAAAAGCCAGAGATGGCAGACTTCAGGCAGCAGGAGGCTGTGTGTCCCTGGGAGAGTCAAGATGGCAAGGGTCTGTCCCCACAGCCAGCCCCAGATGCTTCTGACAGAAGCAGAGGCAGTTCTGAGGCAGCAGGCAGTGTGGAGACCAGGGTAGCGGAAGTGTGTCTGTGGGAAGTGGTAGAGGCTCCCTCTGCCAAGAAAGCAGAGATCTGCCCTTGGGAGGCGGGTGGAGGAGCAGCAGAGGAAGGGGAACAGGAAAGAGAATCACAAGGGCAAGGAGAGATGTTCCTTCAGAAGGCAGGACCTGGAGGGACGGAAGAACACTTCTCAAAAGCAGCAGCAAAGCCCAGAGAGCAGGAGGCAGTCTGCCCTGGGGAAGGCACAGGCTCAGGAGGGCTCTTGCCCCAGTCAGGTGCCCTGGACCCAGAACTCAAAGTCAGCCCCAAGGAAGCAGGCAGCATGGGAAGCAGGATGGCAGAGCTGTGCCAATGGGAAATCACAGATCCAGAAGGAAATAAAATAAAGGGTACCATGGCAGACATCTGTCCTGGGGAGGAAACTGGAGTCCCATCTGAGGAATCTGGCCTCCTGGCTTTAACAGCAACTCGGAGAGAATTTTTCCCCACAGCTCCTGAAAAACCACTATGCCTTTTAGTCCATGGGCCTCTGGATCACTTCTTTCCAGAAAGCAAAATCCCCTGCCCCAAGGTAAGCAGGCCAGCCAGTACTTTCACTCTAGAAGGTGTCAGAGAACTACAAGGACCTTCAGGGCTTGAGCCAAGGACCAGCTTAGCCCCAGAGCCAAGTCTCCAGGAAGCTGAGTCTCAGTCTTCGTCCTTAACTGAAGACTCAGGCCAAGTGGCTTTTGAAGCTCAGTATGAAGAATTCACCCCTCCCACTGTCTATCCTTGGGATTGGGAGTAACAGCCTTATTAGGTGAGGTCAAACACAGAGCTAGCTTTC
The DNA here is from genome assembly GCF_000001405.40 of Homo sapiens. Taxonomy (NCBI): domain Eukaryota; kingdom Metazoa; phylum Chordata; class Mammalia; order Primates; family Hominidae; genus Homo; species Homo sapiens. Next base: position 38,326,425 of record NC_000017.11, on the reverse strand, counting down.
AGGAGCCAAGGCCCTTTCCAAGTCCAGGTGTTCCCAAAGAGCTGAATCAAAGACAGCTTGGCCACTTCCCCTCCTTGAGAAGACCAGAAGTCAACCCATCCCAAAGACAAACTGCATGAAAAGGGTACAGCTTAGACCCCAATGGGAAGGCCCACCCTCTCTTTACTTCTAACTTTTCTTCCTGTTTGAGGAAACAAAGACTGGACACTCTACTTCTAAGGACGCCTCCCATCCACCTACAGTACTCACAACACAAACCACCCGAGTCTGGACACTCACCCACAAAGCCACTGTTAGGGATGAAAAAAGTCAGTTGTGCCCAGCCTACCTTCTCTCACAGGGGGACCCAATTCTCTGAAGTCTACGATGGAGCATTTTTTGAGAAGAAACTAAACCATACAAAGTGTTGGCAACGTAGGGATGGTGGACCACAGAAGGCTATAAAGGCCACCATAGAAAGCTGAAGAGCCATTTAATTGAAGCGGAAGATAAATTGGGGGAAAAGCTAAAATGACTCAAAATAGGGGCCTGAAAATGCTTTAAGGACCTTGTCATTTTGACTTTGAATCTCCTGTTTCTGCTTTATTGCTTCTCATACCTGCCCTGCTTGACTGCTGAAGCAGAAACAATCAGGCACGCTGACACCCTTATCAGCATCTGGCATCCAAAGCAACATCAGAGAGAGAGAACACAGAAGAAAAGCAATTGCCCCAGGTCCTCCCCACAGTCAAGGGAGCTCTTCCTTCCAGACATCCTTGTGTGCCTCTTGCTAGTTTTTTAGGGGGTCTCCCCCTCTTCCTGCCCTAGCTCTCACCAGTCTCCAGAGCTCGTCTCACTGGCTCATTTCCTTCCCCCTAGCTTTTCAGCGCTGCCATCAACAGGACCTCTCTCTTTTGTCAAGGCAACTGGAGTCAAGGGGAATCTCTGGTTCTGATGCAAGACCCATCCACCCTCCCCCACCCCTCCCCGCCCAAGAATCACTTGCTCAGTAACAAGAGGCCACATCAATCTCCTTCCAGAGGAGCTCAAGAAAGGCAGTCCTGTACACAGCCAGCACTCTACTTCTTCTGCCCTCTAAAAGAGGAGTGCTACAGGGCAAGTTAGAAGCCTGAGAGCTGGGAAAAGGGCACTGTGTGAAGACAAAGCCTTCTTTCTTAGGGAGCTCTCTCTTTCTTGGCTCCCTTCTCTCGTCAGTTCAGGCTACACTTGCTTAAGCAGTACTAGATTACAAATTGCTGGGATTAGATGATAATACCAGAGGGAAAGGAAGAAGGAGAAAAACATACAAAGAAGTCCCAAGATTGGCAAAGGGAGGTGGGAGAGGGGGGAAGGGGCAGCTAGAGAAGGCAGAGCTGCACAGGGGCACTAAAGATGGCAGTAAGTCACGCCCTCTAACAGTACAACAGTACAGACATTGATGTCATTCATGGGGAGAAAAAGACAAACAGGGAGACCAAATACCCAAAGGGAAAAAGAGCCATTAACATCTAGTCTGCATGTAAATATGCTGGGCGGTTATGGGACTTCACAGAGAAAGTAAAAAAGTACTCCATTTCCAAAAGGGAACAGAGGAATGGAGTAACCTACTCTCCTTTGGGGACCAGATGTCCTCATTCTCTTACCTAGGGCCCTTATTCTGGGCTTTTGGAGCAGTAATTGAAGTGTGTTGTTGTTCTGGGCTCTGGCTAGTTAGCCTTACGGCTTCTGAGCTAAAGTGGATTTTGCTGTGCACCCCAAAACAATCCCATTGGGTCTGGTCTAGCTGGAAACAGCAAAGTTGCCGCCAAACACACTCTTGTGAAATAAACCATGGGGTGGGGGGGGCGGGGCGGAAATAAAGAATGCTTTTTCTTGACATTGCAGTTGGCTCTAGCTTATTCATGATTATCTTTTTTTAACATTTTTAAACAGTAACAGAAGATAGATAAGGAAAGAACAATGCCTGCTCCAAAGCTCAAGGTGCACTGCAGTCTTGGGACTTTGGGTTATCTGGCTAATGCTCTGCTAGTGCCCAGGTCAGTGCTGACACTGCAGATGGTCTCTGCCTGGTCCTTCTAGCCAGCCCCTCACATCTGGAGGCCATTTGCTCAGCTGGATTTAATCCCAAGGGGAAATGGAAATTGCACTCATCCTCTGGCTCTCTGGTGGCAGCTACTGCTTAGCTCCTATTTAGGATTATCTAGAGAACCCTGAGATATCCAGGGGAGTGGGATGAAACAGCTTATTTGAAGCACTATTTTTACATATTCAAAGGAATCAATGTATCATTTACCCACTAAGTGTGCTTTTTTTTTTTTTTTCATTTCTTTGCTTCCTTACCCTGCAAGGATTATTTCCCCTTCCTCCATACTCCCTGGCAGTGGGTCCTGCTCAAAAGCACGTCCCTTCTCATTTTGCCTTAATCCAGGGCTCAGGCAAATAGGATGTGACCAAACCTCACTTGGGCAGTAATTAAAGTGATGTACACTTTAAGCCAAAAAGGTTGGGACTAAGCAGCATGATGAGAGTGGTTGATGAGAGACACCAGGGCTGTCTCTTCCCTAAATATACATACCTTTGTTTCCATAGTTAACACTTAACAGGCCAGGCATGGTGACTCACACCTGTAATCCCAGCACTTTGGGAGGATGAGGCAGGCAGATCACCTGAGGACAGGAGTTCGAGACCAGCCTGGCCAACACATAGTGAAACCCCATCTCTACTAAAAAAAAAATTCAAAAATCAGCCAGGCATGGTGGCACATGCCTGTAGTCCCAGCTACATGGGAAGCTGAGGCAGGAGAATAGCTTGAATCCAGGAGGTGGAGCTTGCAGTGAGCCGAGATCGTGCCACTGCACTCCAGCCTGGGCCTGACAGAGCAAGACTCCATCTCTAAAAAACAAAATAAAACAAAAACAAAGTGATTTCTCTTGTCACACTCAGATGGCCTAGGACACATGGGCATGTGAGGTCCCACACCCTTTTAACAGCCCATCTGGAGCTAAGGAACAAGGAGGGGCTGGCCTATTTTCCTCTGCACAGGTTCATACTTTTGTACACTCACCTTCAATACTGGGCTGGAAAGAACAGTCCCCATCTCCAAATGGTGCTAGAAATCAGGGAACCAAGTACTGCAGATAAATTTTCCAAATGTAACAACCTCTCCATGGCCCCTGCCTCCCCCAACACTTCCTGATACAGCTAATAATTAAGAACACAATCAAAGGCTAAGGGATAAATTATTTCTTTGGATTTATATTTTTCCATAAAATGCAAATGCTGATTCATCAGTGAGTCAGTATATGAAAAAGGGCCTCTTAAATGTCTTATAAACACTAATTATTCTTCCCCAGTCTTCATTTCCTTAAAGTCACATCGCTCACAAGTAGGCTCATCTTCCACTTCTGCCATCTGAAGGCTGGTCCATGCCCAGCCTGAACCAGGGGAAATGTGCAGAACTCACCAAAATTTTTCCAACACCCTGACAACATTTCATTTCAAACTCTGATCCCTGCCCTGTGATTACAAAGAGGATGCTGCTGGTTGTCTCTCACAGTCCCTGCTGTGGGAAAAACTGATATCCAATGTTCTCTGAAACATACTGTCTTTCATCTAGACTCAGAAGCTAGACATAAAATTTAAAAAAGAAGAGTGTCCATGGCCATGTTATACCTGCCACCTGCTAGGGCCCAGTCATCAGTCATGGTTGCTGATGATGAGACTGCTGAAAAGACCTGAGCAGGATGGGAGAGAACAAAGGTAGTTCTTTTTATAGCATGAGGGGAATGGGAGACTTCAAAGCTTCCAGCAGCCTCATCACCCAGGCTTCACCCTAGAAGTCATTTTTGTCATCAGGCTAGCTGAGGCTTCTGGGCCTCTCCTTGTGCCTCTTCATATTCTTCTTCTGGTTTCAGCTGAGGGCCAGGGATCATCACCGTCTGAAAGAGTAGGACGCCAGGTTACCCACCAACCAAGCCCATGGCTGACCCAGAAGAGCTTCATCCCTTGCTCCCACCCACCCACCCACCCGGCCTTCCCTTCCTGGGTGGTGCATCACCCCCTCTCGCCACTAGGTGGAGCCCGACAGAGTGGCTTAGGAGACCACGAGTAGTGCCTCAGCTCTCTTAAACCATGCAAGCCACCTTACCTTAAGGATGGGCTGCTTAGGGGGTGCCCATGGGGGAACGATCTTGGTATGCATTCTCCAGCTTCCATAGGGGTTTGTCAACTGCTTTTCGAATACAACATACTCCAGGACATCCTTGGGTACATCTTCCTGTCCATACATCAACCGGCCAAACCGGTCATAGATGGCCAGAGTCTGCAAGGATAAAAGCAAATCTGGCCTCTTAGTTTTTTTGGTGTGTGAGTGTGAGTTGTTTGTTTTATTGCCATACAACCTTTTTTTTTTTTTTGAGACAGAGTCTCACTCTGTTGCCCTGGCTGGAGTGCAGTGGCATGATCTCAGCTCACTGCAACCTCTACCTCCTGGGTTCAAGCAATTCTCCTGCCTCAGCCTCCCAAGTAGCTGGGATTACAGGCACGTGCCACCACTCCTGGATGATTTTTTTTGTCTTTTTTAGTAGAGATGGGGTGTCACCATGTTGACCCAGCTGTCCAACTCCTGACCTCAGGTGATCCACCCGCTTCGGCCTCTCAAAGTGCTGGGATTACAGGCGTGAGCCACTGCACCCAGCCTGCCACACAACCATTTTTGAAACCACCATAAGAAAAATCTTTTTAAATTTTTTTTTTTTGGAGACGGAGTCTTGCTGTTGCCCAGGCTGGAGTGCAGTGGTACGGTATCGTCTCACTGCAACCTCCGCCTTCCAGGTTCAAGCGATTCTCCTGCCTCAGCCTCCTGAGTAGGTGGGACTACGGGCACACACCATGATGCCCGGCCAATTTTTCTATTTGTAGTGTACACAGTGTTTTGCCATGTTGGCCAGGCTGGTCTTGAACTCCTGACCTTGTGATCTGCCTGCCGTGGCCTCCCAAAGTGCTGGGATTACAGGCATGAGTTACTGTGCCCAGCCAGAAAAAATCTTAATGGGTAGAAAAAAAGTTATCTCGGAATTCTGAATCTAGGACTATCTGATCAACTACTGACACTTTATTCTTACAAGTTCTTTGACAGGGGGCAGAGAGACGGGGAAGTCAAGACCAAGAAGGAGTGGGGCACAATGGCTCATGCCTATAGTCCCAGCACTTTGGGAGGCTGAGGTGGGTGGATCACTTGAGCTCAGGAGTCTGAGACCAGCTTGGGCAAAATGACAAGACTGGTCTCTACAAAAAATACTAAAATTAGCCAGGCATGGTTGCGTGCCCCTGTAGTCCCAGCTACTTGGAGGCTGAGGTGGGAGGATTGCTTGAGCCCAGGAGGTTGAGGCTGCAGTGAGCCACAATCACATCACTGCACTCCAGCCTGGGTGACAGAATGAGACCCTGTCTTGGGGGAAAAAAAAAAATCAGGAAGAGTGGGAGAGAATATCCTCACACATCTTAGTAGAGCCAACATGTAACAGTGGGAAGGGGACAGCGGCACAGCAAGGAAGACAGATCACAGTGTACCTTTTATTACTGTCTACAGTCCTGGGCAACCATACCCAGCACTCCAGAGGGAGGTGCCCAAGCTCAGAGTGAAAAAAAGCTGGGAGGAAGGCAGACGAGTGCCTCTACCTGCCGGGTGTGCATGCGTACGGTGATCTGGCCGTACACGTTGCCCTGGTTCATCATACTTGAACAGCGAACTTGAACAACATGAGAGGGCTCTAAAGATTCCACAAAGCTCCAGCGGACGGTCTTATATTTGATGTCCCAAGTCATGTCCTAAGGGCAAAGGAGAACAAGTTCAACTGCATTTTTCCCTCCCTTTAAGGAAGCTGGTGCTGCCACACTGCTCTCACTTCCTGCAAGACTACAGCCAACAGGCAGCACGTTTCCCACCACATGCTCTCTTGTGCCTATTTTCTCTTGCACCTTCTCAAGTTTTGATTAAGCTATTGGTCAAGCTTACCTGACAACTCTCTCTTCATCTATATCACAACTTCAGACCCACCTTCCTCTTTGAGGACCCTTCTTTAAATCAACAAAAACCACATTCCAAACTGCCAGCATGCCCAATACACCAACATCCCTCCCATACACTTTCATAATGTGGCAATTATTGCATGTACTTGTGTTGACTGCATATATATTTTTTTTCCCCACTCACATATTAACAATGAAAAGTGGGAATTTTACAGGGCTATAAGGGCTAAACTGCTAGGACTGGGGAAGACTGATAGAAACTGAAGTTCTACTGATAGAAACCCAAGTTCTTTTTTTATTTATTTTTATTTTTGAGACGGCAATCTTGCTCTGTTGCCCAGGCTAGAGCACAGTGGCGCGGTCTCGGCTCACTGCAAGCTCCGCCTCCCAGGTTCACGCCATTCTCTTGCCTCAGCTTCCCGAGTAGCTGGGACTACTGGCGCCCGCCACCACGCCCGGCTAATTTTTCTGTATTTTCAGTAGAGACGGGGTTTCACCATGTTAGCCAGGATGGTCTTGATCTCCTGACCTCGTGATCCGCCCGCCTCGGCCTCCCAAAGCGCTGGGGTTACAGGCGTGAGCCACCGCACCCGGCCCCAAGTTCTTATTCTTGGATCTCTAACTGAACCACAAAGTTCTTATCCTTGGGGATCCCTCCAAGTGCTTCACACTCCTGTTACCACTCAATATAAGCCTCATGAACTCTTGTTAAATCCCTCATGATAGTGCAGGCGTGTGGAGATGTGGCCTAGTATGGCCCATATCCAAGCCTCAGGACCTATGCTCCTGCAGTGTCATTACTGCTTGTTGAGGGACTTCTTTCATTTGCCAGGGCCCTTACCAGAGTCTGTGTCAAGACATTGTCATTCAGCTACAAGCAATGAACCTTCAGCCTGTGCCTTAAACTTCCTACACTCTCAAAACTGATCCTTCTTAAGAAAAACCAGGCAGGGCGCAGTGGGGTTCATGCCTGTAATCCCAGCACTTTGGGAGGCCGAGGCGGGCGGATCACCTGAGGTCGGGAGTTGGAGACCAGCCTGACCAACGGGAGAAACCCCGTCTCTACTAAAAATACAAAATTAGGCCAGGTGCGGTAGCTCACACCTGTAATCCCAGCACTTTGGGAAGCCGAGGTGGCCGGATCACGAGGTCAGAAGATCGAGACCATCCTGGCTAACACAGTGAAACCCCGTCTCTACTAAAAATACAAAAAATTAGCCGGGTGTGCTGGCGGGTGCCTGTAGTCCCAGCTACTCAAGAGGCTGAGGCAGGAGAATGGCGTGAACCCGGGAGGCGGAGCTTGCAGTGAGCCGAGATAGCGCCACTGCACTCCATCCTGGGCGACAGAGCGAGACTCCATCTCAAAATAAATAAATAAATAAATAAATAAATAAATAAATAAATAAATAAATAAATAAAAAATTAGCTGGGCATGGTGGCGCATGCCTGTAATCCCAGCTACTTGGGAGGATGAGGCAGGAGAATCGCTTGAACCTGGGAGGTGGAGGTTGCGGTGAGCCAAGATCGCACCATTGCACTCCAGCCTGGGCAACAAGAGTGAAACTCTGTCTCAAAAAAAAAAAAAAAAAGAAAAGAAAAGAAAAGAAAAGAAAAACCAGAGACGCCATCTAGAATCTGCCCACTCAGTCACCCCACAGTTCTAAGGAGGATGAGAACTTACTGGAAAACAGTGTTCAGTTACCAAGGTATGAAGCCGGTCATGGTCTGAGCTAGAAAAGAAAGCAATAAATATCATTGACTATTGCTCTTATAATACCCTGTATGAAGACTGAAAATGGTCCTGAAAATGGAAAACAATTCATTTTTACAAATGTTTTCGGCACATCTAGTATAAGCCAGGTATAAAATATGCTAAATTCTAGGGGCACAAACACGAACAATAATGTGATTTACCAGAAAACCCTAAGATCTAGTAGCAGAATAAAATTATATTACAAATAAAAAATAAATTTAAAAAAAATTATGTTTAAATCTAAGGAGTAGGAGGCAATTTCTCTAAAATTACCATATATCCTTAAGATGGGTACCCTCACTGGGACATAGGACCTGATTTTTGCTCTAAGCTGGTATGAGCAACAAAGTTCAACACAAGTAACAATCAAAAGCTTGTTTTATCTCCTCTTGCCTCTGAGCCAGCATCAGTACCATCTGGCTTGGCCTTATATCTTTTTTTTTTTTTTTTTTTTTTTGAGACAGAGTCTCGCTCTGTCGCCAGGCTGGAGTGCAGTGGCGCGATCTCGGCTCACTGCAACCTCCACCTCCCAGGTTCAAGCGGTTCTCCTGCCTCAGCCTCCTGAGTAGCTGGGACTACAAGTGCACGTCATGACGCCCACCTAATTTTTGTATTTTTAGTAGAGATGGGGTTTCACCATGTTTTTAGCCTTATATCTTACACGCTCATCTTTGAACCTAGTCAAAGATAATCATGTCTTTCCTGGTCTATTTTCTCTCCTTTATCTTGTTGCTGCCAGAGTGGCCGAGTCATGCTGACTCTATATAGTAATGGTTAAAAAAACACAAAACAGCCGGGCATGGTGGCTCATGCCTGTAATCCCAGCATTTTGGGAGGCCGAGGCGGGTGGATCATGAGGTCAGGAGATCGAGACCGTCATGGCTAACAAGGTGAAACCCCATCTCTACTAAAAATACAAAAAAAATTAGCCGAGAGTAGTAGCAGGCGCCTGTAGTCCCAGCTACTCAGGAGGCTAAGGCAGGAGAATGGCATGAACCCGGGAGGCGGAGGTTGCGGTGAGCTGAGATCACGCCACTGCACTCTAGCCTGAGTGACAGAGCGAGATTCCGTCTCAAAAAAAAACAAAACAAAACAAAAAAAACACAAAACAGACAACAAACCCTAGCTCCTATAGATACAAGATTTTAGGAGGGTTCCTAGCTGATGAGTCTCAAACCTAAGGCCATAGATTAGCTTCTTTCAGATACACACGACTTTTCCCCAGTTTACTATGAGCAGTTTAACTCTTTGTCCCCTTTGAAAAATCTTGCTCTCTAAGCCCAGAATGGGTAAGGGATTAGTTCTAACATGTCTATCTGCTTCCCTTTCATCTCTATTCCTAATAGGAAAGATTCCAAGTCATTTCCTCTACTGTAGGAACAGACTGAGCTGTGGTGACAACTACCATGATGACCATCACTGGCACCTCTGAGTGAACTCTTCCTCCCCACTATCCTGGCATAGAAGTCTTCAGTGGAAATAAACTCCATTTTCCATGAGTTCACTTACTATTTTGCAATAATGTAATACTACTTCTACTATAAACATTTAGAAATGGTGGATTTATGGGCCGGGTGCGGTGGCTCATGCCTGTAATCCCAGCACTTTGGGAGGCCAAGGTGGGCAGATCACGAGGTCAGGAGATCAAGACCATCCTGGCCAACATGGTGAAACCCTGTCCCTACTAAAAATACAAAAATTAGCCAGGTACAGTGGCACACACCTGGAGTCTCAGCTATTCAGGAGGCTGAGGCAGGAGAATCGCTTGAACCTGGGAGGTGGAGGTTGCAGTGAGCCAAGATCGCGCCACTGCACTCCAGCCTGGCAACAGAGCAAGACTCCGTCTCAAAAAAAAAGGAAATGTTGGATAAAATGTAAAACAGACAAATACACTTTTGCTTTTTTTTTTTTTTTTTTTTTTTTTTTGGATTGCACCACTGCCCTCCAGCCTGGGCTACAGAGTGAGATTCTGGGACTACAGGTGCACGCCACCACACCCAGCTTTTTTTGTATTTTTAGTAGAGTTGGGGTTTCACCATGTTGGCCAGGCTGGTCTCGAACTCCTGGACTCAAGTGATCTGCCCGCCTCGGCCTCCCAAAGTACTGGATTATAGGCATGAGCCACCACACCTGACCAAAAAATAATTTGACAGAAACCACCCCTAAGGAAACCCAGACATTGTAATTATTAGTAAAGACACAAATCAATTGTCCTAAATATGTCCAATGAGCTAAAGGAAACCATGGACAAAGAAGTAATGAAATCAGAAAAACAATGTGTGAACACATTGGAGACAGAAATTATACAAGGGAACCAAACAGAAATTCTGGAGCTAAAAAGTACAATAAATTTTAAAATTCACTAGAGGGGTTCAACAGCAGGTTTGAGCAGGCAAAGTATCAGTGAACTTGAGGATAAGGTAATTAAAATTACATAGTCTAAAATGCAAAGAGAAAAAATAATGGAAAAAAAATGAACAAAACCTTGAGGGACCTGTGGGACATCATCAAGTATACCAAATACACATCATAGGAGTCCCAGAAAAAGAAGAAAGAAATGGATAGAAAAAAAATTTGAAGAAATAATGCGGCCAGGCACAATGGCTCATACCTGTAATCCCAGCACTTTGGGAGGCCAAGGTGGGTGGATCACCTGAGGTCAGGAGTTCGAGACCAGCCTGGTCAACAGGGTGAAACCCTATCTTTACTAAAAAATACAAAAATTAGCCAGGTGTGGGTGGCAAGTGCCTGTAATCCCAGCTACTTGGGAGACTGAGGCAGGAGAATCACTTGAACCTGGGAGGCGGAGGCTGCAATGAGCCGAGATCGGGCCACTGCACTCCAGCCTGGGAAACAAGAGTAAAGCTCCATCTCAAAAAATAAAATAAAATAAAAATAACATGCAAAAAAAAAAAAAGAAAGAAAAAGAAATAATGGCTGCAGACATCCCAAATCTGATGAAAGACATTCATATGTACATCCAGGAAGCTCAAAAACCTCCTAGCAAGATAAACTGAAAGAAATTCATACCAAGAAACATTAAAACCAAAGTGTCAAAACCCAAACACAAAGAATGAATCTTGAAAGTGGCAATAGGCTGGGCACAGCAGCTCATGCCTATAATCCCAACACATTGGGAGGCAGAGGCAAGAGGATCACTTGAGGCCAGGAGTTCGAGACCAGCCTGGGCAACAAAGCGAGACCCCTGTCTCTACAAAAAAATTAGAAAAAAAAAAAAAAAATTAGCCAGGTGCTGTGGCACACACCTGTAGTCCCAGCTACTCAGGGGCTGAGGTGGGAAGATCGCTTGAGCCCAGCAGGTTGAGGCTGCAGTGCAGCTATCATTGCACCACTGTGCTCACTCCAGCCTGGCTGAAAAAGTGAGACCCTGACTTTAAAATAAAAAAGAAACAAACAAAGGCTAAAGGGGATCCTTCAGGCTAAAATGAAAGGACACCAGAAAGTAACTCAAAACCACAAGAAAAAAACAAAAAACATGTATGTTTTACTACTATGTAGGAAAAGTAACTACATAGATAAATATAAAAGCCTGTATTACTGTACTTTTGGTTTATAATTCCTCATTTTTCATCCTGTATGATTTAAAAGGCAAATGCATAAAACAATAATTATGAATTGATGTAATGGGCACCCAAGGTATAAAACTGTAATCTGTGATAATGAAGCAGGAGAGACATAATGAAGTGGGAGGGAGAGACATATAGGAGCAGAGCGTTTGTATATTATTGAAACTAAGTTGATATTATTCAAACTAGGTTGAACTAGCCACCACGCCTGGCTGTGTTTCTCTATTTCTGCAAAAACCACTGTTGAGGACAGGCGGTGGCCCATGCCTGTAATCCCAACGCTTTGGGAGGTCAAGGCGGGTGGATCATCTGAGGTCAGGAGTTTGAGACCGGCCTGGCCACTTAATGGGAAAGCACAGTCTCTTCAATAAATGGTGCTAGAAAAATGAATATTCTCATGCAAAAAAAAGCAAAAACATCACATAGTTTTCACTATATACAAAAACTAACTCAAAATGGAGCAAAGACCTAAATGTGAGAGCTAAAACTATAAAAATCTTAGAGAAAAAGGAAGGGGAAATACTTCATGACACTGGATTTGGCAATGATTTCTTGAATATGACACCAAAAGAAAAAACTCGATATGGTAACAAAAGAAAAAAACTTGAAAAACTGGATTTCATCAAAATTTAAAACTTTTTTGCATCAAAGGATACTATCAAGAGTGAAAAGACGGCAGGCGCAGTGGCTCACGCCTGTAATCCCAGCACTTTGGGAGGCCGAGGCAGGTGGATCACCCGAGGTCGGGAATTCAAGACCAGCCTGTCCAACATGGTGAAACCCTGTCTCTACTAAAAATACAAAATTAGCCAGGCATGGTGGCGCATGCCTGTAATCTGAGCTACTCAGGAGGCTGAGGCAGGAGAATTGCTTGAACCCAGGAGGCAGAGGTTGCGGTGAGCCGAGATCACGCCATTGCACTCCAGCCTGGGCTTCAAGAGCAAAACTCCATCTCAAAAACTAATAATAATAAAAGAGTGAAAAGACAAACCATAAAATGGGGGGAAATATTAGCACAGCATATATCTGATAAAGGATTAATATCCAAAATATATAAAGAACTCCTATAACTCAACAACAAAATAACCGCCTAATTTAAAAATAGACCTTTCTGGGCTGGGTGCAGTGGCTCACGCCTGTAATCCCACCACTTTGGAAGGCTGAGGTGGGTGGATCATCTGAGGTCAGGAGTTCGAGACCAGCCTGGCCAACATGGTGAAACCCCGTCTCTACTAAAACTACAAAAATTAGCTGGGCATGGTGGTGCATGCCTGTAATCCCAGCTACTCGGGAGGCTGAGGCAGGAGAATCGCTTGAACCCAGGAGGCAGAGGTTGCTATGAGCCGAGATCGTGCCACTGCAGTCCTGTCTGGGCGACAGAGCAAGACTTCAACTCAAAAAAAAAAAAAAGACCTTTCTTCAAAGAAGACGTACAAAAGGCCAATAGCACATGAAAAGATGCTCAATGTCACTAGCTATTAGGGAAATACAAAGCAAAACCATAATGAGATACTACACTTCACACCCATGAGGATGCCTATTATAAAAAGAAAAAGGCTGGGCATGGTGGCTCACACCTGTAGTCCTAGCATTTTGGGAGGCCGAGGCAAGAGGATTGCTTAAGCCCAGGAGTTTGAGACCAGCTTGGGCAATACAGTGAGACCCCATCTCTCATATATATATATATATATGTATATATATATATATACGTATATATATATATATATACGTATATATATATATGTATATATATATATATATATATTTTTTTTTTTTTTTAATAGAAAGGAAAGTGGCTAGGCGCAATAGCTCACGCCTGTAATCCCAGCACTTTGGGAGGCCAAGGCGGGTGGATCACGAGGTCAGGAGATTGAGACCATCCTGGCTAACACATGAAACCCCATCTCTACTAAAAATACAAAAAATTAGCCGGGTGTGGTGGCAGGCGCCTGTAGTTCCAGCTACCCGGGAGGCTGAGGCAGGAGAATGGCTTGAACCCGGCAGGCGGAGCTTGCAGTGAGCCAAGATTGTGCCACTGCACTCCAGCCTGAGCAACAGAGCGAGACTCCATCTCAAAAAAAAAAAAAAAAAACCAATAAAAAGGAAAGTAATAGGTATCAGTGAGGATGTAGAGAAACTGGAATCCTTGTGCATTGGTCATAGGAATGTAAAACAGTGTAGCTGCTAAGGAAAACCATATGGTGGTTCCTCAAAAAGTTAGGGTTTTTTTTTTGAGACAGTCTCACTCTGTCATTGAGGCTGGAGTGTAGTGACACAATCATAGCTCACCACAGCCTCAAAAATCCCTGAGCTCAAGCAATCCTTCTGCCTTAGCACCTCAAATAGCTGGGACTACAGGCATGCACCACCATGCCCGGATGATTTTTTAAATTTTTTATAGAGATGGGGTCTTACTCTGCTGCCCAGAAACAATCCTCCCACTTCGGCCTCCAAAAGTGCTGGATTACGGGTATGAGCCACCACCCAGACCTTCAAAAAGTTAAACATAGAGTTATCATGTGATCCAACAACTTCAGTTCTGAGTATATACCCAAATGAATTGAAAGCACGAGCTCAAACAGATACTTGTACACCAACAATCACAGGAGCATTATGCCACAATAAAAGGTGGAAACAACCTGAATGTCCATCACTAGATGAATGGATAAACAAAATGTGGTGTATATACATACAATGAAATATTATTCAGCCTTAATAAGGAGACATACGTGGCTGGGCACGGTGGCTCACACCTGTAATCCCCGCACTTACGGAGGCCGAGGCAGGCGGATCACCTGAGGTCAGGAGTTCGAGACCAGCCTGGCCAACATGGTGAACCCCGTCTCTACTAAAAATACAAAAATTAGCCAGGTGTGATGGCAGGCGTCTGTAATCCCAGCTACTTGGGAGGCTGAGGCTGGAGAATCGCTTGAACCCAGGAGGCAAAGGTTGCAGTGACTGGAGATCGAGCCATTACACTCCAGCCTGGGTGACAAGAGCAAAACTCCATCTCAAAAAAAAAAAAAAGATAAAAAAATAAAAATAAAATTAAGGAGACACATGCTACAATATATATGAACATTGAAGACATCATGCTAAGTGAACTAAGCCAATCACAAAAGGTCAAAAACTGTAAGATTCCACTTATGTGAGGTACCTAGATGCCTTCATCTGTTCAGGATGCTGTAACAAAAATATCATAAACCAGGTGGCTTATAAACAACATTTATTTCTCACAGTTCTAGAGGCTGGGAAGTCCAAGATCAAGACACTGGCAAATTTGGTGTCTGGTGAGAGCCCGTTCCTCATAGATGTTGACTTCTTGCTGTGTCGTCAGTGGGTGGAAGGGGTGCACAAGCTCCCTCAGGTCTCTTTTTTTTTTTTTTTTTTTTGAGACGGAGTCTCGCTCTGTCGCCAGGCTGGAGTGCAGTGGTGCGATCTTGGCTCACTGCAACCTCCACCTCCTGGGTTCAAGCAATTCTCTTGCCTCAGCCTCCCAAGTAACCGGGACTACAGGTACACGCCACCACACCCAGCTAATTTTTGTATTTTTAGTAGAGATGGGGTTTCACCATGTTGGCCAGGATGGTCTCGATCTCTTGACCTCGTGATCTGCCTGCCTCAGCCTCCCAAAGTGCTGGGATTATAGGCGTGAACCACCACACCTGGATCCCCGGGTCTCCTTTATAAGGGCACTCTTCCCATTCATGAGGGCTCCACTCTCAGGACCTCATCACCTCCCAGAGGGCCCCCCACAGCCTATACCATCACCTTGGGGGTTAGGATTTTGACAAATGAATTTTCAGGAGACACTAACATTCAGACCATAGCATCAGGATGGGTAAATTCATAGAGAAATAAAGTAGAATGGAGGTTACCAGGTGATAAGGGAAGAGGGCAATGGGGAATTACTGCTTAATGGGTATAAAATTCCTGTCTGAGATGAACAAAATCTGGAAATGGATAGTGGTAAGAATTGTACAACATTGTGAATGTACTTAATGCCACTGAATTATATACTTCAAAATGATTAAAATGGTAAATTGTATATTATGTGTATTTTACCATAAATATATAAAAGCTATTATTAATCTTATAATTTTTAAAATAAATGATTGTCTTAGATTTTTCTAAAATATCTATTTGTTTAAAAAAAAATGCAGGAATACAAAATGGCAAGAAAACTGTACCAACACTTTGGGAGGCTGAGAGGACTGCTTGAGGCCAGAGTTCGAGACCAGCCTGGGCAACATAGCAAGACCCTGTCTCTACAAAAAATTTAAAAATTAGCCAGGTATGGTGGCATGTACTAAGTCCCAGCTACTTTGGAGGCTGAAGTGGGAGGATCACTTGAGCTTGGGAGGTCAAGGCAGCAGTGAGCCATGATCGAGCCACTGTACTCTAGCCTGAGTGACAGCGCAAGAGCCTGTCTCAAAAACCAAAAACAAGGCCAGGTGCAGTGGCTCATGCCTGTAATCCCAGCACTTTGGGAGGCTGAGGCAGGTGAATCACCTGAAGTCAGGAGTTCGAGACCAGCCTGACCAATATGGTGAAATGCCATTTCTACTAAAAATACAAAAATTAGCTGGGCATCATGGTGTGCACCTGTAGTCTCAGCTACTCCAGGGACTGAGAAGGGAGAATTCCTTGAATCCGGGAGGCAGAGGATGCAGTGAGCGGAGATCACACCACTGCACTCCAGCCAGGGTGACAGAGCAAGACTCCATCTCAAAAAAAAAAAACAAAAACAAAAACAAAAATGACAAGAACTAACCAAAACCCAAAAGAAACAAATAAGACAAGAGAAAATGGACCTATTGAAGACATAGATTTTGAAGTTATCAGACACAGGTTTTAAAATAACTGTGATTAGCATGTTCAAGAAATTAGATGACAGAATGGAGAATTTTACCAGAGATCTGGACACACTAAAAAAAAAAAAAAAAGAAAATTCTAAAAGCGAAAAACAGAAAATAAATAAAATAAATATAAAATTAAGAACTCGATAGGTAGGTTAACAGCAGATTAGCTACAACTGAAAAGAGGACAGGAAGATAGATCAGAGAATATCCAGACTAAAGCTGGAGGGGGAAAAAAAAAGGTTGGAAAAATATAGAAAAGAGCTGAAGACACATTTGGCACACAGTGAAAGATCTAACATATGTGTATTCAGAACTACACAAGGAGACGAGAAAGTGGAGCAGAAGCAACATCTGAAGAGATGAGTTCTGACTGAGAATTTTCCAACACTGACAAAAAAAGCACCTAAAGATTTAAGAAGCAATATGAACCCAGAGCAGGATAAAAGACACACACATGGCCCAGTGTGGTGGCACATGCCTATAATCCCAGCATTTTGGGAGTCTGAGGTGGAAGGATTGCTTGAAGCCAGGGATTCAAGACCAGCCTGGGCAACAAGGCCAGACCCTGTCTCTACAAAAAAAACTAAAAAATAAAAATAAAAATTTAAGAAGACAGATACCCATAGATAAATCATAGTAAATTGCTGAATACTAAAAAGAAAGAAAAAAAATCTTTTTTTTTTTTTTTTTTCTGAGACGGAGTTTTGCTCTGTTGTCGTGGCTTGAGTGCAGCTGCACGATCTCGGCTCAAAGCAACCTCTGACTCCTGGGTTCAAGCGATTCTCCTGCCTCAGCCCCTCCCAAGTAGCAGAGATTACACACATGCACCACCACACCTGGCTAATTTTTTTTTTGTATTTTTAGTAGAGACAGGGTTTCACCACATTGGCCAGGCTGGTTTCGAACTCCTGACCTTGTGATCCACCAGTCTTGGCCTCCCAAAGCGCTGGGATTACAAGCGAGAGCCACCACACCCAGCCTGAGAGAAAATCTTCAAAGCACACAAAGTCAGCTGGGCACAGTGGCTCACACCTGTAATCCCAGCACTTTGGGAGGCCAAGGTGGGCAGATCACAAGGTCAGGAGTTCGAGACCAGCCTGGCCAATATGGTGAAACCCTGTCTCTACTAAAAATACAAAAATTAGCTGGGCGTGGTGGCAGGCACCTGTAGTTCCAGCTACTCAAGAGGCTGAGGCAGCAGAATCGTTTCAAACTGGGAGGCGGAGGTTGCAGTAAGTCGAGATTGCGCTACTGCACTCCAGCCTGGTGACAGAGCGAGACTCTGTCTCAAAAAAAAAACATAAATAAAAGCACACAAAGTAAAAATAAACTTTAACAAAATGAAAAAAAAAAAAGTTAATTTCTCAACAGAAACAACAGTAACGCTGAGGAGGGCGGATCACCTGAGGTCAGGAGTTTGAGACCAGCCTAGCCAACATGGCAAAACCCCATCTCTACTAAAAATACAAAAATTAGGCCGGGCGCGTTGGCTCACGCCTGTAATCCCAGCACTTTGGGAGGCCGAGGTGGGCGGATCACTTGAGGTCAGGAGTTCAAGACCAGCCTGGCCAACATGGTGAAATCCGTCTCTATTAAAAATACAGAAAATAGTCAGGTGTGGTGGTGCGTGCCTGTAATCCCAGTTACTTGGGAGGTTAAGGCAGGAGAATTGCTTGAATCTGGGAGGCAGAGGTTGCAGTGAGCCAAGATCACGTCACTGCACTCCAGCCTGGGCAACAGAGCAAGAGTCTATCTCAAAACAAACAAACAAACAAAAAAAAAAACAATGTTTTGAGAAATAAAACAAGGCTGAGCATAGTGGCTCACATCTGTAATCCCAGCACTTTGGGAGGCTGAGGTAGGCAGATCACCTGAGGTCAGGAGTTTTAGACCACCTGGCCAACATGGTAAAAACCCATCTGTACTAAACATACAAAAATTAGCTGGGTGTGGTGGCATGCAGTTACTTGGGAGGCTAAGGCAGGAGAATTGCTTGAACCCAGGAGGCACAGGCTGCACCACTGCACTCCAGCCTGGATGACAGAGCTAGACTCCGTCTCAAAAAGGGGGAAAAAAAAAAATGACTGGCTTGCATAGCCTGGGCAACATGGTGAAATCCCATCCCTACAAAAAATATGAAAACTAGCAGGGTGTGGTGGTATACCCCTAGAGGTTCCAGCTACTCAGGGGGCTGAGATGGGAGGATCGCTTGAGCCCCGGAGCTGAGGCTGCAATGAGCTGTGATTGCACCACTGCCCTCCAGCCTGGGCAACAGAACAAGACCGTCTCAAAACAAAAAACAAAAACAAGAACAGCCTGGGCAACATCACGACATCCCATCTCTATTCAAAATAAATAAATTTTTTTTAAAGAAATAAAAGTAAAATTAAATAATTAATGGATTTTAGACTACAGGTTTTGGGTCCCACCTGAAGCCTAGCCACAGCAGCCACAGATCAAAGAATGCCAGCAACAGTCCACGGCTAGTACTTAAGATATTCCAGCCTCCTAATGTTGATTCTTCATCTTCCTAGGAGCCCTAACTTGGATGAATCAAGAAAAAGCTGGGTGGCCAGGTATGGTGGCTCATGCCTATAATTTCTTCACTTTGGGAGGCCAAGGCAGGAGGATTGCTTGAGCCCAGGAATTTGAGACCAGTCTAGGCAACACAGCAAAACCTTGTCTCTACAAAAAAAAGTTTATTTTAATTAGCTGGGTGTGGTGGCAGATGCTGGTGGTCCCAGCTCTACTTGACGGACTAAGTAGATTCCTTGAGAGAACCACTTGGGTCCAGGAGGTCAAGGCTGCAGTGAGCCACGATCATGCCACTGCATTCCAGACTGTGCAACAGTGAGACTCCATCTCAAAAAAAAAAAGGGGGCCGGGCGTGGTGGCTCATGCCTGTAATCCTAGCACTTTGGGAGGCCGAGGCGGGCAGGTTGCCTGAGGTCAGGAGTTCAGGACCAGTCTGGCCAACATGATGAAACCCCGTCTCTACTAAAAATACAAAAAAATTAGCTGGATGTGGTGGCGTGCACCTGTAATCCCAGCTACTTGGGAGGCTGAGGCAGGGGAGTTGCTTGAACCAGGGACGTGGAGGTTGCAGAGAGCCAAGATTGCGCCATTGCACTCCCAGCCTGGGCGACAGAGCGAGACTCCATCTCAAAATAAAAAATAAAAAAATAAAAGTGGAGGGAGAGCTGGAAATTTTCACAAGAAATATATTCAAAATAACCAAGGAAAGGGAAATGAAGATACGTAAGACAAACACACAAAAAAGATCAGAATGAATTCAGGGATCAGATAGGGTGAAAAAGGCAGCTATTCTGGCACAAGGTCCCAACACTTGCAGGTGGAACTGAGACAGACCAAATGGTAGAAATTCCCAGAAGCAGAGAGGGGAGTGAAAGACAGCGTCAGTCACTAATTACTTCCAATATAGGAAGTTCTCTCACTCTAGATCTCTTACCTGAAGGCAGAAAACAAATTTGTGCAAAACAAAAACAAACAAACAAAAAAACTGTGCCTAAAATAATAGCTAACTGCTGAGAACAGAATGGGTAAAGATAGGGAGTTCACTTACTTATTTAGACAAAGGTGAGCTTCAATAAAGATATCCTTAGCTTTTTCAGGGAAGTCCTTTATTTTAAAGTTGGCATCATAGTCTTTTATCCTCCGGATTCTGTAAAATTAAGCCTGAGTATTACTTCTAAAGGTCTTACAATTCCATAATTCACAGCCTACACTGACCTCCATTCATGTCCATCCACTTACTCAATAACTGTTTAGCTTTTTTTTTTTTTTCTTTTTTTGAGTCTCGCTCTGTCACCCAGGCTGGAGTGCAGTGGCATGATCTCGGCTCACTGCAAGCTCTGCCTCCCAGGTTCACGCCATTCTCCTGCCTCAGCCTCCTGAGTAGCTGGCACTACAGGCGCCCGCGACCACACGCGGCTAAATTTTTGTATTTTTAGTAGAGACGGGGTTTCACCGTGTTAGCCAGGATGGTCTCGATCTCCTGACCTCAGGATCCGCCCGCCTCGGCCTCCCAAAGTCCTGGGATTACAGGCGTGAGCTACCACGCCCGGCCAATAATTGATTTTTTAATGTGTCAAGTCCTGGAAATTCAACCTTCTCCCTCTTAAATTAAGCACTCTAAAGAAAGACTAAGACTTCTCATAGTGAAATTTCAGAATTCTAGAATCAAAGATAACATCTGATATGCACTAAAAACAGAAAAAACGGGTTTCTTACAAATGCTCAAGAGTCAAAATAGGCCAGGCGCGGTGGCTCACGTCTGTAATCCCAGCACTTTGGGAGGCCGAGGCAGGTAGATCACTTGAGGTCAGGAGTTTGAGACCAGCCTAGCCAACAGGGTGAAACCCCATCTATACTAAAAATCCAAAAATAAGCTGGGCATGGTGGTGCACACCAGTAATCCCAGCTACTCCGGAGGCTGAGGCACAAGAATCGCTTGAACCCAGGAGGCAGAGGTTGCAGTGAGCAGAGATCGCACCACCGCATTCCAGCCTGGGTCACAGAGCGAGACTCCATCTCAAAAAAAAAAAAGCTGGGCATGGTGGTGCTGTCTGTAATCCCAGCTACTTGGGAGGCTGAGGCAGGAGAATACTTGAACTTAGGAGGCAGAGGTAGTGATCGCGCCACTGCACTCCAGCCTGGGAAACAGAGCGAGACTCCATCTCAAAAAAAAGAGTCAGAATAACACTGGGCTTCTTTTTTTTTTTTTTTGAGACAGAGTCTCGCACTCCGTCGCACAGGCTGGAGTACAGTGGCGCAATCTCGGCTCACTGCAACCTCTGCCTCCTGGGTTCAAGCAATTCTCCTGCCTCAGCCTCCCAAGTAGCTGGGACTACAGGCACACATCACCCCGCCCGCCTAATTTTTGTATTTTTAGTAGAGATGGGGTTTCACCATGCTGACCAGGCTGGTCTCGAACTCCTGTCCTTGTGATCTGCCTGCCTCGGCCTCCCAAAGTGCTGGGATTACAGGCCTGAGCCATGGCACCTGGCAACACTGGGCTTCCTAACAGCAACATTAGAAGTTACAAAGACAGGCCGGGTGCAGTGGCTCACGCCTGTAATCCCAGCACTTTGGGAGGCCAAAGCAGGCAGATCATGAGGTCAGGAGCTCGAGATCATCCTGGCCAACATGGTGAAACCCCGTCTCCACTAAAATACAAAAAATTAGCCAAGCGTGATGGCACGTGCCTGTAGTTCCAGCTACTCGGGAGACTGAGGCAGAAGAATCACTTGAACCCAGGAGGCAGAGGTTGCAGTGAGCTGAGATCCTGCCACTGCACTCCAGCCTGGGTGACAGAGCGAGACTTCGTCTCAAAAAAAAAAAAAAGGAAGTTACGGCCGGGCGCAGTGACTCAGGTCTGTAATCCCAGCACTTTGGGAGGCCAAGGTGGGCTGATCACAAGGTCAGGAGTTCGAGACTGGCCTGGCCAATATGGTGAAACCCTGTCTTTACTAAAAATACAAAAATTAGCTGGGCGTGGTGGCAGGCGCCCGTAGTCCCAGCTACTCAGGAGACTGAGGCAGGAAAATTGTTTGAACCCAAGAGGCAGAGGTTGTAGTAAGTCAAGATCGCGCCACTGCAATCCAGCCTGGGCGAAAGAGTGAGACTCCGTCTCAAAAAAAAAATAAAATAAAAAGTAATTACAAAGACAACAGAGCAGTGCTTTTATTATTCATTCACTCATTCATTCATTCATTCACTGAGACAGGGTCTCACTCTGTCACCCAGGCTAGAGTACAGTGACGCCATCAGGGCTCACTGCAGCCTTGACCTCTGGGACTCATGCAATCCTCCCACTTCAGACTCCCAAGTAACTGGAACTGCAGGTGTGCACTACCACGCTTGGCTAATTTTCACTTTTTTTTAGTTTTTGTAGAGACAAGGTCTCACTGTGTTGCCCAGCTGGTATTCAACTCCTGCTCAAGTGATCCTCCTGCCTCAGCCTCCCAAAGTGTTGAGATTACAGGCATGACCCACCATGCCCAGACTTTGAGCAGTACTTTTAATTGAGGAAAAAATTATTTCTATCACAGAATTAAATACCTGGGCAAATTATAAATGAAGTGGGAGAATAAAATATTTCTTTTTAGACTTGCAAGATCTTATTTATCCACCATGCAGCCTTTCTCAGGCAGCTGCTAGAAAATGTGCTCCACCAAAGTAATGAAATAGACTATGAAAACATAAAGACATAGGATCCAAGCAACAGGGAATACAACGTAAGAGGGAGGCAATCAGCCTGACCAACATGGTGAAACCCCATTTCTACTAAAAATACAAAAATTAGCTGGGCGTGGTGGCGCACACCTGTAATCCCAGCTACTCAGGAGACTGAGGCAGGAGAATCGCTTGAACCCGGGAGGCGGAAGTTGCAGTGAGCTGAGATCGCACCACTGCACTCCAGCCTGGGCAACAGAGCAAGACTCAGTCTCAAAAAAAAAAGAAAAGAAGACGGAGGCAAGAGGAATCTTAGATCCTAAGACGTACAGTTGGCCTTAAGAGCAACTAGTCCAGATTAAAACAGGTAAGAAGACTCCAGGAGGGATTTCTTGAAAAAGATGAAATTAATAAAATATTTAATGTTGCAGGGCGTGGTGGCTCACACCTGTAATCCTAGCACTTTGGGAGGCTGAGGCAGGTAGATAATGAGGTCAGGAGTTCGAGACCAGCCTGGCCAATATGGTGAAACCCCGTCTGTACTAAAAATACAAAACAGCCAGGTGTGGTGGCACACACCTGTAGTCCCACCTACTGGGGAGGCTAACACAGAAGAATTGCTTGAACCCAGGAGGCAGAGGTTGCAGTGAGCCAAGATCATACCATTGCACTCCAGCCTGGGCAACAGAGTGAGACTCCCTCTCAAAAAAAAAAAAAAAAAAAAAAAAATTTAATGTTTTGAATGCACAGAGAGGAAATTACATAACCCATAGTTCCATAAGCAAATGAGCAAATTAAGACACTACACTTCAGGAAAAAAAAATATATTATGCAGGAAAGAAAAAGTGTTCATAATGTACTATATAACTCAGCTGTCAACAGCATTTTCCAAGTTATAACAATATAGAGAATTTGATTTAATCAAAGTATTAATTTAAGTGTGTTAAAGGAATTTATCCCAGGGATGTGAGGTTGGTTTAATATTTGAAAATCAATTAATAAGGCTGGGCACGGTGCCTCACGCCTGTAATGCCAGCACTTTGGGAGGTCAGGAAGGTGGATCACCTGAGGTCAGGAGTCCAGGCTGGCTAACATGGTGAAACCCTGTCTCTACTAAAAATACAAAAATCAGTGGGGCATGGTGGCGCACACCTGTAGTCTCAGCTACTCGGGAGGCTGAGGCAGGAGAATCACTTGAACCTGGGAGGCAGAGGCTGCAGTGGGCCGAGATGGAGCCACTGCACTCCAGCCTGGGTAACAGAGCAAGACTCCATCTCAAAAAAAAAGAAGAAAAGAAAAGAAAATCAATTAATATGTCATCATATCAACAGAATAAAGAACAAGTATCACATGATCATCTCAATAGACACAAAAAAGCATTTGACAAAATCTGACACCCCTTTATACTCTTTTAACCTCAAAGCCTTGCTTGTACTGTTCTGTTTCCCTAGAATGCTATTCCTCACCACACTTCTCCACCTGGCTAACTCTAAAAAAAAAAAAAAAAAACAAACTTTTTTTTTTTTTTTTTTTGAGATGGAGTCTCACTCTGTTGCCCAGGCTGGAATGCAGTGGTGCAATCTGGGCTCACTGCAACCTCCACCTCCTGGGTTCAACCGATTCTCCTGCCTCAGCCTTCCGAGTAGCTGAGATTACAGGTATGTGCCACCATGCTTGGCTAAATTTTGTATCTTTAGTAGAGATGGGATCTCACCATGTTGGCCAGGCTGGTCTCGAACTCCCGACCTCTCAGGTGATCCACCAGCCTTGGCTTCCCAAAGTGCTGGGATTACAGTTGTGAGCCACCTCATCCAGCCACAATCCCAACTTTAAATATCATTTCCTCAGGCAAGTCTTCTCTGATCTCCCAGACCAAGTTATCTTTTTTTTTTTTTTTTTTTTTGAGACGGAGTCTTGCTCTGTCGCCCAGGCTGGAGTGCAGTGGTGCAATCTCGGCTCACTGCAAGCTCTGCCTCCTGAGTTCACACCATTCTCCGGCCTCAGCCTCCTGAGTAGCTGGGACTACAGGCGCCCACCACCGCACCTGGCTAATTTTTTGTATTTTTAGTAGAGACGGGGTTTCCCTGTGTTAGCCAGGATGGTCTCGATCTCCTGACCTCGTGATCCACCCGCCTCGTCATCCCAAAGCGCTGGGATTACAGGCGTGAGCCACCTCGCCCGGCCATTATCTTTCCCTGTCATATGCTCCCATGGCACTCCTACTTCACTACACCTATAATTATTTGTGTGCGATCAGTATTTAATGACTGTTTTCCTCCCCTAGAAGAGAACTGCATGGTAAAACCGTATGTGCTTTGTTCATCATCACCATGGACCCTGCTCACAGTCCAGGAGAGAAATACATGAGAGGAAACATTGCAGTACAGAGTATTAGGAGAAATAAATACAAGTGTGCAATTACAATCACAGCAAAGGCAGCACCAAAAATAGTCATGGAGGCCTTAGAAACAAACATGATAGCCCAGCGTGGTGGCTCACGCCTGTAATCCCAGCACTTTGGGAGGCCTGAGTCTGGCGGATCACCTGAGGTCGGGAGTTCAAGACCAGCCTGACCAACATGGAGAAACCCCATCTCTATTAAAAATACAAAATTAGCCAGACGTGGTGGCACATGCCTGTAATCCCAGCTACTCGGGAGCTGAGGCAGGAGAATCGCTTCAACCCAGAAGGCAGAGGTTGTGGTGAGCCGAGATTGCACCACTGCACTCCAGCCTGGGCAACAAGAGTAAAACTCCATCTCAAAAAAAGAAGAAAAAAAAAGTAGGAGGGGAAAAAGACATTTCAGGCAAAGGAAAGGATGTGCAAAGACAAAGAGGAATGGTACAGTACTGGCAAGGAATTGGCAATTAGTTTGGAAATGCTAAAATTTAGGATGAGAAAAATGGAATAAGGACAAAGAATGATGGTGGAGAAAAAGGCAAGGACCAGATTATAAAAGCTTTGTATACCACTGAAGATATCTGGATTTTATTCTTTGGTTAACAGGAAGCCATAAAAGAGTTCTAAGCAGGGAGGTAATATGATAAAATCTTTTTTATTATTATTTTTTTTTGAGACAGAGTTTCGCCCTTGTTGCCCAGGCTGGAGTGCAATGGCACGATCTCGGCTCACCGCAACCTCCGCCTCCCGGGTTCAAGCGATTCTCCTGCCTCAGCCTCCTGAGTAGCTGGGATTACAGGCATGTGCCACCACGCCCGGCTAATTTTGCATTTTTAGTAGAGATGAGGTTTCTCCATGTTGGTCGGGCTGGTTTTCGATTCCTGACCTCAGGTGATCCGCCCACCTCAGCCTCCCAAAGTGCTGGGATTACAGACGTGAGCCACCGCACCCAGCCAATAAAATCTATATGTAGAGAAATAAGTCATGGCCATGTGAAGAATTCATACTGACTCAATATACTTATGCACATAAACCTATACATGATTTACATATAGTGACAGCGGCTACTCTGGGCACAGTGGCCTATGGGGTAGCCCTGCTCTGCAATGAACAGTACAAATTTAAAAAAAAAGATAGATACAGTCAGAGCTAGACTGGCTGGGTGTGACGGGTCACACCTGTAATCCCAGAATTTTGGGAGGCTGAGGTGGGAGGACTGCTTGAGCCCAGGAGTTCGAGACCAGCCTGGGCAACATAGTGATAACCCGTCTCTACAAAAATTTCTTTTAAAAATTAGCCAGGTCGGCTGGGCGCAGTGGCTCACGCCTGTAATCCCAGCACTTCAGGAGGCTGAGGTGGGTGGATCACGAGGTCAAGAGATCGAGACCATCTTGGCCAACATGGTGAAACCCCGTCTTTACTAAAAATACAAAAATTAGCTGGGCGTGGTGGCATGCGTCTGTAGTCCAGCTACTCGGGAGGCTGAGGCAGGAGAATCTCTTGAACCCGGGAGGCAGAGGTTGCAGTGAGTTAAGAGTGAAACTCCGTCTCAAAATAAATAAATAAATAAATAAATAAAGGGCTGGGCGTGGTGGCTCTCACCTGTAATCCCAGCACTTTGGGAGGCCAAGGCGGGCCTCCTGAGGTCAGGAGTTCAAGACCAGCCTGACCAACAGACCAACATGGAGAAACCACATCTCTACTAAAAATACAAAATTAGCCGGGCATGGTGGCACATGCCTGTAATCCCAGCTACTCAGGAGGCTGAGGCAGGAGGATCATTTGAATCCAGGAGGCGGAGGTTGCGGTGAGCCAAGATCGTGCCATTGCATTCTAGTCTGGGCAACAAGAGCGAAACTCCATCTCAAAAAAAAAAAAATTAAATATATGATTAAAAAAGGATCCTATACACTCCAAAGTCAACTCCCTAACTGATATGACAAAAATTACCAATAAAGGCAGGGATGCTGAGAATCAGGAAGCCCACATTATTCTGCATTAAATACAGACTCTAGTACAAAGGAGAAAATACCATCATGTTATTAAGAGAATGACACCCAACCCAATTAACCCAAAAAGGTCTCTTTGGGATAAAGTAGCAACAAAAAATTGTTATTCTAATACCAATACCCAATTGTCTCAGACACCTACGACACTTGTGATGCCATAGTCTTCTTCATTCGTTCAGTTCTCTCTATCAGTCCCTCCTTTGAAAGAGATGATATGCGTGCATCACCCTCAGGAGGAACATAGGCATCAAATATACCAGCTGTAATAAAGGAAGAAAAAAATTAAGAAAGTGTTGAAAGATTGAGAAAAACTCATAAAATTGAAGTAATGTAAAATTGGGAAGGATTGTGGATATGAAGTAGACTAATGAAACAGACTTCCATGTAGAGAGAACTATGTTACACTAGAAAAAAACAAAACAAGGCCGGGCACAGTGGCTCACACCTGTAATCCCAGTACTTTGGGAGGCCGAGGCGGGCGGATCACAAAGTCAGGAATTCAAGACCAGCCTGGCCAAGATGGTGAAACCCCATCTCTACTAAAAATACAAAAATTAGCCGGGCATGGTGGCAGGTGCCTGTAATCCCAGCTACTTGGAAGGCTGAGGTAGGAGAATCGCTTGAACCCAGGGGGGCAGAGGTTGCAGTGAGCCCAGATTGTGCCACTGGGCGACAGAACGAGACTCTGTCTCAAAAAACAAAACAAAACAAAACAAAAAAAGCCAGAAAGATTTAAGTCTTCTCTCAGAGCCTCAGTTTCTACTTCCACAAAATGGAGAAATTTCACTCTTGCCTTCTAGGGACAGTGTGAAAGTAAGTTCAAAGAACAACTTCATGATATATAGTGTATATAAGGTTAATCATTATTGAGGTTGAACTGACTTCGTGCTTAATTAAATATTATCAATCATAGTCCAAGTCATCCCAAGTTCCAGAAGATCTCTGACAGAAGGATCCCAGGTCAGGGTCCCAGAAATACCTCACCTGTACAGGCCAGATGTATGGAACGGTCCGATTTTTCTGGAGGAATAACCAATCCTGCTTTCCGGGCATGTTGCATAAACTCCTTTTCTGTTTTAAATTTAGGTTGATAAATAGGAGGTGTGAAACGTTTTTTAGTTCTTACTGGAACTATAGCTGCGGACTGAGTCACCAGAACTGGCTGGAAGGTAAAGGAAAGGTTAGGAACCTAGAAAAAAGATCTACTATCTTTTACAAACTCTAAGCAAAGCACTATAGAGAGGGAATATCCAAAGAATGCTTCAGGAACAATTATAAAACAATATCACAGGGAAAAAATGCATTAGGACCTTAATACTTATGGGTGTCTCTAAATAGAAGACAGTTAGCAACCTTTATTAACATCACATTTACTAAAGGCTTTCCTTTAGAACTTCCCACAGTACAGGACTATGCTAACTCCTACGGATACTGAGTTGATCAAAGCAAGTTTCAAAAACTGATGGTGATGGGGAAACACCAACTCAATACTGAAATGGGCAGAATACTATTCTTTATTATTTTTTGAGGCAGATCGCTAGCCTAGAGTGCGATGGCACGATCACGGTTCACTGCAGCCTTGACCTCCTGGGCTCTAGCTATCCTCCCACCGCAGCCTCCCAAGTAGCTGGGACTAAGGAGTGCGCCATCGCATCTGGCTAATTTTAAAATTTTTTTGTAAAGACCAGGTCTTATATGTTGCCCAGGCTCATTTCGAACTCCTGGGCTCAAGCCATCCTTCTGCCTCGGACTTTCAAAGTGCTGGGATTACAAGTGTGAACCACCGCGCCGGGCCCTGAATGCTATGCTTAAAGCATAAGCAAAGTCCTCTTGTAGGCATCTGCTCCATATGTACTCGTGATATTTTGCTCATCCTATCGGGAGTCTCGCTGTAAACTTTATTCTGTCGTTTTAGCACCCAACTGACCAATAAACCCTCGAAAGATCAGGAGATCTTTTCTCTCTGATCATGAGGTTTGCTCAGACGGGGCAGTGACAATATGGGACGCCCTCATTTTCGGCTACTCTTCAACGTAGTTCACTTATAAGAATCGAAGATTAGGGAGTCCACCTTCCAACCCATTACTTGTCTCTCCTTTAATATCTCCTCGCCAGACAGACCCAAACCAATCCGGAAAAACTTAATATCCGTTAATTCACTCGCTCTCATGGCCCTGTCTAGGCTATCCCCATTCGACCACTGAGCTCCGCAGCTAGGTCCTGTCCACCTAAGCCTCTTCCCCGGCCTAGGTATGACTCGTATTGTCCCAGCTCACCAAGGACAATTGCACAGAGAGTATTTCCCTCGACTCTGTCCTCTCCTGTAGCCCCTAGGGTCCTATCGGCCCCGTCCCTACCCACCTGCCGAGACCACCAGCCCAAAAACCTCGATAAACAAGAGAACCCTTGAGGTATGGGGGCTGCCATCTTGTTCCCGCAAAGGCCGCCGGGAAGGGAGCTGAGAGTGAAGAGCGTCGGGTAGGAGAAAAGCCGCATAGGGTGGAGCTAGCACAGGAGTGGAATTTTCCAGGGAGCGCGCCCTCCGCCGAAATGTGAGCAGCGAGGACGCGCACGTGCTCGCGGGAGTGGGGGAGGGTGGAGTAAGGAGGGCGGAGTACGGCCGCGCGTGCGCAGGGAGACAACGTTGGGCGTAGGGTGGAACGAACTGTTGTCCCCCGCCAGCGAGAGAGCGCTTGAACGCGAGCTGCGCCTGCGCCCGAGGCTTTCTGAAGGCCGGGGAATGGGCATTGCTGTATGCTTGGCACATTGCCGTTTATTCCATTAGTTAAAAAAGGAAAAGGAGGCCGGGCGCGGTGGCTCACGCCTGTAATCCCAGCACTTTGGGAGGCCGAGACCGGTGGATCACCTGAAGTCAGGAGTTCGAGACCAGCCTGGCCAAAATGACGAAACCCCGTCTCTACTAAAAATACAAAAATTAGCCGGGCGTGGTGGCACACGCCTGTAGTCCCAGCTGCTTGTAAGGCTGAGGCAGGAGAATCGCTTGAACCCAGGAGGCAGAGGTTGCAGTGAGCCGAGATCGCGCCACTGACTCCAGCCAGAGCTAGACTCCGTCTAAAAAAAAAAAAAAAAAATTAGTCGTAGGGTGGAACGCACGGTTGTCATGCGCCAGCAAGAGAGCGCCGGGCTTGGTGGCAGGCGGCTGTAGTCTGAGCTACTTGGGAGGCTAAGGCAGGAGAATCCCTCGAACACAGGAGGCGGAGGCTGCAGTGATCCGAGATCCCGCCACTGCACTCCAGCGTCGGTGACAGAGAAAGACTTTGTCTCAAAAAAAAACAAAAAAAGAGATTGACTACTGTCTTCTACTATGTTTACTAAAGCAGAAGACACGTGAATTGACAAAAACATTTGTGATTTGTCATTTCGGAAAGGAGTCACAGAGCAATTACGTAATTTACTTAAGGTTAGATAGATGATAACTGGCAGAACCGAGATTTGAATCTAAGCAGTCTAATTCCAGAACCCATGCAGGTAACTGCTACGTGCTGCTTCATGTTAAGTTGTTAAAGGATTCGTGATGTTGGGATCACCCTGGTAAATTCAGTAGTGTAAACGTTGCTGAAAGGCAGACACTTTCCACACTTAGCCGTTGGTTATTATTCTGCCAATTACAGCTTACAGAGTTCTCATCTACAATATTTTGCAATAAGTTAGGAGCTACAGGCTGTACATACAAGAAATTTCAGGCTGAAGTAGAATTGCTACAAAGGTCGAAGCAAAGTGCTGGGGACTATCAGAAGAACTGAAAGATTACTTTTGGGTTTGGAGATCACGTGTTGTTGTTGTTTTTGGAGACGGAGTCTCACTCTGTCACCCAGGCTGGAGTGCGGTGGCACAATCTCGGCTCACTGCAACCTCTGCCTCCCAGGTTCAAGCGATTCTCCTGCCTCAGCCGCCAGAGTAACTGGGATTACAGGTGCACGCTGCCATGCCCGGCTAATTTTTTCTAGTTTAGTAGAGACGAGGTTTCACCGTGTTGCCCAGGCTGGTCTCCAACTCCTGAGCTCCGGCAATCCGCCCACCTCGGCCTCCCAAAGTGCAAGGATTACAGGCGTTTTTTAAAGCTTGACTTCGCAGCTATATCGTACATTCTTATGTGGTAAGTATTTCCCTACAAGTTCCAGCCACAGTATTGAACCTATAGCACGACACATTAATAGTGACATGAAATTAGTGCTGTATGTATGTGTTGAAGAGTATGTGGGGTCGTGTGGGGTGGCTCACACTTGTAATCCCAGCACTTTGAGAGGCGGAAGTGGGTTAGATCCCTTGAGTCCAGGAGTTCAAGACCAGCCTGCCCAATATGGCAAAACCCTATCTCTACAAAAAAATTAAAAAATTAGGCCGGGTGCGGTGGCTCACACCTGTAATCCCTGCACTTTGGGAGGCCGAGGCAGGCGAATCACGAGGTCAGGAGATTGAGACCATCCTGGCTAACATGGTGAAACCCCGTCTCTACTAAAAATACAAAAAAAATTAGCCGGGCATGGTGGCAGACGCCTGTAGTCCCAGCTACTCCAGAGGCTGAGACAGGAGAATGGAGTGAACCTGGGAGGCGGAGCTTGCAGTGAGCCGAGATTGTGCCACTGAACTCCAGCCTGAGCGACAGAGCAAGACTCCGTCTCAAAAAAAAAAAAAAAAAAAAATAGCTGGGCATGGTGGCCCCAGCTACTGGGGAGGCTGAGGTGGGAGGATGGCTTAAGTCCAGGAGGCAGAGGTTGCAGTAAGCCAAGATCCCACCACTGCACTCCAGCCTGGGCAACAGAGCTATTCAGTGCCTATAGAAGCATAGGGAAACAAGAAAAAAGAAAAAAATAGAATATATGTTATTAAGCATTTAAATAAGCTATATCTGATTATTTAACAGACTCCTGTCCACCTACTCTAATCCCTAGAAAATAAAACATGATTTTTTTTTTCTCTTGAGACAGTTTTCACTCGTCAGCCAGGATGGAATGCGATAGCGCAATCTTGGCTCGCTGCAACCTCCATCTCTCGGGTTCAAGTGATTCTCCTGCCTCAGCCTCCCAAGTAACTGGGATTACAGGTGCCCACCACCACGCCCAGCTAATTTTTTGTATTTTTAGTAGAGATGGGGTTTCACCATGTTGGCCGGGATGGTCTCAAACTCCTGACCTCAGGTGATCCGCCCACCTCGGCCTCTCAAATTGCTGGGATTACAGGGGTGAGCCACCGTGCCCGGCCAAAACATGAATTATTTTTACTGGTATTCCCAACCAAAGTGAGGAAAGTTTACTCCATGGATGAGAGGTGTTTTTTTTGTTTGTTTTTTTGTTTTTTTTCAGATGCAGTTTCACTCTGTCATCCAGGCTGGAGTGCAATAGCTCGATCTCAGTTCACTGCGACCTCTGCCCCCTGGGTTCAAGCGATTCTCCTGCCTCAGTCCCCCGAGTAGCTGGGATTACAGGTGCCTGCCACTATGCCTGGCTAATTTTTGTATTTTTAGTAGAGATAGGGTTTCACCACATCGCCAGGCTGATCTCTAATTCCTGACCTCAGGTGATCCATCTGCCTCGGCCTCCCAGAGTTCTGGGATTACAGGCGTGAGCCACCGCGCCTGGCCAAGATTATTGATTAATGCAGAACATTAATATAATTTATCTTAGATTACTTCCTCCACCATTGAGTTTTATGTTAGCCTCACACAGTAGCCAACACATCCCAGATCATCTCTGCCCACCCTCTGATCAGTTTCTCAGTTAATACAAACTTGTTCCATATCAGCCTGGATGAAATAATGATAGGGGAGTCAATATCATTTAATTGCTTAGAGATGAGCTATAAGTTAGTTTTGTTGTTGTTTGATGAGCTACTGTTTTGGAAAATTCATATCTTCCTACCTCATCAGCTTCATGGAAAATTGGGAGCTGGCCAGGCACAGTGGCTCACGCGTGTAATCCCAGCACTTCGGGAGGCTGAGGCAGGCAGATCACCTGAGGTCAGGAGCTCAAGACCAGCCTGACCAACATGGAGAAACCCCGTCTCTACTAAAAATACAAAAAATTAGCTGGGCGTGGTAGCGGGCGCCTGTAATCCCAGCTCTTCGGAAGGCTGAGGCAGGAGAATTGCTTGAACCCGGGAGGTGGAGGTTGCGGTGAGCCGAGATCATGCCATTGCACTCTAGCCTGGGCAACAAGAGCAAAACTCAATCCCCCCCAAAAAAAAAAAAAAAAAAAAAAAAGAAGAAAATTGGGAGCTGTCTGTTAGAGAAGTAACACCAAAAGGATATTTCTTTTCTTTCTTTTTTTTTTTGAGATGAAGTTTCACTTTGTTGCCCAGGCTGGCGTACAGTGGGACGATCTCGGCTCACTGCAACGTCGGCCTCCAGGTTCAAGTGATTCTCCTACCTCAGCCTCCGAAGTAGCTGGGATTACAGGTGCCCGCCACCAAGCCTGGCTAATTTTTTCTATTTTTAGTAAAGATGGGGTTTCACCGTGTTGGTCAGGCTGGTGTCGAACTCCTGACCTCAGGTGATCCACCTGCCTCATCTTCCTAAAGTGCTGGGATTACAGGCATGAGCCACCGTGCCCAGCCAAAAAGGGTATTTCTTAATCCTACAATCTTAGTAATTCACATTTCAGAAAAAGCAAGATAAAAAGATCTTGTCACGATGATGGGAGCAAGAGAAGAGAACTCATTGTGCAAGTAGAGGAAGGAATCGATTGTTAGGGGCTCAGTCTTGGCAAAGAACACTCTTGCACATAGTAGACACTCCAATATTTATTTATACAATAAGCAGATGTGAAGAATTCCAGTTGAAATATGATGGGGCAGGCCGGGCGCGGTGGCTCACGCCTGTAATCCCAGCACTTTGGGAGGCCGAGGCGGGTGAATCACGAGGTCAGGAGATCGAGACCATCCTGGCTAACACGGAAACCCCATCTCTACTGAAAATACAAAAAATTAGTCGGGCGCGGTGGCAGGCGCCTGTAGTCCCAGCTACTCAGGAGGCTGAGGCAGGAGAATGGCATGAACCCAGGAGGCGGAGCTTGAAGTGAGCAGAGATCTGGCCACTGCACTCCAGCCTGGGCGAAAAAGCGACACTCCATCTCAAAAAAAAAAAAAAAGAAAAGAAAAGAAAAAGAAATATAATGAGGCAGAAGGAAAAGTTGATTTCCTGTTTTTCCCAGTGAAGTGGGTTACTGGAATCCCTTGTTGTCGTATTGAAATTTCTAAATGGAGCCCGAAGAGGGCTGGGTGTGGTGGCTCACACCTCTAATCCCAGCACTTTTGGAGGCTGAGGCAGGCGGATTGCTTGAGGCCAGGAGTTCGAGACCAGCCTAGCCAACATGGTGAAACCCCATCTCTACTAAAATTACAAAAATCAGCTGGGCGTGGTGGCATGAGCCTGTAGTCCCAGCTTCTTGGGAGGCTGAGGCATGAGAATCATTTGAACCTGGGAGGCAGAGGCTGCAGTGAGCCAAGATTGTGCCACTGTATTCCAGCCTGGGTGACAGAGTGAGACTCTGTCTCAAAAAATAAATAAATAAAATAAATGGAGACCAAAGAGAATGAGACTCTTCCTATGTAAGCAGTGGAGCACACACTTACATTTTTTCCCCTCCCAGTGGCAGATGACATCAGAGATGGAAACTTCAGAAATTCTGCGTAGTGACCTACTTTCTAGGAGAAGCACAGCTGATTTGAACCAGGAAAATTCTTCTGGAGAACTGGGAAGAACCCAATTCTAAACAATATGATACTAGAATTGGAGCAAGTACTAGGCTTGCCATGTATTTATATTGTACTTCCCTTCCCTAAAGTGAGACTATGGAGAGCAAAATAAGTGAATTGTCCAAAATAAGGTGCTGTAGAAGAAACAAGGATCCTGACTTTCTAAGAAATATTCTCAACTGAGCTTTAGTTAATTAGTTAGTTACTTAGAGATGGGGTCTCGCTTTGGCACCAGGCTGGGGTGCAATGGTACCATCACAGCTCACTGCTGCCTCAAATTCCTGGGCTCAAGGGATCCTCTTGCTTCAGTCTCCCTAGTAGCTGGGACTACAAGAGCATGCCACCATATCCAGCATTTTTTTTTTTTTTTTTTTGTAGAGACAAGGTCTTGCCATTTTGCCCAGGCTGGTCTCAATCTCCTGGGCTCAAGCAATCCTCCCCTCTCAGTATCCCAAAGTGTTGGGATTACAGGTGTGAGCCACCACGCTCGGCTTCAGCTGATCTTTAGCAAGCAATATTAGTAGAGCTTGTTTGTCACTCGAGTTGACTGTATATGGCTTTCACATAGTGAAAGTGGTTAAGAATGCTATAGTGCCTGAGTTTACATCTTAGCTTCACCTTTTTTCCTCACCTATAGAAAGGGGGTTATTGGCCGGGCGCAGTGGCTCACGCCTGTAATCCCAGCACTTTGGGAGGCCAAGGCGGGCAGATCACGAGGTCAAGAGATTGAGACTATCCTGGACAACATGGTGAAACCCTGCCTCTACTAAAAATACAAAAATTAGCTGGGCGTGGTGGTGCATGCCTGTAGCCCCAGCTACTCAGGAGGCTGAGGCAGGAGAATTGCTTGAACCTGGGAGTTGGAGGTTGCAGTGAGCTGAGATCGTGCCACTGCACTCCAGCCTGGGCGACAGAGTGAGACTCCGTCTCAAAAAAAAAAAGAAAAAGTAGGGGGCTGGGCACGGTGGCTCACACCTGTAATCCCAGCACTTTGGGAGGCTGAGGTGGGTGGGTCACGAGGTCAAGAGTTCAAGAACAGCCTGGCCAACATGGTGAAACCCCATCTCTACTAAGAATACAAAAATTAGCCAGCTGTGGTGGCACGTGCCTGTAGTCCCAGCTACTCGGGAGGTTGAGGCAGGAGAATCCCTTGAACCCAGGAGGTGGAGATTGCAGTGAGCCGAGATCGCACCATTGCACTCCAGTCTGGGCGACCGAGCAAGACTCTGTATCAAAGAAAAAAAAAAGTAAGAAAGGAAGGGGGTTATTAAGTAGAATTTAAGTAGAATTGTTGTTAACTCATAAAGTGAATTCATATATGGTCCCACTCTGGTTAGTTATAATTACTGCTTCCAAGCCCCATCATAGCCCTGAAAGGGATATAAGGAGCCTAGCAGAAACCTGGAAAGTGTAACTGCTCTTTGTGCTGGACACAGATAACATCCCTGCCCCCAGAGTCCACCCCAGTGCAGCGTGCCTAAAGCAAGAGAGTTCCTGTTGGATGGATGAACAAGAAGTCCACAGGAAGCCCTGAGCGTTAGCTCTCTTCCCCTAGAGAGCAGTTCTCGCCTTTGTTGAAGCTAAGACCACTGAAATGCAGGTAGCTTCCAAGCCCAAAAGTCATTCCTTATTCCTGTGCTGAAGGTCTTTCTTCTCTTAGCTGCTGTTCTTTCCCATCTATCCTTCCACTCACCCCTGCTGCTGGGGACAAATCCTTTTCCTTTACCTCTTTCTGCTTCCTTGCCCTAGATTCCTTATTCTAAAGACAGGTTTCGGAAGAGATGTTGCTTGCTCACCTTGGCTGAGCCAGAAAAGAAGCCCATGCATCCCATTGCTCAAGCTAGGTCTAGAATTAATCCCTCACCTCTTCTTGCTCCACTTTCACCCCAGATAGCTAAATCAAGCAATAATCCTAAAAGGGAATTTCAGGCTATTTTCAACTCCCCACATCCCCCACCTCCCACACCATGTTTAGGGAGGAGAGAGCAAAGCCCTTGGATCAGAGTAATCTGTTTCTAACCCACTTCCATTCCCAGGGATTACCTCTCCAGGGGGAGGGAGACAGAAATAAACCTAACAATTTAGTGCTAGAAACTTGGGAAAGAAGCTCCAGGAGTGCCTTGGAGGGCTGTAGGCATGGGGTTCCAGTAGCCTGGGAACTTCTTCTCATATGCTGGAGTACCCTGTAAAAGGGTCCACAAACTTGAAAAGCAATGCCTAGTGTGGCAAGAATAGGCACTCTATAAATGTGCCCATTGGATGAAAGAATGAAAAATGTATGGATTGTGGGCAGATGAAGGCAGAAACAATATCCTTGTTATACCTACAACCTTTATGTCCTTGTATGCACACCAATTTATGGCTAAAATCAATCAACCAACAAATAAGGAAGTGCGATAGAGTGGAAACACCTCTGGATTGGGAGACAGGAGATATGGATTCTAGTACCACCATTGCCGACATTGATTTGCCCTTTGGCCTTTGGCAAATTGCTTTGCCCAAAGTCAGTTTGTTCTCTGATCACTAATTTTCTCCATTAAAAAAAAAAAGTCTCAGCCGGGCACAGTGGCTCACACCTGTAATCCCAGCACTTTGGGAGGCCAAGGCGGGTGGATCACGAGGTCAGGAGTTTGAGACCAGCCTGGTAAAGATGGTGAAACCCCGTCTCTACTAAAAATACAGCTGGGCGTGGTGGCATGTGCCTATAGTCCCAGCTACTCAGGAGGCTGAGGCAGGAGAATCACTTGAACCCGGGAGGTGGAGGTTGCAGTGAACCGAGATCATGCCACTGCACTCCAACCTGGGCGACAGAGCGATACTCCGTCTCAAAAAAAGTCTCCCTCTAGAGCCCTAAAGGCCTACAGTCCTGTGTTATGTATATTGAGCCCCTATTAATAATGTACAAAGTCCTAAGCTCATTTATATACTAACAGTGACTCATTTTGGGGGTCCCTTGTGAACCAAGTGCTTGGCACACATTTTCTCTAGTCTGTATTCCTTCCTCTACCCTGCATGACCCTGCTATACAAAAATCTACCTTCCGGGCGGGCACGGTGGCTCACGTCTGTAATCCCAGCACTTTGGGAGGCCGAGGCAGGTGGATTGCCTGAGCTCAGGAGTTCAAGACCAGCCTGGGCAACATGATGAAACCGTATCTCTACTAAAATACAAAAAATTAGCCGGGCATGGCGGCGTGCATCTGTAGTCCCAGCTATTTGAAAGGTTGAGGCAGGAGAATTGCTTGAACCTGGGAGGCGGAGGTTGCAGTGAGCCAAGATCGTGCCATTGCACTCCAGCCTGGGCAACAGAGCAAGACTCCATCTCAAAAACAAAAACAAAAACAAAAACAAAAAAATCTATCTTCCAGCTGACCATTCTTTTGGGATGCTCTCCTGTGGCTGGGTGAAGGCTTCCTTCTCAGCTCTTTGGGATTGGAAACAGGGAAGCTGTGCGAATGCAGAAAACTTCCACTAGAGGGTACCAAGGCTGCACCGGATCTCAGACTGCAGGGAGGCCTATGTAAACCCAATTCCTGGATGTTTAAATACCTATGTTGAGAGATTCAGGGATCTCCATTAATTCCTCACTACCGGTGGGAGGTGGGCGAGAGATAAAAAAACTACATATTGGGTACAGTGTACACTACTTGAGTGGCTGGTGTATTAAAATCGCAGACTTTACCACTATACAAATCATCCATGTAATCAAAACCACTTGTACCCCAAAAGCTATTGAAATAAAAAAAATTAATTTAAAAAAATTGCTCAGCCGGGCGCGGTGGCTCACGCCTGTAATCCCAGCACTTTGGGAGGCCAAGGCGGGCGGATCACGAGGTCAGGAGATTGAGACCATCCTGGCTAACGTGGTGAATCCCCGTCTCTACTAAAAATACAAAAACAAAAAATTAGCCGGGCTTGGTCGCGGGCGCCTGTAGTCCCAGCTACTCGGGAGGGTGAGGCGAGAGAATGGCGTGAACCCAGGAGGCGGAGCTTGCAGTGAGCCGAAATCGCGCCGCTGCACTCCAGCCTGGGCGACAGAGCGAGACTCCGTCTCAAAAAAGGCTTTTTTTTTTTTTTTTTTTTTTGAGAACGGAGTTTCACTCTTGTTGCACAGGCTAGTGTGCAATGGCTCGATCTCGGCTCACCGCAACCTCGGCCTCCCAGGTTCAAGCAATTCTCCTGCCTCAGCCTCCCAAGTAGCTGAGATTACAGGCATGCACCACTACGCCCGGCTAATTTTGTATTTTTAGTAGAGACGGGGTTTCCCCATGTTGAGGCTGGTCTCGAACTTCTGACCTCAGGTGATCCGTCTGCCTCAACCTCCCAAAGTTCTGGGATTACAGGCGTGAGCCACTGCGCCCGGCCCCTTGAAAAGCTTTTAAGAAGTCTCTACTATTTGGACATCATTTTGCTTTCTTCATTTTGATTACTTCAAATCAAAGAAAACTTGGCATAATGAAATTCGTGGGGGCTCTGGCAACTGATGTAGATCTTGCTCCACTATTTCCAAACTTTATTAGCCAATTACTTAAGTCATCTGCATTTCAGTGCAAACCCATCTGTGGAATGGAGATAATTTCGCAGATGGGTACACTGAAATGCAGAGAACTTACCTCATAGAGGGGTTGTGAACGTAAGTAAAATCATATATGGAAACAGGTAACTCGGTAGATTGTAGGTGCCTAAAACCGTTTTTGCACTGGCCTATTATAAACTGGGAATTGAGATGTTGAGGAGAGAAAGATGGATTTGCAGGCACTGAGTACCTCCAAACAAGAGACGTGACCTTTTGTCATTTTGCTCTTAAGGCTTGCAGGTTTCCAGGCTAGCGCTGCAGGGCATGCCCCAGCCTTATCCTTCAGCTGTGTTCTATCATCTGCAACAGCCCAGCCATGTCGTTCTGCCCTTTTCCCATCCTGATTTCTCTGGAGGTGAGTTTAGTTTCTACTTCCTACTCGCCTCCTGGATGAAAAGTCTCATGTACGGTGTTTTGCCCTGTGCTTTCTGAAGTGTCACATCTCCACCTAGCTCTGCTCTGCCCTTTTCCTCTCATCTCTCCAACAGTCACTTCTGGGGTGGAATGTGCCATCTGTTTCTGAAACTGAGCAGAAGTTTGGGAAAGGGGGAGGGACAGCCGTGTCCAGGGCTTGCGTGTCAGCAGACACGTTACAGCTGCTGCAGGGCAAACCAGGGTGAAACCACAAGCCAGAGGACCCAGGGCAGGCAGCCGTGAGGCCCGCCCCTCGGCTTCTCTCTCATCTGTCTCACCCAGAGGTTTCCTGGCAGGAGTGGGAGAGGTTGGTATCGAGTCCTTGAGCCCTGACTCATTCCCTGACCTAGTTGGGTGGTACCCAGTTATCTCCTAAATCTCTCTCCAGGGCCCTCTGTTAGCAACACAACAGTATCATCCTAGACAGAAGACGCAGGAGGAAAGCAGACTACCTATTTATCTCATTCCCTTCTGAGGGTCCCAACAACAACCAGGAGGTTTACAGGTTACATTGCTTATAAAATGACCAAAATCATCCCATAGAGCTACACTAAGAGATTGGCTACTTTCCAGATTTCTCTATAGAAACAATCATGCTTACCTTTCTCAAAAAAAAGAATAAAATCATTATTTTATTTTACTTGGGCAGGGGAAGGGACTGAAACACTGAACCAGGAAGTGACTGGTGATTATCACACAGTTAATCAGGGGCCTAACTAGGGACATAACTCAGGTTTCCTAACCCCACCCCAAATTCCATTCTTTCCCTCAGCTTAGTTACTTATGGACTACAGTAATGTCCTGGGCTTTCTGGACTTTACCAAAGTTCTTGTAATTGTCAAATTCCTGAGGGTTGGATAGGAAGCTGATTCTGTGATGCTTCTGGGCTTCACATGTATCTCTTTCACAGTTTGTCCTGTAGAAAACATGAGATATATATTTGTTGCCTCCTGGACAGGTTGCCAAAAACACTTTAGATATTATTCTTAGATTCAAAGAAGACCAATGTGATCCTAAGGTTAGATCTCAGAGACAGAATATTCCATTTTTAAATCATTTGTTGCTGTTCAAGATCCTCATATCTTTATGAGTCACTGTACCAGTAGATGCTGAAAATTATTTTCTTACCCTCCCTTTATTCAGAGGTCCCCATCTGGGCTGGGTGTGGTGGCTCGCACCTGTAATCCCAGGGCTTTGGGAGGCCAAGGCAGGTGGATTGCTTGAGGCCAGGAGTTCGAGACCAGCCTGGCCAACATGGTGAAACCCTGTCTTTACTAAAAATACAAAAATTAGCCAGGCGTGGTGGCAAACGCCTGTAATTCCAGCTACTCGGGAAGCTGAAGCATGAGAATCACTTGAATTTGGGAGTTGGAGGTTGCAGTAAACCGAGATTGTGCCACTGCACTCTGTGTAACAGAGACTCTGTCTCAAAAAAAAGATCCCAGTCTCAGCTGGGCACGGTGGCTCACGCCTATGATCCCAGCACTTTGGGAGTCTGAGGTGGGCAGATCACCTAAGGTCGGGAGTTTGAGACCAGCCTGACCAACATGGTGAAACCCAGTCTCTACTAAAAGTACAAAAATTAGCCGTGTTTGGTGGCCGGCACCTGTAGTCCCAGCTACACGGGAGGCTGAGGCAGGTGAATTGCTTGAACATGAGAGGCGGAGGTTGCAGTGAGCCGAGATCGCGCCACTGCACTCCAGCCTGGGCGACAGAGCGAGACTCCATCTCAGAAAAAAAAAAAAAAAGGTCCCAGTCTCTCCTTAACTAGGGTCATGCTTCTAAAGACATTAGCTGGTTTCCAAGAAAGCAGATTTTAGCTTTATCCATTGGCAGAGAAAACAGTCATTGCACATAGGCCAGAACATTCTTTCTGCCAGAGCTCCCCATCTGGAAGAAAAGAGAAAGAGTTTCAGAGTTTCCATAAGGGCTGCCTAAAGGGGAGGAAGAGAGAGGGAGCCATAGGGAGGGAAGAAGAACGTTACAGGGCTGCAATCCCAAGCCTAATAGTCTGAAAAGAAAATCAGATACTGCAGGCCTGAAAACCTGAGTCAGCATTGCCACACCTCTCCCCTCTACCTAACCCTTAGTCGGGATTTCTTTTGTTCTTCACTCTTTGATTTTTCACATGTACGTATCTATCCTACCTGTCTCACCTCAAAATTTTCTTTCCATTCTTTGTTCTTTATGTAGCTCCCCTCCAAATTTGTGCTCTCCCTATAGATGATTAATAGAGGTTTGAGGTTCCAAGACTAGGTCTTTTTTGGGGTTTTTTTGAGATGGACTTTCGCTCCGTCGCCCAGGCTGGAGTGCAGTGGCGTGATCTTGGCTCACTGCAACCTCCGCCTCCTGGGTTCATGCAATTCTCCTGCCTCAGCCTCCCGAGTAGCTGGGATTACAGACGCGTTACCATGCCCAGCTAATTTTTGTATTTTTAATAGAGGTAACTGTATATTTTTAATAGAGGCGGGGTTTCAGCACGTTGGTCAGGCTGCTCTCAAACTCCTGACCTCAAGTGATCCACCCACCTTGGCCTCCCATAGTGCTGGGATTACAGGTGTGAACCGCCGCACCCAGCCCCAAGACTACTTCTTAATACTTTTTGTTTTGTTTTGTTTTAGAGAGATTCTTGCTATATTGCCCAGGCTGGTCTCATATTCCTGGCGTTCAAAAGATCTTCCTACCTCAGCCTCCTGAGTAGCTGGAACTACAGGTACTCACCACCATGCCCAGCTCCCAGCTACCTAATTTTTTTTGTTGTTTTTTTTGAGACAGGGTCTTGCTCTGTTTCCCAGGCTGAAGTGCAGTGGCACAATCATAGCACAGTCTCACTGCAGCCTTGACCTCGAGCTCAAGCAATTCTCCTGCCTCATCCTCCCAAGTAGCTGGAACCCCAGGCACATGCCACCATGCCCAGCTAATCTTTTATTTTTTGTAGAGGCAGGGTCTCACCAGGTTGTCCAGGCAGGCCCAACTACTTTTTAATACTTCTCAGAAAAATAGGATCATAGAGTTAGAAGGAACTTTCTCATAACCTGTGATTCTCAGAAGGAGTTTGGTGGGTCCAAGGAGCCCCTGAAATTGAATGTCAATTTTAGTACACGTATGCATCTTTCTGGCAAGAAGGCCCATAGCTTCCATTGGGTTCTCAAAGGGTTCCATGATGATACCTTCCATTCAAATCCCTGCTGTGGACCATACAGTTCAGTGTTTTTCAGAATAAGGCTGGGAACCCAAGTTAATTTTGGAATCTAGGTCATGACTTACATTTAAAAAAATGAATAATATAGAATAGAAAATATAATCGTGCATCACACATAGTAAAGACATTAATTTTTTATTAACTAATAATATTTGATTCAAAATTCATATTTATAACTTTTTGATGTTACATATATATAAAATCAAAATGTCGAACCTCATTCATTTAATGAATTTTTTATTGAGTATTTGCCATGTAGCAGATATTGCTGAAATCACTGGGGAATATAAAAATGAAAGAGAAATGTTTCTGGTCCACAAGCAGCTTATATTTGGTAGGAAAGAGAAAAATACACCAAAAATAACAAAAGAACCATAACAGCCACTACAGAAGTAAGCACAAGGTACAAGGTGGTGCAGAGGAGAGCATGAAAGACCGTTTTGAGAATTCAGGTGGGGCCACACTGGAGTTGAGTCACACTTG
Organism: Homo sapiens; assembly: GCF_000001405.40. NCBI lineage: Eukaryota > Metazoa > Chordata > Mammalia > Primates > Hominidae > Homo > Homo sapiens. Next base: position 38,283,223 of record NC_000017.11, on the reverse strand, counting down.
AAATGAGCAGGAATTTGCAGGGAGGCATAAAATTCTAGCCAAGGGGCTGGGCATGGTGGCTCGCGCCTGTAATCCCAGCACTTTGGGAGGCCGAGGTGGGCGGATCACGAGGTCAAGAGATCAAGACCACCCTGGCCAACATGTGAAACCTCATCTCTACTAAAAATAGAAAAATTAGCAGGGCATGGTGGTATGTGCGTGTAATCCCAGCTACTTGGGAGGCTGAGTCAGGAGAATTGCTTGAACCCGGGAGGCGGAGGTTGCAGTGAGCAGAGATCGCGCCATTGCACTCCAGCCTGAGCAACAGGGCGAGACTCTGTCTCAAAAAATAAATTAATTAATTAATTAAATAAATAAAAATAAAAATTTGGCCAGGTGCGGTGGCTCACTCCTGTAATCCCAGCACTTTGAGAGGCCAAGGTGGGCGGATCACGGGGTCAAGAGATCGAGACCATCCTGGCCAATGTGGTGAAACCTCGTCTCTACTAAAAATACAAAAATTAGTGGGGCGTGGTGGCATGCACCTGTAGTCCCAGCTACTCACGAGGCTAAGGCAGGAGCATCTCTTGAACCCGGGAGGCAGAGGTTGCAGGGAGCCGAGATTGCGCCACTGCACTCCAGCCTAGTGACACAGCGAGATTCCGTCTCAAAAAAAATAAAAAACATATAAAAATAAATAAATAAATATTCTAGGCAAAGGGATTGACATGCATGAAGACACAGCAGTGTAAAACAACTTGGGAACTTGGGATGGCCAGGGTGCCCTAAGTGGTCTGGTATGTTGTCCCTGTACTGTGGGGTCCAGTTGGCCAGGGTGCAAATGCAGGCTGGATCATGGAGAGTCTCCCACTGAATGCAGAATATTTTAAATATCCCCAACACACTGTCACCCAGCTCTGCCTGGGCTCTCTCAGACAAAGAACCTAGATCTTTGTAAGGTACTTAATTCTGTTTCTGAGCATCCGATTGTGACAAATTCCTTCCTATATTGATGTAACATTTGCTTCCTTCTTTCACCCAATGATTCTGGTTTGCCCTCTGCAGCATTAAAAAATAAGTCTACATCCTCTTCTATTAGGTTGAACCAAATGAAAATGCTATTTTTATAGATCAAACCAGTTGAACATTGACAGTTTTATATTGTCAGCCTTATTATACCTGTTTGAGGACATTAGTCTTCTCTTCCCCATCAATAATATCTCCAAACTCCATCAAATTCTTTCTCACCTGGTAAAGTTATGAGATCTTTTTCAAATATGATCTCATATTTAGGCATATTCTAGTTCCTCAATATTTTTCTTTCTTTTTAATGTTTGATTTTTGTTTGTTTGTTTTGAGATAGGGAGTCTCACTCTGTCGCCCAGGCTGGAGTGCACTGGTGCAATCTCGGCTCACTGCAACCTCTGCCTCCTGGATTCAAGTGATTCTCCTGCTTCAGCCTCTCGAATAGCTGGGATTACAGGCGCCAGACCCAGCTAATTTTTGTACTTTTAGTAGAGACGAGGTTTCAGCACGCTGGTCAGGCTGGTCTCGAACTCCTGACCCCAAGCGATCCACCTGCCTTAACCTCCCAAAGTGCTGGGATTACAGGTGTGAGCCACCACACCTGGCCTGTTTTTTTTTTTTAGATGGTGTCTCGTTATGTCACCCAGCCTGGAGTGGCGCAATCTCGGCTTACTGCAATCTCCGCTTTTTGGGTTCAAGCGATTCTTGTGCCTCAGCCTCTCAAGTAGCTCGGATTACAGGTGTGTGCCACCGTGCCCAGCTAAATTTTGTAGTTTTAGTAGAGATGGGGTTTCGCCATGTTGGCTAGGCTTGTCTCCAACTCCTGACCTCATGTGATCTGCCCACCTCAACCTCTCAAAGTGCTGGGATTATAGGCGTGAGCCGCCACACTCAGCCCTCAATATCTTTCTTAATATGGGACAGTCAGAACCAGTCAGTTTAAAATGCAGGGAGACTATTCTTTCTCTGGATCTGACAGTGTGTCTTTTCATGAAACTCTGACTGCATTGGGTTTCATGAGACCTGAACCTTTTTCACACAAGATACTGTCAAACCAGTCCTACTCCTACCTGTGCAATTAATTTTTTTTTTAAGTAGAGATGGGGTTTCTCCATGTTGGTCAGGCTGGTCTCAAACTCCCGACCTCAAGTGTGCCCACCTCGGCCTCCCAAAGTGCTGGGATTACAGGCGTGAGCCACCATGCCCAGCCCATTTAGTTTTTTTTTTTTTTTTAAATCAACTGCACCGGGCGCAGTGACTCACACCTGTAATCCCAGCACTTTGGGAGGCCGAGGTGGGCAGATCACCTGAGGTTGGGAGTTTGAGACCCGCCTGACCAACATGGTGAAACCTGGTCTCTACTAAAAATACAAAAAGCAGCTGGGTGTGGTGGCGCCCGCCTGTAATCCCAGCTACTTAGGAGGCTGAGGCAGGAGAATCACTTGAACCCAGGAGGTGGAGGTTGCAGTGAGCTGAGATCGTGCCACTGCATTCCAGCCTGGGCGACAGAGCAAGACTCCGTCTCAAAAAAAAAAAAAAAGAAAAGAAAAGAAAAAGAAATACAAACCTCAGCCAGGTACAGTGGTTTACGTCTGTAATCCCACTACTTTGAGAGGCCGAGGCAGGTGCATCACCTGAGGTCCGGAGTTCAAGACCAGCCTGGCCAACATGGGGAAACCACATCTCTACTAAAAACACAAAAATTAGGCCAGGTGTGGTGGCTCACACTTGTAATCCCAGCACTTTGGGAGGCCGAGGTGGGTGGATCACCTGAAGTCAGGAGTTCAAGACCAGCCTGGCCAACATGGCAAAACCCTGTCTCCACTGAAAAAATACAAAAATTAGCTAGGCGTGGTGGCAGGTGCCTGTAATCCCAGCTACTCGGGAAGGCTGAGGCAGGAGAATCACTTCAACCCCAGAGGTGGAGGTTGCAGTGAGCCAAGATCACACCACTGCACTTCAGCCTGGGCGACAGAGCAAGAGTCCATCTCGGAAAAAAAAAAAAAAAAAAGAGCTGGGCACGGTGGCTCACGTCTGTAATTTCAGCACTTTGGGACACCGAGGCGGGCTGATCCCAAGGTCAATAGATAGAGACCATCCTGGCCAACATGGTGAAACCCCATCTCTACTAAAAATACAAAAAAAGTAGCTGGGCATGGTGGTGTGTGCCTGTAATCCCAGCTACTCAGAGGCAGAGGCAGGAGAATTGCTTGAACCCGAGGGGCAGAGGTTGCAGTGAGCCAAGATCACGCCACTGCACTCCAGCCTGGGTGATAGAGCAAGACTGCATCTCAAAAAATAAAATAAGGGGCTGGGCGCGGTGACTCACGCCTGTAATCCCAGCACTTTGGGAGGCCAAGGTGGGTGGATCACCTTAGGTCAGGAGTTTGAGACCACCCCGGCCAACATGGTGAAACCCCATCTCTACTAAAAATAAAAAATTAGCTGGGCATGGTAGGGGGAGGAGCCTGTAATCCCAGCTACCTGGGAGGCTGAGGCAGGAGAATTGCTTGAGCCCAGGAGGCAGAGGTTGCAGTGAGCCAAGATCGTGCCACTGCGTTCCAGCCTGGCAACAGAGCAAGACTCTGTCTCAAAAAATAATAATAATAATAATAATAAAATAAAATAAAAGAGCCAGACACGGTGGCTCATGTCTGTAATTTCAGAACTTTGGGACACTGAGGTGGGTGGATCACAAGGTTAAGAGATAGAGACCATCCTGGTCAACATGGTGAAACCCCATCTCTACTAAAAATACAAAAAAATTAGCTGGGCGTGGTGGCGTTCGCCTGTAATCCCAGCTACTTGGAGGCTGAGGCAGGAGAATCAGTTGAATCTGGGAGGCGGAGTTTGCAGTGAGCCGAGACTCCGCCACTGCACTCCAGCCTGGGCGACAGAGTGAGACTCTGTCTCTAAAAAAAAATAAAAGAAATACAAACCTCAACATAGTAAACTTGCTGCTATTCAAGAGCCATTCTCCTCAGTAATAATATTGAGCACTAACATGGTTTTATCCTTATTTTTAAATTAAATTATTTTTAGTGTATTTTATTTTATTTTAGAGAGAAAGCCTTTTGTTGTTGTTGTTGTTGTTGAGACGGAGTCTCGCTCTGTCGCCCAGGCTGGAGTGCAGTGGCGCCATCCCAGCTCACTGCAAGCTCCGCCTCCCAGGTTCACGCCATTCTCCAGCCTCAGCCTCCTAAGAAGCTGGGACTACAAGCTCCTGCCACCACGCCTGGCTAATTTTTTGTATTTTTAGTAGAGATGGGGTTCCACCATGTTAGCCAGGATGGTCTCGATCTCCTGACCTCGTGATCCGCCCTCCTTGGCCTCCCAAAGTACTGGCATTACAGGTGTGAGCCACCACGCCCAGCCAACAAAGTCTTACTTTGTCATCCAGGCTGACGTCTAGTGGTGCAATCATGGCTCACTGCAGCCTTGACCACCTGGGCCCAGGGAATCCTCCCACTTCAACCCCTTGAGTAGCTGGGACTACAGACCCATGCCACCATGACCAGTTAATTTTGTCAAAATTTTTTGTGGATACAGGGTCTCACCATGTTGCCCAGACTGGTCTGGAACTCCTGGCCTCAAGGAAACCTCCTGCCTCAGCCTCCCAAATCGCTGGGATTGTAGGTGTGAGTCACAATACCCAGCCCTAGCACTAACATGTTTTAACTCATTTAATCCTTTGGACAATCTTGTGATACAGGTACTGTTATTATCCCTATTTCTTTTTCTTTTTTTTGAGACGGAGTTTCGCTCTTGTTGCCCAGGCTGGAGTGTAATGGCGTGATCTTGGCTCACTGCAACCTCCGCCTCCCAGGGTCATGCTATTCTCCTGCCTCAGCCTCTCAAGTAGCTGCGATTACAGGCGCCCCCACACCCCGATCATGCCCAGATAATTTTTGTATTTTTAGTAGAGACGGGGTTTCACCATGTTGGCCGGGCTGGTCTTGAACTCCTGACCTCAGGTGATCCACCCACCTTGGCCTCCCAAAGTGTTGGGATTACAGGTGTGAGCCACCGTGTCTGGCCTATTATCCCTATTTCATGAGTGAAGAAACTGAGGTATAGGGCAGTTAAGTAACTTGTGTAACTTATGGTTAAATGTGTAACAAATGGTTAAAAAGTTGCACTGACACTATTTGAACCTAGACATTAGGTCTCTAGAGCTTCACACTCTCAATCCCTACAGACACGTCTCAGACTAGTCTACTTAGGTTCATATCAAATTCTAATCTAACGCCAGGCACAGTAGCTCATGCCTGTTATCCCAATACTTTGGGAGGCTGAGGCAGGCGGATCACCTGAGGTCAGGAGTTCAAGACCAGCCTGGTCAACATGGTGAAACCCCGCCTCTACTAAAAATACAAAAATTAGCCAGGTGTGGTGGCACACACCTGTAGTCTCAGCTATTTGGGAGGCTGAGGCAGGAGAATCACTTGAACCTGGGAGGTGGAGGTTGCAGTGAGCCGAGATCACGCCACTGCACTCCAACCTGGGGACAGAGCGAGATTCCGCCTCAAAAAAAAAAAAAAAAAAAAAAAAAAAAAACAACCCAACACAAACTAATCTAACTTTCTTAGTGATCCCTACAATAAAATTCAGGCTCTGATCTCTACCCTGAACCCTATCTAATACACAGCCTGTTCTATTAGCAGCTCTGCCACATAAAATGGCCTGGATCATTCTGGGGGGTTGGGGTGGGGGGGTAGGCGTTCCAGGACTGCCTTAGCCTGTGACAGAGGAAGGAGAATGGGGTGGGATCACAGGCGGAGGAGGGACATCAGTCAAACCCTCTCTGTCTGCAGAGGTGGAGCTTCCCCTTTCTGCTCTGTGGGTGGGTCCTCCCAGACAGGAAGGGAGCAGTTGGCTTAGTCGGTCTAGTTTTCCCTGGAATTCAGCATACTGTGAAATTTAGGAGATGCCTGAGGCCAATTTAGGCAAGTTCTATTCAACAAACATTTGCTGAGTCCCAACAATGGGGCAGACACTGTGCTGGATTGGAATAGAACATAAACATGTCACATATTGTCAAAATAAAGATAAGCACTTCAATGGCCAGTTACCTCCTAAGTGTGATAAGAGCCTGGATCGCTACAGACCTGAGTGTATTGTTTGGAATGAGGGATGGCAAGAGGAGAAAGGAAAAAGGGGAAGTAGGGATAAGGCACCTATTACTGGGGTTTTTGGTTTCAAGGAAACAATCCAGATTAGGGAAGGAAAGAATAACTGAGTAAGGATTGCTGGCAGAAGGGAGGCGCCTTCAAGAGTACTGAGTTATTCAGCTGCAGGTGAGTCAAGTACCTTACCTGTTTATCTGGAATGCTTGAGGGAAGGAAGATATGAGGGCAAAGAGCAGTCAGGAAGATCCATTGTGTGTGTGTGTGTGTGTGTGTGTGTGTGTGTGTGTGTTTAGGGTTGTGTGAAATGCAAATTCCTGCTTTTTCTTGGCAGCTTTTCTGGAAATTATGATGACAGCTGGTGGTGGGAAACATCACTGAAATACTGAAATTACTAGTGACCACAGCTTTTTCTCTGCTCCAGGTGACTGGCTATCACCTGAGCCATTCCAGATGGCGCCTACTGTGGATTTTCTTTTCTTTTCTTTTCTTTTTTGAAACGGTCTCGCTCTGTTGCCCAGGCTGGAGTGCAGTGGTGCAATCTCGGATCACTGCAGCCTCCGCCTCCCAAGTTCAAGTGATTCTCCTGCCTCAGCCTCCCGAATAGCTGGGATTACAGGTGTGTGCCACCATGCCCAGCTAATTTTTGCATTTTTAGTAGAGACAGGGTTTCACCATGTTGGCCAGGCTTGTCTTGAACCCCTGACCTCAAGTGATCCACCTGCCTCAGCCTCCAAAGTTCTGGGATTACAGGCATGAGCCACCGCACCTGGCCAGATTCATTTTTTTTCCTCTTGCTCATTTAGTAAAGTGAGGGTATTATTGTTTTTCTGTGTTTTTGTGTGTGTTTTTTTTTTTTGAAGTAGGAAGGGAGGAAGAGACAGGTTCATTTTCCAAGAGCAATTAATGAGCATTCCACATTCTGTACATTAACCAGAAAGCTTACTGTGGATAAAAAGCCTGGACAAGAGACGCAGTCAGCAGAGAGATCCACTTTCTCATTTTAGATCTACTCCCACTTACTGTGAGTTTTAGAAGTGCACGACCTAGGCGGGGCGTGGTGGCTCACACCTGTAATCGCAGCACTTTGGGAGGCCGAGGTGGGCGGATCACGAGGTCAGGAGTTTGAGACCAGCCTGGCCAACATGTGAAACCCCGTCTCTACTAAAAATACAAAAAATTAGCCGGTGTGGTGGCATGCGCCTGTAGTCCCAGCTACTCAGGAGACTGAGGCAGGAGAATCGCTTGAACCCAGGAGGCAGAGGTTGCAGTGAATGGACATCCGCGCCATTGTACTGCAGCCTAGGTGACAGAGCAACACTCCATTTAAAAAAAAAAAAGTGCACGACCTATCTGTATGTCCAGTTTCTCATTTTTGGTGGATGAATAATACCTTCTTGTGTCTCAATGACATTGTGAGAAAGGAAAATATTCAAAGTAATTAGGAAAGAGTACTCTGTAGAGATTTTATTGTTATTAATAATTTCCCAGACTGTGTTGGAAAAGTAAAAAGGCCATGGATGATATGCCATTTTTACCTTTTTATTAGAAACAGGGTCTTGCCACATTGCCCAGGCTGGTCTCAAACTTGGGGGCAAAAGTAATCTGCCTGCCTTGCCCTCTGGAAGTACGGGGATTACAAGCATGAGCCACCATACCAGGCCGGGAATTTCCTAAACTTTTCAAACTGTGGAGTGCAGCCCTCATTAGCCAAAGCTGATGGACCTGAGCATAATAATTTTTTTCCACAGAAAATTAGTAGAATAAAATAATTTTAGAGCTAGAAAGAACTTTGAAGATGATCTAATCCATTACCTAATTTTACAGATGAAGAAACTGAAACAGCAAGGGGTTCTAGACAGATAAAGGATTTGGGTGGCACTGTTGGAAAGCCAGAAGATTCTGATAACCATCAAGGGAAAATAATGTCTTTTAATAGTTCTTAATATTTAAACAAAACAGGTGATGGAAACTCATCTGCTCTTGAATGGGCTAAGTTATGTACCACCTGTCAGGGAAGAGCTAAATGGAAACTCAAGCTTTATTTCTCTTTGTCTTATTCCAGTTTATTCTTTGGGTTATATTACATCAGCCCTGGGAGTTCCAGAAAGAGATCATGGGAAGACCAAGTATTGGGAAAGAGTGCCTGTTCTGAGTCAAGGTAACCTGGCTTCTGCCACTGGCTCTGCCACTTACAAGCCACTGAGTGGCACACACTAGGTACTCAATAACTGCTTGATAAACAAGTCGTGGCACATCCCTGTAGTCCCAACTACTCAGGAGGCTGAGGCAGGAGGATCACTTGAGTCCAGGAGTTTGAGGCCAGCCTGGCCAACATCATGAGACCACGTCTAAAACAAGAAAAATCACACGAAGAGGAAATGATTTTTCTAAAGAACTAAATTATTAATGATTATAGAAAAGATTTCTCTCCTGTGGGTTATGGTAAAATGTGAAACTCTGTTGGGATACCTTTTTTTTGAGACAAGAGTCTCACTCTGTCGCTCAGGCTGGAGTGCAGTGCAATGATGCAATCTCGGCTCAGTGCAATCTCGGCTCACTGCAACCTCTGCCTTGCAGTTTCAAGCCATTCTCCTGCCTCAGCCTCAGCCTCCTGAGTAGCCGGGATTATAGGCACATGCCACCATGCCCGGCTAATTTTTGTATTTTTAGTAGAGACAGGGTTTCACCATGTTGGTCAGCCTGGTCTTGAACTCCTGACCTCGTGATCCGCCCGCGTTGGCCTCCCAAAGTGCTGGGATTACAAGCACGAGCCACTGCACCTGGCTGGGATACTTTTTTTTTTTTTTTGAGACGGAGTTTCACTCTGTCACCCAGGATAGAGTGCTGTGGCGCAATCTTGGCTCACTGCAACCTCTACCTCCTGGGTTCAAGAGATTCTCCTGCCTCAGCCTCCCCAGTAGCTGAGATTATAGGCACCTGCCACCACGTCCGGCTAATCTTTTTTTTTTTTGAGACGGTGTCTTGCTCTGTCACCCAGGCTGGAGTGCAGTGGCACGATCTCAGCTCACTGCAAACTCCACCTTCCAGGTTTGTCATTCTCTTGCCTCAGCCTCCCAAGTAGCTGGGATTACAGGTGCCTGCCGTCACGCCAGGCTAATTTTTGTATTTTTAGTAGAGGCGGGGTTTCACTGTGTTAGCCAGGATGGTCTCCATCTCCTGACCTCGTGATGTGCCCGCCTCAGCCTCCCAAAGTGCTGGGATTACAGGCATGAGCCACCGTGTCCGGCCAATGCCTAGCTAATTTTCATATTTTTAGTAGAGGCGGGGGTTTCACTATGTTGGCCAGGCTGGTCTCAAACTCCTGACCTCAGGTGATCTGCCTGCCTCGGCCTCCCAAAGTGCTGGGATTACAGGCATGAGCCACTGCGCCTGTTGGGATACTTCTGGATTAAAATCCTATGAATATTTATTCTTCAGAGTGTTTTTTTTTCCTCCCCATTAAAATGTTTAAGCTTTGATATTTGCAGGAGTGGCAGAATCAGGTTTATAATATCTGCCTGCATCATTTTCAGGTGAGTGGAAATACTAAAAGTATATTAATATAGTAACAGTGGCAAAAGAAAGAAAGAAAAAAAATCATTGGTTTGACAGTGTGGTATATCAGCCCTTGGCTGCTACTTGACATAATCTTGCCAACATCACTCTCAAAGTAATTTCTCTTATTAATACAGCATAATCACCACCATATTCTGAACATGGATATTTAATATTGGAAAAACTATTTAAAGTATTTGATATATTTAAAGGGACAAGTTGATTTTTATGGAGCCAGTTGATATTAACCTATGCTGTTTTCCACTAAAGTGAATACCCTAGGGAATAAGAAAAGGAGAAGAGAGTTAGATATCCCTTTTAGCGGTCTCCTAGCCTAAAAAATTAAACATGACAGAATGTCATTCCACTCTCCAGAAAAAGATATTTGCCAGCACACAAAGCTATTTTAAAATCCCTATTTACCCCGGGTGTGACGGCTCATGCCTGTAATCCCAGCACTTTGGGAGGCCAAGGCGGGTGGATCACCTGAGGTTAGGAGTTTGAGACCAGCCTAGACAACATGGTGAAACCCCATCTCTACTAAAAATACAAAAACTAGCCAGATATGGGCCTGGTGCAGTGGCTTGCGCCTGTAATCCCAGCACTTTGGGAGGCCGACCTGGGCAGATCACGAGGTCAGGAGATCGAGGCCATCCTGGCTAACATAGTGAAACCGCATCTCTACTAAAAATACAAAAAAGAAAAAAACCCCACAAAATTAGCCGCGAGTGGTGGCCGGTACCTGCAGTCCCAACTACTCGGGAGGCTGAGGCGGGAGAATGGCGGGAACCCAGGAGGCGGAGCTTGCGGTGAGCCAAGATTGCGCCACTCCACTCCAGCCTGGGCGACAGAGCGAGACTCCATCTCCAAAAAAAAAAAAAAAAAAAAAAACTAGCCAGGTATGGTGGCACGTGCCTGTAATCCCAGCTACTCAGGAGGCTGAGGCAGGAGAATGGCGTGAACCTGGGAGGTGGAGGTTGCAGTGAGCCGAGATCGCACCACTGCACTCCAGTCTGGGCAACAAGAGTGAGACTCTGTCTCAAAAAAAAAAAAAAAAAAAAAACCTGAAAGCAGGCCGGGCGAAGGTAGCTCACGCCTGTAATCTCAGCACTTTGGAAGGCTGAGTTGGGTGGATCACCTGAGGTTAGGAGTTCGCGACCAGCCTGGACAACATGGTGAAACCCCGTCTCTACTAAAAATACAAAAAAAAAGCCGGGCGCAGTGGCTCACGCCTGTAATCCCAGCACTTTGGGAGGCTGAGGTGGGTGGATTGCCTGAGGTCAGGAGTTCAAGACCAGCCTGGCCAATATGGTGAAACCCCGTCTCTACTAAAAATACAAAAATTAGCCAGGCGTGGTGACAGACGCCTGTAATCCCAGCTACTCGGGAGGCTGAGGCAGGAGAATCGCTTGAACCTGGGAGGTGGAGGTTGCAGTGAGCCGAGATCGCACCACTGCACTCCAGCCTGGGCGACAAGAGTGAGAGGCTGTCTCAAAAAAATATATATATATATATAGCTGGGCGTGGTGGCGGGCGCCTGTACTCTCAGCTACTCAGGAGGCTGAGGCAGGAGAGTCACTTGAACCCAGGAGGTGGAGGTTGCAGTGAGGCGAGATCATGCCGTTGCAATCCAGCCTGGGAAACGAGCAAAACTCCATCTCAAAAAAAAAAAATCTGAAAGCATAGTACTGGTAGGGTTACTATATTTAGCAAATAAAAATACAGCATGCCCAATTGCATTTGAATTTCGGACCAGGCTCAGTGGCTTACACTTGTAATTCCAGCACTTTGAGAGGCCGAGTTAGGCAGATCATTTGAGCCCAGAGTTTGAGACGAGTCTGGACAACATGGCAAAGTCCCTTCTCTAAAAAAGAGAAGATACAAAAATTAGCCAAAAGGCTGGGCGTGGCGGCTCACAGCTGTAATCCTAGCATTTAGGGAGGCTGAGGCAGGTGGATCACCTGAGGTCAGGAGTTCAAGACCAGGCTGGCCAACATGGTGGAACCCTGTCTCTACTAAAATACAAAAATTAGCTGGGCATGATGATGGGTGCCTCTAATCCCAGCTACTCGGGAGGCTGAGACGGGAGAATCGCTTGAATCCGGGAGAGGGTGGTTGCAGTGAGCCGAGATTGCGCCATTGCACTCCAGCCTGGGCAGCTGAGCGAGACTCTGTCTCAAAAAAAAAAAAAAAAAAAAAAAAAAAAAATTAGCCAAATGTTGTGGTGCATCCCTGTAGTACCAGCTATTTGGGAGGCTGAGGTGGAAGGATCACCTGAGTCCAGGAGATCAAGGCTTCAGTGAGCTGTAATCGCCACTGCACTCCAGTCTGGACCACAGAGTGAGGCCTTATCTCAAAAAAAAAAAGAAAGAAAGAAAGAAAAAAGAAAACTTGTAATCTCAGCACTTTGGGAAGCCGAGGTGGGTGGATCACAAGGTCAGGAGATCGAGACCATCCTGGCTAACATGGTGAAACCCCGTCTCCACTAAAAAATACAAAAAACAAAACAAAACAAAAAAACAACCCAGCACTTTAGGAGGCCGAGGCGGGTGGATCACTGGAGGTCGGGAGTTCGAGACCAGCTTGACCAACATGGAGAAGCCCTGTCTCTACTAAAAATACAAAATTCGCCAGGCGTGATGGCGCATGCCTGTAATCCCAGCTACTCGGGAGGCTGAGGCAGAAGAATCACTTGAACCCGGGAGGCAGAGGTGGAGGTTGCGGTGAGCTGAGATCGCGCCATTGCACTCCAGCCTGGGCAACAAGAGTGAAACTCTGTCTCAAAAAATAATAATAATAATTGAATTTCAGATAAACAATGAATAGTTTTTAGTATTTAGTAACCTAACTTGTAACTATTGCTTTTTTTTTTTTTTTTTTTTTTTTCTGAGACAGAGTCTCACTCTGTTGCCCAGGCTGGAGTGCAATGGCACAACCTCGGCTCACTGCAAGCTCTGCCTCCCGGGTTCACGCCATTCTCCTGCCTCAGCCTCCCGAGTAGCTGGGACTACAGGCACCCGCCACCACGCCCGGCTAATTTTTTGTATTTTTAGTAGAGACGGGGTTTCACCGTGTTAGCCAGGATGGCCTCCATCTCCTTGACCTCGTGATCCGCCTGCCTCGGCCTCTCAGAGTGCTGGGATTACAGGCGTGAGCCACTGCGCCCGGCAAACTATTGCATATTTTTAGTCTAAGCATGTGTCTAAGCATGTCCCATGAAATAGTTGAGACTATTTACACTAAAAAACTATTCATTTTATCTGCAATTCTAATTTAACTAGGTGTCCTGTTTTTTTATCTGGCCACCCTATTACTGGGGAAAGATACTTGGTCTAACTCCTTCATTACTCTGTAGAACAAGGGGCTCTAACCTGGCTGATGAGAACGTGCCCTTAGGGTTTACTACATGGAATTATAAAGTTATCATGATCATGGTAAAAGGAGAAGAACTGAGCCTTTCTTCTGCTCCATGGATTTCCATTCTGTCTCTCACACTATGAAAAGCATTTAAATATATTTCCAATTATTCAGAGTGGTAATAGATTAATCGTACTAAATAAAGAGAATATTTCATTTAGATCTCTAGGGTTAGGATTTGTTTAAGTAGGGGCTAAGAGCCTAGGATTAACCATATAGATGTATAAACCTAGAGAACTTGTTTCTCTTGCTAGGTTTGCTCTTCCTAGAGAGGAATGAACAGACTTGATTTCATAAAGCAGTTTGAGGACTTGAAAAATGCTGAATGAACATATTTTTTCCTGATGAAGTTATCACCCACAATGAAGTAACCTACAAAGGATGACCTCATTGTTTGGCTTTGTAGGACTTGTCATACTATGTCAGATCTCCAGGGTGGAAGCCTGACTAATGGAGGCTGGAGTACTAGTACTCCAGAGGTGGGTTGAAAACAGCAACTTTTCTCTGAGTCTGCTTTAAGCACTCATGGAAAGAGCATTTTTTTTACCATCATGATGCTGTGCTGCACAAGATTCTATTACCCTCATTTGAGCTGCCTGGTTATTCTAGCAATCAGATCTTTCTGTCTCCTTCCTGTTACCTGGCCTTGACACCAACTATCATGTGCCCTTTTTGCCTTGACTCCCAGGCATGCAGTTCTTCTTCCATTTTCTTTAACCCAAAATGCTAGAATATTGGAATTTCTAGGACATTTATTTACATGGGTTCTGATGACAGTGGAGAATATTTGCCATCAGGACTGTCCTGGAAAATCTAGGGTATGTGTGGTCCTCCTTGTCAACACTTGTCAACACATTTCAACACTTGTCCTCTGACAGTTATCTAGGACTGCTAGGATATTCAGAAAGAAGAGAGGCCTGGGAGTCAGAAATTCTTCTCATCATGGCTTTTAGTCATTGCTTTGCAGTTAACTCTGGGCAATGACTGCATCTATCTTTGTCCTACGTCAGTTTTTGACCCCTTGTATTTGAAGCCCCCTAAAACAATTATAAAGAATGAAACAATAGGAAGTAATCTTCAACTTACTTTGGCTATCCTTAAAATGTAAGTTATGAATCCTAGCGTTAGTAACATAGCACACTGGACTTCTTTACCATGAAGGGGAGGAAAAATTAGGGAAAACAAGGGCCTTAAAGATTTTACCATTTTAGGGCAGACACAGTGGCTCACATCTATAATCCCAGTACTTTGGGGAGGCGGGAGGATCGCTCGAACCAGGAGTTTGAGATCAGCCTGGGCAATATGGTGAAATCCCATCTCTACCAAAAAACTCCACACAAACTAGACGGACCTAGTGGTGCATGCCTGTAGTCCCAGCTACCTGGGAAGCTGAGGTAAAGGATCATTGAGCCTGGGAGGCAGATGTTGCAGTGAGCTGAGATCACATCACCACACTCCAGCCTGGGTGACAGAATGGGACCCTGGTATCAGCTCTAAGAACTGCAACTTGTACAATTCAAGTCTGAACCAAACCTGGATAGAACTAATGTTCTAATTTCTGGAAAAAATAAAAGGAGGTAGGGCTTATAAACTAAAGAAAACGATTTACCTTGTCAGACACCAATAATGGCACTTTTTCTGTAAAATAGTGACGCCTTTTTCTCTTCTTCCACCTCCTCCACTCCTTTGATTCTGTCACCCTCTCCTGCATCTACTGATATCCTCTTACATTGAGATAAGACAGTAATGAATCACTTTAGCAAAAGTACATAGAGCTAAACAAAGATGACATCGTTTGGCATCTCTTGGCACTGAGACACATTGGGATAGGGCACAACAAGAGTTCAGGGTTTCCTGATGTAGAGTTGCTAAAACTGTGGCCTCCACTTAACAGCTAATGTAGGTTTGGGGCAACAGGAATATAAATCTCTCTTGAATGGTTTATACTGTGCCTTTTTGCCTGAAGAATTTTGTCTTGGCCAGGCACAGTGGCTCAAGCCTATAATCTCTGCACTTTGGGAGGCCGAGGGGGCGCGGATCACCTGAGGATGGGAGTTCGAGACCAGTCTGACCAACATGGAGAAACCTCGTCTCTACTAAAAATACAAAATTAGCCAGGCGTGGTGGTGCATGCCTGTAATCTCAGCTACTTGGGAGGCTGAGGCAGGAGAATCGCTTGAACCCAGGAGGCAGAGTTTGCAGTGAGCCGAGATTGCACCATTGCACTCCAGCCTGGGCAACAAGAGTGAAGCTCTGAGTTTTGTTCTTTTTCTTTTGTGACCTGCCCTAATTCCTGATGTCAGGTCCCTAGGGTATTTGTGCTATGCCTCATTCTTAGTGACTTTATATTTTATACAGTGTGATTGCACTTTGAACTAAAATAGACCATATCCAGAAACCTGCCGGTGCAGGCTTCCCAGGGCTAAAGAGTATGAGCAGTTTGAATTGCTTTTTGTCTCTTTGCCTTTTTCTTGAATCAATTTACCAAAATAGAGATGTTACCATCAGATTTTTTTTCAAGGCACTAGATCCCAAAGGCTAGTCTCCATGCCAAGACAATTTTTCTAAAGCATGTATATCTGAAAATGAAAGGATCTTAGATGCTTACCTTATGGTTTCTCTTTAGCTCTAGCATTATTTGTTTACTGGGGACACTATGACTTTTGGTTCAGTCCTATGAATAAGCAGGTCACAAGCCAATTTTTAGCTCCCCTTACACTTTTTAAGTATTTATTAATCTTGACTCCTATGCAAACTGTAGGGAGGCTGGCAGCAGAAGATTCTTATCCTTAGTTATTTATGTGGCTAAGACTCCAAGGCAAATTGCTCTCTCAAACTGTAGGGAGGCTGGCAGCAGAATATTCTTATCCTTAGTTATTTATGTGTCTAAGACTCCAAGGCAAATTGCTCTCATAAAATCACACCCCATGAGATGTGATTCTGCCAGATTAGTAGGCCTTAATGTCTTGGGTCTCTTCTCTTCACCCAACTCTTAACCTGGGTTAAGCTTATTCTCTTTGCTAGGCCTTGGATAGCACATTGGGTGAGGACTATTCTGATGTCAATTCTTCTTGTCAAGGATTTAAGAAGCAAACAGAAATAGAGCCAAGGATGGAGAAACTGAGGCCCCCTGACTTGCCAAGCTGCGACTTCTAATCCTCTTGGCTACCCCACTGGTCTGGTTCAACCTGAGCTCGCACTGATTTTTTTGGATTTGACGTCAAGGCAAACATCATTGCAAACTCAATTCCAGCATGCCAGCTCCAGAGCACCGTAACCTTTAAAAACTTGGGATTTCGCCGGGCGCGGTGGCTCACACTTGTAATCCCAGCACTTCGGGAGGCCGAGGCGGGTGGATCACCTGAGGTCAGGAATTTGAGATCAGCCTGCACAACATGGTGAAACCCCGTCTCTACTAATAATAAAAAAAAAGCCAGGCATGGTGGCATGCGCCTGTAGTCCCAGCAACTCGGGAGGCTGTGGCAGGAGAATTGCTGGAACCCGGGAGGTGGAGGTTGCAGCGAGCCAAGATCGCACCACTGCGACAGAGAGAGACTCCGTCTCAAAAAAGAAAAAAAAAGACTTGGGATTTCAGGAGAAATGTTATAGTAGCATTCCAGAGGCCCACGCATCAGACACAGACATATGCACTCTTTGCAGCAGAGGGTATTGGCTTCACCCTATCATATAAGTTGGCTCCCTAACTTATATTCTGCAAAGCCCTGGTGGCTAATCCTTTACAACCAAACAGGTCACAGCCAAACAGGTCATCTCAGTTTGAAGATCATCAACAAAGGGGTTAGGTTTGCTCTTGTAGTTGTCACTCCCTTGGGATTGGTAAACAGACCTGCAGAAGTAGTTGTGAAAAGGGAAGCAGAAGTACTGAAAAAAAAAAAAAAAAAAGGAGGGCTAGAAAGGAAGTGAGAAAGGTGGAAATGTATGACTTTTTCAACTTCCTGATGGAAAGATACCAAGAGAAATAAAACTATGACCAGATAGGACCTTCCTTTGGCCACATTTTTATGTGCATAATGTCATATTGCTATCCCCACATAAATAAAACTATGTATCTATCCATCAATCTATCCAATCTATAGCTCACATATTATTATGACAAATTAAGTTATCCATCAGTATAGCAAACATTTTAAAGCATGTGAAATTAATCTACTTTCCTTTCATGAAGAACACAGGATGGGTAGGCAGCATTCCATCTACTCACATTTCCAACTGTCATTTCAACATCCATTTTAAGTTACGGAAGAGTCAAGGCTGGGACCTCATGGCATCATTTTCCATGGATTGCTCTCCAAGTTTTTGTGTTCCTGGCCTTTGGAACCCCTTCATCATATTCCGCAGGTAAGACACATATTAGTGGAATTCGAGTTATAATTTGTATGCTTGAAATTGACATTGAAGGCCATAATTTGTAAGTCAGAGAGGCTAAACAGTAACTGTAATGCTTTGTTTTGATCTAACTTGGTGGTTTTGTAATGGTTCTCTCAAACGCTCCACATCTTTCTCTTTCTGTGTTCCATAGCTGGGGTTTCTCTCCTTCCTGCCTGAATATTTTGCCTCCCTAATCCAATTCCTTTACATTATCTTTGCTCTGAAATACTTCTTTCGATGACTTACATTTGCTCTCTATAATTTTACTTCAACTTTTTACTAGTCCTGCTACAAAGACCATTCTCACATTAAGAAAATAATAGGCTTTTTTTTTGTTTTTTTTGAGACGGGGTCTCGTTTTGTCACCCAGGCTGGAGTGCAATGGCGTGATCTTGACTCACTGCAAACTCCACCTCCTGGGTTCAAGCAATTATCCTGCCTCAGCCTCCCAAGTAGCTGTGATTACAGGCACCCGCCACCACACCCGGCTAATTTTTTTGCATTTCTAGTAGAAACGGGGTTTCACCATGTTCGCCAGGCTAGTCTTGAACTCCTGACCTCAAGTGATCTGCCTGCCTCGGCCTCCCAAAGTGCTGGGATTACAAGCATGAACCACCATGCCCGGCCCAATAATAGGCTTTTTAAGAAATTCTCAAACCACTGGAGAAATCATACTTTTCTTTGAGATAAGCGTGCATTATGCCCATATCTGCTTTACAGATGGGGAAACTGAGGCAGAGAATTGCTAGGACTTGTTTTAGGTCATAAAGTCAGTGATGATATTGAAACTATTTCTTTTTGTGTCCTCATATTTGTCAGGCTAGTACTTGAAAACTGAAAACAATAGTGGCTCTGGCTAGAATGACTGATTGTTTTTTTTTCCTTTCTTTTTTTTTTTTTTTTTTTTTTTTTTTTTTTTTTTTTTTTTTTTTTTTTGAGACGGAGTCTCGCTCTGTCGCCCAGGCTGGAGTGCAGTGGCGGGATCTCGGCTCACTGCAAGCTCCGCCTCCTGGGTTCACGCCATTCTCCTGCCTCAGCCTCCCAAGTAGCTGGGACTACAGGCGCCCGCCACTACGCCCGGCTAATTTTTTTGTATTTTTAGTAGAGACGGGGTTTCACCGTTTTAGCCGGGATGGTCTCGATCTCCTGACCTCGTGATCCGCCCGCCTCGGCCTCCCAAAGTGCTGGGATTACAGGCGTGAGCCACCGCGCCCGGCCTTTTTTTTTTCCTTTCTTAAACTTTTTTTTTTTTTTTTTTAAGAGACAGGATTTCGGCCGGGCGCAGTGGCTCATGCCTGTAATCCCTGCACTTTGGGAGGCTGAGGCGGGTGGATCACCCGAGGTTAGGAGTTCGAGACCAGCCTGGTCAACATGGTGAAACCCCCTCTCTACTAAAAATACAAAAAATTAGCTGGGCGTGGTGGCAGGCACCTGTAATCCCAGCTACTTGGGAGGCTGAGGCACGAAAATCGCTTGAACCCCCGGGAGGCGGAGGTTGCAGTGAGCCAAGATTGTGCCACTGTACTCCAGCCTGGGCAACAAGAGCAAAACTTTGTCTCAAAAAAAAAAACACAAACCAAACCAAAACAAACAGAGACAGGATTTCACTCTGTTGCCCAGGCTGGACTGCAGTGATGCAGTCATAGCTTACTGCAGCCTCAAACTCCTGGATTCAAGGAATCCTCCCACTTTAGCCTCCCAAGTAGCTAGGACTACAGGCATAGGCCACCACACCCAGCTAATTAAAAACATTTTTTTTTTTTTTTGAGATGGAGTCTTGCTCTGTCGCACAGGCTGGAGTGCAGTGGCGTGATCTCAGCTCACTGCAAGCTCCGCCTCCCGGGTTCACACCATTCTCCTGCCTCAGCCTCCCGAGTAGCTGGGACTACAGGCACCCGCCACCAAGCCCGGCTAATTTTTTGTGTTTTTTTTTGTATTTTTAGTAGAGACGGGGTTTCACTGTGTTGGCCAGGATGGTCTCGATCTCCTGACCTCGTGATCCGCCTGCCTCGGCCTCCCAAAGTGCTGGGATTACAGGCGTGAGCCACCGCGCCCGGCCAATTTTTTTTTTCTTTTTTTGTAGAGATGGGAGTCTCACTATGATGCCCAGAGTGGTCTTGAACTCTTGGCCTCAAGTCATCCTCCTGCCTCAGTCTCCCAAATCTTTGTTAACTTTTTATTGATATATATGGACTTCCATAGGTTTTTCATTTGCAGATTTTCAAAGGTGTGGTAAACAGAGAAGCCTAGAAGCCTGTTAAAAGTAGGGCTAAGGATCTTGGGACATTACTGACTTTCCCATTCCTTCTGAAGCACCATGGAGGGAAATGAATTTCCAAGGGCCCTTGTGTTCTAATTTCTGTTATTTCAGAGAAGCCTGTATGGAGCATATGTTAAGTGGTCATCCAGTCATATTTAAGGGAACTGTGTGTTACCTTCCATTCCTGTAGCCCAAGTTCTAAGTGTGGGTTTATTCTTGACTTGCTGCATTGGAATCTCTTGGATCATAGGACCAAGGATGGGGCCAAGTAAGGTTCTCTTCTTTCTCCTCAGCAGGATCAAAAATTACTGCTGCCATGAAGTCTGTGGCCCTAGTGTTTTGTTTTTGTTTCTGTTTTTGTTTGAGATGGACTTTCACTCTTGTTGCCCAGGTTGGAATGCAATGGCGTGATCTTGGCTCACTGCAACCTCTGCCTCCTGGGTTCAAGCGATTCTCCTGCCTCAGCCTCCCGAGTAGCTGGGATTACAGGCATGCAACACCACGCCCAGCTAATTTTGTATTTTTAGTAGAGATGGGGTTTCTCCACGTTGGTCAGGCTGGTCTTGAACTCCCAACCTCAGGTGATCCGCCCACCTTGGCCTCCCATAGTGCTGGGATTACAGGCGTGAGGCATGGTGCCTAGCCTGGTGTTTTGTTTTTAATCTTTTCTGTGATTTTATAAAAGAAAGTTGCCTCCAGTCTTAGGTTCACGTAGTTTCTCTATGGGGCACACATCTTGTACATACAGGAAAGGCTACAGACTGGGTAAAATATTGTCTCTTGGTTAATTGGTTAGTCAGCTCAATAATAATTGAGATGTACTTTGTGCAGGGTCCAGTACTGAGAGTAATAAAGGAATTAGGAAACAAGCTCTTACTAGTAGTACATCTTGCGAAGATACACATATAAAATAAATTTAAACACAATTATAGGCCGGGCACGGTGGCTCACGCCTGTAATCCTAGCACTTTGGGAGGCCGAAGCGGGCAGATCACCTGAGGTCGGGAGTTTGAGATCAGCCTGACCAACATGGAGAAACCCCATCTCTACTAAAAATACAAAAAATTAGCCAGACATGGTGGCGCATGCCTGTAATTCCAGCTACTCAGGAGGCTGAGGCAGGACAATCGCTTGAACCCAGGAGGCGGAGGTTGCAGTGAGCCGAGATTGTGCCATTGCACTCCAGCCTGGGCAACAAAAGCAAAACTCCATCTCAGAAAAAAACCAGAATAAAACAAAAACAACAACATAATTACAGAGTAACAGTCAGAACAAGTACAAATAAATCAGCAAAAGCCAGTACTTGTGAACTGATGGGAAAAGAGAGTTGGGTGGAGTTAGTCAATGAGGACTTTCTGGAAAAGGTGAGTGTTGAAGGAAGGGAGGGGCCCCGGTTTGCCGAAAAAGATGAGGAGGTCATACCAGCAATAATGCCTGAGCAATGGTAGAGAAGAGAAGAATGAGCAAGCTGTAAGGGCCAAGCATTAAACTGGTTAGCTTGTTAAGACTGGAGAATATATGTTAAAGGATAAGAAAAAACAAGTCTGGGAAAATGATAAGGACAGTTCATGGAGAGCCTTAAATGGTTATGAATTAAATTTGCTTTAACAGACATAATGAAAATAACATTTTGAGAAGCTGAGAAACAGACGAACTATAATAAAATACAACTGGAGAGTTAGGGCCAGGCGCGGTGGCTCACGCCTGTAATCCCAGCACTCTGGGAGGCCGAGGCGGGCGGATCACGATGTCAGGAGATCGAGACCATCCTGGCTAACACGGTGAAACCCTGTCTCTACTAAAAATACGAAAAATTAGCTGGGCTTGGTGGCGGGTGCCTGTAGTCCCAGCTACTCGCGAGGCTGAGGAAGGAGAATGGCTTGAACCTGGGAGGCGGAGCTTGCAGTGAGCCGAGATCGTGCCACTGCACTCCAGCCTGGGCGGCAGAGCGAGACTCTGTCTCAAAAACAAAACAAAACAAAACAAAACTGGAGAGTCAGAACAACAGGGAATCTGCTGCAAGATTCTCAGGAGAGAAAAAAAAAATGCCTAGGTCCTAACTGTGGCTCTACCAATTATTAGTGTATGACCTTAGGCAAGTCCTTGAATTTCTGTGTGCCTGTTTCCTCAAATGTGAAATGGGGATAATGGTGTCCACCTCACAGAGTTGTTGAGAATAATTAAATGAATTAATATATGAAAAGTGTTGGCCAGGCATAGTGGCTCACACTTCTAATCCCAGCACTTTGGGAGGCCGAGGTGGGCGGATCACTTGAGGACAGGAGTTCGAGACCAGCCTGGCCAACATGGTGAAATCCCATCTCTACTAAAAATACAAAAAAATTAACCGGGTGTGGTGGTGGGCACCTGTAATCCCAGCTACTTGGGTGGCTGAGGCAGGAGAATTGCTTGAACCCAGGAGGTGGAGGTTGCAGTGAGCCGAGCTCACACCATTGCACTCCAGCCTGGGCAACAAGAGCGAAACTGCATCTCAAAAAAAACCCAAAACAAAAGAAAAAAAAACAAAATGTTTAGTAAGCACTCGATAAACATTCAATTACAGTTAATTAAATTATTATTATATGGGCTGGGCGTGGTGGTTCATGACTGTAATCCCAGCCCTTAGGGAGGCCTAGGCAGGTGGATCACCTGAGGTCAGGAGTTTGAGACCAGCCTGGCCAACATGGTGAAACCCAGTCTCTACTAAAAATACAAAAATTAAAAAAAGAAAAAGAAATAAAAAGAAAAAAAGAAAAAATAAACAAGAAAAACAAAACAAAACAAACAAACAAATAAAACTAAAAATACAAAAATTAGCCAGGCATGGTGGCGGGCACCTATAATCCCAGCTACTTAGGAGGCTGGGGCAGGAGAGTCGCTTGAACCCGGGGGGCCGAGGTTGCAGGAGCCAATATCATGCCATTGCAATCCAGCCTGGGCAACAAGAGCGAAACTCCATCTCAAAAAAAAAAAAAGTGTTTAGTAAGCACTCGATAAACATTCAATTACAGTTAATTAAGTTATTATTATATGGGCTGGGCACAATGGTTCATGTCTGTAATCTCAGCCCTTTGGGAGGCCTAGGTGGGCAGATCACCTGAGGTCAGGAGTTTGAGACCAGCCTGGCTAACATGGTGAAACTCCATCTGTACTAAAAATACAAAAATTAGTCGGGCATGGTCGTGGGCGCCTGTAATCCCAGCTACTGAGGAGGCTGGGGCAGGAGAATTGCTTGAACCCATGAGGTGGAGGTTGCAGTGAGCTTAGATCACGCCACTGCACTCCAGCCTGGGTGACAGAGGAGACTCCAGCTCAAAAAAAAAAATTATTATATGTTATTTAAATTATTATTTCTCTGACCAGTAAGTGGTCATAGAACTACATATATATAAGAAAAGGCCCCATCTCACACCTTAGTTTGAAAGGATTGCAGATTTTCAATCTGCCTTTCTGAAAAGTATGTAGGATTCAGAGGCTAAGAGGCCAGGCCCAGAGTCCAAAATTGTGCTGCCCAGTACAAGAGCCACTAACCACACGTGACTACTGATCACGTGAAATGTGGATAGTCAGAATTTAGATGTGCTATAAATGTAAAATACACGCTGGATTTCAAAGTTGGTGTGAAGAAAATAAGTAAAATATCTCATTAATTTTTTTTTTTTTTTGAGACGGAGTTTCGCTCTTTTTGCCCAGGCTGAAGTGCAGTGCTGTGATCTCAGCTCACTGCAACCGCCGCCTTCTGGGTTCAAGTGATTCTTCTGCCTCAGCCTCCAGAGTAGCTGGCTAGGATTACAGGCATGCGCCACCATGCCTGGCTAATTTTTGTATTTTTAGTAGAGACGGGATTTCACCATGTTGGTCAGGCTGGTCTTGAACTCCTGACCTCAGGTTATTCACCTGCCTTGGCCTCCCAAAGTGCTGGGATTACAGGCGTGAGCCACCGTGCCCGGCCTCATTAATATTTTTTATATTGATTACATGTTGAAATGATAATATTTTGGATATGTTGGGTTAAATAAGATGTGTTTTCATTTGTTTCCTTTTTACTTTTTTGTGATGTGGCTACTGTAAGATTTAATACTACCTAGTGGTTCACAGTATGTTTCTGCTGGACAGTACTGGTCCATTACAACATACTACATTCAGTTTTGGAAATTACAGGGTTCTATCTGAGAAATTTCTATAAAGAAATATGAAGATTATGGATAAATCTCCTTGCCTTTGACACTTTAAATAACATTTTTTAAATTGTTATTTCATTTTTATTTTTTTAGAGACAGGGCCTCACTCTGTCATCTGGAGTGCAGTGGCACCATTACAGCTCACTGCAGCCTCCATCCACCTCCTGGGCTCAAGTGATCCTCCCGTCTCAGCCTCCCGAGTAGCTGGGATCATAGGCACACGTCACCACACCTGGGCCCACTGTTTTTTTTTTTTTTGAGACAGAGTCTCGTTGTAGCCCAGGCTGGAGTGTAGTGGCGTGATCTTGGCTCGCTGCAACCTCCGCCTCCCGGGTTCAAGCGATTCTCCTGCCTCAGCCTCCCTAGTAGCTGGGACTACAGGCACATGACACTATGCCAGGCTAATTTTTGTATTTTTAGTAGAGATAGGGTTTCACCATATTGGCCAGGCTGGTCTCGAACTCCTGACCTCGTGATCCACCTGCCTCAGCCTCCCAAAGTGCTGGGATTACAGGTGTGAGCCACCGTACCTGGCCCTGGCCCCCCTTTTTAAAGATAATTTCAGTTACATTATATATATATATATATATATATATATATATATATATATGCATTTATATATATACCTCCTCAATTTGCAAGGTATCTACAGAACTGAGAGAGCCACAGATAGTTCACCATTAAAGAGGCCATGATTGCTGAAGGATCTTTTAGTTTAAAAAGAAACAAAGATGAAAATGGGGAAAAGGTGAAACATCCCATTTTATTTTATTATTTATTTATTTTTTTTTTTTTGAGACAGAGTCTCACTCTGTCGCCCAGGCTGGAGTGCAGTGGCGCAATCTCGGCTCACTGCAACCTCCACCTCCCGGGTTCAAGCGATTCTCCTACCTCAGCCTCCCGAATAGCTGGGACAACAGGCGCCCGCCACCAAGCCCGGCTATTTTTTTTTTTTGTATTTTTAGTAGAGACGGGGTTTCACCATATTGGCCAGGCTGGTGTTGAACTCCTAACCTTGTGATCCGCCCGCCTCGGCCTCCCAAAGTGCTGGGATTACAGGCGTGAGCCACCGCGACCGCCCGAAACATCCCATTTTAAACATTAAATCATGGAAACAAAAATATAGTTTTTGAAATCACTCCCTCAAAAGTCCAGATCTCATTGGTTGAAGTAACCTAGATTATTAAAGGTTTTTTTTTTTTTTTTTTTTTGAGACGGAGTCTTGCTCTGTCGCCCAGACTGGAGTGCAGTGGCGCGATTTCGGCTCACTGCAAGCTCCGCCTCCCGGGTTCACGCCATTCTCCTGCCTCAGCCTCCTGAGTAGCTGGGACTACAGGCGCCCGCCACCACGCCCGGCTAATTTTTTGTACTTTTAGTAGCGACGGGGTTTCACCATGTTAGCCAGGATGGTCTCGATCTCCTGACCTCGTGATCCGCCCGCCTCGGCCTCCCGAAGTGCTGGGATTACAGGCGTGAGACACCGCGCCCGGCTATTAAAGGTTTTATAACAAAACTTTCAAATCATCCTTTGAATTTGCTACTAACAGGAACTGAGGCCAGAGAGGCTCAAGTCAGGGCTTTTCGCTGACCTGGAGGCAGAATCCAGTTTGGGGTTTTGCTTGTAACTGGTATTTTATGCATGCGACCCTGGCTGAACTGACCAACTGCGTAGGCTTCAGTTTCCCGAGGGCCCCTTATGCCTTTCCTTCCTCTGATCAAGCCCTTCCCGGCTCCTTCCAGTTGGAAGGCCGCCCCCAGTCCTGAGCGGCGCCGACAGGTGCAGCGCCCGCCTCCCGCCCTGCGCTCGCGCGGGCAACCCTACGCCCTCCCGCCCCGCCGGCCGCGCCCTCGTCCTCGCCGCTCCGCCCTCTGCCCCGGCGTGCGCGCGCACTCCACGGGGGCGCGCCCGGCCGGCGGGGCCGCGCACGCAGCCGCCGCCACCACTTCCCCCTCTCCATCCCTCCTTGCTGGCCCTCCTCCCCTTCCCTCCCCTCCGCCCCCTTCCCCGTAGGCAGCTCGCCCGCCAGTCCGCCCGCACCGCCTCCTTCCCAACCCCTAGCGCTCCGGCTGGGTCTCTCCCCCGCCCCCCAGGCTCCCCCGGTCGCTCTCCTCCGGCGGTCGCCCGCGCTCGGTGGATGTGGCTGGCAGCTGCCGCCCCCTCCCTCGCTCGCCGCCTGCTCTTCCTCGGCCCTCCGCCTCCTCCCCTCCTCCTTCTCGTCTTCAGCCGCTCCTCTCGCCGCCGCCTCCACAGCCTGGGCCTCGCCGCGATGCCGGAGAAGAGGCCCTTCGAGCGGCTGCCTGCCGATGTCTCCCCCATCAACTGCAGCCTTTGCCTCAAGCCCGACTTGCTGGACTTCACCTTCGAGGGCAAGCTGGAGGCCGCCGCCCAGGTACAGCGACCCTCGGGCCCCGGGGCAAGCTGCGGGGCGAGCAGTTAGGCCGCGCCCGCGGGCTGGACTCAGGGCCCGGCCGGGAGGGCGGGCGGGCCTCGAGTCGGGGCTGGGCGGCCGCAGGGCGCCGGGTTCGGCGTGCTCTGCCTTTCTCTGTTGGGGCTGGGGCTGGGGCTGGGGCTGGGGCTGGGGCTGGGGCCGGGGCAGGGACCGTGGCCGGAGCTGAGGCTGGGGCTCGGGCTGAGGCCGCGCTGCGGGAGCTCTGGGGAGCCGGCGGCCCGGCCATTGCGCCCCTCCCCGGCGAGCACACCTGTGTGGGGCTTTCCCCCCCGCCCCGGACCCTTCTGGGCTTGATAGTGTTCCGGGGGAGGCTGGAGGGTGTTGGGGGAGGACGGAGAGGTCATGGGAGTCCCCGCTCTGCCTAACCACCTGACTCAGTTCTTTCTTTGGTTTCTCTCTACACCTCTCGGGTGATAGATTGGAGGGAGTGGTCATTTGGGACTCTGGCCGCCGCGTTGGAGCGAGGAGGGGAGCTTCTAGAAGGGCGGGAGAGGGTGAGAACGAGAATGTTAATCCTAGGCAGCCTCTCTGACTTCTCCCCGCCTGCTCCAGCCCAGGGGCTGGGTTTCCAAGATGATCCGCCCCCTCCCCCTTTCCCTCAAGTGACAGTGCAGCAGTGACTTTGTTCTCTCCTAACCTCTAGAGAAGCTGTGGGAGGACCCCATCTCCGCTTTTCCACCTATCTTCCTAGCTTTGCGGCCTTCGAAGCTGGTGGATTTATTGCTACCGTGATGGTTGCTTAGCAGTACCTTCCTCTCCCAAGAAGCTGGCTGGGCGCAGTGGCTCATGCCTGTAATCCCAGCACTTAGGGAGGCTGAGGCGGGCGCACTTGAGGTCAGGAGTTCGAGACCAGCCTGACCAACATGGTGAAACCCCCGTCTCTACTAAAAATACAAAAATTATCGGGGCGTGGTGGCGGGCCCCTGTAATCTCAGCTACTCGGGAGGCTAAGGCAGGAGAATCACTTGAACCCGGGGGGCAGAGGTTGCAGAGTCGAGATCGCGCCACTGCATTCCTGCATTCCAGCCTGGGCGACAGAGTGAGACTCCGTCTCAAAAAAAAAAAAAAAAAAAAGGAAAGAAAGAAGCTATTAGTTATAACATACCACCGGTGAAAATATTCCATTACTCTTCACTGCAGTTTTTGGTGAATCATACTCCCCTCCCTCCTCCCGCAGCATTATCTGAAGTATTGTTTGATTTTGGAGACCATCAGTATAGATGCCCGACAAACATCCTGCACAATAGGCATTTATGATACTATGTAACAGGAAGCCTGTAATAAAAATGGGAACTGTTTGATAGTTATCTGTAAATAGAATGTTAGTAAATATATTTTGTTTCATTTCTTTTCCTACTGCAGTCTGGGGTCGGGGGAAATCAGTAGGCTCCCACCTTAAAGAACATGGTGTATATAGTAATGAAATGAAGTGAAGACTTGTGCTCGAATGAATTGAATGTTGGTAGTTGTCTTTGAAAACCAAGAGGGTACGGTACTCAGATTAAAAATATGTCTAAAAGTACAGAATTTAAAAGTATAGTTATCTATACTTTATACTTATCTGTGATAGATAACTATAGCTGTCACATTTGGGGCATTGGTGTGAAAGCAAGAGGGCTCTAGGATTTGGCAGCATCAAAAGGCAGAACTTAGTGAAAATCAGGTGATTTAAAATTTTTCCATTAAGAATATGAATCAGAACGAATGCATCTTGGGTCTAAATTAGAATTTGAGAAGGTTATTTGGGAAACTGTGGCTTAAGCCAAGTGACTAGAGTGTTTGATATATATTGGCAAGGGGCAGATGGGAGGGATTGTAAACAGTAGTGTGTCTTGTGACTTGGCAAACCTTTGGGAAAGAGAACCTAGTGATGAATGAGTTCGCATTATGTGAAAAGACTAACATTAAAAAAAACATTTGTTTCTTTACCCCATTAGTTGCCAAAATGGATTCATAATTTTTGGAGGCAGACATATTTTGGGAAAAGTCTAGAAAAAAGTACAGATTTTTAAATAATTACTTATTAAAGAAGTGAGTTTGATTTAAGTATCGGGATAGAACAACAAGCAGTGACATGTTTCTCCTTACCTCTTTTCTACTTTAGTGGAAGACTGGTTTGTGCCATTGAGTGAGCATATGGTAATATACTAGATATTAGCAGGGACTTGTTAATTTGATGCAAGGAAATAAATAAAAAATAAATAAATTTTGTAAGTAGCATGAACTTTTCAAAACACTTTTTTTCCAGAAATTCTTTTCAGGCTAGATGGCAACACAAAGATGACGCAATAGTGAATTCCAACAGGTTTTATTAAAGGATGATTGGACTTTTAAATTGTACTAATTGACATGTTTGGAAGGGTAAAAAAATTAACATTGGTAAGAAGTAAAAAGCATATATTAATGTTTTTGAAATCCATGAATTAGAGCAATACGTTTAAATTGTGGCATTAGGTGGTATCTTGTGGGAATTTTAAAATATTCACAAAATTCTTTTTTTTTTTTTGAGATGGAGTCTCGCTCTGTCGCCCAGGCTGGAGTGCAGTGGCACGATCTCGCCTCACTGCAAGCTCTCTGCCTTCCGGGTTCACGCCATTCTCCTGCCTCAGCCTCCCAGGTAGCTGGGACTACAGGTGCCCGCCACTGCGCCCAGCTAATTTTTTGTATTTTTAGTAGAGATGGGGTTTTACTGTGGCCTCGACCTCCTGACCTCGTGATCT
The DNA here is from genome assembly GCF_000001405.40 of Homo sapiens. NCBI lineage: Eukaryota > Metazoa > Chordata > Mammalia > Primates > Hominidae > Homo > Homo sapiens. Next base: position 38,254,117 of record NC_000017.11, on the reverse strand, counting down.
GCCCGCCTCGGCCTCCCAAAGAGCTGGGATTACGGGCGTGAGCCACTGTGCCTGGCGACAAAATTCTTTTTTTTTTTTTTTTTTTTAAATTTATTTTTTTACTGATAATTCTTGGGTGTTTCTCACAGAGGGGGATTTGGCAGGGTCATGGGACAATAGTGGAGGGAAGGTCAGCAGATAAACAAGTGAACAAAGGTCTCTGGTTTTCCTAGGCAGAGGACCCTGCGGCCTTCCGCAGTGTTTGTGTCCCTGATTACTTGAGATTAGGGATTGGTGATGACTCTTAACGAGCATGCTGCCTTCAAGCATCTGTTTAACAAAGCACATCTTGCACCGCCCTTAATCCATTTAACCCTGAGTGGACACAGCACATGTTTCAGAGAGCACAGGGTTGGGGGTAAGGTCACAGATCAACAGGATCCCAAGGCAGAGGAATTTTTCTTAGTGCAGAACAAAATGAAAAGTCTCCCATGTCTTCTACTTTCTACACAGACACAGCAACCATCCGATTTCTCAATCTTTTCCCCACCTTTCCCGCCTTTCTATTCCACAAAGCCGCCATTGTCATCCTGGCCCGTTCTCAATGAGCTGTTGGGCACACCTCCCAGACGGGGTGGTGGCCGGGCAGAGGGGCTCCTCACTTCCCAGTAGGGGTGGCCGGGCAGAGGCGCCCCTCACCTCCCGGACGGGGCGGCTGGCCGGGCAGGGGGACAAAATTCTTATCTGTAGAAACCTATATTTATGACTGATATTGGATCAGTTTCCTAACAGTTGGAATCACATAACACAAAATATGCAAGTTGCTTAGTTGCTTTAGTTACAAAATTTTACGATAAGCCCAGAGTATTTGTACAGGTTACATATTAGAAACTTAGTGGATTTATTTTATTTTTTATTTTTATTTTTTTGAGACGGAGTTTCGCTCTTTCTCCCAGGTTGGAGTGAAGTGGTGTGATCTCGACTCACTGCAGCCTCCACCCTGTCCCCCTGCCGGGTTCAAGTGAGTCTCCTTGCCTCAGCCTCCTGGGTAGCTGGGACTACAGGTGTGTGCCATCACGCCCAACTAATTTTTGTATTTTTAGTAGAGATGGGGTTTTGCCATGTTGGCCAGGCTGGTCTCGAACTCCTGACCTCAGGTGATCCCCTTCCCTTGGCCTCCCAAAGGGCTGGGATTATAGGCATGAGCCACCATGCCCGGCCAACTTAGTGGATTTTTAACCTGGCCTGGGGTGTGGACTGCTGCAGAAGGTGAAGAAATTAGTCCATGTTCAGTGATTTAAAAATTAGTTGTCTTGGCCGGGCACGGTGGCTCACACCTGTAATCCCAGCACTCTGGGAGGCCGAGGCGGGCGGATCACGAGGTCAGGAGATCGAGACCATCCTGGCTAACATGGTGAAACCCCATCTCTACTAAAATACAAAAAATTAGCTGGGCGTGGTGGCGGGAGCCTGTAGTCCCAGCTACTCAGGAGCCTGAGGCAGGAGAATGGCGTGAATCTGGGAGGCGGAGCTTGCAGTGAGCTGAGATTGCGCCACTGCACTCCAGCCTGGGCGACACAGCAAGACTCTGTCTCAAAAAAAAAAAAAAAAAAAAAAAAATTAGTTGTCTTTCACATTAGTGTGGTCTAGCTGGTTTTGAAAATTTGTTATTATACAGAAGTTTCTCTAGGCCCAAAATTTATTTCATTCCCTGTCCCCTCCCTTTACACTGGATACTTGAGAGCAGTGGACTTTTGTAGATATTTCATATTTTGATCCTCTCCGTTTGTGGATAATTAATTAAAATGAATTATAAGTTTATGTGTGTGACTACTATTTATGATTATGAGTGTGTAGTGGTTGGTACAATAATTGGGTATTCTTTTTTTTTTTTTTTTTTTTGAGATGGAGTCTTGCTCTGTCACCCAGGCTGGAGTGCAGTGGTGCGATCTTGGCTCACTGCAGCCTCTGCCTCCCGGGTTCAAGCAATTCTCCTGCCTCAGCCTCCTGAGTAGCTGGGACTACAGGCACGCGCCGCCATGCCTGGCTGATTTTTTTGTATTTTTAGTGGAGATGGGGTTTCACCATATTAGCCAGGATGGTCTTGATCTCCTGACCTCATTCCATCTTCCTCGGCCTCCCACAGTGTTGGGATTACAGGCGTGAGCCACCGTGCCCAGCTGGGCTTTCTCTTATGGAAATACTTTACCTGTGCCAGAGAAACTAAGTTTATCATTCAAGGCCAGAAATCAGGATATCCTAGCCAACCCCTGGCCTCTACTAACAAAATATTCATGTTGGAGATAACTAAATTGGCACTAAGTGAAGAGTTGCCAATATAGAAGTTTGTTTGGCATATTAAAAATTTGGCACCTGAATGGTTATTGTCAATTCTGTGTTACAAATTTTTTGCCCAAATTCTGCATATTTTCTCTTTTTTTTTTTTTTTTTTTTTTTGAGATGGAGTTTCGCTCTTGTTGCCCAGGCTGGAGTGCAGTGGCATGATCTCAGCTCACTGCAGCCTCCACCCCCCCAGGTTCAGGCAGTTCTCCTGCCTTAGCCTCCCAAATAGCTGGGATTACAGGCATGTGCCACCACGCCCAGCTAATTTTTTCTGTTTTTAGTAGAGACGGGGTTTCTCCATGTTGGTCAGGCTGGTCTCGAACTCCTGACCTCCGGTGATCCACCTGCCTCAGCCTCCCAAAGTGCTGGGATGATGGGCGTGAGCCACCGAGCCACCGTGCCTGGCTTCTTTTTTTTTTTTTTGAGACGGAGTTTTGCTCTTGTTGCCCAGGCTGGAGTTCAATGGCGCGATCTCGGCTCACCGCAACCTCTGCCTCCCAGGCTCAAGCGTTTCTCTTGCCCCAGCCTCCAGAGTAGCTGGGATTACAGGCGCGCACCACCAAGCCCAGCTAATTTTTTGTATTTTTAGTAGAGAGAGGGTTTCATCATGTTGGCTAGGCTGGTCTCAAACTCCTGACCTCAGGTGATCCACCCGCCTTGGCCTCTCAAAATGCCGGGATCACAGGCATGAGCCACCGTGCCTGGCCATTTTCTGCATATCTTCTATGTAATCATTTTGGCCGACACTGTGGCTCACTCCTGTAATCTTAGCACTTTGGGAGGTGGAGGTGGGAGAATTGCTTGAGCACAGGAGTTTGATACCAGTGTGGGCAACATAGCAAGACCCTGTCTCCAGGGAAAAAAAAAAAAGGAAGAAATTTTCTTAAAAAAAATTCATATATATAAAATTAAATTCAAAATATTGGTGATAAGGAATTGAATTTGTTCAGATTTTCTGTTTTTTGAAATGTATCTATGAGGAAAGAAGTATAATAGTTTTGTATGCTAAGCTTTGTCTAATTCATCTGGCAATGAATTCTGCAGTGATTTTTCCAGATAACTGAAGTTTACCCTTTGAGGCCCTTAGACATTTTTAAAAAAGTTTACTAGGCTGGGTGTGGTGGCTCACGCCTGTAATCCCAGCACTTTGGGAGGCTGAGGTGGGTGGATCATGAGGTCAGAAGTTTGAGACCAGCCTGGACAACATGATGAAACCCCATCTCTACAAAAAAATACAACAATTAGCCGGGCGTGGTGGCACATGCCTGTAATCCCAGCTACTCGGGAAGCTGAGACAGGAGAATTGCTTGAACTCAGGAAGCGGAGGAGCGGAGGTTGCGGTGAGCTGAGATCACGCCATTGCACTCCAGCCTGGGTGACACAGCGAGACCCTGTCTTAAAAAAAAAAAAAGTTGACTAATCTGAATGGAAATATTTCTAAAATACATTATCTTTTTATGCTTTGCAATTCCTCATAGTGTAGGTTTGTTTCATTGTTTTTTTTAAATACTGAACTTTATTCTGAACATCTCTTATTGACCCCAAACTATGTACTATAATTTATCAGTTTCATGTCTGTTTTTTTTTCTTTTTTTTTCTTTTTGAGACGGAGTTTCGCTCTGTTGCCCAGGCTGGAGTGCAGTGGCACAATCTCGGCTCACTGCAACCTCTGCCTCCCGGGTTCAGGCAGTTCTCCTGCCTCAGCCTCCCTAGTAGCTGGGATTACAGGCATGCACCACCACGCCTGGCTAATTTTGTATTTTTAGTAGAGACAGGGTTTCACCATGTTGGCCAGGCTGGTCTTGAACTCCTGACATCAGGTGATCTGCCTGCCTCCGCCTGCCAAAGTGCTGGGATTACAAGTGTGAGCCACCGCGCCAAGCCATATCTGTTCTTTTTTTTTTTTTTTTTTTTTGAGACAGAGTCTCACTCTGTTGCCTAGGCCAGGCTGGAGTGTGCAGTGGTGCGATCTCGGCTCACTGCAACCTCCACTTCCCTAGTTCAAGGGATTCTCCTGCCTCAGCCTCCCTAGTAGCTGGGATTACAGGTGCATGCCACCACACCTGGCTAATTTTTGTATTTCTGTAGAGACCAGGTTTCACCATGTTAGCTAGGCTGGTCTCAAACACCCGACCTCAGGTGATCCGCCCGCCTCTGCCTCCCAAAGTGCTGGGATTACAGGCATGACCCACCGCGCCTAGTCCATATCTGTTCTTTTTTTTTTTTTTTTTTTTTTGAGACAGAGTCTTGCTCTGTTGCCAAGGCCGGAGTGCAGTGGCGTGATCTCAGCTCACTGCAACCTCCGCCTCCCGGGTTTAAGCGATTCTCCTGCCTCATCCAAGTAGCTGGGACTACAGGCACCTGCCATCATGCCAGGCTAATTTTTGAATTTTTAGTAGAGAAGGGGTTTCACCATATTGGCCAGGCTGGTCTCGAACTCGTGACCTTGTGATCCACCCGCCTCGGCCTCCCAAAGTGCTGGGATTACAGGCCTGAGCCACCGCACCCGGCTAGCCTGTGTCTGTTCTTTAAAATTGTTTTGTTTTCCTTACTCTCAGATTCTTCTTGCTGCTTATTGTGCCTTGTTGCTGCCTGTTGTGCAATTTCTTCCCTCTTGTATTTTACTGAACTTCATCTGAAGAAGCCTTAGTAGCCAGATAAACAAGCTTGTTTGGGCTAAAAAATCAATTGCTGTGTGAGAGTTTGTTGGATTCTCTTCTGAGTAAAGGGTATGTGTTTTATTGTACGGACTTTGTATCACCTATTTTGGCTTTTCATCCAGGCCTTTTTTTTTTTCTTTCTTTTTAGCTTCCTGGTTCTAGATACAACTGATACTCTGATACAACCTGGGTAAATGTGGTCTTGAGTAGTAAATTATCTGTGAAGCTTCTCCGAACTTTGCCACATAAATGAGCCTGCTCTTGTTGTGAAGTAAATCTTACTCTAATCTGTATGTGAGTCAGTGGGAAATAACTGAGCCTTCGGATGGCTTTTGTTGTTAACTGAGATTAGTTCTCTAGATTTTAGTGATTTTGTTTTGAACACCATACAAGTATGTGGTTCTTGGTTTATTTGGTCACTTGTAATCTCTTTAAAATTTTATTTTAAATTAGGAAGTATTTTAGAAATACAAGAAAGTCACACACTATGAGATTAAACAGATGTTAACATTTTGCCCCATTTTCATCAGACTGTGCATGCTTTTTTTGGGGGGGAATAAAATGTCACAGATACCACTAAAGCCCGTTTCCATCTCGTCCCACCCTGCCTCTAGAAGTAACTTCTTTCTTCAGGTAGGTGCGTATTATTCCTTTTTATTCCTACGTATAGTTTAAAACTTTAATTGCATATTAGTAGCCACAAACATCACATACCAATATTCTGTGCCTTTTGCATTTTTACATTAATGGTAATTATTTTTGACCTTCTGCAAATGGCTCTTTTCAGTGTTTCTTGTTAGAAAACTTGGCTCAACTTGAGTTTACTAATTATCTGCTTCTTCTTGTCTTTAGCTATTATAGAACTGTTCCACCAAGGCAACAATTATTGCTATTTTAATGGTGAAATCAGTTTTATTAGGCAAATTGACTCAGGCTTCAGACTGGCATTTGGAATTGTCACACTGGAGATTTTCTTTTACTGAAGTCTCAGGACATTGACAATCAGAAAAAAACCCTCTTGAGTCTTACTATCGTACATGTAAGATATGTTCCTGAGTGACTATAGTAAAGACTCATTCAGGAAAATGTTATCTCCGATTTCTGCCTCCCTAGCTCATAGGAAACTTCCATTGTAAAGTTGTTACCAGGCGTCAAGCTGCCTCTTTGGTACAGCCCTTACTTAGTATTTGGCTCAGTTGAAGTGCAGTCTATATAGGAGGCCAAGAAGACTTAATCCTGGGTTTGAAACAAAGCAAGGATACACTAACATTCTATCCTTTAATAACATCAAGTAGAAAAATTGAAAATGAGCTTGTTATCAGTGCACTTTTATATGCCAACCTTGTTTCACTTGTGTTTTAAACTGGGAAACTGAAGATTTTAATGCTGAAATTTCTTTGAATTATTACCTGTTTTTTTGATAGTGGAACACACAGCTAATATTTACTAATATGAAGGTGTCAAAGGTGAGAAATCATGTACTACACCATCAGGTCAGCACTACTGTTTGGAAGAGCAGCATCACAAAGAGCAGTGTTATACTGCGTTGTAGTCAGCACATACACTTATGTCCAGACAGATATTTTAAATTACCTTCTTGGGGTAGTACACATATGCTGATATCCAAAGTGCCATATAATACAATACATAGTTTTTAAACTTCATATCATTCTGATCAGAAGCTTTATAAACTGTTAGGTGAATGCTGTTAGATGATATGAGAGCACAATTTAACCTGTGTGTGTGTATATGTATGTCTTAACATCTATTAAGTGATGACTACATATGAGGCACTAAGTGCTAAAACAGAGACTTTACATAGATTATCCCATTATTGGTCAACTTTTTAAATAAGTGCATCTCTAATATAAGACAAGATGCTGACCAATTTTTAAAATGTGAATGGATTTCTATTTTTAAGATAAGTACCTTTGTTCCTTTGGTTCCTCCCTCCCACCCTTCCAGAAATGGTAGTATCCTGGAAAAAAAAAATTAGTAGCAATTCAAGAAACAGCTTAATTCATTAGTATAAATAGATGAGTTTCCCCTAAACACAGGAGGAGTTGGAAGGTACTTGAAATTGGATGTTGTGCATGGTGCCTTTCCAAAATGCACAAATACTTTCTCTCAAATGGTTGCAGTAGTAATGTGCTGTGTGATTTGGCATGTATAATGTTGTACAGGTATCTTGACATTGGTGGATTAACTGCTTGGCTACTGTGAAATTCACTGTAGATGTTGATGGATGAAAGTGTGGTTGCCTAGGTAATGATTAAGACCAGTAACTAAACCACAGTTATTATTTTGCTGGCATAAACTTCAAACTCAGAAAGGTTTTTATTCATTTTACCCATTGGAGCATACCCCAGTAAGTGCTTCATTTCTTTGTGTTTCTGATTTTTTTTTTTTTTAAGATGGAGTCTTGCTTTTGTCGCCCAGGTTGGAGTGCAATGGCGCGATTTCGGCTCACTGCAACCTCCACCTCCTGGGTTCAAGCGATTCTCCTGCCTCAGCCTCCCGAGTAGCTGGGATTACAGGTGCCTGCCACCACGCCCAGCTAATCTTTGTATTTTTAGTAGAGATGGGGTTTCACCATGTTAGCCAGGCTGGTCTCGAACCCCTGACCTCGTGATCCACCCACCTTGGCCTCCCAAAGTTCTGGGATTACAGGCATGAGCTGCCGTGCCCAGCCATGTTTCTGAATTTTTAAGTCAACTTCTGAATAGGCAAAGAATTCTTTTTGTTTTTTTGTTCAACTTTAGTGCTATAAATCGCCAGTTGGACACAAAGGTTTTAGTGCTATTTAGGTATGTTTTGGTGAAATAGTGTGAAGGAATATTGCTGCTTAAAAGATAAGCCATTCATTAAATGACGTCTTTGTTTTGAAACATGAAGACTTATGAGAAGCATTTTTTTTGTAAGCCAAAGTAGTTTCACTTTATGTGTTACAGATTTTGAATAGCTCATTATAGACTTTGTAATTTACTGTCTCTCATTTAGGCAGGTAATTTTAGTTGCCAGCTAATCATGTTTAAATATGTATTGGTTATTAATAAATGATTACCCGTATACAGGTCTTTCATGCAGATAGCGTACTACTCTGATGTTCTTACCTAGTTTTGTGGTATGTTCAGTTGTCTAAGAGCATTGTTGATCTGCACACAGATTTTGTTTGGTCTATACAGTGTTTCTGAAAACTTGAATTAGTTACCATTAATAAAAAATAGAGAGACTGCACATGAAATCTGAATTTGTAGCTTTTAAAAAAAAAATTGGAAGATCAGGCCAGGTGCGGTGGCTCATGCCTGTAATCCCAGCACTTTGGGAGGCCGAGGCGGTCAGATCACCTGAGGTCGGGAGTTCGAGACCAGCCTGACCAACATGGAGAAACCCCGTCTGTACTAGAAATACAAAATTTACCGGGCGTGGTGGCACATGCCTGTAATCCCAGCTACTAGGGAGGCTGAGGCAGGAAAATCGCTTGAACCTGGGAGGCGGAGGTTGCGGTGAGCCGAGATCACGCCATTGCACTCCAGCCTGGGCAACAAGAGCAAAACTCCGTCTCAAAAAAAAAAAAAAAAATTGGAAGATCTGTCAGCACTAAACCTGCCAGTCACCATAGCGATAATTCTTTGGCTCCAAGAAATGGCTACCACCTCCTTCTTTTAAGGGGTTGTGCACAGCTTCCACATGGCTTGCTACACTTACCTGCCTCAGGAAGCATTTCTTTGTGATTTAGGGCATCTGTGTTTTTGTTATTTTAGATTTAGAACATTCAAATGTCTGGAAATGAATTTGAAGTTTTGTTTTAAGCAAGGTTATGACTAAATTGAAAAATGCACAAGAGGCCAGGCGTGGTGGCTCACGTCTGTAATCTCAGCACTTTGGGAGGCTGAGACGGGCGAATCACGAGGTCAGGAGTTTGAGACCAGCCTGACCAACAAGGTGAAACCCCATCTCTACTAAAAATACAAAAATTAGATGGGTGTGGTGTTGCACACCTGTAATCCCAGCTACTCAGGAGGCTGAGGCAGGAGAATCACTTGAACCTAGGAGATGGAGGTTGTAGTGAGCCAAGATCGCATCATTGCACTCCAGCCTGGGTGAGAGAGCGAGACTCCATCTCAAAAAAAAAAAAAAAAAAGAAAAATGCACAAGAGTGTTAAACAAGCAGTTCACAGTGGAAAAACTTAATGGCGCGTGCACACACACACACACACGAGAAAAGATGCATAGTAACCAATGTTATTAGTAATCAGGGAAATTCTGATTAAACCAATGGACTATCAGTACAAAAATTTTTTTTTTTAATTTTTGAGACAAAGTTTTGCTCTTGTTGCCCAGGCTGGAGTGCAATGGCTCAATCTAGCTCACTGCAACCTCCACTACCTGGGTTCAAGTGATTCTCCTGCTTCAGCCTTCCAAGTAGCTGGGATTACAGGCACGCACCACAGGCCTGGCTAATTTTTTTTTTTTTTTTTTTTTTTTTTTTTTTAGTAGAAATGGGGTTTCACCATGTTGGTCAGGCTGGTGTTGAACTCCTGACCTCAAGTGATCCACCCACCTCAGCCTCCCAAAGTGCTGGGATTACAGGCGTGAGCCACTGTGCCTGGCCAGGACTATCATTTAATACCCATTAGATTGTCAAAAATACTAAAGTTTTTCAGAACATGCTGAAAGTGGGATTTCTTCATTCTTTGCTCATGGGAATGTCAGTTGACACCACTCTAGAGGATAATTTGGCAGTTCTTGGTAAAGTTGAAGATTTATGTCCAACAATCCAGAAAGTCCACTATTAGGTTCCTTTCCATGGAAAAATTCTCTCATGTGTGCACAGGAAAACATGGACCAAGATGCTAGTTTGTTTGTTTATTTATTTATTTATTTATTTTTGAGACAGAGTCTTGCTCTGTTGCTCAGGCTGGAGCGCGGTGGCACAATCTCCGCTCACTGCAAGCTCCGTCTCCCAGGTTCACATCATTCTCCTGCCTCAGCCTCCCGAGTAGCTGGGACTACAGGCACCTGCCACCATGCCCGGCTAATTTTTTGTATTTTTAGCAGAGACGGGGTTTCACCATGTTAGCCAGGATGGTCTCGATCTCCTGACCTCATGATCCGCCTGCCTCGGCCTCCCAAAGTGCTGGGATTACAGGCGTGAGCCACCGTGCCCGGCCTTAATTTTTGTATTTTTAGTGGAGATGGGGTCTCTCTACTCTCTATGTCAGCCAGGCTGGTCTTGAATTCCTGGCCTCAAGTGATCTGCCTGCCTGACCCTCCAAAAGTGCTAGGATTACAGGTGTGAGCCACCACACTCGGTGGTAAGAGTTATTGTATAAAGTTTTGACATAATTTATAGTATCAGCCTTCTTCCTCTATCCTCACAGAAGGCCTCATGGTGAGTTTGATGTGCAGGTTAAAATATATAATTATTGCAATATGTTGTAAGAAATGTTTCCTAATTAAGATTTTTATGAAATTAAACGTATTTATTTATTTATTTTGAGATAGAGTTTCACTCTGTTACCAGGCTGGAGTGTAGTGGCAGGATTTCAGCCCACTGCAATCTCTGCCTCCCGGGTTTAAGCAATTGTCGTGCCTCAGCCCCCTGAGTAGCTGGAATTACAGGCCTATGCCACCTTGCCTGGCTGATTTTTGTATTCTTTTTTTTTTTTTTGAGACGTAGGCTCACTCTGTCGCCCAGGCTGCAGTGCAATGGTGCGATCTCGGCCCATTGCAAGCTCACCTCCTGGGTTCAAGTGATTCTCCTGCCCCTGCATCGTGAGTAGCTGGGATTACAGGTGTGTGCCACCAGACCTGGCTAATTTTTAGTAGAGATGGGGTTACACCATGTTGGCCAGGCTGATCTCAAACTCCTGACCTCAAGTGATCCGCCTGCCTCGGCCTCCCAAGGTGCCAAGATTACAGGTGTGAGCCGATGCCCCCAGCCTATTTTTATTTTTTGAGACAGAGTCTCACTCTGTTGTTCAGGCCGGAGGTCAGTGATGTAATCATAGCTCACTGCAGCCTTGCTTGACCTCCTGGGCTTAAGGGATCCTCCTCCTTCAGCCTCTCCTGTAGTTAGGACTATAGGTGGGTACCAGCACCCTCCTAATTTAAAATTTTTTTTTGTCTCACTGTGTTGCCCAAGCTGGTCTTGAATTTTTGACCTCAAGTAATCCTCCTGCCTCAGCCTCCCAAAGTGTTGGGATTACAGGCATGAGCCACTGTGCCCAGCCCTTTAATAGTTTAAAATCAAAGTTTAAGTAGAAAACATTATTTTATTTGGCTCATTGGTTAGATGTAAGTGATGTGAAATACTTAAACATCCATTATTGTTTTTAATATAATTTGGAAAATATGAGTTGCTTTGGATTATTAAAACTTCATTTATTTGTACCATTGATGCATAAATTCTCAGTCTAGGTTTTAGCGAAGTCTGGATTTTAAAAAATTGACTGTGATATTAGTTCAAGTCTTACGAACATCATTATTATTATTATTTGAGAGACACAGAGTCTTGCTCAGTTGCCCAGGATGGAGTGCAGCTGCACAATCACAGTTTATTGCAGCCTCAACCTCCTGGGCTCAAGCAGTCCTCCCACTTCAACCTCCCGAGTAGCTGGGACTATAGGCACACATCACAACTCCTGGCCAATTTTTGTATTTTTTGTAGAGATAGGGTTTCGCCATGTTTTCCAGGCTGGTCTCAAACTCCTGGGCTCAAGCGATCCTCTTTGCTTAGCCTCCCAAAGTGCTGGGATTACAGGTGTGTGCCAACACACCTGGCCAAGTTGTATATACTATTAATCTAGGCTATTTCTGACACTGTTGATTTTCCTTTTCCCCTTAGGTGAGGCAGGCGACTAATCAGATTGTGATGAATTGTGCTGATATTGATATTATTACAGCTTCATATGCACCAGAAGGAGATGAAGGTAAGAGCTGTTTTCCATTTTAATTTGCTGTCTGCATGTGCATATGTGGGGGGGGTGTGTGTGTGTGTGTGTGTGAGAGAGAGAGAGAGAGACATTTTCAGGTTAAGACTTCAGTGTTTGTTACTTTAGAAATGGGTAAATTCAGCTGGGTGAAGTGGCTCACGCCTATAATCCCAGCACTTTGGGAGGCTGAGGCGAGCAGATCCCTGAGCCCATGAGTTTGAGACCAGCCTGGGCCACATGGCGAAACAAAAACAAACAAACAAACAAAAATATTAGCTAGGCATAGTGGTGCGTGCCTGTAGTCCCAGCTATTTGGGAGGCTGAGGTGGGAGGATCTATTGAGCCCAGGTGGCCGAGGCTGCAGTGAGCCATGACTGCGCCGCTGCACTCCAGCCTGTGCGACAGAGTGAGACCCTGACTCAAAAAAAGAAAAAGAAAAAGGGTAAAATGTTTATGGGAAATATTGAATATTATAACCTAACAGTATTGTGAAATAAATGTCACAATTTATTTTACTTTTAAATTTATTTTTATTTTTATTTTTTTTGAGACAGAGTCTTGCTCTGATGCCCAGGCTGGAGTGCAGTGGCATCATCTAAGCTCACTGCTATCTCTGCCTCGTGAGTTCAAGCAGTTCTCCCTGCCTCAGCCTCCTGAGTGGCTGAGATTACAGGTGTCCACCATCATACCTAGCTAATTTTTGTATTTTTAGTAGAGACAGGGTTTTGCTATGTTGGCCAGGCTGGTCTTGAACTCCTGATCTCAGGTGATCTGCATGCCTCCCAAAGTGCTGGGATTACAGATGTGAGCCACCACACCCGGGCAAATGTCACAATTAAAATTCCACTTCCAAGATTAACTTATTTTGTGGTACTAGGGAAATCATATTTTCATAAGTATAAAATGAATATAATACGCATAATAAAGCTGATGAGTTATTTGAAAAATTAAGTACTTTGAACATGAAAGGCTCCTCAAAGAGGCTTCGTTTTTATGTTTTTCTTAAAGTTTTTTTTTCTTTTTGTACTATAGTTTAAAATTGAGATAAGTCATACTCCTAATTCAGAGAAAAACATTTGCTTTATGAGACAATATGAAGATTAGAAGCTAAATAATGGAGTTAGTTACAGGGGAAGAACATGCTAAAAAGAAACATGGTATAGAATGTGGAACTCGATTAGTGTCTATAAAATGAGAACTGTTTTATTTTATTTTATTTTATTTTATTTTTTATTTTTTTTTGAGACGGGGTCTCGCTCTGTCCCCCAGCCTGGAGTGCAGTGGCGCGATCTCGGCTCACTGCAAGCTCCGCCTCCCGGGTTCACGCCATTCTCCTGCGTCACCCTCCGGAGTAGCTGGGACTACAGGCTCCCGCCACCACGCCTGGCTAATTTTTTTGTATTTTTAGTAGAGACGGGGTTTCACCGTGTTAGCCAGGATGGTCTTGATCTCCTGACCTCGTGATCCACCCGCTTCGGCCTCCCAAAGTGCTGGGATTACAGGCGTGAGCCACCGCGCCCGGCCGAGAACTGTTTTAGACCTTATAATTTTAGTATGAAAGTAGTCCGTTTTGACTGGAAATCTTATTCCCGTATGAGCTGATTTTTAAATAGATACCAAGTTTGGCATAAACTCTTACAAGTACATCAGTATTGGAGCTGGATTGCTTTTTACTTTTTTTTTTTTGAGAGAGTCTCGCTCTGTCACCCAGGCTGGGGGGCAGTGGCATGATCTCAACTACCACAACCTCTGTCTCCTGGTCTCAAGCCATCCTCCCACCTCACCCTCCCAAGTAGCTGATATTACAGGCGTGTACCACCATGCCTGGCTAATATTCGTATTTGTATTTTTTTATAGATATGGGGGGGGTCTTCCTATATTGCCCAGGCTGGTCTTGAACTCCTGGGCTCAAGGGATCCGACCTCTTCGGCCTCGCAGGTTGCTGGGATTACAGGCAAGAGCCACCACACCTGGTTGCCTTTTTACTTTTGATTTCACCTAGACATTCCTTGTCAAAATGGTTATTGGTTACTCTGAGACTTCTTTAATAAAAAATAATTTAAGGCCGGGCGCAGTGGCTCACGCCTGTAATCCCAGCACTTTGGGAGGCCCAGGTGGGCGGATCACAAGGTCAGGAGATAGAGACCATCCTGGCTAACTCGGCGAAACCCTGTCTCTACTAAAAATACAAAAAATTAGCCTGGCGTGGTGGCGGGCGCCTGTGGTCCCAGCTACTCGGGAGGTTGAGGCAGGAGAATGGCGTGAACCCGGGAGGCGGAGCTTGCAGTGAGCCGAGATCGCGCCACCGCACTCCAGCCTGGGCGACAGAGCGAGACTCCGTCTCAAAAAAAAAAATAAAAAAATAAATAAAATAAAATAATTTACACATTTGATCTTTTAACTTACATTTTATATTTTGATTTCCTCTCTCCTTTACATTATACTGAAAAGAAGTTTCATTTTAAGGCCTCATAACATTTATGATTTTTTCTTAAACTATTTTGTCTATAGAAAGTCAAAGTAGTAGCAGTTGAACATACTGTTCCGAAGAAGTACTTAAGTTCAATTGATTGTAAATTAGATCAAACTGCTGGAAGAACAGATTCTTCAAATGGACTTGAATGAGTGCCACTTTTAAAAAATTGTCTGGTAAATGAAAGAGTGATTATTTAATTTCTTTAACTGTGGAGAAAAATAGAAGTACTTTAGCCAGGTATATCAAAGCAACAAGGCTTTCTTTGTTGCAGGTAGAGAATGTTTAAATTCGATGTGTGGTTTTAAAGTGGTATGTAGATAGGTAGATCTAGTAATATAAATGTGTACCTTCCAGCTGGCATGGTTTCAGCTCAAGTTTGTTTTTTATCTTCCTGTACTAAAAATGTCGGGATAGAATTCAGGTGACTGAAAAGTTCTTTTTTTTTTTTTTTGAGATGGAGTCTAGCTCTGTCGCCCAACGATCTCAGCTTGCTGCAACCTCCACCTCTGGGGTTCAAGCAATTCTTCTGCCTCAGCCTCCTGAGTAGCTGGGATTACAGGCGTGTGCCACCACACCCGGCTAATTTTTGTATTTTTAGTAGAGATGGGGTTTCACCATGTTTGTTAGGCTGGTCTTGAACTCCTGGCCTCGTGATCCACCCGCCTCAGCCTCCCAAAGTGTTGGGATTACAGGCGTGAGCCACCGCGCCCGACCTGACTGAAAAGTTTTGAATATGTGTAACCGAATGTTGCTAAGCTCATAATGATCTGTATCTCACGGAAGCCCAGTTAGTGTTCTTATTAAGAGAGTCAGGAGAGAAATGAAAACTTAATGGAAAAGAAGATTTGAAGAGAGATTCTGATAAAACATTAAATTATTTTAGATACATAATATATATTCAGTGCTGGGTGCAGTGGCTCACGCCTGTAATCCCAGTACTTTGGGAGGCTGTGGTGGGTGGATCATGACGTCAGAAGTTCAAGACCAGCCTGGCGAAGATGGTGAAACCCCATCTCTACTAAAAATAAAAAAATTAGCTGGGTGTGGTGGCGGGTGCCTGTAATCCCAGCTACTCAGGAGGCTGAGGCAGAGAATTGCTTGAACCCAGGAGGCAGAGGTTGCAGTGAGCCAGGATCGTGCCACTGCACGCCAGCCTGGGTGACAGAGACTCTGTCTCAAAAAAAAAATATTTTCCTTCAGAACTAGCTAAGGTACATTTCTCAACACTTTTCTACCACAGCAACAGGAAAAAACCTGAAGTCATGTGTAAGCCCATGTAATTTTAGAGTTTAAGAGAATGGGAAGTTGTATGAGTTGTTAAAGTTTGAATTGGGGGCAGCCAGGTGTGGTGGCTCACACCTATAATCCTAGCATTTTGGGAGGGCTAGGTGGGCGGATCACCTGTGGTCAGGAGTTTGAGAACAGCCTGGCCAACATGGTGAAACACCGTCTCTACTAAAAACACAAAAATTAGCTGGGCGTGGTGGCAGGCACCTGTAATTCCAGCTACTTGGGATGCTGAAGGCAGGAGAATCGCCTGAACCCGGGAGGTGGAAGTTGCAGTGAGCGGAGATTGTGCCACTGCACGCCAGCCTGGGCGACAGAGCAAGACTCTGTCTCAAAAAAAAAAAAAATAGTTTGGATTGGGAACAGGGATAGATTTGGGCTTCCACATGTATGTATGTGTGTGTGTGTGTGTGTGTGTGTGTGTGTGTGTGTGTGTGTATATATATATGTAATAAAAAAAGAAGATAAAAGTAAAATCAGAAAATTACTTTTAAGGCATGAAATTGTTGCTTCTTTTAATTTTTTTTTTTTTCTTTTTGAGATGGAGTCTTCACTCTGTCGCCCAGGCTGGAGTGCAGTGGCGCAGTCTCGGCTCACTGCAAGCTCTGCCTCCCGGGTTCACGCCATTCTCCTGCCTCAGCCTCCCCAGCAGCTGGGGCTACAGGCGCACGCCGCCACGCCCAGCTAATTTTTGTATTTTTAGTAGAGACGGGATTTTACCGTATTAGCCAGGATGGTCTCGATCTCCTGACCTTGTGATCCGCCCGCCTCGGCCTCCCAAAGTGCTGGGATTAAAGGTGTGAGCCACCGTGCCTGGCCAATTGTTGCTTCTTTGTGTAAGTTTTTATTTGAAGAAAAAGGCCATTTTTTTGTGATATGTGCAGTCATCCTAAAAGACCTATGAGCATGTGTCTGTTTTTTTTTTTTTTTTTTTTTTGAGATGGAGTCTTGCTGTATTGCCCAGGCTGGAGTACAGTGGCGCAGTATCGGCTCACTGCAACTAGTAGAACTTTTTTTTTTTTTTTTTAAAGAACTTGTTTTAAAATAATCCTTAATAGGCTTTTATTAACTCTGTTTGGATATTAGTTATGTACCCTTTTCTCTTTGCAAAAATGAAAAATCATTTCAAGTAGAAATTAAAGGTTTGTTTCTCATCCCTTTCTTTAGATATAGTAACAGTTATACCAGATATATATATATATATGTTTTTTTGTTTTTTTTTTTTGAGACAGAGTTTCACTCTTGTTGCCCAGGCTGGAGTGCAATGGCATGATCTTGCTCACTGCAACCTCTGCCTCCCAGGTTCAAGCAATTCTCCTGCCTCAGCCTCCCGAGTAGCTGGGATCACAGGTGTGCACCACCACGCCCAGCTAATTTTTGTATTTTTAGTAGAGACAGGGTTTCACCATGTTGGCCAGCCTGGTCTCGAACTCGAGACCTCAGGTGATCCACCTACCTCGGCCTCCCAAAGTGCTGGGATTACAGGCATGAGCCACCACGCCCGGCCCAGTTATACCAGATATAAGCAAATTTGCTAGTAGTTTAGATTTCTGGAATTGTGCCAACTACACATCAAGAGACTATTTAGCTTTGTTACAGAAGTCAGTATCAGTTTCTTGTTATAAGACGAGACCTGGTTTTACAGACTTTTCTATTTCTCAATGGAACTTTACTCTGAAGATATACTCTTCCATTTAAATACTAGTTCCAAAACCTACATTATATGGTGGCAGCTTAATAAACATTTAACATTTTGGTTAATTTAAATCTTGTTGATGTGTATACATGAATAACTGGGCTAAAAGCAGATACCTTTGATTATTGTGAAACTTCAAGTAAATATTGTGTGAAAAGGACCCCTTCTGTCTCACAAATTCTGGCCCCTCAGCTCATTGTCTGAACAGTGATTCCCTTGCATATAATAAATTCCCTTGGCTTATATATAATAATAAATGAAGTTTATTATTTATTTGAACTTTTTACCCCTGTAAATACCAAGGTTCTTTTTGCCTAAGTGGTAATTTGTGTCATTCAAAGAGTTTTTATTAAATATTATTATTATTATTTGAGATAGAGTCTCACTCTTATTGCCCAGGCTGGAGTGCAGTGGCACTATCTCGGCTCACTACAGCCTCCGTCTCCTGGGTTGAAGCGATTCTTGTGCCTCAGCCTCCCAAGTCGCTGGGATTACAGGTGTGTGCCACCAAACCTGGCTAATTTTTAAATTTTTGTAGAGATGGGGTTTCCCCATTTTGGCCAGGCTGCTCTCAAACTGTTGACGCCCACCTTGGCCTCCCAAAGTGCTGGGATTACAGGTGTGAACCACTGCACCAGACCTTAAATACTCTGTTTAAGTGATAGTTTGATAAGTGTGAACGCAAGTCTGAAATAGGTTTCTTTGCTTGTGAGAAAGTATAACGAATTGCCAAGACAATAGTGACAAACAGAGGGCATATTTTTCAAAGAGGAAGAGTTTATATAGTGTTAACATTAAGACAAAAGTCTTAAGTTTCTAATTTCTGATCTTGTTTGTTGGGATTTCTTTTTTTTTTTTTTTTTTTTGAGACAGGTCTTTCTCTGTCATCCAGGCTGGAATGCAGTGGCACAGTCATGGCTTACTGCAGCCTCCTGGGCTCAAGTTACTCTCCCACCACAGCCTCCCGGAGAGCTGGGATGGCAGGCATGTGCCACCACACCTGGCTAATTTTTTAATTTTTGTAGAGATGGGGTTTTGCAATGTTCCCCAGGCTGGTCTCAGACTCCAAGACTCAAGCAGTCCTCCTACCTCAGCTTCCCAAAGTGCTGGGATTACAGATATGAGCCACTGTGCCTGGCCCTTGTTTGGATTTCTATGCTTATCTGTGAAGTATATTCTGGTTTCTATGCAGGATAGATCCATTCTCAAATAAACAACCCTTAAGTATCATTAGTTCAAACTGGAGCCAAATAAATGTCAGCATTAGAAGGAGCAAGTGATAGTTAGCCAGCCCCTTTATTCCTTTTTAGTGCAAATCAGAGATAAAGAACATGAAGTTTGCAGTGTATTTGCATTCTTTCATTTTTACATTTGTTGGTTTTGAATAATATTGAGGGGCTGTCTGATAAAGAACCTGTGTAGGTTTCCATATGGCTATATACAAAGTATATGAGCGTAGAATAGTTTTAAATTTTGTCTTAGTTATACTTGGTAAGTTTTAAAACGTTATTTAAATAGCCTTAAGGTGATATGGATTGCTTTAGTGACTGCTGTTTTAGGAATTTAGTTGGCTTATTGCTGACTATAGAGGGAACGTTTTATCTTCTTTTTAACCTCCAGTTCAGGTTAGGTGCCTAACCAAGTGAAACATTTTTCATAATATAATGTTTAATAGTGATAATTATAAAAATAATGATGAGTTTAGTGTTTACTCTATACCAGGCACTAAGTGCATTACCTGTTCATATAGAGAACAACCGTAGGCACAGAGAGGGTATCTACTTTAGGTAATAAAACTGATAAATGTTAGAGCCAGGATTCAAACCCAGGCGGTTTGGATCTAGGGTCCATGTACTTGCCACTCTATTGCTTGTCATTAATGTAACCACACCATATTGCAATTATTTGTTTGTGTCATGTCTGTACTACTTTTCAATGGAATCTTAAGATCCTTGAGGGGCCGGGCATGGTAGCTCATGGCTGTAATCCCAGCACTTCGGGAGGCCGAGGCGGGCGGCTCACCTAGGGTCAGGAGTTCAAGACCAGCCTGGCCAACATGGTGAAACCTCGTCTCTACTAAAAAAAAAAGTACAAAAATTAGCTGGGTGTGGTGGTAGGCGCCTGTAATCCTAGCTACTCGGGAGGCTGAGGTGGGAGAATTGCTTGAACCTGGGAGGCAGAGGTTGCAGTGAGCCAAGATCACGCCATTGCACTCCAGCCTGGGGGACAAGAGACTTCTACTCAAAAAAAAAAAAAAAAAGATCCAGTAATTATGATTCATTCTTTTTCATTTGTGGTTTTCCCTGGTATCTGACATATAGTAGGGATTTAATAAATATACATTGAATGAAACGAAGAAAATCTAGATAAATGGAGTAAGTCTGTCATACAGTAGTTCCTCCTTATCTATGGCAGATGTGTTCTAAGACCCCCAATGGTACGCCTGAAACCACAGATAGTAGCAAAACTTATATATGCTATGTTTTTCCCTATACATATGTACTATGATAAAGTTTAATTTTTACATTAGAAATAGTAAGAAATTAACAAAAGCTAATAAAAAATAGAACCATTATAACAATATACTGTAATAAAAGTTACATGAATGTTGTGTGCATCTCTCTCTCTTTTCTTTTTTTTGAGACTTTGCTCTGTCGCCCAGGCTGGAGTGCAATGGTGCGATCTCAGCTCACTGCAATCTCTGCCTCCCAGGTTCAAGCGATTCTCCTGCCTCAGCCTCCTGAGTAGCTGGGACTACAGGCGCATGCCACCACACCCGGCTAATTTTTTGTGTTTTTAGTAGAGACGGGGTTTCACCGTGTTAGCCAGAATGGTCTCCATCTTCTGACCTCGTGATCTGCCCGCCTCGGCCTCCCAAAGTGCTGGGATTACAGGTGTGAGCCACAATATCTTTTTTTTTTTTTGAGATGCAGTTTCACTCTTGTTGCCCAGGCTGGAGTGCGATGGTGTGATCTCGGCTCACTGCAACCACTGCCTCCCGGGTTTAAGCAAGTCTCCTGCCTCAGCCTCCCAAGTAGCTGGGATTACAGGCATGCGCCACCACGCCTGGCTAATTTTGTATTTTTAGTAGGGACAGGGTTTCTCCATGTTGGTCAGCCTGGTCTCAAACTCCTGACCTCAGGTGATCTTCCCCCCTCAGCCTCGTAAAGTGTTGGGATTACAGGCATGAGCCACCGCGCCCAGCCAATATCTTCTTTTTAAAAAAAATTATTTCATTTATTTATTTTTAGAGGCAGAGTCTCTGTTGCCCAGGTTGGAGTGCAGTGGTGCCATCATATCTCACTGCAGCCTCAAACTGCTGGGCTCAAGTGATCCTCCTGCTTCAGCCTCCCAGTTAGCTAGGACTATAGGTATGCACCAACACACCCAGCAAATTTGTAAAAATTTTTTGTGAGTCAGGTCTGGCTTTATTGCTGAAGTTGGTCTTGAACTCCTGGCTTCAAGCGATCCTCCTGCCTCAGCCTCCCAAAGTGCCAGGATTACAGGCATGAGCCACTGTGCCCAGCCTCTCTTATAGTATCTTATTGTATTATACTCACTCTTCTTCTTTGACATTTCCAAACTGCTAGCATCACTACTCTTGTGCTTTGAGGCCATTATTAAGTACAATAAAGGTTACTTAAACACAAGCCTTGTGATACATTGACAGTCAATCTGATAACTGAGATGGCTACTATGTGACTAATGGGCTGGGTGGCATATATATACAGCATGGATAGGTCGGAGAAAGGGATGATTCATGTTCTGGGCAGAATGGAATGGGAGGGCACAAGATTTCATCACACTATTCAGAACAGTACAGTTTAAAACTTATGAATTGTTTGTTTCTGGAATTTTCCATTTAATATTTTCAGACTGTAGTTGACTCTAGGCAATTGAAACTGTGGAAAGTGAAACTGCAGATAAGGGGGACTTGTCAGGTCTGCATTTCTTCATGTGCTCTATCCTAGTAACTTTATGGGTAACAAAATTATTTCGTATTTGAGATTATTTTGTTACCAGCTTTAACTTGTATTTTACTTCCCTTTGAGGACTACCATCAAGATACTTACTAATTGTAAAGATTCTTTACAGTATTTTAAATATTAAGAAAATGGAGAGCATAAAAAACTGCTGTAAATTATGTAGTTTTTGCATTAAATGTAGAGAAAACACTGATTGCATAATGTTAGTAACATTGTAGTGTATGCTGTTCTTTTTTTTTTTTTTTTGAGATGGAGTTTCGCTCTTATTGCCCAGGCTGGAGTGCAATGGCATGATTTCGGCTCGCCGTAACCTCAGCCTCCCGGGTTCAAGTGATTCTCCTGCCTCAGCCTCCTGAGTAGCTGGGATTACAGGCATGCACCACCACAGCCGGCTAATTTTGTATTTTTAGTAGAGATGGAGTTTATCCATGTTGGTCAGGCTGGTCTCGAACCTCCGACCACAGGTGATCCGCCTGCCTCAGCCTCCCGCAGTGCTGGGATTACAGGCACAAGCCGCCGCGCCCGGCCATGTATGCTGTTCTTAAGTGTGAAGCTGGAAGAGTTAGTTGTTCTCCACATCAATGCTTCCTTACTTTTTTTCAAGGCATTAGTAGAAACTGATGTTTTCCTGGTACATAAGGAAGAGGAGGCTCACAACTGGAGGGTATCAGAGATCTTTCATTGCTCTAGGCCTACCAGGCTGGTCCAAGGGCCAAGGGAATTATTATCTTGATAAACCTGTAATACATGTTTGGATCTGCCACAGTTAGGGAAGCTCTGCTATAGTTTCAAGTTAATAGAATTAGAAGGGAAGTTAGGTAGTAGTCAGGGCTCATTTTATTTATTTGTGCCTTCTGTTTTACTTTTTTTTTTTTTTTGAAATGGAGTCTTGTGCTGGCGTGACCTCGGCTCACTACAACCTCTGCCTCCCGGGTTCAAGCAGTTCTCTTGCCTCTGCCTCCCAAGTAGCTGGGACTACAGACGCAGGCCACCACGCCCGGCTAATTTTTGTATTTTTAGTAGAGATGGGGTTTCCCATGTTGGCCAGGCTGGTCTCGAACTCCTGACCTTGTGATCCACCTGCCGTGGTCTCCCAAAGTGCTGGGATTACAGGCATGAGCCACCGCACCCAGCCTGTTTTACTTTTTTCTTGATCCCAGATCTTTTTCAGTTTTCTTGCTTTTTTTCTCAAAGAACTAACCATTGCTTTGTAGACCTCAGTTAACTATTATTTCCTTATTAACTTCTGCTTCCTTTGGGTTTACTTTGCAAGGTTTTTTTTTTTTATTTTTGAGACGGAGTCTTACTCTGTCACGCAGGCTGGAGTGCAGTGGCGTGATCTTGGCTCACTGCAATCCCTGCCTTCTGGTTTCAAGTGATTCTTATGCCTCAGCCTCCTGATAGCTAGGATTAAAGGCATGTGCCACCACACCCAGCTAATTTTTGTATTTTTAGTAGAGGCGGAGTTTTACCATGTTGGTCAGGCTGGTCTCAAACTCCTGACCTCAAGTGATCGGTTCGCCTTGGCCTCCCAAAGTGCTGGGATTACAGGTGTGAGCCACCGCTACCGTGCCCGGTCTACTTTGCAGATTTAAAAAAACTTCTTTAGGCTGGTCCCAGTGCAGTGGTGTTTATAACTCATCAATCATAGCCAGTTACAGATTTCTTTATTCCTCCTTCACTCCCACTGCTTCACTTGACTGCCCTTAAAAAAAAACAAAAAACAAACAGAAGTCTTGAGATGGATGTTTGGCTTATTACTTTTCAGTCCTTCTTTCTATTATATTCATTTAAATATAAATTTTAATCCTAAAAATGTACTGCTTTTAGCTGCAGCCCACACTTTTTTTGGTTTGTTTGTTTTGGGGGAAATTCTCCAGGCAGTAGTTATGGCTGTTGTTGCTTGCTGCTGCTTCTTTCCTATTTTTGTTGATAGCTTTGTGAGAGTACCTGTAATGTTGACATACTATAAAGGGTACATCTTAAAATATGTAATTTGATAAGTTTTCTCATGAATGTAACCAGGTAATGAGCATATTCATCACCCTAGAACATTTCCTCATGCCCCTTTATAATCCTTTTCTCCCCTTTTCCTTGCTCCTTCCCCAGGCAATTATGATTTGATTCCGTGTTATTTTTTTTTTGTACAGAGTCTCTGTCACCCAGGCTGGGGTACAGTGGCTCTATCTCAACTTACTGCTACCTCCACCTCCCGGCTTAAAGCAATTCTTGTGCCTCAGCCTCCCGAGTAGCTGGGACTTCAGGTGTACGCCACCACACCTGGCTCATTTTTGTGGGTTTTTATTTGTATTAATTAATTAATTTTTATTTATTTATTTAGAGATGGAGTCTCGCTCTGCTGCCCAGGCTGGGGTGTAGTGGTGTGATCTCGGCTCACTGCAACCTCTGCCTCCCAGGTTCAAGCAGTTCTCCTGCCTCAGCCTCCCAAATAGCTGGGATTACAGGCTTGTGCCACCATTCCTGGCTAATTTTTTCTATTTTTAGTAGAGATGGGGTTTCACCACGTTGGCCAGGCTGGTCTTGAGCTCCTGACCTCAAGTGATCCACATGCCTCAGCCTCCAAAGTGCTGGGATTACAGGCATGAGCCACCACACCTGGCCCACCCCCCACTTTTTTTTTTGAGACGGAGTCTCGCTCTGTCACCCATGCTGGAGTGCAGTGGCTAGATCTCGGTTCACTGCAGTCTTTGCCTCCTGGGTTCAAGCGATTCTCCTGTTTCAGCCTCCCAAGTAGCTGGGATTACATGCGCCTGCCACCACGCCTGGCTAATTTTTGTGTTTTTGTAGAGACGGGGTTTCACCATGTTGGCCAAGCTGGTCTTGAACTCCTGTCCTCAGGTGATCTGCCTGCTTTGGCCTCCCGAAGTGCTGGTATTCTAGGCGTGAGCCACCATGCCCGGCCTCTTTTTTTGTTAAGATAGGGTCTTGCGGTTGGGTGTGGTGGCTGACGCTTGTAATCCCAGCACTTTGGGAGGCCGAGGTGGGTGGATCACAAGGTCAGGAGATCGAGACCATCCTGGCTAACATGGTGAAACCCTGTCTCTACTAAAAATACAAAAAATTAGCCGGGCGTGGTGGCGCATGCCTGTAGTCCCCCCTACCTGAGAGGCTGAGGCAGGAGAATTGCTTGAACCCGGGAGGCGGACGGAGGTTGCAGTGAACCGAGATTGCGCCATTGCATTCCAGCCTGGACAACAGAGCGAGACTCCATCTCAAAAAAGAGGGAAAAAAAAAAAAGACAGGGTCTTGCTCTGTCACCCAGGCCAGAGTGCAGTGACAGAATCGCAGCTTACTGCAACCTCAAACTCCTGAACTCAAGTGATCTTCCCACCTCAGCCTCCTGAGTAGCTGGAACTACAGATATACGCTACCAAGGTGCCTGGCTAATTTTTTTTAGTAGAGATGGGGTCTTGCTTTGTTGCCTAGGCTGGTCTCGAACTCCTGGCTTCAAGGGATTCTCTCACCTCAGCCTCCCAAAGTGTTGGGATTACAGGCATGAGACACCGTGCCTGGCCTGTTTTTTCTTATTACATATTTTTGTTCTAGAATTAATTTTTCCAGATTTGCTTGTTTTCTTTGTTTTGCTTGGTTTTGGGTTTTTTTGGGGGTTTTGTTTGTTTGTTTGTTTTTTTAAAGTAACTTCGCGTTACTTGCCAAATTTTTCAGGATTGGGATTTTATATTTTTGAACATAGTAAGCAGGTATATGAATAGTTTGCTAGTATCTAGGGGAGCTTTGTTTTGTTCCCCGTTGGTTACTAATACTTAAGGTTCATCTTTTTCCAGTGTCTGGGCTTCAGATGTTCAGAAGTTTAATCACATTCCACTTGTGGACTGCTTTTCTTCTTGTTCATCTTTCCTGGTAGGATATCACTTTTTTGGTTTCAAGCCCAAAGGAGGGGGTCATTTACTCAAGCTTCTTGTCTTGTCTTGTCTTGTCTCTTCTAATAGAGATAGAGTCTCACTGTGCTACCTAGATAGACTATGTTACTTAAACTCCTGGGCTTAAGCAGTCCTTCCACCTCGCCTCCCAAAATGCTGGGATTACAGACACAGTGCCCACCCAGCCACAAAGCCCCCAGTGTTGATGGGCCCTGGATTTCCACTTTTGTCCCTGGGGCCTATAGCCTCAGCTTCCAAATCTGCTACATCTCTGCTAGATCAGCAAATGACCCCAGAGCAAAAGTGGCCTAGAATGCAAAGCTTCCTCTTTATGGAATTTCATCCTCTTCTTCATCTTGATCACCTTATCTTGTTCTATGATTCTTTTAAGGAGAAGTTTTCCCTTCCTTCCAGCTTTTTTAGTTTTGTGGGTGTCAAGTAGGAGAGAGATAATTAGTTTGAATTATATACTCCTCTATTACCCAAATATAAACTCCTTTAAAAAAAAAAAAGATAAACTGAGACCTAGACAAATTAAGTAACCGTGTAAGACCACATAATCAATGGAAATCCTGGTCCAGAATCCTGAGTGATTTTAATGAAATAGTTCACAGTCATTTATTAAGAGCAGGGGCACCCTAGAAGGAATTTTTTGATTCTGTTGAACCAGATTTATATTTGGCACATGCTCATTCTTTTTAGACTTTTTAGATAGCCTAATAGGATAGAACCATCACTATGTTATATAAATGTGAAATCCATTTGAAAATATGGGACCTGTCAGTATAGGTACTGCTTGAACTGTAACTATGCATATATCTGATTGGCTTTTATGCCCTACGGTGAGAAGGAGGTCACCTTGAAGCTTTGCAAAGTAAGTTCTTGGTTCCATTTTTCACTTGAATCCCCCTTGGATATCCTCCAGAATGATGTGTTTTCTTTCCCATTGCAACATTATTTTCAGCTTTGTGGAGAAACAAAGTATGTTCCAAGTAGCAGGTAGTCACTGTAGGCCTTCTTTGAACTGTGAACTTTATTTTTTTGCACCTGAACTGCTTTCTAAAACCACATAAACAATATGATAGGGAAGTTGCTATCTGAATAAAAAAACAAAATAAAACCTCACAATGTGTTTGATCTAGTACTGAGCTACACTGGTATATGTGGGCTATATAGAATTATGTGGTTTAGATTACTTGTTTAAGTATAGCAGTGGCTTGGAGGAAAATACATTCTGAGTTTCAAATAGATAATTTGTAAAGGAAAATTTGAAGTACAGTTGACTTGGCACTTCTGATATTGAAATTTTAGAAGATTTTATTTCTGTATCTCAATGTAATGCCTAGGCAGAATCCACTAGATGCTTGTATAGATGGTATAAGCAATAATGATTTCAGCTATTTTAAAAAATTTCAATCTTTTTTTAATGTTGCCTCTTGAAATACCATCTTGTACTTCTCATTTTCCCTATACCTCCTTTTATGTGATTAAGTTTTATTATGTATAGACATAAAGGGGGCCTGGCACAGTGGCTCATGCCTGCAATCCCAGCATTTTGGGAGGCCAAGGCACAAGGATTGCTTGAGCCCAGGAGTTCAAGACAAGCCTACGCAATGCAGTGAGACCCTGTCTCAAACAAAAAAAAAAAAAAAAAAAAAAAAGGTTGGGGAGGGTGCTATGATATTATGATACATATGTTGGTTTTCATCCACAGTTTCTGTCATAGAACACCCATAGTCCCTGTTATTTCCTAAGTGACTAAAACAATATACATATATTTTATTGAAATATTTGGCCTTTTATTCTTGGTTTTTGAAGTGGCTTCAGTACAGCTTCAGATCAATAAAAGTGAAAGATGGTCTTTTGTAATAACGTTGGGGCACTTTAAACCTCAGAAGCAGGCTTCAGAAAACAGAATCGCTCTCTGACCTTTTCTTGCCTTGCTTTTACCTGCTCCTTTTTCTCCCCAAGCAGGCAATAGAAACTAAAAATATACTCTGATCATCCCCCAACATTCTGTCTTGGAGCTGACAGCAAAGAAATTATCTGACCTACCTTGTCTGATTGGAGGTCATAAGACCCCCATTTCAGAAGGCATCCTGCCCTGTACTTGGGAGGAAAGAAGTTGCACAGAGAGGCCAAGAAGACTCTGAACAGAGAGGCCTTGCTAGGTTTCCCCACTCAGTCTGTTAGCATTAGGTCCTACTTTGTCCAATCATATTTCTACCCGGTTGTCCATGCTTCAGTCGTGACGGTCCAGTGAAGTCCTGGACCGGGTACAGAGAGCTTCCAGATAGCTGAACACGTGGAGGGTCCTGGAGGGTGGTGCACCCAGGGAGGGTATGAGAGCTCTGCACCCCTTCCCACATGCCTTGTTCTGTGCACCTCTTCATCTGCATTCTTTGTGCTATTCTTTATAATAAACCAGTACACGTGTTTTCCTGAGTTCTGGGCACAGCTTTAGCAAATTAATCAAACCTAAGAAGGGGGTCATGGGAACACTGACTTGAAGCTGGTTGGCCAGAAGTTCTGGATGAGGCCTGGCCTTACAACTAGTGTCTGAAGTGGGGGCAGTCTTGTGAGACTGAGCCCTCTCTCAGCCTGTGGGATCTAATGCTATCTCCAGGTAGATAGCATGAGAATTGAATTGGATTAGAAGGTGCTCAGCTGGTGGTATCTTCTGCAGAACTGATTGCTTCTTGTTGGTGGGGAGAAATCCCCACACATTTGGTCACAGAAGTCTACTGTGTTGATGATTGTGGTGTAAGAGCAGAGGAAAAGCAATTTGATTTTTCTCCACAAGGGGAAGAAAATGTTTCATGATTCAACTAATGATTTACCTTTCATTGTAAGGTTATCATGCTCAAGTATTAATGTAGGAAGGCTTTTTTGATGCAGAGTGTGTGTGTGTGTGTGTGTGTATATACGTGTGTGTTTGTAGAGGGCTAACATTAAAAAGGGAAATGTAATAAGGAAGAAGAAATGGTGTTCTAAACTTAAAACCCATTTCATCTGCTAAATCGTCCTAGTGAAATACCAACTTTAGTTAATTTTAAAAAAAGTTTAGTTAATTGTAAAAAAAAAAAGAATCTCTTCATTATATTTTAAAAACCATTTGTGTTTCCTTTTTCTGTAATTTATTCATATTTGTCCATTTTAAATTTCAGTGTTATTCTTATTCTTGTTATTGATTTTTTAAAACGTGGTCTTTATATTTGAGTGAAATTAACCTTCCATCATGAGTTGGAGCATTTTTTCCCCAATATATACTTCTCTTTTGATTTTGCTTATGGTCATTTTATAATGCCATGGTTTTTTTTGTTGTTTGTTTTTTTTTTTTTTTTTTTGAGACGGAGTCTCGCTCTCTCAGCCAGGCTGGAGTGCAGTGGCGTGATCTCAGCTCACTGCAACCTCCACCTCCCCGTTTCAAGCGATTCTCCTGCCTCAGCCTCCCGAGTAGCTGGGATTACAGGCGTGCACCACCACGCCTGGCTAATTTTTGTATGTTTAGTAGTAATGGAGTTTCACCATGTTGGACAGGCTGGTCTCAGACTCCTGACCTCAGGTGATCTGCCCATCTTGACCTCCCAAAGTCCTGGGATTACAGGCATGAGCCACCATGCCCAGCCTGGTCATGGTTTTATACATGCTATGTTTATAATCAAATTTTACTTCTATTTAATAGATGACTAACACACTTACACATAGATGCTTATACCCAAATATATATGTTTATAGATTTTAAAATGCTAATTATATTTAAAAGGCCTAATAAGGAGTTTCAGCAAAAGCTGTTATATATATGTATATAATGGACCAATTGCAGTTGGATCAATAAAGAACTGTAAGGTGTGTTATGATCTAGAAAAGTGATTCTTTTTTTTTTTTGAGATGGAGTCTTGCTCTGTTGCCCATGCTGGAGTGCAGTGGCACGATCTCGGCTCACTGCAAGCTCCGCCTCCCGAGTTCACGCCATTTTCCTGCCTCAGCCTCCTGGGTAGCTGGGACTACAGGCACGTGCCACCACACCCAGCTAATTTTTTGTATTTTTAGTAGAGACGGGGTTTCACCATGTTGGCCAGGATGGTCTCGATCTCTTGACCTCGTGATCCGCCCTCCTTGGCCTCCAGAAGTGCTGGTATTACAGGCGTGAGCCACTGCTCCCGGCCCTGAAAAGTGTTTCTTAACAATAACTAGGAACTGTGCTGTGTGTTTTATATAAGAGTATATTATATAATTTTTTTTTTCTTTGAGATGGAGTCTCACTCTGTTGCCCAGACTGAGTGCAGTGGTGCGATCTCAGCTCACTGCAGCCTCTACCTCCCAGGTTCAAGCGATTCTCCTGCCTCAGCCTCCCAAGTAGTTGGGATTACAGGCGCACGCCACCATGCCCTGCTAATTTTTGTATGTTTAGTTTTACCATGTTGGCCAGGCTGGACTCAAACTCCTGACCTCAAGTGATCCTCCCACCTCGGTCTCCCAAAGTGCTGGGATTACAGGTGTGAGCCACCGTGCCTGGCCCCCAATCTTTAATTAAGAAGCAGGTGCCAGGCACAATGGTATACTCCTATAATCTCAGCTACTCAGGAGGCTGAGGTGGGAGGATTGCCAGTGCTTGAGCCCGGGAGTTTGAGACCAGCCTGAACAACATAGTGAGACCCTTATCTCAATTTTAAAAAGAAAGAATTAGGTAATGATATGATTTTAATTTTATAGGTGTGGAAACGGAGGCTTAGAGAATTGAATAATCATATATACCTTATAAGATTCTCTCATACTCCATTTTTAAAAGTTTTCGATCAAGTTTAAGTTGTATTGATACACGATATATAGTGAAGTGTCTATGTACAATGCTTAATTTACATATATATACATTTCCAATTATGAATATATTGCAAACTGTATTAGTGAATGAATTATTCATTTATCATATCAGTATTATATATTACTATAATATATAAATATACTAATTATATATTAGTATTAATGTAAACATTAATTTAGAAATACTTTTTTCTCCAGTGAAGCCTCCTCAGACTTCTCATATGCATCTTCAGTATTTATGGGTTTCTACCCTTTAAACAATCTAACAGTTCCAGAGCAAATATTATCTTCTAAGAGGTTTGAGATAGATCCTTATTTGAATCAGTATATTATGTTGTGACTGGAAATTTTATCCCTAGCCATGTCTCTATTCACATAACATTAGTAAATGTGATTTTTCATTAATATATTTCATATGAGTAGCATTAATGATCTCCATGACATAATTACTTAGTCTGTTGCTTTTGAAGTGATTCATTCATTCTACAGATACTTACTGAACACACACTATGTGCCAGAAACTGCTAGCATTGGAAGTAGAGCTGTGAACAAAATCAAGCATCAACATTTCTGATATTTGAGAAGACAGGCAACAAGCAAATATGTGATGTAAAGTAGTGATAAGTGCTGTAAAATCACAAGAGGGTATAGAATGAGGATTGTTCTTCAAGTTGATAGAACAGATCTTTAAAGAAGTGATTTGAGGCTGGGCGTGGTGGCTTACACCTGTAATCCCAACACTTTGGGAGGCCGAGGCGGGTGGATCATGAGGTCAAGAGACTGAGACCATCCTGGCCAACGTGCTGAAACTCCGTCTCTACTAAAAATACAAAAATTAGCCAGGCGATACAAAAATTAGCCAGGCGTGGTGGTGCGTGCCTGTAGTCCCAGCTACTCGGGAGGCTGAGGCAGAAGTGCTTGAACCCGGGAGGCGGAGGTTGCAGTGAGCCAAGATCATGCCACTGCATGCCAGCCTGGGCGACAGAGCAAGACTCCATCTCAAAAAAAAAAAAAGATGATTCGAGGCTTCGTGTGGTGGTTCATGCCTGTAATCCCTGCACTTTGGGAGGCTGAGGCAGGAGGATCGCTTGAGCTCGGGAGTTTGAGGCCAGCCTGGGCAACATGGTGAAACCCCATGTCTATAAAAAATACAAAAATTAGTCGGGTGTGATGGTGGGCGCCTGTAGTCCCAGCTATTTGGGAGGCTGAGGTGGGAGGAACACTTGAACCTGAGAGGTCAAGGTTGCAGTGAGCCAAGATGGCAGCACTGTACTCCAGGTTGGGCAACAGAGTGAGACCCTGTCTCAAAAAAAAAAAAAAAAAGTGATTTGAGCAGAGGCCTGAATGACATAAAGTGTTTAGATATCTGGAGACTTTGCAAGCAGATGCAGAAACCCTGGGGTTGGAAAATGCTTACAGTCTGAATAGTAAAAGAGGCACCACCAGCATGACTTCTAGTTATTGTGCTACACCCTGCACATTTTTTTTTCTTTTTCGAGACAGGGTCTCACTCTGTCACCTAGATGGGAGTGCAGTGGCATGTTCATGGCTCACTCCAGCTTCAACCTCCTAGGCTTCAGCAATGCTCTTGCCTCAGCCTTTGGAGTAGCTGGGACCACAGGTTTGTGTCACCACGTATGACTAATTTTTTTTTTATTTTTCCTGTGTTGCCCAGGTTGGTTTTGAACTCCTGGGTTCAGGTGATCCTCCTGCCTTGGCCTCCCAAAGTGCTGGGATTCCAGGCAAGAGCCACCATGCCTGGCCCTGGGCAACATTTTTATTGTCAGTCATTTAATAGCCTAGTCTAATGGATGTGTAGTGATATGTCATTGTGATTTTAATTTGCCTTTCCTTAATGGCTAATGATGCTGAACACTTTTTTATGTGCTTTTTTTTTTTTTTGCCATTTATAAATTTTCCTTTGTGAAGTTTAAGTCTTGCCATTTTTAAATTGGGTTGTTTACCTTTTTATTCAACAGCTGTAGGTTTTTTGTTTTTTTTTTTTTGATACAGAGTCTCACTCTGTCTCCAGGCTGTAGTGCAGTGGCACATCTTGGCTCACTGCAACCTCCGTTCCCAGGTTCAAGTGATTCTCCTGCCTCAGCCTCCCAAGTAGCTGAGATAACAGGCATGCACCACCACGCATGGTCCACCCACCTCGGCCTCCCAAAGTGCTGGGATTACAGGCGTGAGCCACTGCGCCCAGCCCAGAAAGGAACATTCTTAAGCATTGAAGTGATTCTTGTCAAATTTGATTTCTATTCAAATTTAGGAGCTGGGCCAGGCACGGTGGCTCAGCCCTGTAATCCCAGCACTTCGGGAGGCTGAGGTGGGTAGATTGCCTGAATCCAGGAGTTTGAGACCAGGCTGGACAACATGGGGAAACCCCTGTCTCTACTAAAAATACAAAAGATTAGATGGGCCTAGTGGCACCTCACGCCTGTAGTCCCCAGCTACCCCGGAGGCTGAGGTGGGAGAATCTCCCGAACCTGATGGGAAAGGTAGCAGTGAGTTGAGATAGTGCC
The DNA here is from genome assembly GCF_000001405.40 of Homo sapiens. Lineage (NCBI taxonomy): Eukaryota > Metazoa > Chordata > Mammalia > Primates > Hominidae > Homo > Homo sapiens. Next base: position 38,221,501 of record NC_000017.11, on the reverse strand, counting down.
ACTGTACTCCAGCCTGGGCAACAAAGTGAGACCCTGTCTCAAAAAACAAAACAAAACCAAACAAATTTAGGAGCTAGCTTGTGATTGTAGAAATAATTTTGGCAATAGAAGTGAGGGAACTGAGTTGTAGTCTAGCTAGTTAACATGTGACAAACCATTAACTTTATATGTCTCATTTTCTTCATCTGTAAAATGAGGAAGATTTGATTAGAGGATTTATTAAAGTTCTTTTAAAATCTGAAATTACAGTTTCTTAATTGGTTTTGTAGAGATTTTGGCTTTATAAAAATGTGTGAACCATAGTGACAGCAGAAACATTTGAAATCCTATATTTGGGTGATTCATAAAAGAAAGGAAGAATTATGGGCATCTTGCCTGTAAAATGTTATGTAATCTGAATCATTGTTACCCACAGCATCCTGTGACTGATAAAGGTACTCATGGCCACCTCTCCTCCCTTGTCTTTCTGTAGTACTTTCCTTTCTCCCCACCTCAATAATAGCTTTATTGATGTATAATTCACATACCATACATGTCATCTATTAATATTTAAAGCATACAATTCAGCGGTTTTTAGTCTATTTACAGAGTTGTACAGCCATCATCACAATCAATTTTAGAACACTTTCTGAACTCCAGAAAGAAAGTACCCTGCCTATTTCCCCTCTATCACCTAGCCCTAGGCAACTATGAATCTACTTTCAGCCTCCATAGATTGCCCTGTTATGGACAAATATGTGGCTGGTTTCTTAGTATAATGTTTTCAAGGTTATTTACGTTGTAGCATGTGTCAGCTATTTCATTTCTTTTTACTGTCAAATAACATTCAGTTGTATGGATATACCACATTTTATCTATTCCATCAGTTGATGGACATTTGAGTTGTTTTCATTTTGGGATTATTATAAATAATGCTACTATGAACATTTGTATACAAACATTATGTGGACATGTGTTTTCATTTCTCTTGGACATATACTTAGGAATGGGATTGCTGTATCACATGATACCTCTGTATTTAACCTTTTGAGGAATTGCCAAACTGTTTTCCAAAAGTGGCTGCACCATTTACATTCCCACTATCAATATATGCTCCAGTTTCTCTACATCCTACCTTATACTTTTTTTTTTTTTTTCTTTTTTTTGAGACAGAGTCTCGCTCTGTCGCCCAGGCTGGAGTACAGTGGCACAATCTCGGCTCACTGCAACCTCCGCCTCCTGAGTTCAAGCAATTCTAAATTATCATGCCTCAGCCTCCCGCATAGCTGGGATTAGAGGCGTTTGCCACCATGCCTGGCTAAGTTTTATATTTTTAGTAAAAATGGGGTTTCGCCATGTTGGCCAGGCTGTTCTCGAACTCTTGACCTCAGGTGATCCACACGCCTCGTCCTCCCAAAATGCTGGGATTATAGGTGTGAGCCACCATGTCCGGCCTGATTGGCCAGCTTTTCATTTGGAATGGGGATAGGACATAGTTGGAAGTTGGTGTCTTTGGTTATTTCCCTAACATGTCCAAGCATCCTAAAGTATCAGTCAAATAAGCAGTCTCTTCTCATTCCTGGCAGAGAGTAAGTCAAAGCCTTAATTCAATTTGCATACCTGTTTTCATGTAACAACAAATAATTTTTTTTTTTTGAGACAGAGTTTCTCTGTTGTTGTTTAGGCTGGAGTGCAATGATGCGATCTTGGCTCACTGCAACCTCTGCCTCCCGGGTTCAAGCGATTCTCCTGCCTTAGCCTCCCAAGTAGCTGAGATTATAGGCATGCACCACCACAGCCGGCTAGTTTTGTATTTTTAGTAGAGACGGGGTTTCTCCGTGTTGGTCAGGCTGGTCTTGAACTCCTGACCCCAGGTGACCCGCCTGCCTCGGCCTCCCAAAGTGCTGGGATTACAGGCGTGAGCCACCACGCCTGGCCACAACAAAGAATTTTACCAGAAGTGGGTATGATTTATATCTTAGTTTGAATTGCTACTTACCTTTGGGGAACAGACCTTTCCTTGATGTATCTTTAACACTGAAATCTTGGCAAGTTGCCAAGTCTCAAATGTTCATGAGTAAGACTGCAATATCACAATATCATAGTCACACAGGAATCTGATAGAAAAGCATCACATTTATAAAGCCTTCTTTCCTGTACATCACTGACGTTTTGTGAATTTTAAAGAATTTGTAATTATTTTTAAGGAGCATATTTAATGTAGTTAATGTAACCTAGAATAGGCTCATTTGAAATGAAACTCTTGCTAATAGGAACTTAATTCACCAAATTAAGAATATTTAGTTTTTGTAGAGATTTTGCTCTTGAAAATGTTGCAGTCTTGATTTCGTCTTGTCAGTCCAGTCAGAATTGTGAAGTATTTTTTTTTCTCATTCCAGAAATACATGCTACAGGATTTAACTATCAGAATGAAGATGAAAAAGTCACCTTGTCTTTCCCTAGTACTCTGCAAACAGGTAAGAGACATAGCTTTTGTAAAATCTCGTGATGAATATAGTGACATCTGACTTCCTCCAGAGAAATTTATTGTATGCCATTTTTTCCCTCGTTGTTATTAGCAGATTAAGTATTAAGAGCTTTTTTTTTTTTTTACTTTGAGACGGAGTCTTACTCTATTGCCCAGGCTGGAGAGTAGTGGCATGATCTTGGCTCACTACAACCTCCACCTTCCAGGTTCGAGTGATTCTCCTGCCTCGGCCTCCCGAGTAGCTGGGATTACAGGTGCCTACCACCACACCGGCTAATTTTTTTGTATTTTTAGTAGAGACAAGGTTTCGCCATGTTGGCCAGGCTGGTCAGGCTGGTCTTGAACTCCTGATCTCAAGCGATCTGCCCGCCCTGGCCTCCCAAAGTGGTAGGATTACAGGCAGGAGCCACCGCGCCCAGCTGTATTAAGAGCTTTTTAAAGAGGTTTGTTGCAACTTTTGGGCCACCAGCATTTCCTTCTGCGGAAGTTGGGCTACGAAAAGCAGGGTTTCCACCTCCTGTCACTCTATATTCTCTTTAAACAAACAAGCCAAGAAAAACAGGACAAAAACTAAAGATCATTCTATCCTAGAATGTAATGTATTGTTTTCCAGTTTTACCTTTTTAAAAATACCTTTACCTAGGCCAGGCGTGGTGGCTCACACCTGCAATCCTAGCGCTTTGGGAGGCCAAGGCGGGCTGATCACTTGAAGCCAGGAGTTAGGGACCAGCCTGGCCAACATGGCAAAACCCCATCTCTACCAAAAAATACAAAAATTACCCAGTGTGGTGGCTCATCCCTATAATCCCAGCTACTCAGAAGGCTGAGGCAAGAAAATCGCCAGAAGTCAGGAAGTGGAGGTTGCAGTGAACCGAGATCATGCCACTGCACTCCAGCCTGGGTGATAGAGTGGGACTCTGTCTAAAACAAACGAACAAAATACTTTTACCTAGCTCCATCTTCTATTAATTCAATCCAAATCCCTGAAGTGAATGGTCACAGATGATTTTGATATACAACCAGAGATCAAATAGGTATTGTGTTATTGAGGGCACAGAAAGAAAGATACGTTGATATGTTACTATTGTTAGGTATAAAAGCACAAAGAAATAGACTTTCTGAGCTTAGTATATGTGGAAGAAATTATATACCAATCAATTGGTGAAGTACTAAGACTTTGATGAATGAACAAATGAAAAGGAACAGATAATTCAAAAGGAAGAAAATGTAAATGACTAATAAACATGTGAAAAGATATTGAGCCTCCTAGTAATGAGAAATTTTTGCTTCTCATGTGAGCTGAAATTTTAAAAATTCCCAATGATATGGCTGCCTTGATATCGCTGGGGGGAGTATAAATCCATGTAATTTTTTTGTAAAGCATTCTGGCAGTATATCAAGAGCCTAAATATGTTCATGTCCTTTGACCCAGCAATTCTGCTAATAGGAATATATCCCAAGGAAAAGTCATAAATACAGAAAATACTTTATGCCCAGAAGTGTCTGAGATATTACTTACGGTAGTAAAAAATTATAATTAATATATTTGTTCAACACTAAGGAAATGATCAAGCCAGGAATGATATATCTATATAGTGAAATATACTTAGCAATTAAAAGTGAGGTTTGCGAATTCTTAACCCTGTAAAGTGCTTATTATAATGTAAAATTGAAAAGAAGAATATAAAATTACATATTTAAGGTGGTGAATCATGTCTCTAAATGGCACAAATAAAATGATAATTATGTCTGGGTGTTGACATAATTGGTGATTTTTATTCTTATTTATATCTTTTGTCTGATTTTCACAATTTTCCTACTGAGAATCTATTGAATTAATATAAAATTATTTTTAGAAAAAATTTAAATTGGAGATGTTTAGTCTTTTATTTCAGTGCTCTTGGAGGCCCTTTATGTGTAATTATTATAAAAATAAATGGGCCGGGCGTAGTGGCTCACGCCTGTAATCCCAGCACTTTGGGAGGCCGAGGCGGGCGGATCACGAGGTCAGGAGATCGAGACCATCCTGACTAACACGGTGAAACCCTGTCTCTACTAAAAATACAAAAAATTAGCTGGGAATGGTGGCAGGTGCCTGTAGTCCCAGCTACTCGGGAGGCTGAGGCAGGAGAATGGCGTGAACCCGGGAGGTGGAGCTTGCAGTGAGCCGAGATCGCACCACTGCACTCCAGCCTGGGTGGCAGAGTGAGACTCCGTCCCAAAAAACAAAACAAAACAAAACAAAAAATGCTTTGCCATGAACATGTATTAAAAGCTATTGAAGAATATAATTTGAAAAGGAAGGAGATTCTTTCGCTGATTTCTTCTACTTCCATTGTCTGGTGAATCTGTCTAGAAATATTCCTATGTATATATAAATTTATGTATATAATTTAACCCACAGATAGGATCACAAATCTCAGTGGCTTATAACCACTGAGATTTCTTTCTTTTTTACACATGGGCCATGAGGACTGCTGATCATATGCAGCCATATCACCAACTCTGCTGGCTCCACTTGGCTCCCAACTGTCTTTCCAGGACTAGTAGTCAGCGAGCAGCCACTCTCTGTATCATGCATGGCAGAGGGCAGAGGCTCAGGGATGGGGAGAAAGCTAGACCACAAAGACACATTTAAAACTTCTGCATGGCCAGGCGTGGTGACTCACACCTGTAATCCCAGCATTTTTGGAGGCTGAGGCAGGAGGATTGCTTGAGCCCAGGAGTTCGAGACCAGCCTAGGCAATGTAGTGAGACCCTGTCTCTATAAAAAATAAAATAAAAAATAAAATTTCTGTGTGATGGTGGTATACTTGATGTCTACTCACATTTCATTGACCAAAGCAAGTAGCATGACCAAGCCCAAAGTCACTGGGGTAGCATTTAACAGACATTTGCGAAAAGTTTCTAATGAAAGATAGGGCAAAAAGCAAAATTATAAGTATAATAGAAATAAAGGAAGTTGGAAAAAGCAAAGACAAATCTAAAGAAAGTTAAAAAAAAAACAAACCCATAGCTAATTACTATCCTTAGAGAGTTAAGAGAAAGCATTGCGTGCATTAAACAAGGACAGGACAGAATGCCATCAGATAGGAAGAATTACAGCAGGAAAACTTGGAAATTATGATAGGTATAAAAAACCCAGTAAAAGTGTTAAAGATGAAGTTGAGGAAACTTCCAAGCAGTAGAAAAAACAGATAGAAAACAGAAAAATAGATTTGAGAACCAGTCCAGCAGAACCAACATCCATCTAGTAAAACAGAAAGCAGAGGAAATGGGAAGAGGATTTTTTAATTTTCATTTTTGCAACAGAATCTTGCTCTGTCACCCAGGCTGGAGTGCAGTGGTGCAATCTCGGCTCACCACAGCCTCCACCTCGTGGGTTCCAGTGATTCTCCTGCCTCAGCCTCCTGGGTAGCTGAGATTACAGGCACACACCACCACGCCCAGCTGATTTTTGTATTTTTAGTAGAGTTGGGGTTTCACCATGTTGGCCAGGCTGGTCTCGAACTCCGGACCTTAGGTGATGTGCCCACTTCGGCCTCTCAAAGTGCTAGGGATTACAGGCGTGTGCCACTGTGCCCGGCCAGAAGAGAAACTCAAAAAGACAGGAACATTTCCTTGAACTGATAGAGCAGGAGCCTTCAGTTTGCAAAGGTACACCATTGAGAGAGACTAGCTTAAAAAATGTAAAAATTGCCACACTGACTGAAATTTTAGAACTTCTGCGATAAAGTAAAACTCCCAGAAAGTTCCTGTCTGGGATAGGGGGCAATAGGAGGGAAGGCAGGTGGCATACTACCTTTAAAATTTAGGAATCAGAATAGTCCTAGACTTACCATTAGGAACAGTGGAAACTTAGACTCTAATGAAGCTGTTCATTCAAAATACAAAGTGAATCTGATTTTCAACCTAAGATTGCATGCTTAGCCCAACTTTGAATTTCGGAGTAAAAATATTTTCAGATTTGCAAGGTCATAGAAAATTTGATTCTTTGTAAAAGATATTGGAGTGGGGGATGGATTAGCTAAAGCATGACTTTCTACAGTGAAGAGAAAATGTCTAAAGTTGAAAAATGAAGAAATAGGCCGTGGTCGTGGCTCATGCCTGTAATCCCAACACTTTGGGAGGCTGAGGTGGGAGGATTGCTTGCCCAGGAATTGAAGGCTGCAGTGAGCCGTGATTGTACCACTGCCCTCGAGCCTGGGCGACAGAGCAAGACTGTCTCAAAGAAAGGAAAAGAAAAAATAGCTGTGTAAGCAAGACATTTAGAAGTCACAGAGTTTGAAATTGATTGCTTCTAGGGGCAGGGTGTGGGGAGTAGGGCCTAGTGTTGAGCAGGGCCTGGAGCTTACGTATTTTAAACTGTGAACTATTACTTTGATAGAAATTTAAAAAATTTTAGAGTTTTAAATCTATATCATTACAGACTATATATATTCTGTGTTTACACTGTGAAAAAATTAGAAGTCAATAGAAAAAGAGAAATGAAAAAAATCCCTTTTTATATATTTGAAAAAATTATACCTCTGAATAATTGAGTCAAAGAAGACTTGTTATGGAAATTAGAAAATATTTAGAACTGAATAATGAAATTACCACATATGAAACATTAGGGATAAACATGTTTCATATGCAGATAAAATATTAGAATATTTAGTTAAGAAGAAAGACTGAAAATTAATTAGCTAAGCATTAAACTCATAAAAACAAAAGGTAACTTGGAGAAAGTAGAAGAAAGTTTTAAGAGCAGAAACAAATGAAATAAGTGAAGTGAGGGGCAGAAATATTAAAAAACTGATATTTAAAAATAGTCCCAAAAGATATATAAACCTAGCCAGTATAGAAAATAAAAGCGTAGATTGAATTGTTGTTCAGCATTAGGAAATATGGTAACCATTTTTCATTAAATTTAAAAAGTTAAACATTCTATATTTATCAAAAGGAATCAGTTTATTTGCTAGAATTCACCAGGGAAGAGTAGACAGAAACTTCTAACATGATAGAAGATATGTATTACACACACACACACACACACACACACACACACACACGACATAATCTGTGCCAAGTACTGTTTTAAGTGCCTCAAAAATATTAATTTATTTAGTCCTTTCAACAACCTTTTGAGGTAGATTTGTTTTGTGACAAAGTCTCTCTGTCACCCAGGCTGGAGTATAGTGGTGCAGTCACGGCTCACTGCAGCCTCAAACTCCTGGGTTTAAGTGATTCTCCCACTTCAGCCTCCCATGTAGCTAGGACTGCCTACACATGACAGTGCATCTGGTTAATTTTTAAATTTTTTTGTAGAGACAGGGTCTCGTTATGTTGCCTAGGCTGGTCTCAAATGCCTGGCCTCAGGTGATCCTCCTACCTCAGAGAGAGGATCTTGCCATCCTCCCAAATGTTGAGATTACAGGCATGAGCCACTACGCCAGCCAGATTCTGTTACTTCTATTTTGTAGATAAACTAAGGCAGAAAAATGATTTCAGTAACTTAAATAATTTGTCCAAGGTAACATAGCTAGTAAGTAACATAGCTGGGATTTAAACCCAAGCAGTTTAACTCAAAAGTCTGCACTTTTAACCACCACATTGTGCTATCTTTATTTTTCAAATTAAATATTTCAAAAACATAGTACATTTACATAATTTGAAATTCAAATGCTATGCAATGAAATTTTGTTTGCCAGTCTACCCTGTCTTCTTTCTCAGCTCCATTCCTCAACAGAATGAAATGAAATTTTCCTTTCAAAACTATACCCCTGCTTTTGTAAGCATTTATATATATACTTTTTAAGAACACAGAAATCACCATGCCATACATAATGTTCTGCACCTTTCTTCTTTTCCCCTTAACTGTAAATATTGGAGGCCATTTATTACTAGTATATAAGAGATGTATCATTCTTGATAAGGTCTGTTTACAGCAGACATGCTAAATGGTGAAGCTATTTCAAATAATAACAAACAAGTTAGAGAAGGTTATGACCATTAGTATAGTATGATTTAACATAATTTTTGATATTTTTGGCCAATATAACAATTTTGAGCTAATATAACAACTGATATAAATATTAGAACAGAAAAATTATCTTGCAGGTGTGACAATATTGAATTATTATTATTATTATTTTTTGAGATGGAGTCTCGCTCTGTCGTCCAGGCTGGAGTGCAGTGGCGCGATCTCAGCTCACTGCAAGCTCTGCCTCCTGGGTTCATGCCATTCTCCTGTCTCAGCCTCCCGAGTAGCTGGGACTACAGCTGCCCGCCACCACGCCCGGCTAATTTTGTTTTTGTATTTTTAGTAGAGATGGGGTTTCACTGTGTTAGCCAGGATGGTCTTGATCTCCTGACCTCGTGATCCTCCCGCCTCGGCCTCCCAAAGTGCTGGAATTACAGGTGTGAGCCATCACGCCCAGCCGACAATATTGAATTATTGAATATCTGTTTGAAACCATTGGCTTTCACATTTTCCCAAGGTTTGCTTTAAAAATGAAGTTAATCTTTTTCAAGACAGATTGCACAAGTGATCTATCTGATAATGAAGCAAATACTGAGCTTATCTTAGGAGGACATTAATAACCTTTGTGTTTAGCCTCATCAAATTTAACAGTAATGCAAGCTATTATACAGCTAAGTAAAACCTACTTTTCTGAAATTGGCACCATTCTGGGATAGTGATTAAATTACCATAATTATTGTAAGGTCTAACAACCTTAGAATTAGTGGCTGAGGGTCCTGAGGGTGGCATTTATATGGAGAAACACTGGTAGTTGTCAGCATTTTGAAGAGTCAAAAACAAGATAATAAAAAGTGGTGACACATGGCGAAACCCTGTTTCTACTAAAAACAAAAATTAGTCAGGCCTGGTGGCGCACGCCTGTAGTTCCAGCTACTCAGGAGGCTGAGGCAGGAGAATTGCTTGAACCCGGGAGCCGAAGGTTGCAGTGAGCCGAGATTGCACCACTGCACTTTAGCCTGGGTGACAGACTGAGACTGAGACTCCATTTTCCAAAGAAAAAAAGAGGTGGTGACACAAAGGCAACGATCTTTATTCCCTTTTTGTATAAATTAATCTCTTTATTTTTATAGCATTTAGTAGACTCATTAAATTTCTTATTATTAAAGTATTTCAAGATTTACTCCAGGTTTTACAATTGTTATACTCTCCTAAGCTTTAAACATTTAAGGTTTTTGATGGAAGTCCCAATTTTTCAGTTGTTTACTTTATAAACGAGCTTGATGTATGTTTCAAAAGGTTTACAACCCCAAACATAAATATTTCATACATTGGATATGAAATAAGGTATCTAATTTGAGGAAGTGGTGTAAATTATGTGTGTTGATAGGTATAAAATTAGACAATTTGGCAATCCGTTCATTAATATGGTGTAAATTTGATAAATGAAATTTATTAAAAAGTCATTTTTTCTCCTACTTGCCCTAAAATTCTACTATATGAATAGTAAGTAAATACTTTGTAATTGGTATCATATAATGTGACACTAATTAAACTTATTAATGATTTTTAAATACTTTAACTTGTGTTTTGTTTGAATTTCAGGTAATAACTCTTTCCAATACTTTGTATTTTGTTTAGTATGCCACTTTTTGGAAGTGGTCACTGTCAATATCTTGTTATGGTTTGATGGCCTTGGAGATTTAAAACCGAGTAAAAGTGTAAGCAGTCTTTCTTATTTAGTTATGAGTTTTAAAACCACTTATGTTCCAACTAGGAAAAAATGCAAGTAGATTTACCATGAAATATGAATTATATTTAAAAAACATCTTAACAGTTGACTGACTTAGTGAAACAGACTGGGCAATTCCACTTATGGAATTGTAACATAAAATTCCATCATATAGTTTCCATTAAAGGTAGTAGGTTTTTATAATCTGTTAGACGTTCTTTGCAAACTTTATTAATGTGAATACATTTGCTTTTTTAAAAAAATTAAGTGAACTTCTAAAGAAAATAGAAATTAAAAATTTTTAATTTAAATTTTGCTTTATAGTTTAATTTTTTAGTATCATTTAGAATTATCAATTATTTTACTATATCCATATATACTGTCCCAGTAACCTGTCATTCTCTTTAAAGAAAAAAGTATTCATTGTCCTCTTTAGATATTTACAAATATCTGATTTCTAAAAAATAAACATCACAAATGTCTATTCAATTAAGCTTCAGTTGAGTTGTTTTTTTCTCAGAATGATTAAGAATATAGCACTTTCATTAGTGGTGACTTTGCTCTAAAGGTCTGAAATTTTCACTTAAATTACTTTCAGAACCAGTTTGAGGCATCAGGCTAGAGACAGTTTGTAGTTTGTCATTCACTTATTCTGTAGACTCGCACTCCCCATAACTTTTGGTCCTTTCCAAAAGCAAATTCAATTTTATAAGATGAAGATTTGACTTTGAGATCATTCAAAAGAGTGTCAGAGGGGCTGGGCACAGTGGCTCATGCCTGTAATCCCAGCACTTCGGGAGGCCAAGGTGGGTGGATCACTTGAGGCCAGGAGTTTAAGACCAGCTGGCCAACATGGCAAACCCCTGTCTCTACTAAAAATGCAAAAATTAGCCAGGCGTGGTGGTGCCCGCCTGTAGTCCCAGCTACTCAGGAGGCTGAGGCACAATTGCTTGAACCCAGGAGGCGGAGGCTGCAGTGAGCCGAGATCACACCACTGTACTCCAGCCTGGGCAACAGAGTGAGCCTCTGTCTCAAAAAAAAAAAAAGAGAGAGAGAAAGAGAAAGTCACAACATTTTGAACAATGTCAAATGTCATTGCTCTTTAGCGTTCCAAAATGACAATTTGAAACATTAGGATATAAAAGTTTGGTATGATTGGTTAATTACTTTATAGTCATGCCCTATCTTTGATTTGTTAGACTTCCCATGCTTTAAATCTTGATATACGTAGGGCCTTTAAAATGGTCAACTAAAAAGTCACCATTCCTCTACGTTTTTTCGTGACTTGATTTGTAAAACACAGAATGGGATTACTGTTTTGCCATGCATCTGTATTTAGCAGATGATTACTAGATAATAATTATAATTTTTTATGTTATAAAAAAGAAAGTATATAAACTCAAAAAAGCTCACTTTTTTGTCTAAATTGTTTTTGCTCTTATACAATAGAATACATATTTAAGTTGTATTTTTATTTGCATTTAATAATTTATTAATTAAATGTATTTCTTTGTCAGATTTCAAATGATTGAGGTGACTTGTAAGAATTTGTTTTATGCCCTGTTGCTGATCAAATCATTGGTCTTCCCTATAGCTCCTTACAAAATTATGCAATCAGTGTTCCATTTGGAGTAAACATTTAGTGTCTTATCTTGATAGAGTAATTGGCTACATTTCTCTTTCTATGCATGAAGTTGTGTAAAAGGACCAATTCACATGTATAATTGGCAGAGAGCATGAATTCTGGACTTAACATTTTATCCCATTCTCACTACTTACTAATTTTATGACACTGGACAAGTTATTTAGCTTCTCAGCCTCAGTTTCCTCATCTGAAAAAATGAGGACAATATCTACTTCCAGGTTTATAAATAGTTATATATATTTTAAAAGCACTGTGCACAATAGCACATATCAGGCATTTAAGAATAAATGTTTGTTTCCTTTCCTGTTCTTATTTTCACATATTGGTAGTTTGAGACTAAGTTAATAACTTTTTAGGCAGTCACCCTAAACATGACTTTCAAGAGTTATTTTAGGATTAGTCTGCCTTTTACTTTAGTAAGTACTGTATTCTCTCCATTGCCAGGAGGAATATTTGAAAAAGGAAGGAATGATTTGAACATTGTAAATAGCTAACTGAATATAGTGTCTTGAGGACATATTTTTGGTAACTGTGTTTAACATCTCCATAAAAGTGTTTTTTATTTATCTTCAATCACAGGTACAGGAACCTTAAAGATAGATTTTGTTGGAGAGCTGAATGACAAAATGAAAGGTTTCTATAGAAGTAAGTATACTACCCCTTCTGGAGAGGTGCCCTATGCTGCTGTAACACAGTTTGAGGTATGGGTTATTCTTCTCTAAAATATTATTATTCTTAAATTAGGCATTCTGACAAAGGTGTGTTTATTATGTGGGGTGATTATTTGAGGCTAGGTGCCCTTGGCCATGATTGTATTCACAATTTTAGAATTTTTATTTTATATTTAGCCATTATCTCTATAGAAAGGAGGGAATTAAGGGTATGGGTTGGGGAATGATTATATACAGTTATACACACAGACATTCAAACACACGACACATTTTGATACCTGAATTGCCTATATACTGTGTACCTTTCTTAAAATCATTCTCTTAGTATTTGACACCTATGGCTTTTCCTACAGTATTATTAGCTGTTTTCTAGAATTCCTTTCCTTCTTTGACATCTTTTGTTTATCTTACTGTAGTATCTGTGCTGTCTTTGATTTTTTTTCTCTCTCTCTGTGTGTGTGTGTGTGTGTGTGTGTGTGTGTGTATACATATATATATATACACACATATATATATTTGCTGTCCTACGTAGGCCAGGATGATTTTTATTTGTCAGGTATTTGCAAATTATATAAATTGTTTTGAATCTGCTAGTCGTATTTTTAAGTGTTAAATCTAATTAAATTTATTTCTATAAATTTCAGTATGGATAAAGAAACAATTCATGATATCCATTCTTATGTTTCTGCCCATATCCCTATATTGTTTGCTTGTTTGGGATAACCTAAAATTTTTTATCCAGTTTACTACTAATTTGTTTTACCTGATGTATCTTCTCTTTCAATAATTTTATGTTACCTTCTGTTTAGAATAATATTTGCCACAGATATTTAGGTTTAATTCTGTGTTTGAATGATTCCAATGCCTTTCTCTACCCACTTTGAACACTTCATCCTGGAATGGTTGGCTGATGTATGTCTCTAAACAATTTTTTTTTTAGGAGAAGGTATGTGGGTAATGTAATTCCTAAACCTTTGCTTTTCTGAAAAATCTTTCATTTGCCTTTATACATGACCAGATTTACTGGGTATATAGATTTGTTGATGAAAAAAGGTAAAAAGAGCAACTTTTGACATCCAGAGGTTGTCTGGCACTCACAGCTAGCCCGTGTTATTCTCCCTATTAGACATAATATTACAGAATACCAACTTTAGACAAGGCTACTTGAGACCATAATAAAGTGAGACAAAACAAGGGATCCATAATTTTGCCTAGGTACAGTACATACAGGATCACTATGCTACCCGCAAAATATCAAACATCTCCATCTCTCAGTTAAAATGAGTGACTACTGCTTCTTTACCAATTACGGTTTTAGATTTGCTCTAGTCTGGCCTCCGTATAGATAAGATTTATTGAGATACATACCCATAGAATTGCCTCATAGGACTTCTTGCAGCACTCAATCTAGAGTGAATCCCTGTTTACTTAGACCCTCTTCCAAATCATGTAAACCAAATCCCAAATCGTATAGTGGGTTCTTTCTTACATTCTTATGGAGACACCAGTGGTTCCCTGTGGTGTGAGTTCTCTCTTGCCATGAGTAATAGGCCCAGCTCATTCAATTGTAAGAGTAGTACAATCAGCTTACAATTTTTCACTTTCAAAAGTCTGTGAATATTGTTTCCAAAGTCTTCTACATCTCACTTTTTCAAGAGGAGGGGTCACAGACTAAAATGTTTCTTCTTCCTTTGTAGGTAAGATGTTGTTTCGTTTTGCTTTATTTTCTTCCTGCTTGCTTGTTAAATTATATCTTGATATCGAAAATTAAACTGTTTTTTAAACCAGGTGTTCACTTTTCATTGATTTTTGCATAGTACTTGGTGAACCCTATTGATTTTTAGATTCAGGTAATTTTTCAGTGTGAAAGAGTTTTTCTGTTATATCTTCACTGTGATATCCATTCCATTCCCTTCTCAGTTAATACTCAGTTTAGCTCTAGTATCTGTCTCTCAAATTATGTTTAATTGCTTTTATCACTTTGTCCTTTAGATATTTTCAAACTTAAATCTTGTTATCTGTCATTAATTTCCTTTAGTATAAATTCATTTCTCTACTGCTGCTGCTTCTAATTTAAATGCTTCTGTGCTGCCATTTCTTTCCTTATACTCTCCCTTCTTTTCAGATGTCTTTTTTATTCATTGATAGAATTCATTATTTATTTAATGTTTTTGAGAATGTAGTCAGCCAAGTTTCTTCTACCTCTTTGGTTTGTTTGTTTGTTTGTTTGTTCGTTTGTTTGTTTGTTTTTTAGTCGGAGCCTTGCTCTGTCGCCCAGGCTGGAGTGCAGTGGTGCAATCTTGGCTCACTGCAACCTCCGCTTCCCAGGTTCGAGCCATTCTCCTGCCTCAGCCTCCCGAGTAGCTGGGATTACAGGCATGTGTCACCATGCCTGGCTTATTTTTGTATTTTTAGTAGAGACGGGGTTTCACCATGTTGACCAGGCTGGTCTCGAACTCCTGACCTCAGGTGATCCGCCCACCTCGGCCTCCCAAAGTGCTGGAATTACAAGCATGAGCCACTGCACCCAGTCTGTTGTTTCTTTTTATGATACAGTATCTTGTCATTGGTTCCATTTTATTTACTAAATAAATGGAAAATTCTGTTTACTGAAGTGTCTTTCCTTTATAACTGATACCCTGCAGAACCCCTAAGTTTTATTTTGCTTTCATAAGGTTGCTCTTTTTTAAATTTTTAATGAAAGAGTAAGGACTCAAGTAGGTCAAGTGGCGACAGTTTTATGTGTAGCATATGGAAGTGCCATTAAATGAATGACCTGTCTTGAATTGATAGAGCATCTGTCTTTATTCCCATTGCTGCCATTCCAGATGAAGAACAAAGCACATCAAAGATTGAGAATATTTTTATTTTTAATTCAAAAATAAAAGCCAGAGAGGCAACTTACCATGTTTTCCCAACTTTGAATTCTTATAGCATACTCTTTACTGTTCTGTGCTCTGTGTTGTGTTAACATTATTGATTTGAAGGCATTTGCATTAAATTTGAAATGTTAAAATGTAAACAAAAATTTAGTTGTAAATAATTATAATATATTGTTAAAATCCATAGCAGACACTGTTCCTGGATATTTGCTGGAATGGCAGTGGTAGCAAGTGTTGTCTTTTCTTTCTAGTTAATGCCTAGCTTGTTGCCTGGCACTGAAGAGAAAGTAAATATTTGAACAAGGGAATGAATGAATGACAGAGGGAAATGGCGACTGCTTTATGAAATAACTTGTTAGGTTAATTCTAAGGTATTTATATTTCATATTCTTTTCTTAAGGCTACTGATGCCCGAAGGGCTTTTCCTTGCTGGGATGAGCCTGCTATCAAAGCAACTTTTGATATCTCATTGGTTGTTCCTAAAGACAGAGTAGCTTTATCAAACATGGTATGTATGTGTTTATAAGTTTATCTAAAATTTTAATAGGCTTTAGCAGATTTAGTTTGCTGATTAGATGGGATAATATGAAACCACCTACCACAGTGCTGGTATATTATAGGAACATAAATAATAGTTTTCTTTATTTTCAATAAGCCTCTTTTTCTTTCTTTTTTTTTTTTTCTGTAGACTTGGGGTCTCATTATGTTGCCCAGGCTGGTCTCAAACTCCTGGGGTCAATCTGTCTTCCTGCCTCAGCCTCCCAAAGTGCTGGGATTAGAGGCATGAGCCACCATGCCCAGCCAAGACCTCTTTTTCTTGATAGCTTTATTTTTGGAGGATTTTCTCCTTGTCAAATTCCTTGTTAAATACATTTATAAGATTATCTACTTCTTTTAATTTAGAGAGGTAAATTGACAAGTTTAATAGATTTATAGTAACTAAAAGCAAAAGTCTTGGGCTGGATATGGTGGCTTACACCTGTCCTCCCAGCACTTTGGGAAGTCAAGGTAGGCAGATCGCTTGAGGTCAGGAGTTGAAGACCAGCCTGGCCAACATGGTGAAATCCTGTCCTTACTAAAAATACAAAAATTATCTGAGTGTGGTTGCACACACCTGTAGTCCCAGCTACTTGGGAGGCTGAGGTGGGAGGATCACTTGAACCCAGGAAGCGGAGGTTGTAGTGAGCTGAGATCACACCACTGCACTCCAGCCTGGGTGACAGAGCCAGACCCTATGTCAGAAAAAAAAAGAAAAAAAAAAGAAAAAGGTCTTGACTTATTAAATGTCATAAGAAAGCCAGGTACAGTGACTCTTGCTTGTAATTTCAGTGCTTTGGGAGGCTAAGGCAGGAGGATTGCTTGAGGCCAGGAGTTTGACACCAGTCTGGGCAACATAGTGAGACCTCATTTCTACAAAAGATTTAAAACTTAAAAGTTAGCCAGGTATGGTGGCAGGTGTCTGTAATCCTAACTACTTGGGAGGCTAATGTGGGAGGATCTCTCGAACTTAGGAGTTTGAGGCTACAGGGAGCCATGATTGCGCCACTGTATTCCAGCCTGGGTGACAGAACAAGACCCCATCTCTTAAAAAAAAAAAATAGGCCAGGCATGGTGGCTCATACCTGTAATCCCAGCACTTCAGGAGGCTGAGGCAGGTGGATCATTTGAGGCCAGGAGTTCGAGACCAGCCTGGCCAACATGGTGAAACCCCATCTCTACTAAAAATACAAAAATTAGCCAGATATGGTGGCAGGCACCTGTAACCCCAGCTACTTGGGAGGCTGAGGCAGGAGAATTGCTTGAACCTGGGAGGCGGAGGCTGCAGTGAGTTGAGATCGCGCCACTCCGCTCCAGCCTGGGTGACAGAGCAAGACTCCATCTCGGGGGGAAAAAAAAAAGGTTGCAACAGAGCAAGACCCTGTCTCTATCTTTTTAAAAAGTTAAAAGAATTCAAAAGATGTAGCTGCATAATGAAGTATATTTAGGTTTCTGGCTGTTTGTATTCTTGGAATGTATTCTCTTCACCAGTGTTATTGATCTCATTCATGAACAGGGTAAGCATTCCCCACTTGAAGTGTGTTGTCTAGGACTGTCTTGTGTGGGGAACTTGGAAAAACCTGCTGCACCTGAAAATAACTCTTTTATGTATTTACTGGGGGAGAGCATCCCATAAATAGAATGTCATTCTCTTCACACATATTCTTAGAAGAGGAGGCTAATACATTAAGCAGAAATATTCATTCACACTTTAGTATGAGTGAATTTATCAGTGTGTTCTTGAATAAGTCTTCCTTGGAAGGAAGAATAGAGAGAGCTTGAGGAAATGGAGCCTGAATAGGAAAAAGAGGGAGAACACCAAAGGAAATTAGGGACTCCAAAGGTAAAGTTGAAATTTCTTCACAAATAAGCTTAGAGCCAACTTTGGTAGAGAATGCCCTCGATCTAGAAGTTTGTATCCTTTGAAATGGGAGATTCTACAATTATATTATATTTTTTTTATTTATTTTTGAGAAGGAGTCTCGCTGTGTCGCCCAGGCTGGAGTGCAGTGGTGTGATCCCAGCTCACTGCAAGCTCCGCCTCCCTGGTTCACGCCATTCTCCTGCCTCAGCCTCCCAAGTAGCTGGGATTACAGGCACCCCCCACCATGCCTGGCTAATGTTTTGTATTTTTAGTAGAGACGGGGTTTCACCATGTTAGCCAGGATGGTCTTGATCTCCTGACCTTGTGATTCGCCCGCCTAAGCCTCCCAAAGTGCTGGGATTACAGGCGTGAGCCACCGCGCCTGGCCCCTATTTTATTTTTATTAATAGTCATTTTCTCCTAAACTTATGTCAGTTGAAAAGTATGAAGCCCTTACTTAAATCATCCCAATGCCTGGCTTATAATAAGTATTCGAGAAAAGTCCATTCCTCTTTTCTCTCACAGGTCCTTGGTAGTTTTAACACTTCAGCCTCCAGCTTCTTAGTATGAGTGTTTTATCAGACCACTTTCCTTCTTAAAGACAGCATAAAAGCACTGGATGAATTGGGGTAGAGAAATAAGCCATGCTAGAATAGAAAGGGGGAAAGAGATGCAATAAAGCCTACAGTTTTTGGCTGGTATTTGCTCTATGGTATTAATGTAAACCTATTTAAATTTTTCTTTTTTTTCTTTCTTAAAGAATGTAATTGACCGGAAACCATACCCTGATGATGAAAATTTAGTGGAAGTGAAGTTTGCCCGCACACCTGTTACATCTACATATCTGGTGGCATTTGTTGTGGGTGAATATGACTTTGTAGAAACAAGGTCAAAAGATGGTGTGTGTGTCTGTGTTTACACTCCTGTTGGCAAAGCAGAACAAGGAAAATTTGCATTAGAGGTAAATGTACTTGAAGAGGATTGTTCCAGCAGTCCATAACTCCAGGTTGGGGAATTTACATTTCTGGTCAATTATTAGTACAGTTATTTATAATTTAATCTGAAAGTTGTGCTACTTGGTTTATTTTTAATAGAATTTAGGAAATGCCAACCTTGGTGTTTCGTTATTTTACAAAATAATAATTAAGAGAATATAAGAGTGGAATTTCTCTAGGGAATGGGTTGGAAAATATGTAGTTATATTTTTCATATCAAGTTATAAATGGATTAAAGTTTGGCCATTGTATTCAAAGTTTGGAGCTAAGGCAGTCTTCGGAGGTAGGGCTCCCTGGGATTCATTTCTAGTAATTTAAGATACATTGGCTTGCAACAGGATTCCTTTGTGGGTTTCAATATGAATTATAATAACATATTTATTAGATGGTTATTTTGTTTATACTTTTATAGGTTGCTGCTAAAACCTTGCCTTTTTATAAGGACTACTTCAATGTTCCTTATCCTCTACCTAAAATTGATCTCATTGCTATTGCAGACTTTGCAGCTGGTAAAGTAAATTTCATTTTATTGCTGAATTGTAATAACTTTTTAAAATTTTGTGACTTTTGATGCAAGAGTATATATATATATATATATATATATATATATCTCAATAAATGTTTATATTTATTTTGTGAAGGTGCCATGGAGAACTGGGACCTTGTTACTTATAGGTATGTTAATGATGTATTACCCTGCCTTATCTTTTCAAATCACTGATTTCAAAAGGGCTTCCCTCCTAATCACAGTTGAGTAGCTTCTGCTTTACGATATGGTGTAAATTTTTCTACCTTCCCCCACTTCCATGCACATTTCAAGAATGCAGATGGACACCTCTCCCTTTGGTGCTACTGTCTGAGGGTGTAAGATTTTAAAGTGAGCATCTGGCGGTAGTAGCATTTTTAGATATATTCTTGGCTAAGTTTCTCATTGCAGTGCCTTTCTTTCCTGCCAGTAGTTTCACAGCTATTTATCCAGCTTGGAGAACCTTCCCTAATTTCATATCTTCTAGCCAAGTTTTTACATGTCTGTCACCACAACATAAACATGTGAGTTGAATAACTTTTAAAAGCAGAGTCTGTCTGTAAACAAGTTTTTGCCTTCTACTTTCAATTGCCTTCTTAGATGAGCTAAGTGTTGAACGGCCGGCTCAGTGCTGTTTTTGGGACTATGGAATGCATCTTCCTCCACCACTCCCCTCATTTAATGAAAGGACTTTCTTCTCTCTCCATCTAGCACAGTAATCGCTAATCCCTTAGACAATGTTTTCCCAAAATTTCAGGCAGCTATTCTATCAACAAACTGATAATTAAACTTGTGTCACATCTTTGATATTCTGTTGTATTAATTCTGTTGGGGTAGTCTTTAATCTTCGTGAAACTTTTTCTTTCCATATTAGGAAATATTTTCCTAATATCTCTAAAGCCTAACTTGTCCATCTGACTTACTGTCTGAATCTTCCCAACTTATGCATGCCCACTTTTATTGTTTAAATTTGTTTCTCTTTTTTTTTTTTTTAAACATAGGGAGACTGCATTGCTTATTGATCCAAAAAATTCCTGTTCTTCATCCCGCCAGTGGGTTGCTCTGGTTGTGGGACATGAACTTGCCCATCAATGGTTTGGAAATCTTGTTACTATGGTATTTAATATTTTTAAGTGCTCAAATATATTTATCTTCATCCTACTCCACATTATTTTGGCTACATAGTATTTCAAGTTTGGCTGCAACACTGTGCCAAAAAATAATTGAGTGATAGAAAAGTATTATTTTAAAAGGTCCACTTTGAAAGGGCTTATCAGAATCTCTGCATTGAACAAGGGCATATGGACAGTCTTTATTCAACAGACACTTCCTAAACTGTTCTAAAATTTGTCTGCAAATGGGAAAAGTCAAGATACTAATTTGGGTGAGAGGAAAAGATTCCTCTTAGGTGTAGATGAATGAATCATGCAGTGAGATTCCAGGCTAACTGTAGTTTCTTGAATCTTATTTGTTAATCTGACTCACAGCTGAAAAGTAACCTGATGAATAACAGACTGATCTTTAATTAGAGAGAAATGTTTTTAGGAGTCAGTTTTTTCATTGCCTAAAATGTTAAGTTGAAATTTAATGAAATAAAAGTAAACAAACTGCAGAGTGACTGCAGAATAAAGCTGTATTAAAATTCCAGCTGTTCTGTTGAAATCCTTATAATGTTTGCAGTAATGATCTCTGTCCTTCAGTCCTGATTTTTCACTCTTACTCTAAGTAAATACTATTTATGAATGCCAACTGTGTTAGAGCTTGGGAGCACAGGATTTAATAAGTGAACTAGATGTACCTCTGCAATTAAATAACTGGATATTCTGGAGCCAGCTAGATTCCCTGACATTTTAGGCTGCCAAAGAGCAGAACCTGATTTGAATGTAGATTGAGTCCATACGTTATATAAATAAGAATGTAAGACATTTATCAACTGTTACGTGTCTCAGAGAGTTTCTACAGAAAGTCAACCCTTGAAAATAAATCTTTTCCTTTTATTTTGGATGTTTAAAATTTTACAGGTGAAAAAAATTCTTTGAAATATAATTTCAGGCCGGGCACGGTAGCTCACGCCAGTAATCCCAGCACTTTGGGAGGCCGAGGCGGGTGGATCACTTGAGGTCACGTGTTTGAGACCACCCTGACCAATGTTGCGAAACTCCATCTCCACTAAAAAAAAAATAGAAAATTAGCTGGGCGTGGTGGTATGCACCTGTAATCCTAGCTACTCTGGAGGTTGAGGCAGAAGAATCGCTTGAACCTGGGAGGCAGAGGTTGCAGTGAGCCGAGATCACGCCACTGCACTCCAGCCTGGGCAACAAGAGTGAAACTCCATCTCAAAAAAAAAAAAAAAAAAGAAATATAATTTCATGTGGAACTATGTGTTGGTGCCTGTATTCAAATATGTGAAGAAATGGCCTTTTCTTCTAATGCAGCGAGTTTGCTACTTCGTACCAAATAATTTTTTTGCTTGGCTTTGAGATAACTTTATGATTTTATTTTGAAACTACAAGCAATAAATTTTAGTAGGGGAAATGTGTACATTCTTATTAAACAACTTTTTACTGGTTTTATGTAACTATTCTAGTTATTAGAACTGAAATTCCAAGGGCTTAGGGATAGGTTGGAAAATAAGTTTCATTTTATGCTAGTTTATTTTAGGAAGCTACTAGGCAAATAGCCACTTATCACTTAATATCAAAATAATTTTTTTTTTAAGACAGAGTCTCACTCTGTCAGTTAAACTGGAGTGCAATGGCACAATCATGGTTCATTACAGTCTTGACCTCTGGGCTCAAGCAATCCTCCTGTCTCTGCCTCCTGAGTAGCTGCAATTACAGGTGTGTGGCACCATGCCCAGCTTATTTTTGCACTTTTTGTAGAGACAAGGTTTCACTGTATTGCCTTTTGTAGAGACAGGGTTTCACTTTGTTGCCTAAACTGGTCTCAAACTCCTGGGCTCAAGCAATCCTCCCACCTCAGCCTCCCAAAGTGCTGGGATTACAGGCATGAGCTACCACACCTGGCCTTTTCTGGGGGGACTGGTTGGGGATGGAGAATAGGATCTCACTTTGTTACCCAAGCCGGAGTGCAGTGGCACAATCATGGGTCAGTGCAGCTTCATCTTCCTGGGCTTATGTAATCCTCTTGCCTCAGCCTCCCAAGTAGCTGGGACCACAGGTGTGTGTCACCATGACCAGCTAATTTTTTTTTACTTTTTAATTTTTTTAGAGATGGAGTCTCACTGTGTTACCCAGGCTTATCTCAAACTCCTGGGCTCAAGTGATCTTCCTGCCTTGACCTCCCAGAGTATTGGCATTACAGGAGCAAGCCATTGTGCCTGGCCTGCTTTCTTTCACTAATAGGCTTAATCAACTTTAATAAAATTTAGATTAAGATCTTTAAAATTTTTTAAAAACTGATTTTATCTGTCACTCATATTCTTTGTCCATTCCATTTACTATGCATTCTTATTTAACAGGTGATAATTTCATATTCCATAAGTGCTTAAACACCATTCATTACTGAACTACATTTTTGTTTAATTTCACATAATTTTTATATAAGCAGTACTCTTTCTCAGTTTCTCTTGAACATTCAACTCATTAGTGAGTGGTTTTCCCCAGTCATTTCCATTTTTCTTTATTTGGCTCTGATAGTTTTCTGTTTTTGTTTTTCAGAGATAATCCTTTACTATACTAAATTCTACGTGATTATATTTTCCACCTCTATTTGCCTATATTTATCTGCTGTCTTTTCCTTTTCCATATATGGGCTTATTTTTTTTTTCCCTCTTCTTCCTTTTCTACCTTTGGTATTTAAAAAGTTACTTAGGACTGAGTGCACTGGCTTACGTGTGTAATCCCAGCACTTTGGCAGGCTGAGGCGGGAGGATTGCTTGAGCCCCGGTGTTCAAGGCTGCAGTGAGCTACGATGGTGCCCCTGCCACTCCAGCCTGGGCAACAGAATGAGACCCTGTCTGGGTTTGGGGGAGAAGTTATTTACAATGTTTTGAAAATATCCTTTGGCCCAGGCATGGTGGCTCACACCTGTAATCCCAGCACTTTGGGAGGCCGAGGCAGGTGGATCACTTGAGGTCAGAAGTTTGAGACCAGCCTGGCCAACATGGCAAAACCCCATCTCTACTAAAAATACAAAAATTAGCCAGGCATAGTGATACATGCCTGTAATCCCAGCTACTGGTGAACACTCCAGCCTGGTGACAAAACAAGACTTTGTCTCAAAAAAAAAAAAAAAAAAAAAAAAAAAGAAAGGAAAAGAAAATGACCCTCAGATATAATTCTAATATCACCAGTTGGCCTTTCTTGACATCTCTTTTAGTCTTCTCTCTTTTTCAGAAATGTGAGTTCTTTGCGAAATGTTTTGAACTGAATTTTAGGTCATTAAATTGTGAGTTTTGGAATATAGTGGAAGGGACATGTGAGTGTTTTAGATTAGTAGAATGACAATCATTTCAATTTCTTTAAGTATTTTCATCTTCTGTTTTTAGGAATGGTGGACTCATCTTTGGTTAAATGAAGGTTTTGCATCCTGGATTGAATATCTGTGTGTAGACCACTGCTTCCCAGAGTATGATATTTGGACTCAGTTTGTTTCTGCTGATTACACCCGTGCCCAGGAGCTTGACGCCTTAGATAACAGCCATCCTATTGAAGTGAGCCATACTTTCTAACCATTAGCCTATGACTGCTCTCATTTACAATGAAATACGTAATTTGTTACATAGGTACTTTGGACTTTGAAAAGAAGAGAAAATAGCATGGGTGATTTTACTGGTTCATATTTCTAGTCTTGAAAAGCTAGTAAGTCTAAGTTCTAATTAAACATTTCTTTTAAAGGTAGGCAGTAAAAAAAAATTGGTCTGGCCAGGCGCAGTGGCTTACGCCTGTAATCCTAGCATTTTGGGAGGCTGAGGCGGGTGGATCACCTGAGGTCGGGAGTTTGAGACCAGCCTGACCAACATGGAGAAACCCCGTCTTTACTAAAAATACAAAATTAGCTGGGCACGGTGGCGCATGCCTGTAATCCCAGCTACTCGGGAGGCTGAGGCAGGAGAATCACTTGAACCTGGGAGGCAGAGGTTGCGGTGAGCCGAGATCGTGCCATTGCACTCCAGCCTGGGCAACAAGAGCAAAAAACTCTGCCAAAAAAAAGAAAAAGAGTAGTATGGGAGAAGTCATACCTATTGGGTAACACTATGGTTCCATTGTTTATGTCAAGGAAAATTCTGGACATATTTTATTGTCAGGGTCTGTTTTGTGAATACTTTAATTCTCTTGACTTAGCCTATCCCTACTTCAGTTTATATATATAAATTTTGTATCTAAAGAACTAGAGTTATAATCCTACTTCAACATATTTAATTAGGCTCCCATATAATTGTAATTCATTACAATTAGTGCAAGAAATCTAATGTTCTTCACCTCCATGTCTTCCTCATCACTCCTCTGCAACTACCCCAAAAATAAACAGAACCATAGTGGCTTCTTTCCCAGCAGAACAAAGCCAGGACTGGAACCCAAGCTCTAAGGGATGACAGGAATCATGTTCTATTCAACTTTATTATTATTAGTTACTACATTTTTTTGAGGACCATCGTTATACATTATGAGTGAGTTAAAGGCAGAAAAATGTAAGTTAGAAGGGTTTTCCTAGAAAGCGTTTTATGTAATTCAGTATTACAGGCTATCTGCTTCCTGTCATAACCCTGAATCACACTGTCTGCCAGGTCAGTGTGGGCCATCCATCTGAGGTTGATGAGATATTTGATGCTATATCATATAGCAAAGGTGCATCTGTCATCCGAATGCTGCATGACTACATTGGGGATAAGGTAAAAAAAAAAAACTTTAAGTATTTCATTCTTTCATGGTGAAATCATAAGAGTTTTGCATGAAAAAAAGTCTCACTTTATTTGGATTAAGTTCCCAAATAGTTTCTGGCTTGTCATTTTTTTTAATGACCAAAAAGAATGAGAATTCAATTATTTGAAGTTGACTACTGTGGTCTCTTAGATGAGTGATGTGCAGGTGTGTTTGGGAGTGGAAATGGGAGGCTGTTATAAAACTTAAGAGCAAGAATAGAAGGCATAGAGTACGCATTATTAAATAAAAGGCAGTAGGCATCAGAAGGATATATGTGTTTCAGTGTATCTGATACTTGAGTATTTGAGTAAATTTGTTTTTGATTACTAATATACAAATATACTATAAATTCTGAGATCTGACTTCCCTGGATTTTAAAAATTGTGTTTTCTCAGGACTTTAAGAAAGGAATGAACATGTATTTAACCAAGTTCCAACAAAAGAATGCTGCCGCAGGTAATCTTTAATAGCTTGAGATAGAAATGGAGAGAAAGTATTGTCACTCTATCCAGGCTGGGACATTTTATTTTTGTTCTGAATACTTAACTCAAGGTCAGGATCCATGTAATAAATAAATTAGCCTTATTTGAAGCTGTGTTCAGGTTGAATATCTCTAATCTGAAATTTGAAATGCTCCAGAATCTGAAACTTTTTCTTTTCTTTCTTTCTTTTTTTTTAATTAAAGTTCTAGGGTGCATGTGCACAATGTGCAGGTTTGTTACATCAGTATACATGTGCCATGTTGGTTTGCTGCACCCATTAACTCGTCATTTACATTAGGTATTTCTCCTAATGCTATCCCTCCCCCAGCCCCCTACCCCATGACAGGCCCTGGTGTCTGATGTTCCCCGCCCTGTGTTCAAGTGTTCTCATTGTTCAATTCCCACCCAAAATCTGAAACTTTTTGAGTGCCAACGTGATGCTCAAAGGAAATGCTCATTGGAACATTTTAGATTTTGGATATTGCAATTATAGATGCTCAGCTAGTAAGTATAATGCAAATATTCCAAAATCCAAAAGAAATATGAAATTCAAAACATTGCTGGTCCCACGCATTTTGGATAAGGGACACTCAACCTGCAGTAAGTCATAGGGTCAACATGAATCAGGACTCATTATCCCTTTGGTCATCCTCCAGCATTCTGCTTTCCATAACTGAATATTTTGCCAACTTAAAGAGTCTGGGCCGGGTGTGGTGGCTCACGCCTGTAATCCTAGCACTTTGGGAGGCCAGGATGTGAGGACTGATTGAGCCCAGGAGTTCAAGACCAGCTTGCAACATAGCGAGACCCCACCTCTACAAAAAATACAAAAATATTAGCCGGGTGTGGTGGTATGTGCCTGTAGTCCCAGCTACTCAGGAGGCTGAAGTGGGAAGGGTCACTTGAGCCCAGGAGTTTGAGGTTACAGTGAGCAATCGTGGCACCACTGCACTCCAGCCTGGGCAACAGAACAAGATCCTGTCTCTGAAAAAATAAAAAATCAAGGGAATAGTCATGTGTTGCTTAACAACAGGGATATGTTCTGAGAAATATGTTGTCAGGCAATTTCATCAATATGTGAACATCATAGAATGTACTTACAGAAACCTACACAGTATGTCCTAGGCTATATACACCTAGCCTACACGGTATATACCCTGTTGCTCCTAGGCTACAAAATACCTGTACAGCATGTTACTGTACTGAATACCATAGGCAATTATAACACAGTAGTATTTGTATACCTGAACATTTCTCAATATAGAAAAGTTACAGTAAAAATATGATATTAAAGATGCTCCATCAGCTGGCTGATATGCCTATAATCCGAGCACTTTGGGAGGCTGGGGCAGGTGGACTGCTTGAGTCCAGGAGTTTGATACCAGCCTGGGCACCATGCCAATACCTCGTCTCTATAAAAAGTACAAAAATTAGCTGGGTGTGGTGGCATGTGCCTGTAGTCCCAGCTACTTGGGAGGCTGAGGTAGGAGGATCATAGTTTCAAAGTGTGGCACTTACTGGTTCTCCACTCACTCCCTCCTGCCGTCTTGTGAAGAAGGTGCCTGCTTCCCCTTCCCCTTCTTCCATGATTGTAAGTTTCCGGAACTGCAAGTCAATTAAGCCTGTTTCCTTTATAAATTACCCAATCTCAGGTATTTCTTTACATCAGTGTGAAAACAAATGAATACAGTCCCCTTCCCTGAGGTGCCTTCTCCTTAGGCAACCAGCTGCCCCCATGCTCCTCTTCTGCCCCCCTGGTATTTCCTTTCCCCTCATGAGGCCCAAGTGATCCACATGGCCAGCCACAGCCCCATCCTACTGCAGGCCTGTGTGGCTGCTAGAGAGGCCAGGCTCCTTTCCGCACCCCGAGGCTGCCCGATATGCTTTCTGCATCCTGTAGAAAACTGACCCACTATTCTCATACTGGTGCAACTTCTTCCATTACCTCAAAACTGGACAACGTGAACTTGTTTCTTGTCTCTTCTTGCTAGGGCTGTCACTGGGACAGTCCGAGATGCGGGGGTGGGGGGAGACAATGGATGAATGGATGGATGAATGGACAGTAGTCCAGGGAGATGTCCCTGTGTGTCCTGAACTGGGACCTTCCTCCAATGAGAAGCCTTCCTGAGTGAGTTTATACAGTCATCCCTTGGTATCCATGGATTAGTTCTAGGGTCCCCGGGGATGCCAAAATCCATGGATCCTCAAGTCTCTGACATAACATGGCCTAGTATTTACATATCAGCTATGCACATCCTCCCGTAGACATTAGACCATCCCTGGATTATTCATGATGTGTAATACAATGCAGATGCTACATAAATGGTCGTGATACTGGATTCTTTAGGGAATAATGACAAGAACAAACTCTGCACATGTTCAATAGAAACATAACCGTCCAATTTATTTTCTGAATATTTTCCATCTGCTGTTGCTGAATCTACAGATGCAGAGCTCCTGGATACGAGAGCCAAGTGTGCTTTGAGAGTAGGGTGGGTGAGGTTGCTAATGAGTACAGGGGAGCAGGTGTTGATCAGGAGGACCCTGCACTGGGGCATCTGGACGTCCTGCCTCAGGACTTGAGACTCCAGTTGGATGGCACAGGCAGACTCAGCCCAGGTCAAAGCCGTCCCCTTGAAGTTTCTTTTTATCCCAAGCTCTTTCTGGCCCCTGGAATTTGGCATCCCCTAGGCCCTGTGTGGAAGGACAGATGAACCAGGTTTTAGATAACATGTCTAGAAGAGTGAGCCCCTACTGTGTGCCCGGCACTTTCCCCACAGGATCCTCTAGCTAGAATATCCAAGGGTCATGGAGAGAAATACCCAGTTAAAATATCAGAAATGAAAAAGCGATACCATTAGAGACACTAAAAAGACCATTAGGTAATAGTACTAGCTTTTGTATTCTGAGATCCAACAGCAGCAGTCACTTCCCTCCACCGCTATGTGTATCCCAGGACCACCCTGGGCGGGGAGGGCTGAGGTTAGGGAGCAGCCATGGATGCTCTGATGCTGGCCCTGGGCCTCGGGGGTGACAGTGATGAGGAACTGGGTGCACACATGAGTGGGGCAGCCGGGCCTGGCCAGAGAAGCAGCACACACGTGCACAGATGTGTTTACCCACATACACATGTGCACGCACGTGCACAAACACATTGCAGGCAGGCATGTTGACGCCTCAGGCAGCGGAGGACCCTGACTCTGGGCGCTGCTGACCCGGGCAAGGCCCCACTGTGATTCGTGCCATGACCTCAGAATGTCACTGGTGCTTAGCACCTATCTGCTCTCTGGTCTGCCTCAGTGGTCTACAGCAGTTACACACAGGCAGTGGTATCTGTGAGCAGCTCTGTGGACTCAAAGGTTTTCTCCCTGAGAGGCATGACCCAGGCCAGCTGATTCATCAGAATCAGGTGAGCGTGACCTGCTCTCTTCCCTCCAGGCGGACTTGGGGGCAGTGGCTACGGTGCGGGCGGTGTTGGCCTCTGTGGGGCAGCTACCGAGGAGGGTCATCCCTGAGCACTCACCAGGCGCCCGTTCTACACTGCCCGTGTAGACGATTGGCTCTTTCGTCTCCATGGTGGCTTCGTAGAGTGGGTGCTGTTCCCAAATGTCCCCATTCGACAGATGAGACGTCTGGGGTCAGAGAGGCAGTAACCGGCCTGGGAATCCGGACATGACCCTGAGTTTTGCTCTCAGCCCTGCCGTGTGCTGTGCTGGAATTCAGGCCTGAACCCTGTGACCTCCCTGCCCTAGATCCCAAATCTGCCCAGGTTTCCCATCCCGATGGGGCAGAGCCTGGTCCTGGCAGAGCCACTGGTACAGAGCCACTGACGGTCCTCAGAACACCTCTGTGCCCTAAGCTGGGTCCTGATGGTCGCTGTGGGCCCCACTGAACACACATGGTCCCTTGTCCGGGGGAGCCTGCTGCCCTTGGGCAGCTGTGGAAAATGAAGGAGCCCTGGAGGGCTGGCTGAGGGGAGACTATCTTCCCTTGTGTTCAAAGGGGTCCGGGCACTAGGGTTCTCCCCAGGTATTTCTTGCTCTGCGTGGTCCTCTTGAGGCCTCGCCCTCCTTTTGCCTCGAGTATTCCCAGGAGGGACGGTCCATCCAGCTGTTCTCCAGGACCA
This sequence comes from Homo sapiens, assembly GCF_000001405.40. Taxonomy (NCBI): domain Eukaryota; kingdom Metazoa; phylum Chordata; class Mammalia; order Primates; family Hominidae; genus Homo; species Homo sapiens. The sequence goes on along the minus strand of NC_000017.11, from coordinate 38,191,727 downwards.
AGGACCCACTGTTCTTCCTCAGTGACCCAGGAAAATGAAGCCTCCTCCTGTTGGGACGGCTCAGAATGGTGGACTCCACAGTCCCTCCGCGAGAGACGTGGTTTCCATGCGTACAATAGATCTTTCTCATCCCCCAAACCCAACACCCTCCTGCTCAACAGGCGTTATTCCTAAAGTGGCTTCACTGTTCAGACTGAAGAGCCACGGTAGCCAAAGTGATGAGCGGAGTAGAACCGAGCAGTCGGGAGAGATCTTGTTCCCTGTAGGAAACTGGGCATCGCTGAGGCCCTGAGCATCCCAGGAGGCCGATTGCACAGAGACCTCTGGTCGCTGACCCCAGTCTGCCTCCACATCCCTGGAATAGCCCATCATGGGCCCTTCACCCTTGGCAGGTGGAAACCATTCAACCTGCTGGGGCCAGTGTGTCCCCATTTCATGGCATTGGGGGACAACAGGATTCTCTGTCTAGGTCCCACTGTACTCAAGTCCTTGGGAAGATGCCCACCCCTGCTTGGGACTTGAGACTCCAGAGACTGGAGCAGCTGTGGGCCACTGGGTCTGGCCCCTTTTTCCCTGGGGGCGGCGGTGGAATGGGGGTTACGCAGCCAGCCAGCATCTGGGAGCCCGGCGAGAGCGGTTCAGGTGTTCTCCGAAGCCGCCGCGTACGGTGTGACCTTTAGACAATTCTGTCTCACAGGATGGACGTGGTAGAGGTCGCGGGCAGTTGGTGGGCACAAGAGCGAGAGGACATCATTATGAAATACGAAAAGGTACAAGTCGGTCTGCTTCTTGGAGGGAGGCCTCTTCCAGTGTGCCCTGGTCAAAGGGTCCTGGGCTCCCTAGGAGCACAGGGCAGGGACGGGTGGCCAATGCCCCCAGGCCCTTGCACCCTTTACCTTGGACCCCTCACCAAGGCTCCCTCTGGGCTACAGGGACACCGAGCTGGGCTGCCAGAGGACAAGGGGCCTAAGCCTTTTCGAAGCTACAACAACAACGTCGATCATTTGGGGATTGTACAGTGAGTCCTCTGCACTCCCCTCACCCCTAAAGCACCTGTCTCAGCTCAGGGATGGGTTTGCTTTTAGAAAGGCCTTTCTGACGCAGGACATGTCTCACCAGGTCGGGTCAACCTCCTTTCCAGGGACAGAACTCCTCCCTGACTCCCCTGCAGGTCCAGCCCGAGGTTGTTAGGCCAGAGGTGTGGGGCCCATCTAGGGAGCCGGTGGGAATGGAGACTGGGCTAGGTCAGGCCCCTGGGCGCTCAGCAGTTCTGTCGGCAAGTGAGCACAAGAGGAGCGGGGCAGCCTGAGGGTCTGGCCCTGTCTACTTGGAGACAAACCCGGTGAGATGCAAGGGTTATGGCCACAGGGTGAGGGGACTCCTGGCCCAGCCTCAGGGCTGTTGTGCAGCAGGTCTCTGAGGGCCCACCTGCCCCTGTTCTCCCCCATTCCCCTAGAGCTACAGCCCTCACTGTCCCGTGAGGGGAAAAGGCATGGTGACAATGGGGGCTGTAGCCCTAGGAGAACGGGGGAGAAGATGGGCAGGGCCCCGTTCTGGGCATCTCACGGTGAGGCCAGGGAGGCAGCAGGGCTCGCGGCTAAAGACCTGGGTCTGGTGCTGGGAAGGGATCTGGGGCCGGGTAAGAGGAGCCCAGCCAGGAGCCCATCCCTCAGGGATCACAGGATGGAGAGACAGAGGATCCCTGGGGAGGTAGGGCGGGAGGGAGCTGACGAGCCGTGCCACTTCTGAAACGCAGGGTGTGTGGCTCGGGTGCAGGGAGAGGCAGGTGGATGCTGGGAGGTCAGAACCTGCAAGGGCCTTGGGGCTGTCAAGTGGGGTGGGCCCCTGGTGCAGCCAGAGTACACCGGGCAGGTCTCAGGGCAGGCTCCCTTGACCCTGGCGGGGGGATGTGGTCACTCCCTGAGGGACTCCTGTCAGGGCCCGGTCGCCCACCCTGGGCGGCCCCCATCCCATCTCAGGGCTAACCTTTCTCAGCTCCAGCAGAAAGCACCACCTCGAGTCCAGGACGGGCAGCCCCATTGGGCAGCCTGACCGCCCCCCACGCCAGGGGCCCCAGTAACCCCGGCCAGGCTGTCCCTACACTCCTTCTTCTCCCAGGTCCTGCCCCTCCTGGGAGTCAGCCCCACAGGAAGGCCCTTGTCCTCCCTTCCCTGTGCCTTCTCCTGGGCTGAGCCCTGAGCTGGAAAGGGACAGAGCCAGTCCTTTCTGGGGGTCGGCACCCAGGCTGGGGCCGCTCCAGGCCCCGTGCAGTTCCTCAGCTCTGCCTGGGTTGCCTTACAGTGAGACGGAGCTGCCTCCTCTGACTGCGCGGGAGGCGAAGGTAAGAGCCTGATGCGTGGAGGGGCTGGTCCAGGGACGTAGGGACTGGGCGGGTGGTCAGTGAGGCAGAGGAAGCAGCTGGCCTGAGCGGTGGCGGGTGAGGGCAACACGCTGTCACTGGGAGGGGCAGCAGTCCCTGCTGGACCTGACCCCAGGTTGCTGTTCACTTTGGCAGTTTGATAAAATTCCAAAAGGAGAACCACAGTCCTGGCTTGGGGGTGGCTGCGCGCTTGTGTCAGGACCCCACCTAGAGGCTGGGACCTAAGACTGGTGTGTCTGTGGCCTGAGGATGGTACATCCCGGGGTCCCAAAGCCAGCCCACTGGTGCTCATTTGCTCAAAGGCTCTCAGCCCTTGAGGTCTGCCCTTCCCTGGCTCCTTCCAGCTGGCTCCCACCAGGGCTCCAGAGCCCAAGACCCAGCATCCGCGGGCGGCTCTGGGAAGCCTGGCAGCTCCGCTAACTCCAACATGCCTCATTTGACAGCAAATTCGGCGGGAGATCAGCCGAAAGAGCAAGTGGGTGGATATGCTGGGAGACTGGGAGAAATACAAAAGCAGCAGAAAGGTAACGTGTGGAGGGAGGAAGCACTCTCTGCAGAGACAGGGGACAGGCACCCATGGCTGTGGCCTGGCACCATCAGCCTCTCAGAGGGTGGGCGGCACACTGTCCTCGCCCAGAGGACTGCAGGCCTGGTCGCCAGATTTCCTGCCTATTCGTGCAAGCGTCACCTTGCAGGGAGGGAATCTGAATCTAGGGCTGGGACTACCCGGAGCTCAAGGCTAGGGATGCCCTGGGGACCTGAAGGAAGGAAAAGGTTCAGATCAGAGTTTCGACTCTGAGTGTCCATCCACTCTTTCAGTCCTGGGAAGGGAGACCCTGTCCCAGCTTGATCTCACCTCTACTGAGGAATCATGGGGCCAAAACCGACAATTTCCAGAATCCCCGGGCTCTGGTCCTCACTGGGGTCACCCCGTGGCCTGTGACACCAGATCGTTTTCTGCCCACAGCTCATAGATCGAGCGTACAAGGGAATGCCCATGAACATCCGGGGCCCGATGTGGTCAGTCCTCCTGAACACTGAGGAAATGAAGTTGAAAAACCCCGGAAGATACCAGGTACGCTCAGCCAGAGCACAACAAACAGGACAGGCCGTGTCGGGGCCCAGGTCTCCAGCTGGAGGGAACGTCAAGACCACCCTGGGGAGCTGGGGGTGAAGGTCAGATGAACACCCTGGGCACAGATGGTGACACAGTCACCACAGACAAACTCAGCTCTGGTGACCCTCCCTGGCTTCAGTAACAAGCCAAAATGCAGCTTTCTGCAGAAGGAAACCTTCCTTCTGTCCTTCCTTCCCGAAGTGCTGACTGTGGGCTGACTGCCACTGGGGGCAGGGAGTCTTCCATCTGTTCTGAGACTGCTTCCTCCTCTTGGCCCTGCCCTACAGATCATGAAGGAGAAGGGCAAGAGGTCATCTGAGCACATCCAGCGCATCGACCGGGACGTAAGCGGGACATTAAGGAAGCATATATTCTTCAGGGATCGATACGGAACCAAGTAAGCCTACGGGAGCCACAGGGTCCCAGCAGAGATGGGGTGAATGAGAGGGATGGGGGCTTCCCCGGAGCAGAAGCCAGGGTCACCCAGGAGGGATGACACAGCTGCCAAGAGCTCTCCCGGCCCAGGGAGCAGCCGGCACCATGAACCGAGCACCTCCCTGGTTCCAAGCCCTGGGCCAGACTGGAACATGTGGGGCCAGAACCCAGGAGGATCCTGAGGAGATGGAAGGCAGCAAACAAAATCATGCACAATGGTGAAGGGTGCTCTCCCTGACCCATGGGGACCCATGGTAGGACCCACGGGAGGGTGGCAGGATAGAGGGCCCATGAGCCCCCGCCAGGCAACAGTGACAGCACCAAATGCTGGGAGAATTAGGGGTCCTGGAAACTCTCATCCAGGTCCGCTGGGAACATGACATGGCACAGCCACGTTGGCAGCCCGTTGGGCAGTGGCTCACAAAGCTCGATGGACTTGAACCACACATCCCCAAAGTGTCACAGATATTGAACCCACTGATTTGCAAACTGACATCCACATGAAACCAGCATGCCAGGTTCACTGCTTGACTCCTCGTCACTCACACACGGAGCCTTCGGGGACGGCCTTCAACACGGGGATGGGGAGAGCAAGGCTGGTCCTCCCTTCAAACGGAAGACCCAGTGAGAAAAGGGAACGAGCCGGTGATGCCCGCACGAACGTGGGTGGATCCTAGATGCATTTTGCTGAGGGACAGAAGCCAGACCCAATAAGCTACCACCGTAGGATTCCCATTCCTAGGCCATTCTGGAAAAGGCCAAACCACAGGGACTGAGAAGCAGTCTGGGTGGCCAGAGGCTGACGGATCGGGGAGAGGCTGGGTGCATAGGGGCCACCCTGGAGACTTGGAGGATGAAGGAGTCGCCCCAGGAGGGGCTGGAGCGGTGGCCGGGAGACTCTGCACATTGGTTTGGAACCGTGGAGGAACTGTACACCCACAGACTGAACTGGCGTGTATGCAAACTGAAAAAAAAAAAAAAATCATTCAGAGTGAAAAGGATCAGGCAAGTCACTGTACAACTGGGCTATTTGCATGTCACAGATGTGGATTTTACTGAAACATTTCTTCAAGAGTCTCAGGCCCTGAAGAGCTCACTGCTTATCTGGTGAAACATCTGAACCTGAAATGGGATTTGCTGTTAGGCTTTGTAGACAAAGTGAAATTAACAACATCTGCACAAAACAAACCAAAGCCCCCTTTCTCTGTTTCCTAGGCAGCGGGAACTACTCCACATCCTCCTGGCATATGAGGAGTACAACCCGGTGAGTATTCCCGGCAGTGAGGTTCCCGGGCCATATTTCCATATTGACAGGAGTGGGTGTCTGGTGGGGGTGTCGTTGCTTCTTTTAAAGTTAGTATTTGTGACCCACCAGGATATAGGAGGTAGGATGTCAGCTCACCGCTGGCATAAACCTCCAAGGAAGGGGGTGGTCTCAAGGGGTCAAGCTGAGACACAAAGGAGTCAGGGCCTGGACTCCTGGTGTCACCTGGGCCTGACCACCACTTCTCAGAACAAGAAATGACGCCCTCCTCCTGGGGCTGCCCCAAAGCCCAGGAGCTTGGCAGCATCGCACACAGGATGGTGCTATCAGCAGACATTTTGGACAAGGTGCTGAAGTGCCTGATGGACTTGGCTCTTGTCATGAAATGAATGTGCATCCTGAGGAAGCCTCTTTTTCAGAGGAAGCCTCTCCTTCAGAGGAAGCCTCTCCAGTCACCTCTGCCCTCTCCAATGACATGAGTCCTCCCGGGTGACCTCAGCCCTCCCAGGTGATGTCCTTCCATGGTGACTCTGGCTCTTGCAGGAGGTGGG